>NC_000020.11:25720162-26348365 GCF_000001405.40 Homo sapiens
CAGTTTGGCTACATGCGTGTCAGGGACCCACTTGAGGAGGCAGTCTATCCATTCTCAGAGCTCAAACACCATGCTGGGAGAACCACTTCTCTCTTCAGAGCTGTCAGACAGGGATATTTAAGTCTGCAGAAGTTTCTGCTGTCTTTTGTTTAGCTATTCCCCACCCCCAGAGGTGGGGTCTACAGAGGCAGCAGGCCTTGCAGAGCTGCGGTGGGCTCTGCCCCGTTCAAGCTTCCCAGGCCACTTTGTTTACCTACTCACGCCTGAGCAATGGCGGACACCTCTCCCACTGCCAGACTGCTGCCTCACAGGTCGATCTCAGACTGCTGCTGTAGCAGTGAGCAAGGCTCTGTGGGTGTGGGTCCTGCCAAGCCAGGTGCGAGATATAATCTCTGGGTGTGCCATTTGCTAAGACTGTAGGTAAAGCACAGTATTTGTGTGAGGGTGTCCGGATTTTCTAGGTTCAGTCTGACTTGGCTTCCCTTGGCTGGGAAAGGGAAATCCCCTGACCCCTTGCACTTCCCAGGTAAGGTGATGCACCACCCTGCTTTGGCTCACCCTCCATGGGCTGCATCCACTGTCCAACCAGTCCCAGTAAGATGAACCAGGTACCTCAGTTGGAAATGCAGAAATTGCCATCTTCTGCATTGATCATGCTGGGAGCTGCAGACGGGAGCTGTTCCTATTCGGCTGTCTTGGAGCAGAATCCTGGCTTATGTTTTTTTTTCAATGGGAGCCTCCAATCACCATAAAAGATTATGTACCTTACATAGTTGTACTTGTTATACTTTTTAATTTTTATTTTTCATTTCTTTAGTAGGTACAAGTGCAGATTTCTTACATGCATATATTGCATACTGTTGGGTAGACTGGGCTTTTAGTGTACCCGTCACCTTAATAGTGATCACTGTACCCAATAGGTAAATTTTCAACCATCACCTCTCTCCCACCCTCCTATCTTTTGTAGTCTCCAATGCGTATTATTTCACTCTGTATGTCCATATGTATCAATTGTTTAGCTCTCATTTACAAGTGATGGCATGCAGTATTTGACTTTCTGTTTCTGAGTTTTTCACTTAAGATAATGGGCTTCAATACCATCAGTGTTGCTGCAAAAGACATGATTTTATGGCTGAGTAGTATTTTCTATATCCAGTTCTCCGCTGATGGACATGTATGTTTATTTCTTTTTTTGCAATTGTGAATAGGTCTGTGATAAACATGAGTGCAGGTATATTTTTGATATACTGATTTCTTTTCCTTTGGGTATATACCCAGTAATGGAATTGGATCAAATGGTAGTTCTGTTATTAGTTCTTTGAGAAATCTCCTTATTGTTTTCCGTAGAGGTTGTACTTATTTACATTTCTACCAACAGTATATAAGCATTACCTTTTCTTCACATCCTCATCAACATCTGTTTTGTTTTTTTTGACTTTTTAGTAATAGCCATTCTGACTGGTATAAGATTGTATTTTACTATTTTAATTTTTATTTCTCTGATGATTAGAAATATTGAGCATTTTTCATGTTTGTTGACTGCTTGTAGGTACTCTTTTGAAAAATGTCTGTTTGTATCCTTTGCCCGCTTTTTAATGGGGTTGTTTCTTGTTGTTTTGTTGTTAGAGTTCCTTGTAGATTCTGGATGTAAGCGCTTTGTTGGATGCATAGTTTGCAAATATATTTTCCCACTTTATAGGTTGTCTGTTTACTTTATTAATTATTTCTTTTGCTGTGCAGAAACTTTTTAGTTAAATTATCTCGTCTGTTTATTTTTATTGCATTTGCTTTTGAGGACTTGGTCATTAATTCTTTGCCTAGACCAATGTCTGGAAGGGTTTTTCCTAAGTTTTCTTCTAGGATTTCTGTGGTTTCAGGTCTTACACTTTGGTCTTTGATCCATATTGAGTTTATTTTTGTATATTTTGAGAGGTATGGGTCCAGTTTTATTATCCCATATGTGTTTATCCAATTTTACTGGCACCACTTATTTATAGGGTGTCATTTCCCCAGAATATATTTTTGTTGACTTTTTAAAAGATAAGTTGGTTGTAGGTATGGGGCTTTATTTCTGAGTTGTCTATTCTGCTCCATTGATCTATGTGTCTATGTTATGCCAGTACAATGCTGTTTTGGTTTCTATAGTTTTGTAGTATAATTTGAAAACAGGTAATGTGATGCCTCCAGCTTTGTTCTTCTTCCTTAGAATTGCTTTGGCTGTTCAGGCCCTTTTTTTGGTTCCATATTAATTTTAGGATTTTTTTTTCTAATTCTGTGAAAAATAACATTGGTAATTTGATAGGGATTGTGTTGAATCTGTAGTTTGCCTTGAACAGTATGGTCATTTTAATGATATTGCATATTCTAATTTATAAGCGTGGGGGTTTTTCATTTGTTTATGTCATCTAGGATTTTTTTCATCAGTGTTTTGTAGTTCTCCTTCTAGAAGTCTTTCAGCTTCTAGGTCAAAGATATTCCTCGGTATTTTTTTGTAGCTATTGTAAATGGGATTGTTTTCTTGATTTGGCCTTTGGCTGGCTCATTATTTGTGTATATAAACACTACTGATATTTGTACATTAATTTTGTATCCTGACGCTCACTGCTTCCTTTGTCAAATTTAAGAATTTTGGGCAGCATCTTTAGGGTTCTTCAGGAATAATATTATATCATCAGCAAACAGGGGTAACTTGACTTCCTCTTTTCCAATTTGGATGCATTTTATTTCTTTCTTCTGCCTGATTGCTCTGGCAAGAAATTCCAGTACTGTGTTGAATAAGAATAGTGAAAGTCGGCATCCTTGTATTGTTCTAGTTCTTACAGGAAATGCTTTCAACTTTCCCATATTAGATATGATGTTGTTGGGTACACATGGACACAAAGATGGGAAGAGTAGACATGGGACACTCTAAATTAGGGGAGGAAGGATGGGGAACAAGGGTTGGGAGATTACTTATTGGGTACTATGTTTGCTACTTGGGCAACAGATCATTAGAAGCCCAAACCTCAGCATCAGAAAATATACCCATATAAAAAACCTGCACAGGTACCCCTGAATCTAAAATTTTAAAAAACGAGATAGAATTATGAGATTAGGTAATGCATATTTTAGCCTTAGGATTGAGGTCTTTGCAAAAAGTAGGGAAAATGTCTTCTTACTCATTTCCTTATGCACAAAACATGTCCTCAGAAATATTTCTACTAGCATCATTAAATGTATTTTCAAATTTCTCTATTTAGGGCCCTGTGCTAGTTGCTAAGGATGTAGGTAAAACAAGTGAACAAGAAAATCCTGTTTTGAAAGGTCTTCTGATTCTAGTGGGAGAAAGAAAAAGAGTTTGATATTAATCAGCTGCCCTCTTGGAATAAGCAGAAATACTACCACATTCTTATAGATGAATGATACACAGGAGGATCTGAAGGGTTTCTATTTTTTAAAAAGTATGATGTTGGCTGTGGGTTTGTTGTATATAATCTTTATTATGTTGAAGTATATTTCTTCTATGCCTAGTTTGTTGAGGATTTTTATCATGAAGTGATGCTGAGTTTTATTGGATGCCTTTTCTGCATCTGTTGAGATGATCATATGGTTTTTGTTTCTAATTCTGTTGATGTGATATATCACACTTACTGATTTCCATATGTTAAACCATCCTTCCGCCCTTGGGATAAATTACACCTGATCGTGGTGTGGTATCTTTTTGATGTGCTGTTGGATTCCATTTTTTAGTGTTTTGTTGAGGATTCCCTGCTTATCTATGTTTTAGAATAGTTTCAAAAGAATAGGTATTAATTTTTTTTGTATGTTTGGTGTAATTTGGCTGTGAATCCTCCTGATCCTGGGATTTTTTTGTTGAGAGATTTTTTATTACTGATTTCAGTCTCACTACCAATTATTTGTCTCTTTGGGAATCCTCTTTTATCCTGGTTTAATCTTGGGAAATTGTGTGTTTTCGGGAATTTATCCATTTACTCTAGGTTATCTAAGTTGTGAATACTTGTTTGTAATAGTCTTTAGTGACCTTTGTACTTCTGTGGTATCAGTTGTAATGTCTCCTTTGTCATTTCTGATTGTGTTTATTTGCGTCTTTATTTTTTTCTTAGTTAGTCTAGCTAGTGGTTTATCAGTTTTGTATATCTTTTCAAAGAACTAATTTTTTTGTTTCATTGATCCTTTGTATTTTGGGAGGGTTCTATTTTATTTATTTTTGTTCATTTCCTTGTTATTTATTTTCTTCTGCTAACTTTGGGTTTGGTTTGTTCTTTTTCTAGTTCCTTGAGGTGTGACATTAGCTTGTAAATTTGTGGTCCTTCTACTTTTTTGATATAGGCATTTAATGTTAAGACTTCCCTCTTGGCACTGCTATTGCTGTATACCATAGGTTTTGGTTATGTTGTGTTTTTATTTTCACTTGTTTCAAAAAATGTTTAATTTCCATATTAATTTCTTTATTGACCTAGTGACTGTTCAGGAGCATGCTATTTAATTCCCATGTATTTATATAGTTTCCAAGGTTCCTCTTGCTGTTGATTTCTAGCTTTATTCCACTGCAGCCTGAGAAGATACTCGATATGATTTTGATTTTTAAAAATTTAAGACTTGTTTTGTGACCTAACATGTAGTGTATCTTAGAGAATGTTCCCTGTGCTGATGAAAAGAATATATATTGGGTAGAATGTTTTGTAAATGTCTGTTATATCCATTTGGTCTCAAGTCCAATTTAAGACCAACGTTTGTTAATTTTTGTCTTGATGATCTGTCTGGTGCTGTGAGCAGGGTGTTGAATTCTCCCACTATTATTGTATTGCTGTCTCTTTTTTCAGGTCTAGAAATATTGGAATTCTGAATTTGGGTGCTCTGATGTTGGATGTATATGTATTTAGGATTGTTATATCCTCTTGCTAAGTTGATCTCTTTTTCATTATATAATGACCTTTTTTGTCTTTTTTCAAACCATTTTTATTGTACAGTGTTTATCTTGCTTACTGTTGATTTTCATTTGTGTGGAATATCTTTTTCCACCTCTTTATTTTTAGTTTATATGTGTCTTTATGGGTAAGATGAGTGTCTTACAGGCACCATATAGTTGGTTTATGGTTTTTAAAAATTCATTCTGCCAATCTTTATCTTTTAAGCAGAGCATTTATTCTATTTACATTCAAGTTTAACATTGATATATGACATTTTGTTCCTGTTATATTTTTGTTTTCAAGTTATTTTATAACTTTTTTTCTTTATTTTTCTCTGTCTTTGTGGTTTGAGGAAATTCTGTCATGTTGCCATTTTATATTTTTCTCTTGCTCCTTGTGTGATTGTTTTATACAAACTGTGAATTTTATATTTTTGTATATTTTTGTGACTATCAACCTTTTGTTTCCATGCTTAAGACCCTTTTAAGCATTTCCTGTAGGACTAGATTAGTGGTGACAAAGTCTCTTAGCATTTGCTTGTCTAGGGAAAACTTTAATTCTCCTTCATTTATGAAGCTTATCAAAAGGATACAAACTTCTGGCTGACAGTGTTTTTCTTTAAGCACTTTGTAAAGATACCATCTCATTCACTTCTGGCCTGCAAGGTTTCTTTTGGAAAATCTGCTGTTAGTTTGATGCAGTTTCTTTTATAGGTGACTAGATACTTTACTCTTGCTAATTTTAAAATACTTTCACTTTTACTTTAGACATTCTGAATATAATATGCCATGGTGAAGTCCTTTGTGCAACTATTTTCCTGGGTATCACTGGGCCTCCTGTATCTGGATGTCTGACTCTCTTGATAAAGTTGGGAAGTTTTCATTGATTATTTCCTTACATATATTTTCTAAATTTTTGTTCTATCTACATCTGAGGATGATATGGTTTGGATCTGTGTTCCCACTCAAATCTCATGTTGAAGGTGAGGCCCCAATGTTAGAGGTGGGGCCTAGTGGAAAATGATTGGTTCATTGGGGAAGTTTCTCATAAATGGCTTAGTACCATTCCCTTGGTGCTGTTCTTGTAACAGTGAGTGAGTGAGTTACTGTGAAATGTGGTTGATCTAAAGTGTGTAGTGTGCACCTTCCTTGCCTCTTTCTCTTACTCCAGCCATGTGATGTGCCTCACTTCCCCTTTGCTTTCTGCTATGATTGGAGGCTCCTAAAGCCTCCCCAGAAGCAGAAGCCATTATGCTTTCTGTATATCCTGCAGAACTGTGAGCCGATTAAACCTCTTCTCTTTATAAATTATCCAGTCTCAGGTATTTCTTTATAGCAGTCCAAAAATGGACTAATAGATGGTGATCTCAGGAATACTGATAATTCATAAGTTCCATCACTCTGTGTAGTCCCAGACATCTTGAAGATGTTGTTCATTCTTATTCTTTTTTTTTTTTTTTGTCTGACTGGATAATTTCAAAAGACCTGTCTTCAATTTCTGAGATTTGTTTTTCTGATTATTCTATTATTAACGATTTCAATGTATTTTGTATTTCTTTCAATGAATTTTTTAGTTCCAGATTTTCTGCTTGCTTTTTCTTTAAAATATTGATCTCTTTGGTAAATTTCTCAGTTCTTATCCTGAATTGATTTTCTGATTTCTTTGTATTTGTTTCTAGATTTCTCTTGTATCTCATTGAGCTTCTTTCAAATCAATATTTTGTATCCTCATGTGGCATTTTGAGCAATTCTTTTTGTATTAGGGTCTGTTGATGAATGTATTAGCATGTTCTTGCATTGCTAATATCTGAAACTGGGTAATTTATAAGGAAAAGAGGTTTAGTTGGCTCACAGTTTTGCAGACATTACAAGCAGCTTAGTAACATCTGCTTCTGGAGGAGCCTCAGGAAGCTTCCAATCATGGCAGAAGGCCAAGGGGGAGCACACACATCACATGGTGAAAGCAGGAGCAAGAGAACAAAGGGGAGGTGTTACACACTTTTAAATGAACAGAACTCATGAGAACTCACTCACTATTATGAGGACAGTACCAAGAGGAATTGTGCTAAATTATTCATGAGAAATCCACTCCCACGATCCAGTCACCTCCCACCAGTCTCCACTTCCAACCTTGGGAATTACATTTCAGTATGAAATTTGGGCAGGGGAACACATCTGAATCATATTACTGGACAATTGTTGTGGTCTTTTGGTGGTGTCATATTTCCCTGCTTTTTTCATGTTTCCTGTGTCATTCTATTGATATGTACACATCTGGTGTTCCAATTTTTAAAATTTGCTTTTGTAGAAAAATATGTTTTCCTGAACTTCCAACACTATGTTGAATAGGAGTGGTGAGAGAGGGCATCCCTGTCTTGTGCCAGTTTTCAAAGGGAATGCTTCCAGTTTTTGCCCATTCAGTATGATATTGGCTGTGGGTTTGTCATAGATAGCTCTTATTATTTTGAGATATGTCCCATCAATACCGAATTTATTGAGAGTTTTTAGCATGAAGGGTTGTTGAATTTTGTCAGAGGCCTTTTCTGCATCTATTGAGATAATCATGTGGTTTTTGTCTTTGGTTCTGTTTATATGCTGGATTACATTTATTGATTTGCGTATATTGAACCAACCTTGCATCCCAGGGATGAAGCCCACTTGATCATGGTGGATAAGCTTTTTGATGTGCTGCTGGGTTTGGTTTGCCAGTATTTTACTGAGGATTTTTGTGTCAATGTTCATCAAGGATATTGGTCTAAAATTCTCCTTTTTGGTTGTGTCTCTGCCCAGCTTTGGTATCAGGATGATGCTGGCCTCATAAAATGAGTTAGGGAGGATTCCCTCTTTTTCTATTGATTGGAATAGTTTCAGAAGGAATGGTACCAGTTCCTCCTTGTACCTCTGGTAGAATTCAGCTGTGAATCCATCTGGTCCTGGACTCTTTTTGGTTGGTAAGCTATTGTTTATTGTCACAATTTCACCTCCTGTTATTGGTCTATTCAGAGATTCAATTTCTTGCTGGTTTAGTCTTGGGAGGGTGTAGGTTTTGAGGAATTTATCCATTTCTTGTACATTTGCTAGTTTATTTTCATAGAGGTGTTTGTAGTATTCTCTGATAGTAGTTTGTATTTCTGTATGCCAGGGCAATTAGGCAGGAGAAGGAAATAAAGGGTATTCAATTAGGAAAAGAGGAAGTCAAATTGTCCCTGTTTGCAGATGACATGATTGTATATCTAGAAAACCCCATTGTCTCAGCCCAAAATCTCCTTAAGCTGATAAGCAACTTCAGCAAAGTCTCAGGATACAAAATCAATGTATAAAAATCACAAACATTCTTATACACCAACAACAGACAAACAGCCAAATCATGAGTGAACTCCCATTCACAATTGCTTCAAAGAGAATAAAATACCTGGGAATCCAACTTACAAGGGATGTGAAGGACCTCTTCAAGGAGAACTACAAACCACTGCTCAAGGAAATAAAAGAGGATACAAACAAATGGAAGAACATTCCATGCTCATGGGTAAGAAGAATCAATATCGTGAAAATGGCCATACTGCCCAAGGTAATTTACAGATTCAATGCCATCCCCATCAAGCTACCAGTGACTTTCTTCACAGAATTGGAAAAAACTACTTTAAAGTTCATATGGAACCAAAAAAGAGCCCGCATCGCCAAGTCAATCCTAAGCCAAAAGAACAAAGCTGGAGACATCACACTACCTGACTTCAAACTATACTACAAGGCTACAGTAACCAAAACAACATGGTACTGGTACCAAAACAGAGATATAGATCAATGGAACAGAACAGAGCCCTCAGAAATAACACCGCATATCTACAACTATCTGATCTTTGACAAACCTGAGAAAAACAAGCAATGGGGAAAGGATTCCCGATTTAATAAATGGTGCTGGGAAAACTGGCTAGCCATATGTAGAAAGCTGAAACTGGATCCCTTCCTTACACCTTATACAAAAATTAATTCCAGATGAATTAAAGACTTAAACGTTAGACCTAAAACCATAAAAACCCTAGAAGAAAACCTAGGCATTACCATTCAGGACATAGGCATGGGCAAGGACTTCATATCTAAAACACCAAAAGCAATGGCAAGAAAAGCCAAAATTGACAAATGGGATATAATTAAACTAAAGAGCTTCTGCACAGCAAAAGAAACTAGCATCAGAGTGAACAGGCAACCTACAAAATGGGAGAAAATTTTCACAACCTACTCATCTGACAAAGGGCTAATATCCAGAATCTACAATGAACTCAAATTTACAAGAAAAAAACAAACAACCCCATCAAAAAGTGGGCAAAGGACATGAACAGACACTTCTCAAAAGAAGACATTTATGCAGCCAAAAAACACATGAAAAAATGCTCACCATCACTGGCCATCAGAGAAATGCAAATCAAAACCACAATAAGATACCATCTCACACCAGTTAGAATGGCAATCATTAAAAAGTCAGGAAACAACAGGTGCTGGAGAGGATGTGGAGAAATAGGAACACTTTTACACTGTTGGTGGGACTGTAAACTAGTTCAGCCATTGTGGAAGTCAGTGTGGCAATTCCTCAGGGATCTAGAACTAGAAATACCATTTGACCCAGCCATCCCATTACTGGGTATATACCCAAAGGACTATAAATCATGCTGCTATAAAGACACATGCACATGTATGTTTATCGCGGCATTATTCACAATAGCAAAGACTTGGAACCAACCCAAATGTCCAACAATGATAGACTGGATTAAGAAAATGTGGCACATATACACCATGGAATACTATGCAGACATAAAAAATGATGAGTTCATGTCCTTTGTAGGGACATGGATGAAATTGGAAATCATCATTCTCAGTAAACTATTGCAAGAACAAAAAACCAAACACCGCATATTCTCACTCATAGGTGGGAATTGAACAGTGAGAACACATGGACACAGGAAGGGGAACATCACACTCTGGGGACTGTTGTGGTGTGGGGGGAGGGGGGAGGGATAGCATTAGGAGATATACCTAATGCTAAATGACGAGTTAATGGGTGCAGCACACCAGCATGGCACATGTATACATATGTTAACTAACCTGCACATTGTGCACATGTACCCTAAAACTTAAAGTATAATAATAATTAAAAAAAAGATAAATATGTTTTCCTAAGGATATATGTATGTTGTTGACTGCAGAAATTACTCTGGCTTTGATTTTGTGTGCCTGTTGTAGTGTGATCTTTTTATGACTTCTTTGGCAGTACATAGGTCAGTGGTTTCTGTGATTTCCTCAGCGGCTTAGGGTGCAGTTACTAGTTGAAATTGTGCTGAAGTTTAGCTGGGGACTTGGACACCAATGACCCAGTCTTTGGGCCCTGGCAGTGGCAGTAGAGGGGCAAGTGTGCCTGTTTTTAGGCCAGCAGCCTAAACTCAGCTCAAAAATTTATGATCAACGAAGGCATAGAATTCTCCAGAAAAGTTAAAAGCACAAAGTCATTATGTCTGTGAATATTAAATAAATTAATTAAAGCATTTTAAATGTCTGTCTGCATTTTATGCTCTGAGGGAGGATAATATCAGAACAAAGTTCAATTGCTTTTAATTAGTGTACACAGAAAAAAATGCGTTCCTTCACCTTTCAATTTCCCACTTGGAAATATCCCTCCAAATTTAATATTTGACACAGTTAATAGCTATGACTTGCAGTCTCTTTGCTGTAATACACATGGAAATAATGGGTAAAAATAAAACTTTCAAGCCTTTAGTAAAGATGTGTGTCTACTAATTGATGTCTTCTTGGTTGGGATGGTCAGAAAAAATAAACAAAATAGAAACTAAAAATTTTCCTGTAGTATTTTTAGGGTTTTTCAAAATTGGTAGCACACAATTTGTGATCAAGTCTCTCCAGCTATTTTTCTGCCTCCTAATTCAGCAGCGATACTTTCCCTGCCTATGTTTTCCCCCAGGGCAGCTGAGAATTAAATGTCTCAGAATTAGCATTATGCTTGTCAACAAGAGTTGTACTTTCAGCTGCACCCCACACTATGTTTAATTTCTAGAGAATTGTTGATGCACTGCAGTAAATCAGTAACATCTGATGCTTATCTAGTTATTCTTCTGGCATTTGTGTATTTTAAAAAGATATGTTTATGAAACTAATTTTAGTGAAAATGAGTTTTTATTTTCTAAATGTCATCTGACTTTTTGAGGTTGCCACTTATTGTCATTTGTCAATCAACCTCCCTCAAGTTGACACCCAAAATGCTCATAATTACTTTTGTTTTTATGACCAATCATAGGTCTTACAAGGTTCCTCAGCTAATATGGAAAAAATGTATGTTTAAAATGACATTTTGATTAATATAAAACAAAACAGTTTTTAAAAATAGATTTTATTCTTAAATCTACAGAAGGCAAAGTGAAAAGATTACTCACTATTCAAATAATATTATTTATAAAATAAAACCACTTTAAAAGTTAAATCTTGTGATGAAGGTAAAAGAATACATTTTACCAGACTACTTTTTTCCCCTCAATGGAACATATTCATTCTATACAAATAGTTCTTGGGTTCTTATAAATGACTTCTGTCTTTCATTATATGCCTTATCTCTTCTTCAGATGTCTGATCTAACCCCACATATGTTATGATCGTCTTTTTTTGCCTAGTGCATTTAATGGTGTTATTTTCCCCATCATTATCCATGATCATGTCTACACTTTGGGACTTATGATATTGAGAACAGCCTAAAATTAAAGTCAGTAAAATGAGAGTGAACTTAATTTGCATTGTCTGTTCTCTGAGAATAGCTTTACGCTTAGCCCTAGCAATCTCTAGTTGTCACTTCTCATAGTCTGAGCTAAAAAGTGTTCAGATTTTATATTTTTAGTGTATCAAATAAAACTCAATTATTTTTTGCAGTCTGACCAAAGTGTAAGTAACTTCCATGGATTTTTAATTTATTTTATTTCTCCCAGTTTGTCATCCTGTTATTGCAAATTCCATGAGTTTTTTCATAATAAATTTGCCAGAATCATTAGAAGAAATTAACGATGCACAGTTTAAAATTTGCATAAAATAAAACACTTTTGATATATTGAAGACAACAATCAGTTCAGTTTTGTCAATTGAGATATATTTTTTAAATATACAATAAAAATAATTTATTATTAAATGTAATTATTTGTGCACCTTTTCCATGGGGACCATGGTTCTTTCCTTTCCAGGCTTAGTAGCAATGCCCTCCAGGTTCTCATGGAGAAATACACCATTTGATAATTCAGAAAGTCAAGTCCTTTTCAGTGTGTGATGGCCACTTACAGAGGGAAGGGCATGAATTAGAGAGGGTGAGCTCAATATCTGTTGGTAGTGAGAGAAGAAAATACTAACATTATCAATGTTATTTTATCTAACTATTTATATCATCTCTTTTCGATACATGGTTTATAACATGGAGTAAACCAATAAAATTACATAAATATAGTTAATAAATCATTGTACACATATTATTAATCCATGCCCAACTATTCTGTTACTGGTAATGGAATATAATCCTAATATTTAGAGAACATTAAGCCATTAATTTAATATGATCCTACTATTTCTGGCTCCAAATCGCTAGTAGAACCAAACTGTGCCAAGGGTGCCACGGTATGCTGGTAGGAGCTCTCTGTTGTTTGGTTCTTGCAGCTAAAATAAATGTGTTATCTTACTAGATTAAGCCTTTAAAAAGTAACAATTATTTAATTAACTATACAATGTATGTCTTACAAAATTGTCTATATGTATCAGGTGGCTTTAAGGCAATTTTCTACCTCAGTCATTTATCAGCCTAGCCTGATTATTAGCCAAGAATGCTGTCAACATTTCTGCTTTGCCTTATATATTTATATTTATGAGACAGTACAGTAATAAGTGTCCTTGAATATAGAGATGGACACACCTTCATCTCATAATAATCTGAGTGAAGGTGGTGGTTTTCTATTTCTCCATGTCATGAAGCTAAACTGTTATTAGATCTGGATTAAATTCAACTGATAAAATAATGATGCCTGAACCCAAGCTAAATAACATGAGACAGTAACTGCATCATTATGCTGTGAAACTTTACAAGATATTCTGGTATTGGAGATATTTGGTGAAAACTTTAGGGGAATTACCTTTACTATTGGAGAGAGTATTTTTCTAGGCATTTGAGAGTATCCCTGCAGTAAGTGATGTCTCAGGAAGAGAATCAACATGTGATTATTTAGAAGCAAGTTCATGGTTGTCATGTAGTGACTAAAGTGGCAATTTTTTTCTCGATAATTGAGAGATGGCAATCCTGTGCTGAAAGGAAGAGAGTCTCATAAAATATTTCTGGGATGAAAAATAAGCTTGGAGAAAATCAGCATCATTTTTAGGTAAAAGAATTAGTAGATTACTGGTAAACATAATATAATCTTTAAGGGGCAATAATGCCCCTTAAGTATGTTCATTTTAATTCTCACATACTGAGAATATTTCACAGTTCATGGCAAAGGAAATATAAGGTTTCGGATGAAATCAAGATTGAGAATCAGCTGATTGAAAATAAGGATATTATCATTAATTATTATAGTGCATTCAGTAGAATTACCGAGTCCAAACTCACAGGAGAGTGATGAAGAATGAGATGTATCAAAGTGATGGGATGTGAGAAAGAGTCAACTGGATATTAGCATTTGTTTATTAGTGATTCTTTCCTATTAGAATAAATTTTCATTTAATTTAACTGAGCAAATACCATTGAGCAATTTTATATGTTCCTTACCATCCTAGATGCTTAATATAGAATGCAGGAATATTAAACAACAAGGATATGATTTCTAAAAAGAGAGGCACAGGTATAATAGAAATTTAGAAATTGTGCATCTACACAGGCATAATTATGAATGTGTTGATGTTTTACATGTATAAGTTATTTGGTGTAGAAAATAGTGCAGAGACTGGATTATGCAGAATTTATATGAGATAGAGTTAACCAAGAAGTGGGTAAAATTAAAATAATGATGTAATCATTTTGGACACTAAAGAACAAACATTGATAATGTGAGATCCATTGTTTTGTTCCCAGATATATGAAATATGTTTGTCATTAATATGAACACACTTTTCACTTCAGTTATGCCTAAAAATGTTTTTTTTTTCTTCTGAATCTGCCATTGGACTTTCAGACAACACCTTTTTGCTTTTCTTCCACATCTTCACACTCCTTCAGGATCAAAAACCTAAGCCACATGACTGGATGAGCCGTCACTTGGCCTTCATTCGGGTAGTGATGGTCCTCACTGTAGTGGATGTTTTGCCTCCAGATATGCTTGAATCACTGCATTTTGGGAATAACTTCAAATGCAAGTCCTTGATCTAAATAAACAGAGTGACGAGGGGCCTATGTATCTATACCACCTGTCTCCTGAGTATACACCAGGCCAGCATAATCAGCCTCAGCAACTTCTGGTTGGAAAGCTTTAAACATAAATTTACAAATAACATTGTCAGTGTCCTCTTTTTTCTTTTTTGTTCCCTCAATTTGTCTTTCAGTAGTGACATAATATTCTTCACTGTGGCTTCTTCCATTGTGACCCAGACCAATCTACTTAAGGTCCGCAAATACTGCTCACGTTCTCCCATGAAGTCCATCATGTGGGGAGTGTTTTCCTTGTAGGATTACGCTGCTCTCAAGTGCATACATGATGATCTTTTTGTCCAAGCATCAGAGGTGATCCCAGCATCTTCACAGTACCAGCCTTTCCCCAAGATCCTCGCCAGAGAAAAGGGTTACCCAGATCATCCTGCCACTGGTGAGTTGCTTTGTTGTCATGTACTGGGTGGACCTTATCATCTCATCCTCTTCATCCCTGTTATGGACGTATAACCCAGTCATCCTGAGCATCTAGAACCTTGTAGCCTGTGTCTATGCCACTCTCGTTCCATTGGTACAAATCCGCTCTGATAAAAGAATAGTTAATATTCTCCAAAAAATGGAATTAAAGTGCTATAATTTTTTAATGTGTTGGTGATGAAAAATATTTCTAAAAATTAGTCTCATTCTATAGTTAAATTGTTCAAGTAGCCCCAGATTTAGCTTACTGAGTTTAAATAAAATGCGTGGAATTACACTTTTATTATATTTTTATGCTTCTGAAACTGAGGCATCTAAGGACTATGTAGTTTCTTCAGTTCAATGTTCACCATAGATTGACATTTCAGATATCAAGTCTTTTGCACTTTTATTTTTATGTTAACTTTGTACAAGAAAATGTTTCTCTCTTTTTGAAGTACATTCTTAAAAAATTTGTTTTGGTAATCAAATCTCTCAATGTTTTTACTTTTGAAAATATTTACTTACTCTGTTTATGAATGATACTTTAGCTAAATATTCAATTCTAGCTTTTAAGCCATGCTTGCTCATTGTAACCTCCCTGACTAAAAAAAATTATGTCAATTTGGATTTTAAATTTAATCTAGAATTCATTTTAAAGGGTTTTAAATGAAATTTATATGTGGCTAGATACTGTTTTGGTAATACTCGATAGTTTCCCGCCTCTATTGGGATATTATTGACAAAAATTTTGTATATTTATGGTGCACAATATGATGTTTTGAGGTATAGACACGTGCACGCAGACACATAAACACACACACACACACACATTGTAAAATTACCAAAATCAAGCTTAATAACATGTCAATTACTTCTCATACAAGGGTATTTTTGGTGTATGGTGAGAACATTTGAGATCTACTTCATTAATATAATTTACTTATACAATACATATTATTAATATAGTCTCTATGCTGTATACATATATTTATATTAACTTCTCTTTTGTTATTGTTGGAGACAGTTGTCTGTCTTTGTTCCCCAGGCTGGAGTGCAGTGGCATTATCATAGCTCACTGAAACGTCAAACTCCTGGGTTCAAATCATTCTCCCACCTCAGCCTCAAAAGTAGCTAGAACTACAGGGGTGCACCACTATGCCAAGCTAATTTGTAGGAACAGAGTCTTGCTATGTTACCCAGGCTGGTCTTGAACTCCTGGCCTCAAGCAATCCTCCTGCCTTAGCCTCCCAAAATACAGGGATTATAGGCATGAGCCACATGCCTAGCTTTATAACATTTTCTTTATTCATTTATGTGTTGATGGACATTTACATTGTTTTCATATCTTGTCTATTGTGAATATTGCTTCAAGAAACATAGGAGTGAAGATATCTCTTCAATATGTGATTTTATGTTCTTTGGATATTTAACCATAGGTAGGATTCCTGAATCATATGATAGTTTTATTTTTAATTTTTTGATGAATAATCATGCTGTTTTCCATAATGGCTTTACCAATTTACATTCCCAGTGACAGTGTACAAGGTTCCTTTTCTCTCCATCATTGATAACATTTGTTTTCTTTTGAATTTTTAATAAACATTACCCTAACATGTGCTTGAGGTGCTATCTCATTTTGGTTTTGATTTGCATTCTCCTGATGATTACTAATGGCTTCTTTGAAAAAGGATCCATTTAGATTATTTGGCTACTTTTAAAAAGAATGTGTTATTTTTATTGTTATTTTTATTCAGAGGGGGTTATATTTTATGAATTTCTTACAGATTTTGAATGCTAACCCTTTATCTGATATTTGGCTTACAAGTATTTTTCTTCGGTTCTGTGGATTGCCTTTTAAATTGATTGACTGTCTTTTGCTATGCAGTAGAAACTTTTTAGTTTGATGTCGTTTCATTTTTTTTCTCCCTGGGCTTTTAGTGTCAAATACAAAAAATAATTATTGCCGCAAACAATGCCAAAGAATTTTCCCCAATGTTGTTTTCTAAAAGTTTTATGGTTTCAGGTCCAATATTGAAGTCTTTAATCTCTTAAGTTAATTTTTGTGTATTCTGTAAAAGATGGGTTAAATTTTTTTTGCATGTGTATATCCAGTTTTCCCATCACCATTTATTGAACAGTGTATTCTTTCTTCACTGTATATTTATATATCTTTGTTGAAAATTAGTTGACTGTGTTCAGATGGATATTTCTGAGCTCTCTATTCAGTTTCATTGGTCTATGTGTCTGTGTTAATGCCAGCATCATGCTGTTTTGATGACTGTAGCTTTGTTATATCATTTGAAATTAAGAAGTTTGATGCCTTCAGCTTTGTTCTTGCTCAAAATTCTTTGGTTATTTTGGGTCTTTTCTAATTCCTTACAAACTTTAGAAATTTTTTATTTTTCTGGAAAATGATATTTTAATTTTGATGGAGATTGCTTTAAATTTTTTTTTTTTTTTTTTGAGATGGAGTCTCACTGTGTCACCCAGGGCCCAGGCTGGAGTGCAGTGAGGTGATCTCAGCTCACTGCAACCTCCACCTTCCTGGTTCAAACAATTCCCCTGACTCAGCCTCCTGAGTAGCTGGGATTACAGGTGCACGCCACCATGCCTGGCTAATTTTTTTGTGTGTTTTTAGTAGAGATGGGGTTTCACCATGTTGGCCAGACTGGTCACGAACTCCTGACCTCAAGCAATCCACCCACCTCGGCCTCCCAAAGTGCTAGGATTACAGGTGTGAGCCACTGCACCCGGTGAGATTGCTTTAAATCTTTATATCACTTTTAGTAGTATGAATGTTTTAATATTAATTTATCCAATCCATGAACACTAAGTTTTTTTTGTCTCTTCTATAATTGCCTTTGCCACTATTTTAGAGTTTTTATTGTACAAATCTTTTACCGTCTTAGTTATAAGTATTATTTTTTATGTTATGGCATATGGAATTTTCTTAATTTTTCCCATATATTTTGTTGTAAGTGTATAGAAATGCAATTTATTGTTTTGTACATTGATATAGTATCCTGCAACATTGCTGAATTAGTTTATTAGTTTTAAAAGTTTTTTTCCTGTAATGATGAGCACACGGGACTGTGTTTACACACTCATTAATATTCTGTTAACATATCACAGTGCCTAAAAATGTGCTCTGTTGTATTTCTGCGGTGACCAATTTAATGGCATCTTTTAGTCCTAATTTTTTTTTCTTTTAAAATACTTTTGTCTGGTATTGTATAATGGTGTGTTACTTTTCAGTTGTGCTACACATTTATTTCCAGGCAGAGTTAGTCAAGCTTTCTAATAAAGTTATTTAATACCTTTATGTGCATTTAGTTGTTGTAAGCCAAAACAGTAGATTTTAATGATAGTTTTAAAGTTACCAAGTAAGATTGAAAATATGTCAATTCATCACTGCTCAAGAATCTCTGGATTCCTCATTTCAAACTCTTACGTATGATGTGTGTGTGTGTGTGTGTGTGTGTGTAATGGCTTAGAATCTTACCTAACATATTGTATGCACTAACCAAGTACTAAAAGACATGATTCATCAAATTATCATCTTTATACCATTCTTCAAATAGAATATTATTTTCTGTTTGTTCTAATTAAAAATTATGTTTGTCTTATTTAAATATCAATGAAAATTAAAAGGTCTACTCAGTCTGCCGCCTTGATAAAAGCCAAAGCTAAATGGCAGTTTCACTAATATTTTAAATTCAATACCTTATTTGCATCACGATAAATATAAACAGTAAGGATAAAATTATATTTTAATTACCCATCCTACAATAAAGAGACTTTGAGTCATTCATTAATAGGGCTGAAGCCTTGCTCTGTATTTTTCTGATTTTTCTATGTTAACAGCCTAGAAAAATTTTTTACACATAGAATACTACAAATTAGAAATTAATATCTTGAAATGTACAAATTATAAAAAAACTGAGTAAGTAGAATAGATGAATATATGTTTATATATTATGAATTGTTATATAACAAGCAAAATTATTAATTAAAAATATTTTCACAAAGAAAATTCCAGGGCAAAATAGCCTTTATGGAAAACTGTCCCTATATTCAATAAATAATACTAACTCTTCACCCAAAAATATTTTCAAAAATTGAAAAAGAGGGAACATTTTCCAATTTATTCTAGGAGGCCAGTATTTCTGTGATACTAAGGGCAGACCCAAATATATGACAGAGAAGGACTATGGACCAATGTGGCATATTTATGTATATACATACATCCCCAGAAAATATAGCAAACCAAATCCAGTCACATAAAATATGCATATACACGAAGACCATATGATATTGTTTTATAAATGCAATTGTGACTTAATATCTAAAATTTAATCAAGATGATGCTCAATACTAGTAAAGAACAAAAAGTGATAATTTAAATAGGCACAGAGAAAATTTCAAAAATTGAATATCCATCCCTGAGAAAACCCCTAGCAAACTACTAATAGAAGGAAATTTTGAGACCTACTAAAATGCATCTATTTTTTAAATCTGTAGCTAACATCATACTTAATGGTGACAAACTAGTGTTTTTTTTTTTACCTGAAAGTTTGGGGAGAAGACAAGAATTTTCACTATAATATTCCAGATTGTAAAATATAAAAGTAGAACTGTATTTATTGTAAATGATACAATTTTCCGTTAAAAAATACAAAAAAATTCACTAAAATACCACTAAGGCAGACAAATCCAGTTTGTCAGTAGAGGGTGATTTATTGGGGGGACACAGAGAATGAAGCATGATCTTTGGCAGGTGCAATACAGGTAGATCTCTGCGCCGTAACCCTCCAGACCCAGGACTTATACCCTATAGAAAAGGGCATATGACCAATGTGCCAGACAATTAAAGTGGACCTTCCAGGAAATGATGAGATTGCTATCTATGTGTGTCATATCCTGTAATTTGTGCCGTAACATCAAGGTTTCTGTTGACCTAGGGGCAGGATGTGGTCTTATATAAAGAGCAGTAGATAAAGTGGATATCCTAAAGGCATTCCTGGAACTGGGGGTAATCAAAGTCAAATGGCAAATTATAATTCAGGATGGAGTTACTTTAGTCTTTACACTCCACCCATCTTATCCACCTGTAACTATCTCAGCATTCTGCTCTTCTGTGATGGTCCATTAGTTTTTGTGGAGAGACTGTAGGTGACATGTTTTATCACTGTGTTTTTTGCTTATAAGCAGATATAGCAGTAACAATACAGACAACAACAGACAATGACACCTATGACATGTATCAGACACAGAATTAATAACACTTTCTGCCACCATGTTCCTCAGGATCCAAACCAGGAGGAGAGCCATTGGGAGAAAGGTTAGAGTCAGACACTGTGGTTATTTGTTTATGCATGTCTTGTAGGGCTAGAGTTATACTGCTAGAATGATCAGGAATAAATACACAACATTCCGTCTTAATCATGGCAAAAGCTTTTCCTTGTGCAGCAGTTAATACATCGAATACCATGTAATTTTGTAGAATAGCCTTCAGTATGGGGGTCATCTCAGAGTTCATTAAAAAATACCTTGGAGGCTGTCATTGAGAAAAAGCTGAGTATAGTTAATGTGTTTTCAATGCCTACAAATGGCACAGAGATTGAAGCTAAATAATCATACCAATAAAAGAAAGCCCTTATCCACCTACTAGTCACATATGGGAAATTAACAGGTTTATCAGTTTGCTTTTCCCATCATCCTTGGACCAATAGAAAACCTAACATGTAGTGTCCTAGCCATCCCAATGGTGACCAAGGCCAGAGATTAAATCCATACAACCATTCAGTACCATTTGGAGCTGCCAATTTATTCCAGGTTGTTGAGATGAGTCTGTAGTAACCCAGTCCATGGCTTGCAGTATTACAATGTGTTGGCATTGTTCCTGGGACATCCAGCCCTTACTATGGGTATAATTGAGCCATGAGGCGTGGTTTCATTGCTCACATCATAGGGGCACTAACTGACTTAAATGCCCTATAGCTGGTGTCAGCCAAATGAAACCATCTCAAATTTTAAAAAGACCTTCTTTACAGTGAGAATGTCAAGGTCTTATAATAAGACTCATTCCTTAGAATCCTTTGGTTGTGGCGTAGCTCTAGTTACTACATGTTTTTGTGTGGCATTTATTGAAAAGGGCTTTCCATGTCCATAACTGTTAAGTGTCTTGTTAATAGGCTAATTACATCACTTCTTGTCACATCTTCTAAAGGTGTATTCCACTGTTGAAGAGACTTGATGAATATCTGTACATTCTGCAAGTCATTTTTCTGCATAGGTGATACATACCAAGGCATACCAGAGGTGCTGGAATAAAATAACCACAATGCCAGTAGGCATCCTTTTATGAACTGTCAGCATAATGTTGAGCCCATTGTAGAGAAAATACAGCAGAGCAGCAACAGGAACAGAAGACTATGGGTGTAAATACAAGTGTTTAGCAGTAGTTGAAAGGGCAGTTCTTTCCCATCAAGCAGAATGATTGTAGTGACTTTGTCCCTGTTAGTTAGGACATAGGCACCCAAAGGATTATGGGCTGGGAGTGCACACCAAACATGGGGCCTAAGGGGTAAATGTGCCAGTATTATCTGTAAAGTTACAGGGACAGCAAAAGACTATGTTAAACCACTGATCAAAGTGTTCTTTAAAAGAAGTTGTGTTCCAGTGTATTGGTATTTGGCACATTTTTGCCCAGACTCCAACAGGATCAACAGAGACCACTTTAGCTGGCTGGGGAAGTTCTCACTCTCTGGAAAGAAATAGCCTATCCAACCAGGGGAAATTTGCCAGTCCAACAGTATTCAAGGGCTCCCTTTCTTGGCTGGAGGTCTTGGGGAGTCCTAAATAATACGTGCCATTGGCCTTTTATCAGCTACAGTAGAAATGGATCTGGTTGGATTTTCTTTACAATGATGGTTAATAGACCCTCCTTTATGGGGATCCTGAATCATTGGTATAGTTCCAACCCTATATTTGTTTCAACTGAATTAAGGTGTCTAATGGTTGGAGTCAAAACCTTCACCCAGCCATGCAAAATATTAGATTTTAAGAGTGCTCACAGTTGAGTCTAGTGCTATTTTTCCTTTCAATCAAACCTGCCACTTGAGGATTACATAATAAATAGAATTCCCAGTCTATATCCTTTTCATGTGCCCAACCTTGGACATCATGTTCAATGAAATGTGTGCCTCAGTCACTATCAGTGTGTTGAGGATATCCATATATGACACCGAGTTGCTTCAAGCCCTTGATGGTGGCTGTCTGGTTTGCCCTTTTGCAAGTGAAGGCCTGAAATAATACTATAAGAGTATCCACATATTTTAGTGCATACTTTTGTCTCAAGTTTACTGGCAGGGATTCGATGTAGTCTCTTTACCAGCTTATCAGAGGGGTAGCTGTCTTATGAATGAGTTCCTATGTATGTGGTGTGTGGTGAGGGCTCAGGTGAGAGCAAACTAAGCAGACTGTTATTGCCACCACTAAATCTGCATAGTGGAGGGCAATCATCCTACCTTCGCTATTTGCCAGCCCACTCGTGCACTGTGATGCTCACTATGTTCATGTACCCAATCAACTAGCTCAGATGACTGTGAGGAAGCCAATGTTCTAATTTTTGCTAGAGTATCTGCATCCATGTTACCAGGAAGGAAATCTGACCAGTGTGCTGAAACACAGTACATGATTAAGCTCACAGTGGGTTCTTGTAGCCTCTCCCAAATGTCGTTTCACATGGCAGCTGGCCATAAGGGTTTTTAAAGCACATAGCAACCATTTCAGGACCATTGGGAAGCCAAGTTGTAAGACCCTTAAGACCCTATAGTTCTCTGTACAGACAGGCCCACCTGGATAGGCCATAACTCATGGATACCAACCAATTATGCACGTTGAAGCTCTGCCCATTGATGGCTTTGTTGCATTCCCTCCTCAATCCAGATAGCATCTGTCTAGTTGTACAGCTAGAGCCATCCACATGCATGTTACTATGTGTGGCTTGATCTGAATACCAATCATTTTCAAAAATGAGGCCGTGCCTTCATGTACATTGGAAGCATCTCTTGTGAGGGATCCGCACTGGGGGCAGCCCTTGTCTCATAGTGCACTGGCCCTAACATAGCAGGCAGTTCATTCCCCAAGGGACTCATGGAGAGGATACTATGTTGTTGCAGATCTGCATGCCATTTTTGTACAGTGGAGGCTTGAGCAATGGCTAATTCAGGCCTGGCAGACAAGCCTTTCATCCAGCAAATGGGTTCCATTTGCTGCAAGCCTTGTATACCTGTTCAGTCAAAACAGTGGATTTCACCACTCCTCCACAAACATCCTAGGGGAACTGTTTTTTTATTCTGGACTTGCCCGAGAGCCCCAGTGTTCCCATCAGGACTTATGGTCACATCTAAAGACACTGCTACTGTTGAAGGGACTCTGGGCTGGCCAAATAATATAGCACACCGTGGGGAAGAAAGGTGTACAGATTTTCTTTTACTTTCCCTCTTAACATAGCTTTTACTACCCAAATCCATAGGCATAATTCTCCAACAGATGTTCGTAAAGTGTGCCTTAAGAGGACATTTATACCCAAGATGTTTTGTGGACTAGATGAGATACAGTAAAGCAAGCAGGAGGTTCTAACCAGAACCAAGGGGGAAAGAAGTTTGTTTAACTCAGATTGTTCATCCCCCATAGCCATCTATAGCTCCCCACTTATCAGGATGTCTTTCTGCATTTCCATGAATTAAGGTGCATTTGACACCTGTGCCTACCACTGCTAAGGTCCTCTGCTTGTTTTCTGGACTTAAATGAATTGTGAACTCCACATGGACCTCTGGTCACCTCGATTGCTCATACATGAAGGCAGCCTCGGCCTTAACCCTATTCTCTAGGCTGGGAAGGACGCCACTCATTGAACATAGATTGGAGTTCTTTTCTGCAAAGTTTTTTCTTCTTTCTACTCTTCTGCTGGGGCAATAGGCAGGGCACTAGGCAGGGCATTAGCAGAAGTCAACTCCTTCCAAATGCCCACAAATATGGCCTTTTCTTTGTCCACCCCAGCTGAGATTAGATTATACATTAGTTTTTCTAGTAACCCTAACTGAGTTACTGAAAGACTTGGCATGTCCTTCTTTTCCTTTTCCTTTGGTAAGCAGTCAGACCTTATTTCTTCCCTCTTTCTCCAAGATTAGCTACAGTTCTCCCACATCACACACATCTTTTCCCATGAGGGAACTCAAGATGTATATGAGGGCACCATGCCAATTCCAAGGGACATTTTGTTAACTACTGATTTTTCATGACCATGGTAAACACAGCCTTATCTGATCCTTCAAATTATTGGATATATATGTCCTGCCACATACCCAACTCACTTAAATTGATGTATGTTTCCTCCAGTGATGGCCATGCCAGGGTCTGACCTGAGAAGTCTCCTTCATTTGGCCCGGCCTCGCTCATGGCCATGATAATCCAGTCCATAACACTATGATTGCCCTGAACAGTTGTAGCTTTGTGCAAACACTGTCTCAAAGCAGGATGGGTGGTTATTTGTTCATTGTTTTAGCTTCACTGTCAGCTAGGGAGATGCCATTTCTATCAGAGTCCTAGTCACACAAACCATGTGGCTAACCTTTCTCTCAGCAACTATTTAAGTATTTTTGCTATGTCTAATAGTTCTACTAAGGTGTACTCTCAGACAGTACAGGTTTATTGCAAAGACTGTCCATTATTGCCCAGCTCCATGTGTTGGGCTTTTGCTTTCTGCTGCATGAGTGGATTGCTCTAAAATGGGGACGGTAATCCTACACCTCTTCTGTGATAAACTCTGTCTTCATCTGGCTCACTAGTTGCTTTCTGATGATTCCAGACCTTAGCGTCCCAGTCAGGTTTAGCAAGGCAGTCCTCCACTTTCAGCTGGTGCAACTTCCACCCTCCCAGCTGCACAAGTGGCAGCTAGAGCTTCCAGCTGTGCCTCCTGTGTTTTGAACTCATCCCCCAAGGTAGTCACTAACACAGACATGGATGTCCTCAAACTCATGCTTAACAGTAATTTTTCTTGTAGCCAGATGACCCTGGTAATGGAATGTGGTGATGGCAGCTGGGCTGTTGAGCAGGATGATGAGTGGCAGAATTAGCAGGGCTCTGGCTCCCATGTTGGTCCATCCTGCTGGCATGGAGCTTTTTCCAGGCTGTGGGCTGGATGTGGTAGGTGGGGCTTCCTTTCTTCCCCAGACTAGCCCAGCAATTCTCCAGGAAGCCAGGCCTCTGCGGCTAATTCTGTCTTGCACCTCAACACGGCAGGAAACAGACCCAAAGCAGGCAGTAACTTGCCTAGATCCCCAGAGGAGAGACGAACTCCTCCTCCCACCTGGAGGCCCTGTCCCAGCTACCTTCACCCCATACCCCAGCACCACTACTGACCAGGGTTCCATCTTCTGGACTCTATGGGCATCTCCATTCTGGGCTCAGCCACGGTGGAAGTAAGATGTGGTGTCTTGGGAGACCTGGTTGAGCAGGTCTCTGTTTCCTCATCTGAAAAATGTACAAATAATGAACCTGTTGTGCAGGCCTTACAGAGTCCTGATGAGGTTCAAGGGAGAAAGGGAATTTGAGGGTCCTTGCATCTGGCTCTTCTTGATAAATATAATGGTGAGAACAATGGTGATAGTCACATTCAACTGAGTCCTCAGGAGGCCCTGAGGTAGGCGTGGTTTCCACTGCCCTTTCCTGATGAGAAAGCAGCCTCTGGGAGGCCCGGCTTCATGCCCAGATGGCAAAGCCGTGAGTGCTGGAGCTGGGAGTGAGTCTAGAATCAGGACTCACTGGAGGTAGTGGGGGTATTGCATCAGCTGACCAAGGCCAGTTAACCAGGGTTTGAGGTTAGTGTGGCTGGGGTGAAAAATGGTTGATGGAGGATAATCTCACTGACCTTACCCCTGACCCTCACAGTAGGGGACCTCCAAGTTGGTCACCCTGGAGAGGAACCCAGCAAATCTGGGGCAGCAGCAGGTGAGTGTGCCTGTGGTGGGGAGGGGCTGCAGGGAGTCAGAGGACAGGGACCGTCCCTCCCAGCTGGAGGCCTCTACATCAAGCAAGCAGGGGACCTTTCTCCCCCAGCTCTTCCCTCCTGTGACCACAGTGCCTGAAATGCCTCCATTAGAGAGACCAGAAAAAGGGCCTGGGAGACCTTGGCTCACTGTGGATTTTGGGAATGGTGGAGCAGGGGACCCCATGATCTTATTACTTGCTAATATCCCACCAGAAAATTAAAAAAAAAAAACAACAAACTGGGGATGCCCGCTGGCTTTGGACACCAGCTAGGGGAAAAAGGTGAGAATTGGGGGAAGACAGCTGGGGGTCCTTAGTTACTCCAAGTGAAAGACCTGGGTAAGGGGATACAGAAGACAGGAATGGTGAGATTTCACACGACAGACCTTGGACAGGCACCTAAAAGCGGGTGCTCATCATCTCTAGCACTCTGATGGCCCAGGCTGTGTGCTGTCTCTGGGCATGTTCCTCAGTGATGCTGGACACTGCCATGAAGGACTGTGTGGATGGGAGTGAGCCTGGGGCAGGCAGGTCAGGGACCGGGATCCTGAGGCCTGGGAGGAGAGAGCCGAGGATTGAGCCCTTGGATCTCAGCACTCAGCAGACCTCCTCTCATGAGAGCCTCACAGCTGCCCCTGTGAGCTGGGGTGTCAGGCCCATGTCACCTATGAGTGGTGGAGGTTCCATAGCAGCTGCCAGCCTCTGCTTCCTGAGTAGTGATGCGTCAGGGCTGTCTGACTGCAAAGTTGTGTGAGGTTTGGGCTGAGCTGAACTTAGCCTGTCCCTCAGGTGGTGCCCATGAGAGGAGAGGGAAATTGCACCCATGAAAGATCAGACAGGTCCTAAATGGCTGAGCGCTTTCTCTTTATGCAAGGCCTCAATTTCCCTGTCTGTCATGAGAGAGGGTTGAGGCAGAAGGTTCCCAAGCCTCAGTGCCCATGCTGTCTCCTCTGGAGCCCAGAGGCTAACACAGGTCTCAGTTCTGCTTGGTGCACAACCCCTGACCCTCATAGCCTTGGCAGTAGCACAGCATGAGGGCAGGTGAGGAGTGGGGCTAGCCATGGGCCGGAGTGCCTTTCTGATGAACCTTGGCTGTCTGCCTTCCAGGGATATTAGGTCAGCACTCAAAAGAGGAAGATGAGCAATTGGGGCCCTCACTTTGGGGGATATTGGGAATGTGGAAGTCAGAGACCCTCCTGGGCAGGACGCCCCCTGGCTCCACCCTCTGCCTCTTAGATTTACTGGGAGGGTTGGATGCACAGAGAAGGAAGAAACCCATCCCAGTGGAGGGTGTGGGTAGGGGTCTGCAATCAATGACAAATTCCTAGAGGAGGGGCTGTTTATATCCAACTCTGAAAACAGGTTGAAGCTGAATGGCATTGAAGAAGAGGGTGCCCTTTAAGAGAAAAGCCCTAGAGACCAGCCCCTGCTCCTCCCACCCCAACAAGTCCCCTTCAGCATCTTCTATCCAGGCCCTGTCAGCATCCTGTCCTTCCCTCTGGGTCCAGGAAATCAAAGTCCTCCAAGAAATGCAGCCACTTCTGTAACAAGAGAGAACTGTCATCTTCAGAGTCAGGAGGAATTTGGGGTTTGGTTCAGGTCCATTGAAAAGCACAGTTGGAATAAAACTTGGGGGTAGCAGATATTCAGAGGGTAGGAGGAGACTCTCTCTTACAGCCAGCTTCAGACAGCCTGTGGACATGGCTCCCTGGTCAGCAGGAGAGCATGTTGCATGGGGATCCCTGGGCAGGCACTGGGAGGGAGGCCTGAGGTGTGGCTCCTGCAGCGTCATAGCTACTGCTCTTTCCTGCAGTGACAACCTGTCCGGCCCACTGAGCCTCCATCCCAGTAGGCCAGCAACACCCTCAAGGCTAAGAAGATCAGGCCATGAAGAATCTCAGGGCCAATGAGTGCCCAGGTGGTAGGTGCAGAGTGCCTCAGGGCTCAGTGAAGTTTGGGCTGAGCACGGGCTCTGGACTTCCAACTAACTCCACTGTGACTAGCACTGTGATTGGGGCAGCCTCACTGCTCTGGAACTTGAGGTACCATTGTCACAGATATAAAACACCCTTCCAATCTTTTTCTTTTTTATCTTCCTCTGTAATCACCATGTACTACTGCTCTGTTAGTGTTTTTATTCAAATTAATAAACATATGTTATACAGTGTATATCATTGTTCCTCATGATTTCTACACCATACTGTATGATTCCAGTCACATGAGGTACTTATGGTCGTTCCATTCATAGAAACACAAGGTAGAAGAGTGGTTCCCAGGGGCTGTAGGGAGGGTAAAAGGGAGGTATTGTTTAATGGGCACAGTTTTGGTTTTGCAGAATGAAAAATATAACATTTCCTATGAATGTGGATGATGGTTGCAAAACAATGTAAATGTACTTAATTCTTTTGAACTGCACACTTAAAAATTGTTAAAATGGTTAATTTTGTATATATTTTACCACAATATAAAAATACTTAAAAAATAGACTATAGCTATATGCAACAGCATGAATGAATATCACAAATATAATGTCTCATAAAGGAAAGTTGATGTAAAATATACATACTATATAATTTCATTCATATTAAATCCAAAAATCAAACAAAACTGAGGTTCTGGCTTCTACTCATTGTGGAGTAGCTTGGTGAACTAACACTCTTAAAAATAACAAACATGAAACCAGGATAAAAATACTATATATTATTATAGAAATCCATCTACATATAATATAAACACGACATATGTGTGAATAAGAAATAATGAGGATTTCACCTGTGCCCAGTGTAGGGGAGATAGGTAATAAAGTTTCAATTCAGCCCAGTAACACCTTAAAAAAAAAAAAAACTCTTCAAATAAACACAACCAAATCCAGAGTCTCTATAAATATCCTTTTTAGTTTGTAGTACACAATTTTGCAATTAATGAGACCTGTGAAGAAACATGAAAATGCAATCCATACAGAAGATAAAATGCTGGCAGTAGAAGCTACCCCAATATATCCAAGATATTGTAATCAGAAGACAGGGATTTAAAGGCAGCTATTATATATGCATTCATGGGGATAAAGGAAAATAGTCGCATTACAAATGAACAGATGTGAAACTTCAGCAGAGAAATGGAAATTATGTGTATAAAAAGGAACCACATAGAAAGATAAGGAGATGAAAAAATATTTTGAGCTTATCCACAGATTAGAAACAGAAGACACAGCAATAGAAATGATTCAATCTGAAGAAAAGAATTTAAAGAAAATAGACAGAGCCTTAGAGACCTGTGGGATAATTGAGTCTGAGAAAGAGGAGAGAGACAGACAAATCAAATGAGTTTCAAAATAAATTACCAACTGGTAAATGAATACTTTCAAAAAATTTTCCAAGACCTTAATTTTTATATACAAAAGGTCAACAACCCCCCCAAAATAAATACAAATAAATACAAATAAAATCATACCAAGGCCACATTGTGACTGTGGAAACTGGCAAGGCAGGGCTTTCAACTGACTTGTTATTAATGCTCCAGAAAGATGTCCCAGGGAGAGTCTGCTCTGGTGCATCCACCCTGCACGGAGCTGAGGCTGCGCCTACACTAGTTTCAGAAGTGTGTAGTTGTGGAGTACTTAGAGTTAATCTGAGAAAGTAAATGGAAAAATGGATTCAGATAATTATCACTGTTAAGTTCCACCAGCAAAGTATTGAAAGTGGTTATAAAGGGATATTTAAAAAGCAAAATTAAAAGATTTTCTAAGGGAGCCCTATTCACAGCAGAAATGCAGACACTGAACATGACCTCACCAAACAAACTTCCCTTATGTGTTGGGAGGGACCAAGGGGCCTTCTGGTCTTGCTGGTCTGTGTTAATTATGGCAGAGAAGTCCATACTAGTGAAACGGGAAAAGTTCACTTGTCCCTTTTGCAGGGCGTGCGATGGGGGTGTAACTTGCTTCTTCAGTGCCCTGCTGCTCAGACCTCTAGGGGAGCATACAGAGGGGCAGGCTATGGGGCTCTGACCCCATGGCAGTGATCTAGGGGTGAATGTTTACAGCTGAAGCCCCAGTGGACGTGTGTTACAGCTCTTAGTTTAGCTGTCCGTAGGCGACTTGTGTTAGTCATCTCAATTAGACCCCTGCTTTATTGGAAGGACAGAGGGCTTTATGTATCCTGGGGTTCTTGCCTTGGTGTACTGGAAGAATTGGATCACATGTGGGCTTGGAGAATAAGCGCGAGGTTTTATTGAGTGGAAGTAGCTCTGAACAGATGGGGGAGGCAGAAAGGAGATGGTTTTCCCCTGGAATTGGGCGCCCGGGGGGCCTGGCTCTCTGGCCAAACTTCACCTCCTTCTGCCGGTGGATAGCCTGCTGGTCTGCTGGAGTCTATCCTGTGCTCTTCCACAGAGTACTCCCCTCTATGCCCAGAGGACGTCCAGAGGACCTGTGTGTCTGCCTGTTAGGGCCTCAGGGTTTTTATAGGCACAAGATGGGGGCGTGGCAGGCCACGGTGGTCTTGGGAAATGCAACATTTGGGCAAGAAAACAAAAATGCCTGTCCTCACCTAGGTCCGTGGGGGTGGAGCCCTAGCCAGGGACCATGCCCTCCTCTAACCCATACTTCCCTTCCCCCTTCCGTATCATTTGAAGGGACCACGCTCTTCCCTTCCAGCAGTTCCCTTCCTTATCACTAGGACCCCAAGACCTGGGAACCAGCCTGGGTGGGGGTCAGTGGTGGATGTGGCCCCAAAAGCAGCTTAGGGGGTCCCTTCCTTGTGGCTGCTTCTTGACTGGATGGAGCAGTGTTCAGGCCTTTCCCCTGTGACGTTTTCTCCTAATAACGTCACAGGCCTTTCTCATGTGACTTTATTACAGCGGCTGGGGCGTCCCTGTGAGAGGCCTGACCCAGGTGTGGGGGGCGCAGCCAGACCGGGGTGCTCCTGGGGTGCAGAGGATTCGTGGCAGCACGGAGAGTCCGAGGGAAAGGTGACTTTGGAAAGGCAAGTGCCAGGTTACTAGGACCGTGTATATTCACTTCTGGCAGTGAAATGACGGTTTCAGACACTATGAGGGAGCTTCCCGAGTAGGATACAAAGAAAGCCTGCAGCTACCAGGTCCACGGGCTGATAGCCCCACCTCTACGGAGAAGGCTACACGGCGCATGCTCGAAGGGCGTGACAAGGGGCGGGGCGAGAAGGAAGGGGCGGGGCTGAGGGGAGGGGTGGGGCAGAAGAAAGGGGCCGTGTGCGCCCACATACTGGAGGATCAACATTATCATGGCAACCCTGAGGAGGCTGTGAGAGTCTCTGGGGTCCTTGCCGGCCTGCAGAAAATCAAGCTTTGAGCGGGAAGCTTCGAGGAGACACAGTGTCACAATTACAAGGTGAGACCAGATGCCCTGGCCCCGCTGTCTCCTCGCAGGCAGGAGAGGTTTGGGAACACCCACGCTTCCCTCAGCAAGGCAGAACTGCACTGGACGCATGGAAGTGTGATTTGGAAAGCGGGACCTTCGTACGGAATGTTCGGAGTTGTAGTATCTGTTCTACTCCCAGCCTGTTGGTTCTAGGGCTGCGGACTATAATCCCAGCATGCACTGGGTTTGGGTAAGAGACTGAAGCATCCAGGTGAAGAACTGGCATTGCTTCTACCTGTGGAGAGAGGACACCTGTAGGCTGCACGATTGACTGTGAATTTAGGAGGAGGATTAAAAGTTACCTGGCAAACAGTAGGCACCCTACAAATACTGATTTTTCCCCCTCCTTTAAAAAGTTTGATCTCTTGTTAGATGGTGTTGAGTAATACAGAAATGGCAGGTATGCATGTGATTGGTGCTTAAATGCACACAGTTCCCCATACCACAAGAGGAAACACACCACAGCCTGATCATTAGGACCAACAGCAAAATAAGTTTGCCTTTAATCTATTCACTGCATATCTAAACTTTGATCAAGCCCATGGACACACCTGAAGACATGGGGTTTCCTTCTTCTGGGCACAATCATCCTTTGATCAGTGTCTGCTCTGTAAAACAGGATTCCCCCTAACTCTACCAACCAGCAGATGGGAAGTAGTAATCCACCCGTGGACACTTCCTGCTTGCAGCCCACTGCTCTCTCAGGTTACCATTTTCAGATGTTGCAAGGATGGGGTACTCCCTTGCCTCTGAAAGGGAATGGAGGGTGGGGGGTGTGGTTCAGCACTCAGAGCTTCACTTCAATGTGGCAGCCACTGACCATTGGGACCACTGAGCCCCTGGAATGTGGCTGGTCTGTATTGAGATGTGCTGGAAGTTTAAAATACAGAGTTTTATGGTTTTATTCTTTGTGTGTGTGTGTGTGTGTGTGTGTGTGTATGTATGTGTTTAAAAATGGCTTTTATTTGTATGTTATTGCACATTCCTAATACAGTGATTTCTGGAAATCACAGTATTTTGTAAACATAAGATTTATACTTTAACCATACCCAAAGTCTATTTTTATTTCTTGACAGAATTGCTTTTCTTAGTACACATGGCTCTGCTGTGGTTTAAAACTGACTTTTTCATTTAAGGCAATCTGGACTCTATTAGTGAGAAATGCATTGTTTTTCTTGGTTTTATTCTCTAAAGGTTCCAGCATTTGGAGGCAAACATGAAGCTCCATCCTCTCCAATTCTGGGGCAACCGTGTGGAGATGATCAAAATGCTTCACCTTCAAAACTTTCAAAGGAAGAGTTAATACAGAGTATGGATCGTGTAGATCGAGAAATTGCAAAAGTAGAACAGCAGATCCTTAAACTGAAAAAGAAACAAGTAAAAGTCTTTGCCTAATATATTCTAAGAATGTATTTTTTTCTCCCTACCGAAGATATTTTTGAGTTTTCCATATTTTGAAACATTACATAAAAGGAATCATTCCTTATATATTCTGACTTGCTGTTTTTGCTACCATTGTGGTTTTCTTACATTCATTCATTTTCCTTGCTGCACTGTCCGATTATATGATTGTAGAGAGTGAAATTTGTTTGTCCATTCTATTTTTTATTTTTTTTTATAATCCATACAATGGTGCTGGTTTTTGGTTCACATGCAGAGATTTTCCATGGCATGTGCCCAGGAATGGCAGTGCTTGGCCCAAGATTATGCACAGTGAACTATTTAATAGATGATACCAAATTTGCTAAGAAGTAACACCTTTTTACATTCCCACTGGCAGCTTATGTGGGTACTGGTTTGTGCACATTCTTGCCTTTACTTGATATCATTTTTTTCAGTTGAATATGAAATAGTCTTCTGTGGTTTGGAAGAAGGCTGAGCTTATTTTCATTTGTTTGTGGGTTATTTGCGTTCCTTATGTGCATTGTTCAAGTCTTTTGTCTATAGTCTCCTATTTCAACATTGAAACTTTTAAGATTTCCTGAAGTCCCTTGTCAGATATGTGTATAGAAGATTTGCCTAGTTTGAGGCCTGTCACTTCACTTTTAGCCTAGTATCCACTCTTAAGTGTACACTAAGTGCATTTTTTTTTCTGGAATTGGAGTCTCACTGTGTCACCCAGGCTGGAGTGCAGTGGTGTGACCTTGGCTCACTGCAACCTCTGCCTCCCAGGTTCAAGCGATTCTCCTGCAACAGCCTCCCGAGTAGCTGGGACTGCAGGCGCTTTAAGTGCTTTTAATGTATTCATACAGTTGTACAGCTATCACCACTCTCTAACTCTAGAACATGTTTATCATTTCAAAAAGAAACTCCATACTTACTAGCAGTTACTCCCCATTTCCCCCTTTCCCCAGCCCCTGGCAACCACTAATCTATTCTCTGTCTCTATGGACTAGCATATGCCAAATATCAGAAAAAGCAGAATCATATGTGACCTTTTGTGTTTGGCTTCATTTATTTAGCATGTTGTCCTGATTCATCCATGTTGTATCTTGTGTCAGCACTTCATTGCTTTATATGCCTGAATCCCATTGCATGAGTATACTATGTTTTGTTTATCCATTCATTAGTTGATGGATATTTGAGTTATGTTCATTTTTTGACTATGATTATTAACGTACTGTGATGAGATTCATGTAATCGTTTTTGTGCGGACGTATTTTTACAATTTTCTTTATATATCTAGGAGTGGGCCTATGGTAAATCTATGTTTAAATTTTTGAAAAACTTCAAAACTGTTTTCCAAAGTCTCTGTACCATTTTATATTATTACCAGCAGTGTATGGAGGTTCCATTTTTTCCTACCTCCTTGCCAACATCTGTTATTTTTGTTTTTTAAAAAAATATACCCATCCTTGTAGATGTGAAGTTGTATCTAGTTGTAGTTTTCACTTGCATATCCTTAATGACTAATGATGTTGAGCATCCTTTCGTGTGCTGATTGGCCATTTGTATATCTTTTTAGAGAAATGTTCATTTAGACTGTTTGCTCATTTAATTGGGTTGTCTTTTTGTTATTCTAAGAATTCTTTATATATTCTGGACATTAGTTCCTCATCAGATGTATGACTTAATAGATATTTTCTCTCATTCTGTGGGTTCTTTTCACTTTCCTGATGGTATCCTTTGATGTACAAAAGTTTTGAATTTTGTTAAAGTCCAGTTTGTTTTTTCCTTTTGTCACTCTTGCATTTGGTGTTGTATCTAAGACCCATTGACTAATTCACGGTCACAGATTTATACCTATGTTTTCTTCTACAAATTTTATAGTTTTACCCCTTATATTTGGGTCTTTGATCCTGATAGTGTTTTTTTGGTGAACAGAATTTGTTTAGGTTTTATATGAAAACCCACTGGGGCTATTAAGGTAGTCTTACTGTATTATCTTTAGAAGTTTTATGGTTTTGCTTCTCATCTTATTCTTAATCCACTGGAAACTACATGTTATATAGTCAGTGTTCATTTATATTTACTCACATATTTGTCTTCTTACGTACTCACCATTTCTTCTCGCAACTCAAGTCTTCCATCTAGGGGAACACCCTTCTACTGAAGAACATCTCTTAGAATTTCCTTTAGTGAAGGTCTTTTAGTTAGCAAATTCAGTATTTGTTTGGTTTTTATGACTTAAATATTGTCTTATATTTGGCCTGTTTATTAAAACATATATTAATTTCGTATGTGATTATTTTTTCTTAGTACATTGTCTTCTTGCTTCCATTTTTAAGACATTAGCTCTTGGTCTAAATCCATATTCTTTCATGGATAATGTGAATTTTCTCTCTGCTTGTTTTCAATATATTCTTTTCTTCAGGGTTCCGTTATTTTTATGATGATACATTTAGGTGATTTTTTTTCCCTTTTAAATTGAGCTTCCTGAATATGAAGGGTGGAGTTTTTCATCACTTTGGGAAAATTCCAAGCCGTTATCTTTTTTACAAAACCTTTCTAACAGTTTATTGTTCTACTTATGAAATCCTGTTAGTTGTAATATCTTATCACTCTTGTCTTCCATTTCTCTTGTTTCTTTCTTATTTTTTACTTCTTTGGGTTTCATTCTGAGCAATTTCTTCAGCCTGTCTTCCAGTTTACATTTTCCTTTTCAATTATATGTAATCTGCTGTCAAATCTGTCTTCAATTTCAACAATTATGTTTTTATTTCTGGAATTTCTGTTTGGCTCTTTCTCAAATCTGCCTGGTCATTTTTTAAAATTTTTTTTGCTTTCATTGAGTTGTATTAAATTTTTAATATATGCCCAAAAATTCTAATTAAGTCTTTATTGGTTTGATTTTGCTGAGTCTGTTTTCTTTTTTTTTTTGTCTTTATTTTCTTTACTTGTACAATGGTAATAATCTAGTAATAACACCAACTAAATCACATGATTGTTTTATGAATTGAGATAATGAATATATTCATTATCTCATAATATGTGGTACATAGTAAATGTACATGCGATCCATTATAATAATTAGAAATAATGAAATATGATGTATGATTATTATGAAATGTACCAGAGCCACAAATTTTATTGAGCAATATAAAAGACAACTAGAGAAAACAAAGAAATATGCCATACCTGGATGGAAACAGTAATAATAATGTTGTGTGTTCATCTTTGACTAAATCATGTCTCATAAAATTTCAATAAAATTCCAATTAAATTTATTTTTAAAACATGGCAAATACATTGTAAAGTTAATGTAAAAGAACAAACAGGGCCAGGCCCAGTGGCTCAACCTATAATCCCAGCACTTTGGGAGGCTGAGGTGGGCATATCACGAGGTCAGGAGATCGAGACCATCCTGGCTAACATGGTGAAACCCCATCTCTACTATAATACAAAAAATTTGCCGGGCGTGGTTGCAGGCGCCTGTAGTCCCAGCTACTCAGGAGTCTGAGGCAGGAGAATGGCGTGAACCCAGGAGAAGGAGCTTGTGGTGAGTGGAGATCATGCGACTGCACTCCAGCTTGGGTGACAGAGCGAGATTCCATCTGAAAAATAAAATAAAATATAAAAAGAAAAATAATTTGTGTCTTGTTTCCTCATTAATGTTGGTTGAAAGCATGTTTGCACGTGTCTTTGATTTGCATTTTATTAACATCGATTGGCGTATTAAAAGTCCCTCTGAGCTTACCTTCTCTAAAAAAATGTAAGAAAAAGAGCCTGTGGGAAGGACTATGAAGCAGAGGGGCTGGTGTGAGCACATGCTGGGCAGGAGGAAAGAGGTAATGACCAGGACCAGGGAAATCCCCAAACTCAGCAAGTCAGGGAGCCAAATGAAAGCCTTTCATCCTGTATTGGCCACCTAACCCCATCGACACAAGTGAACATTCTCTTTTAGAGATACTCATTGTCCTGTTTTTTTCTGTAATCTTGTAAAGGAATCTGATTTCTCCCATTAGCCTTTCACAGGACTAAAATTTCACATTAGAATGCTATTCTTTAGAAAGCATCTTCTAGATTAGGCTGCAAGGAGATTGAGGAAGTTACTGTCAGTCGCTTATACCCCACAGGGACATTAACTCACCAGAGCTTTGGTGGGGGAGTAGAGGAGCTCATTACAAGCAGGCCTGGATGCTGCACAGAGTGTAAAGGGGGCAGAAGGATCCAGGACACCTAGGCCTGGAGATAGCGCTAATGCTGGGAGGTACCGTTATTATCCCCATTTTACAGAGGAGGAAACAGACACAGGTAGGTAATGTGATCAAGACCATGCTGCCGCGCAGTACAGGAGCCAGGATCTAAACCCAGGCAGCCTGCCTTGCCATCAGAGCTCTCACCCATAACCTCTTGCTGCCGTTAAGCAGGATTGCCCTGTGGCCAGGGGCACAGCTTCTGGGTTCACGTTCCAGCTTCTCTACCATTTCCAGCTGTGTGACCTCGGGCAAGTTACTTGTCTGTGCTCAGTGTCCTCTGCATAGTGGGTATAGCAATACCTGCCTCATGGAGTCCCTTAAGTGAGTTAATAGCTGTAACATGCTTAGAATGGTGCCATGTGCATCGTCACCATCCAGTACATATGGGCCATCATGCCTGAATCCCAGATGGACACATATCCTTGAAGGGTCTAAAATCTAGGATCTTGAAATGCCTGACAGTGGGATCCTGAAATCCTCTGGCAGCATTCTAACATATTTTGGCTGCAGAATTTTACCCTGCTTCCCAGGGCTAGAAGGTGTGGGATCAACTGCTTACTCAGTTCAGCCCCAAAGTAGGCAAAGAAGGTTTTGTCACAGGCCTGCCTGGGGCCCAGCCCCTGTAACCACCCCTTGTCCCTCCCTTGCCTGCTCCCTCACCCAGATTCACACATGCACTCCAGGCCTTCTGGGCCCCAAGGGAAGGAGAGAGGGTGGGGAGTGGGTTCACTGGTCCACCAAAGCATGCTGCCTCCAGCCCTGCTGAACTGGTGGGTCCAGGGAATGGGCCTGGAGCTGAAGGGGTCTTGCCCTCCCTTTACCTTTAAGCCTTGATTTGCAGTGATCCAAGAGCTTCATCTCTTCCTGTGAGCCTGTCTGGATGTTTATGCTGTATGGCATGGGCCCATTCTGGCAGGGGTGCACGGGGGTGCACAGGTGCACATGGCTGGCAGCCATGGCAGGTGAGGAGACCTTGGCAGATCAGAAGACCTTCTGCTTCAGCTTCAATATATGGGTCTTCTGGCTCTCAGTACATTCCTCCTGAGCCATGATGGGCCCCAGTTCAATGAAACCTTCTGTGGCAGCATCATGGTGTCCAGGGGTATAATCTGGAGCATGTACCAGCGCTACCCAAAGGTATGTGGTTGTGGGGCTGAGTGGAGCCAGAAGGGCTGGATCTTGTACCTCTCTTCCATGTTTCAGCCCCATCCTTCAATCATCTTCTTGTTCTTTTCATTTTGACTCCCTGTTTTATTGTCTTCTCTTCTGAGCACCCGTCCATTCATTTATCCATTCATCCATCTATTCATCCATCCATTCATCTCAGCATCAATCTGTCAATCCATGCATCCATCCATTTATTTGTCCAACCACCCATCCATCTATCTGTCCATCATTTAGCATAAAGATTGATCAGAAGCCTCCTGGTTCTGGAGCCATAGACCAGACACCATGGGGAGACATGATGAAAAACAACATATGATTTGTGTGCTTGAAACAAAAGTTAATGAGTGCTTACCACCTGCCTGGCAGTCCTGCATTCAGGGCGCAGTTCTCCCCTCATCCTGAGCTTTTTGGTACCTTCTATAGTTTCATTTTGTAGTAGAGAAGGCTGAGCCTCGTAAAGTGGGGTCACACAGCTGCGTAATGGAGTTTGGATTGGAGCTCAGATGTGTGTGACTTAGGCATCACCCTCTGCCTTGAGTCCTCTACTCCAGGGTCCCAGAGCTGCTGAGCATTCTGGGGTTGGTCAGCTCTAACCTGGGTGGCATGCATTGAGCAACTCTCCATATTTTGGAGTCTTAATGTATTCCCAGCCTTAATGATGGCAAGGACCCTGCTTTGGGAGACCTGGGTTCTAGTTCCAGTCCTGTCCCAAACTTCCTGTGTGATTTTTGTCTTTCTGAGTCCAGTATTTGCATCTGCATAATAGGACACAAGCACCAATATTCACAGCTTCATAGGGGTATTACAGAGGTCAGAGAAGAGAAGAGATATATGAATATTTGTAGACTGTAGAGTGTTTTGTTTAGGTGAAGGGCTGTCAGGTCCTGACAACCCTCTGGAATGAACATGTCAGAAGCTGTAAACCTTCAATGCCCAGAGAGGTGGAGTGACTCTTCCAAGGTCACGTAGCTAGTCAGAGACAGACCTAGGGGAAAAAAGGGAGAGAAACATGGATTCTAACTTGGGCTCTGTCTCTAACTGCCTGAGAGACTGCTCAAGCCCCTTCCCTCTCTAGGCCTGTTTCCTTGTTTTTAGAATATGTGAGACAGGATGAGGGGATGGATGGGGAGGATATCTGGGGGCCCTGCTAGAACTCACCTCTAGGGCCCAGACTTGGAAATCCCCAGAATCCCCGTATTGTCCTTTACACCTGGGTGGCTGTGCTCAAGGGCTCAGGGAGGGGGGACTCTTGCAGCCCTGGACTCCCTAGCCCTTACCCTTCTGTGGGCCCACCCTGGGCTATCAGCGTGTTCGGTGCTGGAATGGTCTGAGCTGGTTTATAGTCATTTCTGAGGCAGTTTATGGTAACCTCACCTCTGTCCGTGCCATGTCCTGAGCAGAGGTCCCGGGGAGAAGTGCTGGGGGCCAGAGCCACCCATGTCACCACTAGCCATGGTAGTCCTCTTCCCCATGAGGAGGCTGCACCCTGGGAGATGGCATCGGGTGGAATGGAGCATCTGTCCTGACCTCCCCGTTAAGCAGAGGTGGCTCTGGGACTGTGGGCAGAGATATTGGAGTGGCAGTGGGAAACGAAGTGGAGGAGGAAATATTGCTGGGTACTAATGAGTCACAGTTGATGGACTCATGTCTTCATGTGCTTTGGAGGCACTATGGTGGGGTGCAGATGGCATATGTTTTGGTGACCTACAGGCTTACATTCAAATAGCTGTTACCTCATGTTTCACATCTGTGACCTTGGCAGGGGGAGCTCCTCAACCCCAAACCTTGCACAGCTGAGTGGGAGAAACCAGAGGGGTCTTGTGTTGTCAAGGACCTGGCATCATGCCTGGCACAGAGCACTTGCAAAATCTTCATTCTCAAGATTGGCATTTGTAGCTCTGGGGGATACACACAGAGGTCTCTCTATGTATGGGCAAGGTACCTGTGGATAGATGTGGGTCTGTTTGTGTGTGTGGGAGTGCATGTTTCAGGGACACAGGCTATCAAAACCAGCACAAGGTGACTCCAATAAGGGAAGGGAAGAAAGCGCATGGTAAACCAGGAAGACACTCTAGAGATGAGGCTTCTTGCACTCCACATGGCCTCTTGGTGCCTGTGCCATTGTAGCCTTCAGTACTCATGCTTGTCCTACCCTCCGGGTCCTCCCCTGGATCTCAGTGCCTGACCCATGGAAAGCTTCAGTAAATGGGGAAACACAAATATAAGGGAATATAACTAGCTAATTAGGGTAATGAAGTGAGGAGTAGCCATTTCCAACATGCATTAAGCTGTCCCTGATTTTTAGGGGCTGGAGGTCTAGTGAGAGAGACAATTTGCGGCATGATGGGGAGGAAGTAGGATTCACAGAGAAGGTGAGCTTGGATTTGTAAGGTTAAGTAGAAATTCACCAGGCAGAGAAGATGTAGGAAGACGCTCCAGGCAGAAGAGCAACAGGATCAAAGCCATGTGGTGAAAGAACAAGGCAAGTGGGTCAGCAATGCTACTAGAAGGGGAGGGGAAAAAGTCAAGGTGGAAATGGAGGGGTCTCAGCTCCTCAGTGCCTGGGGTGTTATGCTAAGGGATTTGGATCTTACCCTTTAGTCAAAGGGACAAGGGAGGGACATGACCAGGTTTGCAGTGAGAAAATTATCAGGCTGATATCTGGAAAGAGGAAGGTCTGGAGCAGCGAGACCAATGGGAGGCTTCTCTGCTCAGGTGAGAGACAGTGGTCATCTGGATTAGGCAGAATTTGAAGCCAAGGCTGTGGGAACTGAGAAGACAGTTCCAGTTTACCATATGAGGAGTACCTGCTGTGGCTGGCAGGGCACCAGCACTTCTACCCAGATTATCTCATTAAAATTCTAAAGTAGACCTGGTCAGTTCTGGAAGCCACCTGGGCCTCAGGCATGAGAGAGGAGGAGGAATTGGGGCAAATCTAGTCGGTGGGTGCAGTTGGAGATGCTGAGCCTATTAGCAAAGATGGGACAGGAAAGTGGGGAGCAGGGAAAGGAGTGGCAGGGAGAGTGAGGCCTTTCCCTGCCTGGCTGCAGCCTTTACCCATGAGCCTCCCGTTCCTCATTCCTGCCAGATCTGCTGGACCCAGGACCAGGACCCTGGTTGGTGTTGAAGGTTCTGTCTCCTCTGTGGGCCTCCCTCCCTCTGCTTCTTCTGAGGATTGCTCAATGTTCTGCCTAAACACAAATCTGACTGCATACTCTCCTGCTGATAAATCTCCAAGGATGCCTCTGATTCTGGGCAAAGCCTGAGCTTCTTAGCTTTCTGTTCTGGGGGTCTCCATTGTTTGATATCCCCTCCCCAGCTTCAACTCTGCCTGTTCCTCCCCATCAAAGTACCTGTATTTTAATATGCTACCTCCTCTCCTTTTCCTCCAAGATTTTCATAATTGTGGTTGTGATGATGATGATGATGGTGATGGTGAAAGTGGTGATAATGATAGTGATAGTCATGTTGAGGATGATGGTGAGGATAGTGATAGTGATAATGTTGGTGATGGTGAGGAAAGTGATAGTGAAGGTGGTGGTGATGATAGTGATAGTTATGCTGAGGATGATGATGATGATGGGGAGAATGTTGAAGGTGAGCATGGTGATGGTGATGATAAGGATGGTGATGGTGATGATGAGGTGATAATGATGGTGATGAGGATGGTGATGGTGAAGGTGGTGATCATGATAGTGATAGTTATGCTGAGGATGATGATGATAATGGTGAGAATGGTGAAGGTGAGCATGGTGATGGTGATGGTAAGGATGGTGATGGTGAAAATGGTGGTGGTGATAATGAAGATGATGGTGATGGTGAGGATGGTGATGGTGAAGGTGGTGATAGATACTGATAGTTATGGTGAGGATGCTGCTGCTGATGCTGGTGAGAATGGTGAGGGTGAGACTGATGATAATGAGGATGGTGATGGTGAGTATGGGGATGGTGATGGTGCACCCCTTGATTTGGCAATTCGACATCTAAGAATTGTTCATTTCTTCTAGGATGTTTGTTTTTTGAGTCAAGACTTCCCTATGTTGCCCAGGCTGGCCACGAACTACTGGCCACGAGTGATCCTCCCACTTTGGCCTCCTGAGTAGCTGTGCTTACAGGCATGAACCATGGTGCCTGGCTTTACCCTAGAAATTTATCCTGAGGAAATAATCAGAGAAGTGTGCCAAGTGGTACTTAGAGAAGGGTATTTATTGTTGCATCGATGATAGTAGGTAAGATGTGGGAAGAATGTAAATGTCCAGCAATAAGAGATTGGACTACATACAGCAATAATTGTGCTACAGCTAGGCAAGGGGCTGGCTTCTGGCCATTCAGAACACAGACCCTCCTGATTGAGTCAAATATCCTGTCACTGCTCTCACACACCACACACCTCCCTCCTTTTCAGCACAAATTACAATCGTAATTTTACATTTCTTTGTGAACCTCTTTGATGAATGTCTGTATCCCTCATTAGATGCTAAGCTCCATGGAGGCAAGGAGTATACTATGTTCATTATTGTGTCCTCCATGCCAAGTTACGTTCCTAGAACACAGTACACTCTCAATAATTTGTTGTTAAATGAATGACTGAATCTATATTTCTTAGTATGGAAAGATGTTGGAAATATGCAATTAAGAGGAAGAGCAGATTATAAAACAGTATGCATGCTGTAGTACAGACTGCAAATTCCCTCCTTTCTTGATCTTCTTTAGGGGACCACATGCGCACTCTCAGTCAATAAATTATGATTGATCCAAAGTCAATCATGACAATGCTATTCTCTACAGCTAGGGATGGTCATGAGATCAGGTTCTGGCCAATCTAAACACAGATTTCCAGACCTAAAGAGAAATCCTCTGGGAGTCACCTCTGAAGTTCTTGCTTTTCTAATAAGAATACAGAAGTGACTGCTTTTGCTGGCCTTGTAAACTCATGTAGTGGTTGGAGCTGCAGTAGCCGTCTTACAGCCGTGAGCTAAATTCCAATAGACTCACAAAGATACTGGGCCTAACATTGTTGAACCAGTGAACCATAGCCAGGAACCATAGGTACTCTAACTATGTAAGAAAAATGAACCTGTCTTTGTTTAAGTGACTGAATTTTCAGATTAATGCACTCCCAACAGATACAGAGCATGATCCCATATGTACCTGTATGTGCAAATATGAATAGAAAAATAATTAAAGTGATTATCTCTGTGTGGTAAGATTCTCCTTCATATTTTTTTATTTTATAAAGTTTTCCCAAAGGGCATGTAAATAATAATCAGACAAATATTTCTGTACATTCAGAAAATAAACAATGGTACTAATTTTATTTTTTAAAAATAAACAAAATATTGGGGCCCCAGAAGGGAGTTCACTACCATATGGTAAGTTAATTAGCCACGACCGAGATGAACACTTGTCGGTATCCTGGAGGACAGGTTCTGCAGCAGTGAGAGGTCCCCTCCAGAACAGTATGTGGTTCCAAACTTCTGAGGGAGGCGGGGCAGACCCCAAGGAAGTAGATGAGAACCTGAGTGAGGCTCTGTGGGGAGAGAGGATGTTCCTCAGTCCTCACAGGGACATGTCAGTTTCACTTGAGATTAGGCCCCAGCCTTGGCTGGGAAGCCTGCCAGGCAGGTTCTCAGCAGCATGGGGTGATAACAGGAGGAGGGGAAACCTGGCAAGCTGGGGCAGCTCTGGGGTCTTCAGGTGGGGCTGTCTCAGGCAGCAACTGTGTTGGCTGTAAACACAGATTTCCAGGAAGCAGAGCGTTGCAATCTCTCCCACCACAAACCTGGACCATCAGAGATGTTTCCATAGCAGCATGTATGCCAGTGAGGAATCTGGACATGATCTGTGATCCCCTCTCCTACTTTTCCTTTTCTCTTAGAATGGGACAGAGCAGCCTGGAGCAGCTAGTGTCTTGTAGTGACTCCAGTTTGCTGCTCTCTTCCTTATCTTCTTCCTCCTGCCCTCTGTCTCCTCTGCATCCTTCACCTTCTACATCAGGAAGCTCAAGTCATCGGGCTGAGCTTGGGCTTCTCATCTAAATCACGGAGTGCCAGTCAATGCCTCCCTTCCTCTTCCCAGGGAGCAACTTCAATCTTCCCTGCCTGCAGTGGGGAGTTAGACCCTGCTCCTTATTCCCTGTGGGACCATCCGCAGCCTGTTTCCTCACCCCTGTAATGGGACTGCTGTCCTCCCTGCTCACCTGGCAGTGCTAATTCCAGGCCATGGGCCCTCCTGGGAAAATCACCAGTGTGGGTGACACGATGGGTGTTTGTGTGTGTGGAGGGGTGGGGCTGCCACCTGGCCATTTACAGACCCCTTCCTTCCTCTCTCCCTGTGCTTGTCGCATGTCAGGGATCCCTCTCCTTTGTGCCATGAAACATAAGGCATTTTCAGATCCATCATGTCATGGAGCCTAGCATCTCCTTGGTGAAGTTGGAGTTATTGTCACCATTTTACTGATGAGTAAAATGAGGCTCAGAAAGGGGAAAGTCATTGCCAGGGTTCCGCTGTGTACTTATAGTGGAGCTGGGATTAGGATGCGTGTTCTGGATTCCTGGCGGGGTCCTGGCCCATCTGCAGCTAAGGCCTGTCTTTCTGCTCCCATGAGGTCCCTTTTCCATTCCTTTCCTCCCCATGACAGCCACTGTCACCACCACCCAGGGTCTGCGCTCACTGTCACACCACCCCTCGCTGACCCCTGTGTCTGGGCTGAAACCCACCATGTCCGTCAGATGGATTTTCCTCAATGGTGGTTGGGCTCCAAATCCACTCTCCCTAGACTGACACAAATTGCACTACAGGGGGCCGCAACTGTAGGCGTTTCTGTTCTAGAGAGAGAGAGAGAGATGGTCACATAGAAATGTCAACATCACTTGGTGAAGAGGAGAGTGGAAACACAGGAGAAAGTTCTGGGAGTGACGTCAGGAGGAGGTAGCCCTTGAGTTGGGTCTTGAGGGATGTGTAAGAGCTACCAGGCAAGGAACACTGGGAAGGGCATTCCAAGAGGAAAGAGCAGCATTCTCCAAGGCTGAGACTGGTCTGGTGGCTACAAGATAGAGCTGGGTGACCGGGACCCCTTGAGACAGTGCTCCCTTTTCAGGAGGAAACCTGCAGCTCTAATACTTTGGGCTGTCTCAGAGTCCCCCAGAGATCTTGGGAAATTCCTGGGTCCAGTTCCCAGGGATTCTGGTCCGGGCAGAGGAATCCGCACTTCTCACAGGCAGGGGCTATGACTTCACCCCACAGTTCTGATGCAGTTGGTCCCTGGATCACTCTTGGAGAAATACAAGCAGGACTGAGAGGCTTTGACCCAAGCACTGTGCAGGGGGTGGGATGGGGATAGATGTGGAATGGGCCAGAGGAATAGTGGTTGGAGCTATACCTTCCTGGACCACCCTGTCTAAAATGTGGCTCTCCCATCCCCCTTTCCCACTGATACATTCTATCCTCCTTCACTTTTCCTTTATTTTATTTTTTGTAGATACAGGGTCTCACTATGTTACCCAGACTGGTCTCAAATTCCTGACCTCAACCATCCTCACATCTCGGCCTCCCAAAGCACTAGGATTACAGGCATGAACCACCATGCTCTCATCACCAACTCACATGCTGAATATTTGACTAGTTTATTTATTATCTGTTTCACCCTACTAGCATGAGGGCTACATGAGGAAAGGGACTTTGTCTATGTCATTCACTGCTGTAGCCAAGTGTCTACAATGTGTAAGGACATGGAAGCTGTTTCTGTTTTGACTTGTAATTTTAATTTTGGGAAGCAGAAGATATCTGAGTGGACTCAGTGGCTGACAGGAAAAGGGAGAACAGTCTTGGTGTGCACTAGAGTGACAGGGAGACCTAGACAGAGAGATGTCAGAGGACATTTCCTGGAAGAGGCTGACGGAAAGGTGGGGCAACTGGGGAGGGTCTCTCTGGACATCAATGCCTTTGAAGCTGGCAGGGAGGGAGGAAGTGCATGGGTGGAGAAGAATGCCTGAAGAAGACCTCCTTGGCTTCCATATTCTTCATGAAGTGACAGGTGAGGGGCTTCCTGGAAAGAGAGGGCAGGAGGGGAGCAAATGTAGGCTGGTGATGGTGGGCCTGCAGCAGTGCCCCAGGGTGAAGGGGTGAGTGCATTACTGAGGCTGGACCCTGGTCATGACCCTTGCCTTGGCCTCAAGACTCATTAAAAACCAGCCTCCTCCAGTGAGCTTAGATCATGCCACTGCACTCCAGCCTGGAGACAGAGTGAGACTCCGTCTCAAAAACAAAAACGAAAAAACAGCCTCCAGTCCCAATGTGCCCAGCTGGACCATGCGCTGCTTCCTGGATGTGCCACCATCACAACTGGAACACAAATCCTGAGTCACTGCCTCTAGAAAGCCTGCCTGGATTCAGTGCCCTTCTGACTGGGCTCCTGCAGCACCTGGTCTGACACTACTATGTGACTTGCCTCTGCCTGCCTCTTATCACAGGTGCCTGTGTTTTTACCTGCCTCAGTGAGGGCTGTTGAGGACCCGACCAGGCTGATCCATCTTAGGGGCTACAGCAGGTGCCAGCAATGGCTGGGCTGTGTCAGGGCTGGGCAATAGGCAGACCAGGTTCTCACGCTGGGCACGGGTGCCCTTTGTGGGCTCAACTGGGTGTGAGCACTACTTCTGAGTGGCCAGAAGATTCCTGGGAGAGACCTGGTTATCTTGGGCTGACCCTCGCTCCCCAGTTCCTTCCTTCCTCCCTCCCTTGCTGAAACCCTTTTGCATGTCCTCAAAATCCTGCTCCAGCACCAGCAGCCCTCTGGGTTTCAGCAGCCTCAGGGAACTCTTCCTTTTCTTCCTTGCTGTAAGAGGCCCGATCCCCTGAGGACACTGCTGCCTTGCTGTCCTCTGCTGCAGCCCTTCCCTGGGCCTGAGCAGGATAGGTCCTCCTTGCTTCCCATTGCCTCCCTCTTTCAGCTCATCATCCTGCTCTCCCATAAAAATCCATTCATGCACCACGAAATGATGTTTCCATCAACCCAGACCGCATGTGCAGTGGTGGACCCATGAAACTATAATGGGGCCGAAAGACACCTACTGCCTAGCCCAGTGACATAACAATTGTAACGTTATGGCACAGTTACTTTAAAAATATATTGATTAAAAAAGATTTATAATTCTATAGAAAAAGAAATATATATCTCGTAGTGTAGCCTAAGTGTCCAGTGTTTATAAAATCTACAGTAGTGCACAGTCACGCCCTAGGACTTCAACTTCACTCACCACTCACTGACGCACCCAGAGAAGCTTCCAGCCCTGCACGTTCCATTCATGATAAGTGTCCTAGACCAGTGCACCATGTCTAGGTACCATACTATATTTTTATATAGTGCAATACTATGATTTTACTGTACTTTTCATGATACGTTTAGATGCACAAGTACTGACCATTGTGCTACAACTGCCAACAGTATTCACTGCAGTAACCTGTGCCCAGGTGTGCGGCCTGAGAGCAGTAGGCTGTGCCACAGAGCCTAGGTGTACAGTAGGTACAATATTGAGGTGTGTGTAAGCACACTCTGTGATGTTCACACAAAGAAAAATTACCCAAGGACACGGTGACACACGAAGGGAATCAATATTGAAGCTCTTGCCCTCAGATTGCACCCAGGGCCGCATCCCTATGCATTGAGGACTTGGCTCCCGGTTCATGGGCACTTTCTCCTGCTGAGGTGATGTCAACATGCACATAGAGAGTCCTCCTCATGCTCTGGCTCTTGGTCCCTCCACCCCTAGAGACCTTGTCTCCACCCTCCCTGTGTCACCCACTCCTACCTGTAAATTCTTGTCCTTATCACTGCAGAAACTGTAGCTACTCCAGACCCTCAATTTCAAACACCCTTTTTTTGACCACCATTTTCCTTTTTCCAGCTGCCTCCCAACTCCGACACACTTCAATGACTCCAAATTTTCACTTTTGTGTCTCACTCACTTTCTTGCAAATTTCCCCTCCTCCCAGCTGAGACTATATGGCCCAGCCTGTCATCCACCCTCTCTAACACTCTCCACTCTCTTGCCCCACAAATAATTGTACTCCCAGGGGAAAACTGCACTCTGCTGAAAACCAGGCACCCACTCCCTCTGCTCCTGCACTCAGGTGGCTGTGCACAGCCAGAGAGAAACACACATGCCTTTTGCTCTCATTTAATCATCAAGCCCAAACCTCCAGTGGGCACTGGATGATGTTCTACAGACTCACTCATTTCCTGAGTCCATAAGTCTGCCAGACTTCTTTGTTATCTTAATAAAAAAATATATAATCTAAGCATGTTATGAATACCAACTGATTTAATTATCATCAAACTCTATGAATCTGTTCTATAATAATCACTATTTCACAGCTGAGGAGATGCTGGCACAGGAAGAGATGAAGTGACTTGCCCTGGAGCCCAGGCACCCAGCTCTAGAAGTGCTGCCCTGTCCCCAAGCAACAGTATCTTGCCTCCTCCTTCCTCCTTAAACCTCTAAAACCTTCCTCAGCCTTCCTTACACCTGTTGCCTTGCTTCCTATTTCAATTTGAAAATAGATGCAATAAAGAGAGAACCTTCCCTGGATCCCACCCCCACATCTCCCCAGCTGCTTGCCTCTGTGCTTCCTTCTCCACCTTCGCTTGTTATTGTAGCTGGAGTGTCTCCACTCATGTTAGGGGCGAATTTCCTCCATCATATCCACATCATATCCACATTATATCCACAGCTCAACCCTCAGGTTCTTTCCTGAGTGTCCGCTTTGCACACTGCCTGGTTCCACAATGCGGTCTCCCACCCATCTCACACCCTGCATGCTTACTTATTCATCATCTGTTCTGCTCTACTACAGTGAGGGGCAGGGATTCTGGGTATCTTATTCACTGCAGATTCCAGCATCTAGAGCAGTACCTGGCACCTAGAAGGTGTTGGTATTTAATGAAGTCAGTCATTTTATATGTCAGGCTCTGGCCTGGTGCTGGGGACACTAGGGTGATTCAGACAGGTCCAAGTTTACAGTCCCATAGGGGAGACAAACACATTACCTGACAAATTTGCAGGCAGCCATTTATATTTTCCATCTTACAAAGCAGCCGTTATTGTACTTGAGAGGAAATGCACTCAAGCCGTGAACTGTAGCCGTGAGCTCCCCTACCTCAGGACAGAAAGCCCCAGGCTCCAGCCCTTACATTCCTGGGCCTCCAGGGCTCCCTGGACTTTAGGAAACATCTAGTAAGGGAGACCAAGTCCACTTTGACTCAGAGCTGTGGGATGTCAACAAGGTGCTTCCCCTCTCTGGTCCTCAATGTCTTCGTCTATTACAAGAGATGATGGTGCCAGCTCAGCGAGCTCCACAGGGCTGGGGCAAATGGGACAGGGAGGGTGACAATGCTTTGTGGACAGAGAGGAGGAATTCTGAGTGGCTACTGGAAAGGCACCATGTTTATTTGACAATTTCAAACATGACAGAACTGCAGAACACAGACATCAAGATTCCCCTGTAATTCCATTTGGAGTCTAAAGCTTAGATTTTGTTTTGTTTAAGCAGTGGCAAACATTATGTATAGATATAGATGTGGGATCATAAAATGTGTTTAAAAGTTATTGATGCAGGACAACTTTGCATATCAATACACAAGCATTTATTTGATTTGTTTTAATAGCTGTGAAATATCCCACTGTATGAAGAGACTAAAATCTGTCCTTGTGTTGTGGATATTTGGATTGATGAACCATTGGAACAAAACAGAGAGGGCAATCAAAGCATTTGACAGCCTGGCAGATCAAAGTGAGAGGTTTATTACAGAAGACAGTAATGCTAAAAGGGGAGGAGAGCTAAGTGAATCCACCTGCTGCAATCAGAGCCGAGAATCCCACCACCCTAAAAGCCAGGAGACAACGCGGCCAAAAGGGCAGAGGCCCCCAGGGCTCCCAGCCATGCCAGATGCAAACTTGTCATCCCACCCTGTGTGTGGGCTTCCTATGCCCTGGACAGTCTTTCCTGAGGCAGAGCTGTTTTAAGAGCTTAGAGCACACATTCTACAGCAGAATTTCTTATGAATGAGGTCCCTGTTCTGTGCTCCTCACCTATCCTGGGCCCTTTTCCTAACTTGACTTTCGGTAGTGGGTGGATAGAGGCCCCAGGTAAACACCAGGCCCCAGGTGGACATCAGGGCTCAAGTGGACACACAGGCTCCAGGTGTATATCAGGCCCCAGGTATATACCATTTTCCTGGTACGTATTAGTAACCAAGGGGACACCGGACTCCAGGTGTACATCAGGCTCACAGGTGAACACCCAGGCCCCATATGGACACCAGCCTACAGGTGAGCATCAGGCTGCAGGAGGATACCCAGGCCTTAGGTAGATATCAGGCCCTACAAGGACACCAGGCCTCAGGTGGACATCAGGGCCCAGTTGGGGACTCAGGTTCTAGGAAGACACCCAGGCCTCAAGTAGCATCAGGGCCAAGGCGGATACTAGACTCCAGGTGGACATCAGGCCCTAGTTGGTCACTAGGCCCTAGGTGGACACCTGGGTCCCTGGTGACCATCAGGCCCCAGATTAACTCCAGGCCTTAGGTGAACATCTGATCCCAGTTGGATATCAGACCCCAGGAGAACATCAGTCCCCAGGTGGATATCAGCTTCCAAGTTGACATCAGGCCACAAGTGGACACTGGACTTGAGGTGTACATCAGGCCTCAGATGGACACCCAGGCCCCAGGTGTACATCAGGCTCAGGTGGAAATCAAGGCACAGGTAACACCAAGGCACAGGTGGTTACCTAGGCTTCAGGTAGACATCAGACCCCAGGTGGACACCTGGGTCTCCGGTGGTCATCAGGCCCTAGGTGGAAACTCAGGTCCCAGGTGCACATCACGTTCCAAGTGGACACCCAGGCCCCATGGTGATACCCAGGTTCCAGGTGGGCACTGGGCCCCAGATGAACACCAGGCTCCGGGTGGATACCAGAACTTGGGTGGACACCCAGCTCTGAGGTGGATATCGGGCTCCAGGTGGACATCAAGCCTCAGGTAGATATCTAGTCCCCAGGTGGACATAAGACCCCAGGTCGACACCAGAACCTGGGTGGATACCTAGGTTTCGGATGGATGCATCTCCAGCTGAACATCAGGCTCCAGGTGGACACCCAGGCCCTAGGTGAACACTAGGTCTTAGGTGGACATTAGGCCCCAAGTGGACAACCAGGTCCCAGGTGGACACCCAGCCTTAACATGGACATCGGGCCCTAGGTAGACAGCAGGTTCAAGGTGCATATGAGGCTCCCGATAAACACTGGTCCCCAGGGAGACCCTTGTCCCCAGGTGAACACCAGCACCCAGGAAGACATCCACCTCCACCTGCACATCATTCTCCAGGTTTATACCTAGGCCCTGTGGGAGCACCAGGCCCCAAGTGAGTACATAGATCCCTGGTGGCCATTAGGCACCAGGTTGACACCCAGGGCTTAAGTGGACATGAGGCCCCAGATGAATGCTAGTCCCCAGGTGGATAAATAGGCCCCAGGCATACATCAGATCTGAGGTCTATACTCAGTCTTCAGGTGGACACTAGGCCCCAGGCAGACACCAGACCCCAGGTGGATACCAGGCCCTATGTAGACACCAGTCTGCAGGTGGACAGCAGGCCCCAAGGGGACATTATGCCCTGGGTTGACACCTAGGCTTCAGGGCAACACTAGGCCACAAGTGGTTACCTATGCCCCAGGTGGACATCAAGCTTTAGTGGAATTCCTAGTCAGCAACTGAACATCAGGCCACAGGGGGATGCCCAGGCTCTAGCTGAATACCAGGCCTCACATGGACATTAGGCCCCAGGTGAACAGCAAGCCCCAAGTGAATACCTAGGTTCCTGGTGAACATCAGGAAGCAGGTGGCACTCAGGCCCTACACTCAGGCCAAAAGAGAAATCAGAACATATGTGGACACTCAGGGCCCAGGTGGCTATCAGGCCCCAGGTTTATATCACTTTCCTGGTAGACATCAGTACCCACGTAGACACTGGACTTCAGGTATACATCAGGTTCCTAGGTGGACACCCAGGCCCCAGGTGGACACCAGCCTACAAGTGGACATCAGACCACAGGAGGACACCCGGGCCCCAGATAGATATCAGACTCCAGAGGAACACCCACGTCTCAGGTGGACATCAGGTCCCAGGTTAATTCCAGGCCCCAGGTGGAATTCAGGCCCCACCTGGACACAAGTCCCTAGGTAGATACATAGGCTCTGTAGGCCCTGGGGAACATCAGGCCTTAGGTGAAGTTCTAGGCTACAGGTGGACATCTTGCTCCAGTTGGACATCTGGTCCCAAATGGACATCGGTCTCCAGGTGGACACAAAGTCCCAAGTTGGACATCAGGCACCAGGAGGACTAGTCCTCTCTGGTGATCACCAGCTCCCAGGTTGACATCAGGCTACAAGTTGACACCTAGGGCCCAGACGGACATGTGGCCCCATATAAACACTAGTCCCCAGTCAGCTAGGGCCTGGGTCCCCCTGGAGCCTGATGCTTAGCTAGAGACTGGATATCCACCTGAGGCCAAGGTATCTACCCAGGGACTGGTGTCCAAGTGGGGCCTGATATCCACCTGGGGACTAGGTATCCACCTGGGGCTTGATGTCCACCTCGAGCCAGATGACCTTCTGGAGTCTGATGTCCACCACAGGCCTGGGTGTCCATCTGGGGCCTGGTGTTGATTTGGATTCTAGTGTCTACCTGGAACCTGGGGCCATGTTGTCTACTTGGAGCCTGGAGTTTTCACCTGGGGCCTGGTAGACATCTGGCCCCAGTAAACATCAGCCTGGGGCCTGGTTGTCCACTTAGAGCCTGGAGTTTTCACCTAGGGCCTGAAGATCACCTGGGACCCGGGTGTCCACCTGGGACATCAGGCTCCAGGTTTACACCCAGGCTCCAGGGTACAACAGGCCCCAAAAGAACTCCAGACCATATTAAACATCAAGTCTCAGGTGGATGCCCAGGCCCCATGTGTACACCAGGCCCCAAGTAGACAGTGGACACCAGCTGAACATTAGCCCCAAGGTTGACACCCATACTACAGGTGGGTATCAGGCCCCAGGTGAATACCTATCCTTCAGGTGTGCATCGGTCCCCAGGTGAACATAAGGCCACAGATAGACATCAGGTCTCAGGTGCACATCTGGCTCCAGGTAAACATCAGGCCTTAGGTGGATACCCAATCCCCAGGTGGACATCAGAGACCAGGCTGACACAAAAAATTCCCAGTGGGTATCATGTCCCAGTGGATGTCCAGGCTCCAGGTAAACACCCCAGCCCCTCTGTAACCGTAACCACCGTAACGAGAAATGGTAGGTCTAAGTACCATCATGCTCCTTGCTCACAAAAGGATGCATAGATATTTTATTCAAAACACAACTCCATTCATCACTCTGAGCAGCGATGTGTAGAAAGGAAAAGAAAAATAAACCAGGCCTCAAGGATTCCATCCAAAATGAGGTAGACATTATAAGGGACAGAAATCCCCAAATTAAATGTTATAGTTGACATAGAATAGTCTTTAAAACCCATTGATTTTCTCACACATTTGATCCAAGGCATTATTTCCAGAGACTGAACCTAGAAAGAATTGCTTAAGACTAGGAGTCTTGTTCCAGCCTAGATCCCACACTGTTGAACATCTATACTTAGTATACCACATTATACATAGCACTGACATGACCTGTGTGCATTTAATTTTCTAATGCTTGTTCATCTCTGGCATATATATATATATATATATATATATATATGACCTATGTAACATACATACATACAAGTACACACACACACAAAAAGTATATAAGGGTAGGATAGTATAATTGTGCAGTAACGTTTTTTGTGAAAGTGGTGGAAAGTGGATTGCGTTGGCGACATGCTGGAATGTGCTTCCATTGGCAGAAGTGAGGCTTTCAAAACTAGTAGTTTTCAGTTTTCTCTAGCAACTGGGAATATTAATAATTGAAGATGTGTTGGTATAAAAATAATCATAATAATCACACTGAAGTGGTGTTAATAATTATATCACAAGATATAATAAACATTATAGATATTATAAGATGTCAAAAAAAAGATGCCATAAAATCTTTCAGATGATTGACATGTTAAATGCGGCCTCCTGTGCCGCCCTGGGGCGCCACTCTCGCTGGGTTCTTGGCGGAGCTCACCCTACTCCACCTGCTCAGCCCAGGCTCCTGCACCCTGGAGTCACGCCATGGGAGCAAGGACCTTGCCGCCGCGGCCCTAGACAAGGACAATGAGGAGGGGGTGCACGTGGAGTCCCCGCGGATAGGCTGGACGCAGGGCAGGAGCCTTTGCAGGGGTGCACAGCCTCCTCTGGAAGCCCTGGTCACTGCCCGATGCCTGCTGCGCCCTGCGAGCTCCGCGGCGGTGGAGCCAGGCCTGCACTGCCTGCACTCGGCCCCGCCTGCGGACCCTCTGCCCTTTGTCTTGCCCATGGGGCCCGGGGCCTCAGCTGGCCCGGGGTTCCTGAAGTTAGCTGACAATGGGCTGGCCTCTGGGACTGGGTCGTAGGCCTTGTGCACTGGCCGCCACTTCACCAGCACCAGGCCTACCTGCGATGCTGCTGGAGATGCGGGATGCCCGGGCTCGGGCTCTGCTGGGTCCCCTGGCGCTGCGAACCCCGTCACCTTCCATCGCGGCCACCATGCTGCCCGCTGGTCAGCCCTGGTCTGCAGCCTTCCTGGGACCACTCCGGCCCCAGGGAGGCATCACTCACAGCCGCTTGCGACACCGGGGCCGCCTGAACCTCCGCCAGGGCTGCGCCGCACAAGTGGCTCCAGCCAGCCAGCCCTGGCCCGGGAGCAGGACTTTCCGCTCCCCCAGAAGATTGCCCTGGGCAGGGATACACGGCTATGGAGGATGTAGCGGATACCTTCCGAAGTTTGTGGACACTCTTCTGCCACACCAAAAGTTTCACCATCAGCTGCGATGCCGACTGAGGCGCAGAGACCCCTCCGGGATGTGGACCAGGCAGTGACTTTGCTGGGCATCCGCAGTGCTGACCACCCCAAGTGCAGATCCCCACTTCGTGTTCCTCCTCCTCCACGTTCCACATCCAAAGTTCTCGCACCATTTCTAAGCAGGAGAAATCAAAAGAAACTGAAATCAGAAAGAAAGAGAGAGAGAGAGAGAGAGAAAGCCATGAGCAAAAAAAAAGAGCAAAACCTTTTGGAAAGCGTAAAACGCCCCAAAGCCAAAAGCTAATTCTTACCTCTTTTAAACCTTCTGCACTTCTCCAATGATTAATGATTTATTTTTTTTAACCACTGGCAATTCGCAATTATTAACTTCTCTGGCATTAATAAATAGAAATTGAATCACATGTGGGAGTATAATTTGTATTATATGAAGGTTTTCATATTTTAAAAAATAATTGTCCAGTTTTTCTCCATGGATTAACAATTAATGGGAAATTTTCAACATTGCTGTGTTAATGTCTCCTGAGATAATTAGATGTGAATAATTTTTATAAACAGAATTTCCTGGGTGGAATTTCTCATCTTCAGGAGCTCCATAAATAACCGTGTCCCAAGAGAACTGTGAATTTGGGAACTGCAGGAACTGAGTCCCAACTCGTCCAGCCTGGAAGTTTTTGGGTGATCATTCTTGCAGGTGACTTCACTGCCTTCTGTTGAAGGGCCAGTGAGAGCCTGGGGGTTTCAACCTACAAGAAGAGCCTTACCATTTTAGGGTTAGCATTCACAATGAGGAAAAGGCAAACTTTTTTGATATTCTCTGTATGTAATAAAAATAGTTACCAAAACAAAGCAAAGTGTGAGTGGTGACTATTGAGAGGACCCTTTCTATCTTTGCTGGATTCCCAGAGATTTCTGAGTTTCTTTTGGAGTCAATAGTATTTCCATGTTAATTCTGAGCTCTTAAAACCCACAATATGAGTTGCAGCCAGTGACTAGAGTTGCAGCCAGTGACTAGTGTTGCAGCTTGTTAAACTGATCACTGGTGGTAGAGCCTTTTCGTTCTGCTCACTTCTTAAAAGGTCAGCTTGGTCAGGGATTAGTGCTACCCTGCCAGAAATAAGCAGTTAGGAATCAAGTAAAGGAGTCAGCTAAAAGCGTAATTACTAAGTAGTGAGGTCACAGCTAGATGGTTGTTGATCTCATTTTCTCTCTGCTGCTGATTTCAAGGTTTATACCGTGTTTTGATGTAACATAGAATGTATAGTATGAAGTACAAACAGTCTGTTAGCTTCTTGGAGCTATACTCCATTACCGGAGCAGGGGACAACAATTTGAAGGACATTACTACTTAGTTTAATCTGCCTTTGGCTAGAATAAACCTCAAGTTCCAAGGGCTGGGTTCAGTTGTTATGCAAATTTAGATTGTTGCGGTAAAATTTCCAAAAAAAAGGATAGGACTCTTTAGATGAAATAAGAATTTAACTGTATTTGAACCCTGTTGAAGGCCAGACAAGTTTAGGCAAAATCCCATGACTGAATACTCTGATGAGTCCCTTTAAATTCCGACATATAATCTATGTTGGTAAATATGATACGTGCACTGGAAAAGGATGTGTATTCAGTAGTTGTTGAGTGTCACGTTCTGTATATGTCAGTTTATGTCAAGTTTGTTCATTGTGTTCATCCAATCTCCCTTTCTCTTATGGATTTTTTTCTGTTGGTTCCATCGGTAATTGAAAGGTATGTTAAAATCTATATTGTAGATTAGTCCATTTTTCTTTTAGTTATATCAGTTTCTGTATTAAATAACTTGAAGGGATATTTTATATTTATACATATTTAAAATTGGCATACTTTTCTAGTGACTGACATCGTAAAATCTTTTTTATCTTAGCAATAGTTCTTGGCTTAAGTCTAAACTGTCAAAAATAACATAGCAACATAAGCTTTGTGCTGATTAGTGTTTGCAGGCATGTTTTCCATTGTTTTACTTCCAAATGTCTGGATTCTTGTATTCAGATAAATTAATTAAAACATAAAAATAAATATAAAGCATTAAAAAGTAAATATTCTAAAAATCCAGCCAGAGATGTTTCACTTTTAATTGAAGTGTTTAGGACCACGGCTCTCACACTGTGTGCTAAGGTGCCCTGAGATGCTGTGTTTAACTGACAGGGGCACCAGTGGATAGCGTGTGAGTCTGTGTATGTGTGTGTCTGTATTTGAGATGGGGGTCTCACTCTGTCCCCCAGGCTGGAGTGGAGTGGTGAGGTCTAGGCTCACTGCGGCCTCTGCCTCCCTGAGTAGCTGGGACAACAGGCATGCACCACTATGCCTGGCTAAGTTTTCTAATTGTAGTAGAGATGGGGTTTTGCCAGGTTGCCCAGGCTGTATATTTTTGAGAGAAACAAAGCAACATTTGCTGGAGACCTTAAGAACTACTAGCCTGAGGCAGTTCAGAGTTTCAAAAGTAGTTAGTTAGAAGTGCATTTCTTTACCTTTAAGGTGGGTGGTGTTAATTACCGCGATAAAACAAGTATTGTGCTAAAGTCAGTGTGGAATAGGAATAAGGTCCAGTGGTTGAGATCCAGTCCGATTTTAAGATTTGAAAAGTTGTGCTGTGTGCCCAACAGGCACACACATCCCATTAGTAAGTAAATTGTGCTTTTTTAAGAAAGAAACAAAATTACTGTTTCTACTTCCATTGCGTGTTATTTTTTATGTATACTTGCAAATCCATCACCAAAATAAAAATAATGAACATATCCAGCACTCATAAAAGTTTCCCCTTGCCCTTTTATAATCCCAAACTTTTTCTATCTTCCTACCTTACCACTCTCCCTGGCAATCACCAATCTGTCACTGTAAAATAGTTTGCCTTGTCTAGACATTTATACAAATGAAGTGTAGTATGGACCCTTTTTAGGAGGCGTCTGGCATCTTTCACACAGCATAATTATTTTGAGATTCAGCTACATGGCAGGCATAAATAGGCCATTAATTTTATGACTGAGTAGTATCCTATTGTGCAGATCGGTCACAACTTATATATCCATTTGCCTGCTGATGGGTTTTTGCATTGCTTCTGGTTTTGGACTTATGCAAATACATTTGCAATGAACATTCATGTATATAAGTTCTTCTAACTTTGAGTAAATATTAGGAGTGTAATAATTAATAGGTTTAGGTTTAGTTTTAAGAGACTGTCAAAATGTTTGCCAAAATGGTTGTACCATTTTATATTTTTATCAGCAGTATATAAGAATTCCACACTCTTGCCAACATTTTGTATGGGCCTTCTTTTAAAATTTTAGACATTTTCCTGTTTGTACAATAGTATTTTATTGTGGTTCCCTAATGCCTAATAATATTTAGTATCTATGTACGTACATGCCATCTGTATATATTTGGTAAAGTGTATGTTCACGTTTATTTTGCTTCTTTCTTTTTTGTTTTTTTCTTTGCTTATTTTCTCATTATTAAATTTTAATAGTTTCTTTATATACTCTGGATTCAAATCCCTTATTAGATATGAGACTTGCCAGTATTTTCCCCTTGAGTTTTCTTTTTTGTTCTCATAACACTATCTTTCAAATAGCAGATGCTTTTAATTTTGATGGGGTCCAATTTATTAATTGTTCTTGTGCATTTGGTTTTTGGGGCTTCATCTAAGACATTTTTGATTAACTGAACATTACAAAGATTTTTTTTCTGTATTTTCATCTAAAAGTTCATAGCTTTTAATACTTTATTTTATATTTAAGTCAATGGTCCCATAAGCGACAGAGCTTTAACCCAAGTCGCTGCCGTGCATAGCTGGACCCAGGGGCTTATATAAAATCATCAAGAAATGTTCTCCTTCTTTCTCTTGCCACTTTTCCTTTTGTTTTAGCCTCATTTTTTCCTTCTGAAGATGACTCTCTTCTCTCTCTGTAGCAAGAGATAGTGCTACAAATAACACACTTACTTTGTCCTCGCAGACCACAGTAGTAGAAAAAGCAAGAGTCCTTCCTGATGATTCCAAAAAAAAAGTACTGAAACAGTGGCTATGATCCAAGGGTAGAGTCTTACATGGTTTCACTGTGTTAGCTAGGATGGTCTTGATCTCCTGACCTTGTGATCCGCCCACCTTGGCCTCCCAAGGTACTGCGATTACAGGCATGAGCTACCATGCCTGGCCACAAGACATAGATTTTCTATATGCACATCAAGGGAGGTAGTGTTTTAGGTTGCTATAGGACAGAGCTATCCTGTATTCCAGCTGGCTTTTTTAATGATCACCTCTAGGGCTGGGGCTGGTAGGTTGGGTCAGGCTTAGTTGGTTCTCATTGAAATGGTCCTCAAAGAAAAGGGGGGCTCTCAAGAGGAGAGTTGCTGAACACCCCACCCAAAAATAGCCACTGTGTACATACCTACAATTCCTTGACATTTTATAAGCAACTGGTTGGGTGGAAAATGACTAGAAATTCAGTTGTCATTAACTTTCCTTTATAATGTCAGTAGAATGAGCCATACATTTCACATGTTGTGGGTTATGTCCATGATAGTCATTTCTGTATATTAAGTATCAATTTGGAGTATCATCTGAAGAAATATAATATTTTGTGACGTTATCCTTAAATTAATATTTTTAGGATAAAGAATTATAGGATAAAAGAAAAGTCTAGGATAGAAATAAAAGAATAGAGAAAATAGGAACATGGATATACCGCAGAAAATGGCCAAACAGGAAAAGTACTTGTGAGAGGTATTGAAGTACATAATTGATATCACATAGACCTCCAGAAAATTACAACTACTGGCATAAGAACAAACTATCTGAATAGTCTTTGCTAATACTGAGTCTTTTCTGCTTGCAAAAGAAGTAAGAATGGTAAGGAATTGGGACATTGTTCAGATAGGCCTCAATGCATTTATTCATTTACCTGTTGATGGGGTTTGGGGGTATTAATGAAAGATGTTAATAAATAATAATGGGCATGTGAGGTAATCATAATTGATTTGTCCATTTGGTCTGAAGAAAATGTTGCCTACCTTCTTTTTTGTCGAGGGATTCATTTTTAATGCCATGTTGGATTCTATGGCTTACTAAATGTGTAATTGCCTATTTATGGATTCTGAAGAATTTTATAAAATGTATTTGCCAAACATTTTGAAAGCTTAGAACTTCTCCAAGGAAGAAGTTCTTTAGTGCTTTAGTGCTGCCCTAACAAATATGGTAGCCACAGCCATGTGAATATTGAACACTTGAAATGTGGCTAGGCTGGACTGAGATGTGCTGTCAGGGTAAAACACACACCAGATTTTGAAGACTTAGTAGGAAATAAAATTAAACATATCTAATTAATAACTTTTATATTGGTTAGACATTGAAATAATATTTTGTATGTATGTTACATATAAATATGCATTCATGTGTATGTGTAATTAATATCTTCATATGAAATACTTCTCAATTACAATTGGAAGAATGATGACTTTGTGGTGGACAAATCTGGCACAAACTTGATCATGTGCCTCCTGCTGGGATGTCCTAGGAAGACCACAGCATTATTTCTGTGATTTTCTTGTGAAAGATACATGACCTAAGTCTGGATGTGGAAACACATCAGATGGAAAAAGGTGAACACATCCTTCATAAATGCTTATGCTCTTAAAACTCTTAAGGTTATGAAAAATAGGGAAAAAAAGAGGAACTCTTTGAAGTTGAAAGAGCTTAGGAGACATGACAATTAATGCAATGGGAAATCCTGGATTGGATCCTGGATTACAAAGTTCAAAAAAACTGTATTTAGGGCACAACTGAGAAAATTTGGGTGAGATTATAGCGTCTGTTGATTGGACAGTAGTGTTGGGTGAATGCTGATATCCTGATGTGGATGATTATATTCTGGTTATGAGATCTTTTCCCAGATTCCTCATCATTTGCCCAGTGGGTTCATGGACAATGTGGCGATGGTAGCAGGAGAAGATGCTACATGTTTCCAATAACGTGAACTTCCCTGCAGCAGTGCTGCCTACTGCCCAGATGAGTGCCCTGACGGCCGACAATGAGCAATAATGAGACCCTGGATAGAGGAACTGCCTTGCCTAGACCAGACAGATTTCTGGTAATGTGGTAATAATATTTTTTCCCTTCCTTCATGGAAGTGGTAAAGAATTGCCCTCACTGGAATAGATGCATATCAGAATATGGACTCCACTTCATATGCTTCTGATAGCATCAAATTATTTACATTTGCTGAGTTCTTATTCTCTGCTATCATACAATTACTACTGATGATGGAGCTTATTTTACAAGAAAAGAAGTGATGCGATGGGCTTCAGCCCATATTTATTGGTCTTGTGACATCCCACATCACCCAGAGGAATATGACCTCACAAGAATCAGTTACTTCACCAACTGTGAGACCCTGAGGGGCTGGGTTTCTATCCTACAAGATGTGTTAGAAGCCCTGACCCAAGAGCCCTGCTACCCAGAATGCATGGTTTCATGTAGCAAGGATCCTTGTGATGGTGGTGATGATGATGGTGAGGATGGTGATGGTGAAGGTGGAGGTGGTGATAATGAAGTGATAGTTATGTTGAGGATGATGAAGGTGATGATGATGGTGAGAATGGTAAAGGTGAACAAGGTGATGGTGAGAATGGCGAGGGTAAGAATGGTGATGGCGATGATGATAGTGTTGGTGATTGTAAGGATGGTGATGGCGATCATGGTGATGAAGATAATGGTGCTGACAGGGCTATGAGGTAATGGAGGCAGAAAAGTGGCAGTTTCCAGGAAGTATAGAGCCAGCTGGGAACTGCAAGGTAACCTTAGTGGGGGTGGAAGATGTAGGGTCCCTGCCTCATTTCTAGACATCTGGAGAAAGCTCACCCCTCACAGTAGTTCCAGGAACCCCTCCATCCAGCATTTCCTTCTCACAATCAGCATGGAGCTTTTGGGGTGCAGAGAAGTGTCTTCTATTCACTGCACTCTGTGGGAAGGGAAAAGGGGGAGTGCTATTTATGAACCCAGTATAATACAGTAGTTACTATGTGCCAGGCAACATGCTGGGTGGTTCCTTATATGTTATCTCATGAAATCCTACAGCAACACAAGGAGACAGGCATAACTACCCCATTATAAAAATTCTGGTAAAATAAACTAAAATTTACTGTCTAGCTATGTTTAAATTTACATTTCAGTGGCATTAAATACATTCGCAATGTTGTGCAACCAATTTCCAGAATGCTTTTCATCTTGTAAAACTACAATTCTGTAACTCATTTAAAAACAACTCCCCAATCACCACCCTCCCCAGGACCTGGTAGCCACCATTGTCCAGTCTGTCTCTATAGATTTGATGACTCTAGGTGCCTTAGAAAAGTGGAATAATACAACATTTGTCTTTTTGGTCTGGCTTATTTTGCTCAGCCTAATGTCCTCAAGGTTCATTCTTGACACTGCAGGTGTCAGAATCTCCTGCCTTTTCAAGGCTGAACACTATTCCACTGTATGCATAGACAGCATTTTGTTGATCCGTCCATCCATCCACGGACACTTGGGTTGCTTCCACCTTTTGGTTATTGTGGATGATGCTGCTCTGAACATGGTTGTGCAAGTATCTCTTCCAGGCTAGCCCCATTATATAGAAGAGTATAGAGAGATTCTGGGAGGAGGGATGACCTTCCTGGGGCCTTTGTTGAGGTCCTGGTAGAGGATCTCCCAGACCTCAAAGGCAGATCTCCTCTCCTCACCCCACTGCCTTTCTTAAGACCTGCCTCCTGCTCCACCACACAGTGCCCACTCCCTGGTACTAGACTTGCTAAGGCCTCTTGATCCCTGAAAGTTCAGGGACAGGAACTGGTGGGCACAACTACAGTCACTCACTTCTCTGTCCCCTACTGCAGATTCTGTGCCAAACAATACATGATAATGACCTGCTTTCCACTCTTTCACCAGATGTGGATGAGGCACCTACTACATGCCAGGCATGTGTGGGCACTGGACAGAGACCCCTGGGAAATAAGTAGATGTGAGCTCCTCAAGGCCAGGGGGATCCCTTTCACTTGCTGCTACCCTGTGAGGGATGGAGGGGCACCCTGAAGCATTGGAGAGGTGCATGAGTGACCTAGCTCAGATGATGATATCATAGTAACCCTGTTTATTATTTATTATCACCTACCATGTGCCAGGCCTTATGGGAAGTACTTTGCACACATTACCTGCTATAAAGCTCAGAGACAACTGTAGGAGTGAATCTGTTATACCTCCCACTTTACAGGGGAGGAAACTGACACCCAGAGAAGTGAACCATTCTTCCTCAGGCCTTGCAGCTAGTCTCTGGGATGTGGATCCAGGCGGTCTGACCCAGAGATCCCCTCATCCTCTTGGTTTTTGCTCCTGCAGCCCTCTGGCCTGTCCCCAGGACCCTGTAACCTTGGCCACCCCCAAGATGACCTGGACATGGGCTTCAGCAAAGGCAGCAACCCCAGCATATCTCCATTTGATAGGGAGGAACCTCAGGCCCACCACAGGAGCCCTGGGCTGCAGGTGGTATAGGTGCTGGCTGAACCACAGTGCACCCATGTTGGAGGATGCAACATAGGATGGGCAGCAGCAGGAGGTCTCCCTGCCCAACAACTGGTAGTGGTACCTGAGAACAAAGGAGGAGAAGGAAGCTTTGGATACAGGTGTGGAGAAGCCCAAGGAGGAAGAAAAAGACTTGGACTATGGGCTGCTGGATGGCCTCAAGGACCCCCTCCCCGAAAAGGAATTTTGAGACTTATACCCAGGGCTGAGATGAAAGTGCTTCCTATTTTCTATCCTGGAACTGCTGCAAACCTCGGTGTGACATCACAGGGCCTCATTTCCCTATTTGTAAAATGGGATTTTATGGGGGTTCCCATGAGAGACTGGACCGAGAGCATTTTGAGAATTGTAAAAAATGTACATTGAGGGAATAATTATTATCAATGGGCCATTGCTCTTCCAATAGTTAGTATTCTTTAGCAAATATTGGAAGGTAAAATATGATTTATTGAGGAGGTTTGCAGCAGCTGAGGCCCTCAAGAGTCTTTTCTGTCTCCGTTCAAAGCTGGTCTCTGACAGGGACCTTCTTGGTGCTACCCCTGGGCCCCTCATTCTTTGTGCAGGCTTCTCAGGGTTCTTATTTCTATTGTATCTTGTGGTTCCCTGGTGGATGGCATGCTCCATCTTCACTCAGAGCTAACTGCATCTCCTCCAGGCCCATGTCCCTTGTGCAGCACCCATTGCTCCCTCACCAGGATTCAAAACCTTCTGTGACTGACCTCTGCTGACCTCCCAACTTTATCTCCCCTCATTCTTTCTGCTCCTCCAGTTACATGCCTGAGCCCCTCAATCCTGTGGCTCACACTCTCACCCAAGCTGTTCTCCATCAGGATTTGCTTGGCTCCCTTTTCTGCTAGGCAAATTTGTGTTCATCCTTCCAAGCCTTGCACAGATGTCCTCCTCTGAAAGCTCTCCCTGAGGTCACAGAGTCCTGGAACAAGGTAGTCATTGCTCCTCTGCTGCCTCTGCATTTTGTGCCTTTATCACTTTGGTGTGACTGCCCGCCTCCTGCTGAATGGAGGCATTTTGGCTTTACTCACCTCAGTATCTCCTGGGTCCAGCTGGGTGTCTGGCCTGGCCCAGAATCAGTGCTCATCAAGGGTGTATAGAACTCACAAGGACCCAGGAATGTTTTGTAAATAATACCACCCTCCCACACTTCTCCAATGCTTACTTTCTAAGCTCCTTTACTCTTTGACATTCAAATTTCTAAATGGCCTGTATGTATTTACAAAGCCTGGGAAAACGCCTTCAGAGGACAAACACACCCCACCGGCAAAATGTATTTGCATTGACTAGGATTATGGATGAAATTCAGCCTTCTGGCAAATGAATCATTTGGCATTGGCTGAGTATCTGCTCTGTGCCAGATACTAAGCTGTGATCTCTAGAAAGAGACATGAACTACTGACACAGTCCTTGACCCCGAAGAGCTCAGAATCCAGTGAGCTTGATTTCTTGTAAGTTAGAGACAGAGTTCAGAGCAGAAGCTGAGGCAGGAGAAGAGAAGTAAAATGGACACACCAGAGGCAGTGACAGCCACACAGCTGTCTGGGGACACTGAGTGCAGCAACAAATAGCTTAGGCTGCCTTGGCAGCCCACGAAGGTATCACGGTTTCCTATTGCAGCATCTCAGTGATGCTTTTGTTATGCTGATCTCTGCAAAGCCCCTCTGTACCCCAGCCCAGGATGGTGACTGCCATGCTGTGGAGAAAAGGGCAGTGACCAGGACCACAGGCTCAGAGCTTGCACCCTGGACCACCTGGGAATGGGAGCCCTTCACATGTTCTCTACCTCTGTGTTCAGGTTGGGGGTCCTGGCCAAGGAAGGGAGATGACCCCCATGCTGGGTCAAAAGGACACACTCCCGGGAACAGACTATCTCTTCTTTCTGGGTAATTTCTGCCTCTGCAGTGAATGGTGAAACCAGACACATCCTCTCTGTTGGTATGACACAAAGACAGGCGTTCCTGCTCATGGGCTGAATCTTCAGATGAGGGGAGGTGTAGCACACTCCTGTGCTCTGCTGACTAAGGCAGGGACACATGTCACCCCATCGGAATGAGTGTCAGACCAATGGCTAAAATAAAATCATTTTCAATATTCAAAGGAATCACCTTCATTCATCTACAAATACTTTTCCTTTTCTTTCTTTTTTTTTTTTTTTTTTGAGATGGAGTTTTGCTCTGTCGCCTAGGCTGGAGTGCAGTGGCATGATCTTGGCTCACCGCAACTTCCGCCTCCTGGGTTCAAGTGATTCTCCTGCCTTAGCCTCTGGAGTAGCTGGGACTACAGGCGCCCACCACCACATCTGGCTAATTTTTGTATTTTTCATAGAGACAAGGTTTCACTATATTAGCAAGGCTGGTATTGAGTTCCTGACCTTGTGATCCGCCCGCCTTGGCCTCCTAAAGTGCTGGGATTACAGGTGTGAGCCACCGCACCTGGCCCAAGTTTTTTTCTATAAAACCACATATTGCACTCAAGGTAGGGTAAATGATGCATCATGCCTGCTGGCAACATGGGCCCTATCTGGAAAGCGAGTGCCCACCACCATGGCACAGTGCTGTGCAGTGCCTGTGTGGTGCTGAATCTCAGGAGCAGCCCCCATCCTGTGAACCACAACTACAGGGACCTTAGACATAAGAAAAAATCTCTGGTGGCCAGGCCTGCCAGCAAGCAGATGCTAACCCTGTCCTGGGGGCCTGCAGGGAGGTCGGGCCAGTGGAGAGGTGGCGAGACCCATGTCTGGTCTCCCCAACTCCCACACATGCTATGCAATGGGCGGATGACCACATACCCGATCTGCCTGGAAGGGTCCTGGTGTGCCCACTGCCTCGAAGAGTTATGAGGGGTGCTGCCTCTCACATCTCACCGGTATCGCATTTGAAGGACAAATTATGTCTTCCCTTCCCCACCCTGTGGGCCTCCGTTTCCTCATGTGCAAGTGGGGGATGATATGCTTACATGGTTTTGCAGTGGGGGTATCGATGGGATCCATCTGTCAATGCCTTGCATCCAGTGACCACCTGGAGCACACCTGCAGTTCGCAAGTTAGGCTTCCTGCTGCAGTGAGGGGAGCAAGCACTGCCTGGAGCCAGGGAGCTTCTCTGAAGGAGGTGTTGGAAAGGACCTGTTCCAGAATTTGGGCTTGTATTGGGAGCTTGGGGGAGGGTTGAAATAAGCCTTTGCTCCAGATTGGATGCTGTCAGAGGCAGGGTGGATTCTATCACCTGGCATCTTCCCCAATCTTACCTAGAAGGAAGGAAGACAAAAACAAAGCTAACGCTGCAATTGACAAAGAGGTAGTGGTGAAGACATAGACACAGGGGAGGGGGTATGAGGTCATTTTTGTCCATATTTTGCATGAGCTGAGCCATGATAGCTACCAAGTGACCTTGCTTTGTCTTGACCCATCATGGTCACAGAGCGACCTTGTCTGATGCTGACAACCTGTGCAGTTCAACAGGAGAACACCAACGTCTTGCCAGCAGTGGCTGCTGTCCTCCTGAGGCCTCGCTGCTCCTCCTCTGGGGCCTACTGCTGACCGTGGGAGGTGTGGAGTGGGAGGGGAATATGCCATGGGTTTTTTTTTTTGCAGAGCAAGGGCAGGGGACTCTGATGCCTTCAGCTCTGGCCATCCTGAGTGCTGTGATCTGCTTCCCCTGCTTCCTACACCACCCGCAATCCCACCACGCTGCTGCAGTCACTGCCAACTCATAGTGCCTTCTAAGGGCCCCAGTGTCTCTGGGACACCCCTCTCCCCTGGGAGGGAAGCAAGGTGCTCATGAAGGTCCCAGGTGGAGGTGCTGAAAGAGTGTGGAGGTGCCTTCTTGAGTGTCAAAGTCTGGGATTCCAGCTTTCAGCTTCAGGCTCCAGGTGTGTGTGCCGAAGTGGAATTTTCTGCTCTCATTCGCTCTCCTGTCTGGTCAGAGGAACTTGGGGAGTTTCCTCTCTAGGGGAGGGAAAGGGCCTGGAGAGGTGGCCTTGCCCTGAACTGGGAAGGGGTGGGCATGGGAAAGCAGGGGCCTGGGCTCTGCCTACTGCTTGCTGACAGCTTGGGCACAGCACTGCCCTCCCTGGGCTCCTGTCTCCTTTCTCTGTATGATTAGGTGGAGGTGGATGGGATTCTGCTTCTACTCCCAGTCCTTGGGCACCATATCAGGTACTCACACACTTACGACCCCATCTGGTCTTTGGAACAGCACTGGGGGATGGATCTGTCAATCTCACGTTGCAAATGTTTGTTCTAAATCCCACACTCTGAAGTCAGAAAGACCTGGGTTAGCCCTCAGCCACTGACGGTTGCTTGCTATGTGACCTTGGACAAGTCACTGCCCTTCTCTGAGCCTCAACACCCACATTTACACAGGGGAAGAATAATACCTCCCTCTTGGGCTGCTGTGAAGCAGAGCTAATGCGTACATTGCCTCAGGCACATTGCAGGTGCTCAAAGTGTTGGTCTTTCCTTCCCTTTCTAGGTCCCCATTTCATCATCTACACAGTAGGGAGTAACTCTGTCTGGATTATAAATAAGACAATAGGTGAATGCACTCAGCAAGCCTGGGGGCAGGGATGCCTAGAGAAGCTTCTTGCAAAGGTGAAGAATGTGTGCTCTGAGCCCCATGCTGAGAGGCAGGTGAGAGGACAGCAAGCCCAGCAACTGAGGCCTACAAAATGCCTCCTGCAGAGAGGGAGGAGGAGCAGTGTTCTAAGGCGGGTGGGAGGCAGCATCCCCAGTACTTGCAGGAGGAGCAGGACTGTTGTGCTTGCTCAGGGGGGTGGTAGGTTAGGTTCTTAGGTATCTGCTGGGTATCAGATGCTGCACAAGCATCGTCTCCTTGAACTTAATCTTTCCATCATCCCTGAGAGGTGGGCATTACAGGGGCTTAGTGGGATTGAAACACAGGTCCCCTGAGCCTGTGCTTTTTCTACAAGGCAACTTAGTTCACATGTAATAATAGGACCCAAAAATACAACTGCTATGCTGTGCTCACCTGATTTCATAACATCCTTGTGACCTGCGAGGTTGGTGTACTGTCATCATTTTATGGATGAGGAAACTGAGGCTCAGAGAGGGTGAATAATTTGCTCATCCTTCCAAAGAACTAAAGGGAAGAGAAGTGCTATAGCTCTGGCGCCTTCTATTCCTGGTAGGAAGTGTGCAGTACCCAAGGCCATTCTGACCCTAGTGCAGGCAGGAGAAAAGGCACATCAACAAATCCAGCAGCAAGCTTCCACTGAGGGCCTCCCTGACCTTTCCTTGCACTAGTGCTGTGGGAGAAACAGCCTTGTTCCTTCACCTAACATGGCTTCTTGCCGCCCCCAGGATAAAGCTCAGAGTCCTCAGGTCTGTGTTTGAGAGTCTTCATGGTCTGGTCCCACCTGCATTTCCAGCCAAATCCTCCACCAGGGTTCCCAGTGCAGCAGCCCTGGCCACCTGTCCCATCCTACCATCCTGACTTGGCTCAAGCTGCTCCCTCTGTCCCATGGTCTTCACACATAGAACAAGGAGAAGCTTGATATAGGCTAACCTGAATTTTCCATTTGAGAGCATTTTCACCTTCTGGAAACAGACATTTCACCCAAAATTCCAGATTCCCTGCTTCTCTGAAAATAAATACATACATACATACATACATACATACATGCATATATAAATCTGCTCTTACTCTGCACTATTCTGTTTTCTGAGACAGAGTTTCACTCTTGTTGCCCAGGCTGTAGTGCAGTGGTGTGATCCCCACTCACCGCAACCCCTGCCACCCAGTTTCAAGTAAGTCTCCTGCCTCAGACTCCTGAGTAGCTGGGATACACAGGCATGCACCACCATAGCCGGCTAATTTTCATGTATTTTTTTTTAGTAGAGATGGAGTTTCACGATGTTGGTCAGGCTGGTCTCCAACTCCTGACCTCAGGTGATCTACCGGCCTCGGCCTCCCAAAGTGCTGGGATTACAGGTGTCAGTCACCTCATTTGTCCAGTCTGCACTATTCCTTAGTGTCAGACAATTTGAGCCAAACAATGTCTTTCTCATTTGGACATGACCTTCAGGGTCTAATTTTTGTATTTTTAGTATAGACCAGTTTTGTTTTTTTTTTTTGACAGAGTTTCACTCTTGTCCCCAGGCCGGACGGTGCAGTGGCATGATCTCAGCTCAATGCAACCTCCGCCTCCTGGGTTCAAGTGATTCTTCTGCCTCAACCTCCCGAGTAGCTGGGATTACAGGTGCCTGACACAACAACCTGCTAATTTTTTGTATTTTTAGTAGAAACAGGGTTTCACCATGTTGGGCAGACTGGTCTCGAACTCCTGACCTTAGGTGATCCACCCTCCTCAGCCTCCCAAAGTGTGGAATTACAGGCATGAGCCAGAGCCTGGCCTCACCTGGCTAATTCTTTGTATATTTGAAGAGACGGGGTTTCACTGTGTTGGCCAGGATGGTCTTGATCTCCTGACTTCGTGATCCGCTGGCCTCGGCCTCCCAAAGAACTGGGATGAGAGGTGTGAGCCACTGCACCGGCCTCAGTGTAGCTTATTATCAAAGTATTTACATAGAAAAATTAATCAAAGGGCACAAGCATTTCAATACTTAGGTTAAGATGAAATCTGTGGCCGGAAGAGTGCCAGACACACATGAAATGTTTTGTGCATGAAGGAACCACAACTTAAAATGATTTTCTGTTATTCATTTTGGTATGTTATTTTGGAAATGTGATTAATCACGTATGTAAAGGACGTTGAGAAGAATTTCCAGATACTCTGATATGCATGACATCTTAATCACACAATATAAAGCAAGGCTATCTTAGGAAATTAGGTATCACTGCCAAGGACCTTTACATGAGAAGATAAATAAAAACTACTATTAAATTTGTAACAGTCAGATGGGCTGGCAGGCAAGTTGCGTCATTTTTTTCTCAGTATTTTTTCTTTTTCCTTGATTCAATAAAACAAACTTAAACGCCAGTTATCTGCAGAACCCTCACTGGACTATGTTTAATGATATGTGAAACACAGCCTGCACACTCACAGATCCTTGCCACGTCCCGTTCCCATCCTCTCAAAACCTGTGTTACCCTGTGGCTAGATTTCTCAAGGAGATGAAAGAGAGAGATGAATGAGAACCACCTTCTTTCAGGTCGCTCTGCACTGCTCCTGCAGGTAGACAATGACCTCTCCGGTGAAGCTATTATCCTTGGCTTGGGGGTGGAGGCCTTTATCCTGGAAAAGAGGCCTCTCAGGGTGGGGAGGTGATTTAAATTCTTATGAGAGAGACGCAGCTCCTCACCTCATCTGGACCTTCACAAACCTAAACTGGAACCGCCAGAAAAATGACTGACAACGGGCCACACAAGCCAGGCAGAGACGCGGGGAGAGGCTGACCACAAGAAAGGCGGACATAGAAGATACCGTCCTCTGGCGCACAGGGCACATATGTCCCAACACACACACACATGCACACAGGGACACAGAGCAAAAGAGTGAGAAAGGGGAGAGAGAGAAACAAGAGAGAGACATACGCACACACACAAACGCACAAAGACATACAGCAGTGGCACGGTAACACCTACACGCAGGCAGCCCCTGAATTTTCAGGGTTCTGCTCTCCATGACAACAACCCACTGGTGAGAGAGCAGCCCACGGGCACACAAGCAAACCTCTCCTTTTTTGAAGAGACTCACTGGCACACCGTCCGTGCAGGCCTGAACCTGGGATCCTGCGCTGCTTGCCCGGCCCTCCACCTGCAGTTTCTTCCTCCTGGACGACCCTCCGTGAATCCCGGCCTCCAGAGACTATCCTGTTGATGCCCTGGCCAGGACTGGTCTTAGCCCGGACTCTGACTAATCCCTCTAGTACCAGGTACTCGGGAGGTGGAGGCAAGAGAATCACTTGAACCTGGGCGGCAGAGTTTGCAGTCAGCTGAGATCCCGCCACTGCACTCCACTGAGTGACAGAGTGAGATTCCGACTATAAAAAAAAAAAAAGAAAGAAAGAAAAGAAAAATGACCGCGGAGCGGTGGCTGCGGGGACTGGTGCTGCGGCGGGTGAAGTGAAGATTGGGAAAGGGGCCTCGTCGACCCTCCCCGAATCCGGGCCTGAGGCTGGGATCTCGCGCTGCCGCCCCGGCGATCCGCCTGAGGTTTCTACCTTCTGAGGTTTCTTCCTTCTGAGGTTTCTTCCTGGTGGTCAACCCTCCGAGAATCCCAGGCTCTGGAGACGATCCTGTTAATGCCTTGGCCAGGACTGCTCTCAGACCCAACTCTGACGCACTATCACACGGGGCTCCTACTTCGCAAAGTCTCGGGGACCCATCCACGGGCAACAGTGGCAATCACTACGACCAAAGCGGAGGCTCAGGCCTTGCGCATGCGCACTGGCGAGACTGAATCCCCGCTTGCTCCCGAGAGTCCGGCGGCAGATCCTTTAAAAAATGGCGGCGACGCGCGGCTGAGGGGACTGGGGCAGCGGTGGCAGCAGCAGCGCAGTCCGAGGCGGCGGGTGGGAAGAGGACTACGAGAGGGTCCTGCGGGAGACCCAAGGGTTGTACCCATAGAGGTCCTGTCATCAGGACCTTCTTGATCGGTCTTCTGCTTTGGTTGCCGGTGGAGGAGGAGCTTCAGGGTGTGGCTGGGCTCTCTGGAATCCTCTTCGACCTGACTATGGATCCCACTGGGTGATCAGGAATGGGGTTACAATGCAGTGAGGCGGGAAGGGTCTCGCTGGGGCACAGAAAGATCCTAAGGGCTGCAAGGCGAACTGTCAGCTGAAAATGCACTGACCCATGAGCCCACTGCCTCCCTCCTTCCTAGGTGGAGCAGTGGCCTGACTTCATCTCCAAGGTTCGGGGCTCTGGCATCCCGACACTGCTTTCCGCAGCATGTGCAAGGAGAGACAGAGGTGAGTCCGAGATGGAGCCAATGTGACCACACGTGGCACTAATGTTCCCCAAGAGCAGATGGAGTCAGTGTGTGTCTTTGAGGCCATATGGGGCGATGCTGAGACGGATAGTGATGTCCAGGTGTGTGCAGGTGGGTCACTGGGACCTCCCACACAAAGCCAAGGAAAAGCCAAGCACACTAGAAAACCTGTGAGACAGGGCCTGTGCCTGAGTCCAAGCCACATTCAGGGATGACTGCCAGAGGGGCCAAGAGGTTTCGACAAACGACACCACACCGACATCCTGCCACCTGTAGGTACCCCTGATGCCACCTCCTCTGCACCCAGCAAAACCCAGTCCCTTTGGCTCCCTGACATCCGTGGCAGCCAAAAGATTCAGTGCTTGGAGGCACTTTCCCCAGGAGCAGAGGAACGGGATGGCCCTCAGGAATGAGAGAGGAAGGGCAGGTGGGATGCAACACTAACTTTTCTAGAAGGCAAAGGTCAGCCACAGTGGGGTTGCCTCCCGCTCTTCCTTGATGGACCACGAAGCCATCACTTGGGACATGCAGACAAAGGGAGCTTTCCTGTCCAAGACAGGTATGGAAGCCCAGAACTCCAGGATCATGACAACCTATCATCCAGAAACAGGTTTGGGGAGGGAAGCAATCATAAAAGGGAGCCCAGCGAAATTTCTCCCTAATGGACTGGGAAGTGTTCTTTGTTGAAGACATTGAGCCAGACTAAGAAACCTCTAGGCTTCACAGGAACTGGGCAGACAGAACAAGAGGGAGGACAGAGCAGAGGCCAATGCCACAGCACAATGCCACTATCACGGGCATCCGGGAAAATGTGCCAAATGGGTGACTTGGCGAGGAAGGCCAGCGTTTGAGTGACAGACATGCTTGCCCCATCTTGTAGCCAGCTTCCTTCTCCGTCCCAGTGTATAGCTGTGGGTAGCTTTCTCAATGAGGGCAAAGGGTGAGAGGAGTGAGAACCATCTTCTTGAAGGTCTGTGGGCACACGCCTGTGGGTGGACAATGAGCACCTGTGAGGCCTTTGTCCTTGGCTGGTTTGCAGTCGTCTTGATCCTAGCAAGGAGACAGCACAGGATGGGAGGGGTATTAAAACTCCTGCAAGACAGCGGAGGCATTAAGCCCCTTCACCAAAGCACAGTCATGGAGAACTCCTGCTATGCCAAAATTAAGGGACTGGATATTAAGACAACAGTGGAAATCACTGTGATGAGACAATCAGCTAGAGCCACGTGGAGGCACACTGGCTGGGCCGACTAAAGCTCCGGTGCTGGACGGCAGGCAGCTGCCCCTTTCAACAATGGCTACTGTGCGGTAGCAGATGGGCTCCTGTTGCAGCCTCGGCAGCGACTGGATCCGGGGTAAAGTTTGCAGCGGCCCGGTAGAGGGTGTGGCCAGTGTCCTGTCCCAGGGTGAAACCCCCAGGAGTCCTGTCCTCAGGACTTCCTTGAGCCAATTCTCACCAAGGGAGGGAGAGCTTCAGGACACCTGCTGGGTTCTCGGGACTCCCCTTCAGATCCGATTTTGGCCCCCGCCGAGTGAGATAGGATGGGCTCACCACATCTGGTGAGGCAGGCAGCGCCTCGCTGCAGCACAGAATGATCCCATAGGTCTCAAGACCTAGTGTCAGCTGCAAATTCACTGATCCCTCAGCCCTCTGCCTCCCTCCTCCTTTGAAAGAGCAGTGGCCTGCCCCGCTTCTAAAAGCCCTGGGGCTCCGGAAAGCCAACCGCCCTTTACAGGACACCTACAAACAGGAACAAGGGCGAATCCGAGGTGGAGACAATGTGACCATGCATGGCACTGGCGTATCCCACAGAAGATGGTGTGAATGTGTGTCACCGGAGGCATACGGGGCGACGCGAAACAAACGGTGTTCTCCATGCATGTGCCGGGGGAAGAGGGGAACGAGTGGCCTTTCCCTCAATGCCAAGGAAAATTGAAGAACACCTGGGAACCGGGGGGTGGGGGGGGGCCTGTGCCTGACCCAAGCCACGTTTTCAAATGCCTACCAGAGGAGCAAAGAGGTTTCTGCAAAATTCGCCCCACCTCCAACCCTACACCGCCCTGGTATCCCTGACACAACTTAGGCTGCCCCCAGCCCCAACCCCAGCCCCTGCCCCAGCCCAGTCCCTTTGGTTCCCTGACATTCGTTTCGGCCAGAAGATCAAGGGAGTCAGTTCACCCAGGAGCAGAGGAGAGGATGTCCCTCAAAAATGAGACAGGAAGTGCAGAGGAAATGCGACACCACCTGTCCTGGAAGACAAGGCCAGTCACTGTCGCCTAGCGCTCCTTCTAGGCAATCCACCCACCCATGAGGGAAAACGTGGAGAAGAAGGAAGCTTCCCTGCCTGAGACACATATGGAAGCCAAGAGCTCCAGGGTCATGAGACCTGCGGAATCCAGGAGAAACACGTTTGGAGAGAGAAACATTCAGGACACGGATCTCCAGGAAATGTCACCCTGACGGACTGGGAAGTCATCTTTGTTGAAGACATTTGGCCAGAGCGAGATGCATCCAGGTCCCTGAGAAACAGGGGAGGCAGAGCAAGAGGGAAGACAGAGCAGAGGCCGGAGCCCAGGCAGGGTAAAGCACCGTGCCACCGCCACGGTCATAAGGGGAGGGGTTCCAAAGGGATGGCTTGTCCAGAGAGGCCAGCGTTCCAGTGACAGGGACTGTTGCCATCTCCCATTCCCGGCTTCCTCTTGCAGACCGTATGGTGGTGTGGCTTCATTTCTCAGAAAAGAGCCGTGAAAAGATACCAGCATCTTCTCTGACGTGGGTCCGCTGCTCTCCTGCAGGACAAAGAGCCCCTGTGGGGCTCTTGTCTTCAGCTGCAGTGTGTTCATCTTGATCCTAGGAAACTGGCCGCTCAGGATGGGAATGAGATTTCATTTGCTCCGTGACCAACGCATCTCCTCAAGTGGGCCAGGCCTTCACATACCCAAAGCGGATCCGCGGCGGCGAAAAAGATTGACAACCGGACTCATGACCCAGGCAGAGACGCAGAAAGAGGGTCACCAAAGACAGGCCGCCCTGCGAGAAACCGCTTTGTGGCGCACAGGGCACATTCGGCAAAGACACACACGCACACGGGCAAACACACACAAAACACTGAGAGAGGGAAAGAAACACACAGACACTGAGAGATAGAGAAGAGAGAATGGGAGACACACACATAGACACACACACTCACACACACACACACACACAGACACAGAGACACACACAGAGTCCTAGAGCAGAGGCATTGAAACACACACCCCCAGGCAACACCTGAGGCTTCGGGGTTGTGCTCTCGACGAGAACGATCCTCGGGTGAGAGACCACCCCATGGGCACGCAGGCCTACATGTCCTCGAGATCACGGCGGCACTACTTTTGGAGAGACTCACCCCAACCAACACCGTCCGGGCAGGCCTGAGGCTGGGATGCCGTGCTGCTTTCCCCGGACTCTGCCTAAGGTTTCGCCATCCTGGTCAGCCCTTTGCGAATCCTGGCATCTGGGGACGTTCCCGTCGACCACGTGGAGAGGTCAGGCCGGAGACTCAGAGCCCCGACACTCAAGCACTGCCATGGAGGGCTCCTACTTTGCCATGCCTCGAGGACTGCTTTCTAAGACAACCGTGGGAACCACTGTGACGGGAGAAGCCGCTCCCGCCTCGCGCATGCGCATTGGCTGGCCCGACTCGAACTCTGCTCCTGGCAGTCAGGCTGGGTCCCCTTTAAAGAACGCCACCGCAGCGCGGCGGCAGCGAGGCTCCAGCTGCAGGCGCGGCGGCGGCTGGATCCGGCCTCCAGTTTGGGGCAGCGTGGGAGAGGGGACCGCGGGTGTCTTGTCCTGTCCCAGGGCCAAACCCCCAGGAGTCCTGTCCTCAGGAACTCCTTGAGCTGACTTCCACCGAGGGAGGGAGGGGGAGCTTCAGGACGCCTGCTGTGTTCTCAGGACACCCCTTCAGATCCCATTTTGGCCCCCACCGAGTGAGATAGGATGGGCTCGCCACATCTGCTGAGGCAGGCAGGGCCTCGCTGCAGCAAAGAATGATCCCATAGGTCTCGAGGCCTAGTGTCAGCTGCAAATTCACTGATCCTTCAACCCTCTGCCTCCCTCCTCCTTTGAAAGAGCAGTGGCCTACCCCTCTTCTAAAAGCCCTGGGGCTCCGGAAAGCCGACCGCGCTTTACAGGGCTCGTGCAAACAGGAACAGTGGCGAATGCCAGGTGCAGACCATGTGACCACGCGTGGCACTGGCGTATCCCACAGCAGATGGTGTGAATGTGTGTCACCGGAGGCATACGGGGCGACGGCGAAACAAATGGTGGTGTCCAGGCATGTGCCGGCGGAAGTGGGGAACGAGTGACCTTTCCATCAATGCCAAGGAAAATCTAAGAACACCTGGGACCCGGGGGGTGGGGGCGCCTGTGCCTGACCCAAGCCACGTTTTCAAATGCCTAGCAGAGGAGCAAAGAGGTTTCTGCAAAATTCGCCCCACCCCCAAACCTCCACCGCCCTGGTAGCCCTGAAGCAACTTCGGCTGCACCCAGCCCCAGCCCCAGCCACAGCCCCACCCATGAGAGGAAACCTGGAGAAGAAGGAAGCTTCCCTGCCTGAGACATGTATGGACACCCAGAGCTCCAGGGTCATTAGACCTGCGGAATCCAGCTGAAACACGTTTGGAGAGAGAAACAATCATAACATGGATCTCCAGGTAGTGTCTCCCTGACGGACTGGGAAGTCATCTTTGTTGAAGAAATTTGGCCAGAGCGAGAGCCATCTAGGCCTCTGAGAAACAGGGGAGGCACAGCGAGTGTGACAACAGAGTAGAGGCTGTAGCCCAGGCAGGGTACAGCACCGTGCCACCGCAATGGGCATAAGGGGCGGGGTTCCAAAAGGGTGGCTTGTCCAGAGAGGCCAGCGTTCCAATGACAGCGATTGTTGCCATCTCCCATTCCCAGCTTCCTCTTGCAGACTGTATTGTGGTGTGGCTTCATTTCTCAGACAAAAGCCGTGAAAAGATACAAGCATCTTCTCTCACCTGGGTCAGCTGCTGTCCTGTGGGAAAAAGAGCTCCTGTGAGGCTCTTGTCCTCGGTTGCTGTGTTTTCATCTTGATGCTAGAAAAGAGGCCACTCAGGATTGGGATGAGATTTCAATTGCTCCGGGACCGTCGCATCTCCTCACGTGGGCCAGGTCTTCACACACCCAAAGCGGTTCCGCGACAGTGAAAACAATTTACAACCAGCCTCATAACCCAGGCAGAGACCCAGAAAGAGGCTCACCAAAGACAGGCCGCCATGCGAGAAACCGCTTTGTGGCGCACAGGGCACATTTGTCCAAAGACACACAAGCAGACGGGCACACACACACAAACCAATAGAGAGAGGGAAAGAAACACACAGAGACTGAGAGACAGAGAGAGAAGAGATCATGGGAGACACACACACAGACACACACCGACACACACACACACACACACACACACACACACAGAGTCCTAGAGCAGAAGCATTGAAACACACAACCCCAGGCAACCCATGAGGCTGCGTGGTTCTGCTCTCAAAGAAAGCGACCCTCGGTTGACAGAGCAGCCCAGGGGCATGCAGGCCGACCTGTCCTCGAGATCACGGCTGCGGCACGACTTTTGAGGAGACTCACCCCAACCAACACCGTCCAGGCAAGCCTGAGGCTCGGATGCCGTGCTGCTTCCCCAGGACTCTGCCTGGGGTTTCCTCATCTAGGTCTGCCCTTTGCAACTCCTGGCATCCGGAGACATTCCCGTCGACCCCGTGGAGAGGTCAGACCGGAGCCTCAGAGCCCGGACACCCAAGCTCTGCCGCGGAAGGCTCCCGCTTTGCCAAGCCTCGAGGACTTGTTTCTAAGACAACCGTGGGAACCACTGTAATGGGAGAAGCCGCTCGCGCCTCGCGCATGCGCATTGGCTGGGCCGACTCGCGCTTCCCTCCTGGCAGTTAGGCTGCGTCCCCTTTCAATAACGCCACTGCTCCGTGGTGGCGGCGAGGCTCCTGCTGCTGCCACGGCGGCGGCTGGTTCAGGGGTCCAGTTTGTGGCGGCGTGGGAGAAGGGGCCTTGAGTATCCTGTCCCAGGGCCAAACCCCCAGGAGTCCAGTCTTCAGGACCTCCTTGAGCCGACTTCCACTGATGGAGGGGGAGCTTCAAGGCGCCTGCTGGGTTCTCAGGAATCCTCTTCAGATCTTAGTTTGGACCCCTCCTGGTTAGAAAGGAAGGGCTCAGCACATCTGGTGAGGCAGGCAGGGCCTCGCTGCTGCACAGAATGATCCCATGGCCCTCAAGGCGTGGTGTCAGCTAAATGTTCACTGATCAGTGAGCCCTCTGCCTCCCTCCTCCGTTGAAAGAGCAGTGGTGTGCCCCACTTCTAAAAGCCGTGGGGCTCCTGCCAGCAGACACCGCTTTCCAGGACAGGTGCAAACAGGGTCGGTGAGAATCCGAGGTGGAGACAATGCGATCACGCGTGGCACTGGCGTATCCCACAGCAGATGGTGTGAATGTATGTCACCGGAGGCATATGTTGCAATGATGAAACCAACATTAGTGTCCACGCATGTGCCTGGTGGAAAGGCGGATCAAGTGGCTTTTCCCTGAATGCCAAGGAAAATCAAAGAACACCTGCGAACAAGGAGGAGGCCTGTGCCTCAGTCCAAGCCACATTTTGAAATGCCTGCCAGAGGAGCAAGGAGTTCTCTGCAACATTCACCCCACCCCGAAGCCTCCACCGCCCAGGTAGCCCTGACGCAACCTCCCCTGCACCCAGCCGCAACCCCATCCCCAGGCCCAGCCCTGTTCCTTTGGTTTCATGACATTCGTTACAGAAAAAAGATTCAGGGAGTCAGTCCACCTACGAGCAGAGGAGAGGATATCCCTCATTTGTGAGACAGGACGTGCAGAGGTAATGGGACACCATCTGTCCTAGAAGACAAGGCCAGTCATGATCGCCTAGCACTCATTCTAGACAATCCACCCACCCATGAGGTGAAACAAGGAGACTAAGGAAGCTTCTCTGTCTGAGACACGTGTGGAAGCCAAGTGTTCCAGGCTCATCAGACCTGCCCAATCCAGCAGAAACAGGTTTGGAGAGAGAAGGAGTCATGACAAGGATCTACAGGAAGTGTCTCCCTGATGGACTGGGAAGCGATCTTCGTAGAAGTTATTCAGCCAGACCAAGAGGCAACTAGTCCCCTCAGAAACAGGGGAGACCGGGCAAGAGGGAGGACAGAGCAGAGGCCAGAGCCCAGGCAGGTTACAGAACCTTGCCACTGCCACGGGCATAAGGGGAGGGGTGCGAAACGCGTGACTTGTCCAGAGAGGCCAGCATTCCAGGGACAGGGATTGTTGCCGTCTCCCATTCCCGGCTTCCTCTTCAGAATTGTATGGTGGTGTGGCTTCATTGCTCAGAGAAGAGCCGTGCAGGGGTACAACCATCTTCTTGGAGGTGGGTCTTCTCCTCTCCTGCCGGACAATGAGCTGCTGTGGGGTTTTGTCCTGGGCTGGAGTGTGGTCCTCTTGATCCTAGAAAAGAAGCCGCTCAGGATGCGGATGAGACTTTGATTGCTCTGGGACCGACGCGTCTCCTCAAGTGATCAAGGCCTTCACAAACCCAAAGTGGAACCGCCGTGAAAACGATGGACAACCGGCCACAGGACCCAGGCAGAGATGCAGAAAGAGGCTCACCAAAGACTGGCCAACATGCAAAAAATTGCATTTTGGCGAACAGAGCACATTCGTCCAAAGACACACACGCACACGGGCATACGCACACAAACACACACACACAGACCGACAGAGAGAGGGAAAGAAACACACAGAGGGTGAGAGACAGAGAGAGAAGAGAGAATGGGAGACACACACACACACACAGTCCTACAGCGGTGGCACAGAAATACACACTCCCAGGCAAACCCTGAGGCTAATAGTGGAAAATATGTATCTAAGAATACATTTGGAACAGAAATGTGAAAAACCAAAAGTAAGAGATATTATGAAGGATCAAATATAAAATGACCCAGTGCTAAAGAGGCAACAAAGAAAATTGTAGAAGAAAATGACAAGAGGAATTGTGCCTTAATGAGTTTGTACTACTATATAGAAAATACACTAGGCTGGGTAATTTCTGAAGAACAGAAATGTATTTCTCACAGTTCCATAGGCTAGAAGTCCAAGATCAAGGTGCCAGCAGGATTGGTGTCTGGTGAGGGTCTGGTCTCTGCATCCAAGATGGTATCTTGTGCACTGTGTCTTCAGGAGGAGATGCACTGTGTCCTCACATGGCAGAAGGTGGAAGGGCAAAACAGGGGAAGCCCACTCCATCCAGTCCTTGTGTAAGGATCCTAAACTCATTCGTGAACACTCTCCCTTCATGACTGAATCACTACCTTAAAGCCCTACTTCCTAATCTTATGACATTGGTGATTAATTTTAGGGGGACACATTCAGAGCATAACACCCTATATTCAATTTCTTAAAAATTATTTTGTTGTTTTGCTTTTCTGTTTTTCAAATGGCTTAAAGTGCACAAAACTGGATTACTCATAATCCTTGGCTCATAGCATACCTTGGCTCCTATTTCATCCTTGTCTGTGCCTGGGCCTCTGTGTAAATGTATTTGAATAATATGGTAATCACTTGTGAACTTACAACACAACCAAAGAACCAGGGTTCTGACCCTAACATCTGCTCCTCCTCTGTCCTTTTTCCTGATTTTCACCCTTCAGCCCGAGGGTAACTACTACCCTGAATTTATGTTTAGGATTCTCTTCCTTTAAAAAAAAAACATTGTTTATTTCATACATATGATTACCTTAAATGATATATTATTTAGTTTTTAAGGGTATAATTTATTTACCCATTATCCTATTAATTTACCCATTCTCCTATTAATGAAAATCTGGCTTGTTTCCATATATTCGCTATTATGAATGGAATTACATGAGCGTTTTTTTTTTTTTACTACCTCTGGTACATATGGGCAAGAGTTTCTCCAGGGCCTATGGTAGAGGAATTACTTTGCCATAACATATGAGAATGCTCAAACTTATAAGATAATCCAAATTGCTTTCCAAAGTGGTTGTTCTAATTTAAACTCTCACCTCCTGTATTAGTTTGAGATGATCTTGTTGATCCACAGTCTCTCCATATTTGGTGATATGGTTTGGCTGTGACCACACCCAAATCTCAGCTTGAATTCTATCTCCCAGAATTCCCACATGTTATGGGAGGGACCCAGGGTGAGGTAATTGAATCACGGAGGCCAGTCTTCCCTGTGCTATTCTCATGATAGTGAATAAGTCTCATGAGATATGATGGGTTTATCAGGAGTTTCTGCTTTGGCTTCCTCCTCATTTTCTCTTGCTTCTGCCATATAAGAAGTGCCTTTCACCTCCTGCCATGATTCTGAGGCCCCCCTCACCATTTGGGACTGTAAATCCAATTACAGTTCTTTTTCTTTACACCTCTTTTTCTTCTCAGACTTGAGTATGTCTTTATCAGCAGGGTGAAAGCAGACTAATACAGTAAATTGATACCAGTGGAGTGAGGTGCTCCTTAAAAAAGTACCCAAAAATGTGCAAGCAACTTTGAAACTTGGTAACAGGCAGAGGTTGGAACAGTTTGGAGGGCTCAGTAGAACACTGGAAAATGTGGGAAACTTTGGAACCTCCTAGAGACTTGCTGAATGACTTTGACAAAAATGCTGATAGTGTTTTGAACAATAAGGTCCAGGCTGAGGTGGTCTCAGATGGAGATGAGGAACTTGTTGTGAACTGGAGCAAAGGTAACTCTCGTTATGTTTTAGCAAAGAGAATGGCAGCATTTTGCCTCTGTCCTAGAGATTTGTGGAACTTTGAACTTGAGAGTGATAATTTAGGGTATCTGCTGGAAGAAATTTCTAAGCAATAAAGCATTCAAGAGGTGACTCGGGTGATGTTAAAGGCCTTCGGTTTTATAAAGGAAGCAGAGCATACAGTTTTGGAAAATTTGCAGCCTGACAATGTGATAGAGAAGAAAATCCCATTTTCTGAGGATAAATTCAAGGTGTCTGCAGAAATTTGCATAAGTAACAAGAAGCTGAATGTTAATCCCAAAAACAATGGGGAAAATGTCTACAGGACATGTCATAGGTCATCACAGCAGCCCCTCCCATCACAAGCCCGGGGCCTAGGAGGATAAAATGGATTTCTGGGCTGGGCCAGGTTCACTGTGCTGTGTGTAGCCTAGGGCCTTGTTTCTCTGCGTTTCAGCCCCTCCAGCCATGGCTGAAAGGGGCCAACATAGAACTCAGGCCATGGCCTTGAGAGTGCAAACACCAAGCCTTGGCAGCTTCCACGTTGTGTTCAGCCTGCACATGCATAGAAGTCAAGAATTGAGGTTTGGAAACCTCCACCTAGATTTCAGAGGATGTTTGAAAACATCTGGATATCCAAGCAGAAGTTTGCTGCAGGGGTGGTGCTCTGATGGAGAACCTCTGCTAGGGCTCTGCAGAAGAGAAATGTGGGGTCAGAGCCTCTCTACAGAGTCCTTACTGGGGAACTTCCTAGTGGAGCTGTGAGGAGAGGGCCACTCTCCTCCAGACCCCAGAATGGTAGATTCACTGACAGCTTGCACCATGAGCCTGGAAAAGCTATGGACACTCAACATCAGTCCATGAAAACAGCCACGAGGTGGACTATACCCTACAAAGCCACAGGGGCAGAACTACACAAGGCTGTGGGAGCCCACCTCTTGTATCAGCATGACCATGATGTGAAACAGGGAGTCAAAGGAGATCATTTTGGAGCTTTAAAATTTGATTACCTTGCTGGATTTTGGACTTGCATGGGGCCTGTAACCCCTTTTTTTTGGCCAATTACTCCCATTTGGAACAGCTGTATTTACTCAATTACCTGTACCCCGATTGTATCTAGGAAGTAACTAGCTTGATTTGGATTTTACAGGGTCATAGGCAGAAGAGACTTGCCTTGTCTCAGATGAGACTTTGGACAGGGGACATTTGGGTTAATGCTGAAATGAGTTAAGACTTTGGGGGACTGTTGGGAAGGCATGATCGGATTTGAAGTGTGAGGACATGAGATTTGGAGGGGCCAGGAGCAGAATAATATGGTTTGACTATGTCCCTACCCACATCTCAACTTGAATTGTACTGCTCAGGATTCCCATGTGTTCGGGGAGGGAATCAGGGGGAGGTAGTTGAATCTTTGGGGCTGGTCTTTCCCATGCTATTCTTGTGATAGTGAATAAATCTCACAAGATCTGATGGGTTAGTGGTTTCGTCTTTTGCTTCTTTTGCCTCCTTCTCATATTCTCTTGCCACTGCCATGTAAGAAGTGCTGTTCATCCACCGCCATAACTCTGAGGCCTCCTCAGCTATGTGGAACCCTTAATCCATTTAAGCCTCTTTTTCTTCCCTGTCTCGGGTATGTCTTTATCAGCAGTGTGAATATGGACTAATACATTTGGTATTGTCAAACTTCTTAATATTTGTGGAGAGAATAGGTGTGTAGTATCTTGTGCATTTCCCTGATTACTAATGAGGTTGAGAAAATTTTTATGTTTTGCAAGCTTTCTCTTTTGTGAAATCCCTATTAATGTCTTTTCCCAATTTTCTGTTGGGTTGCTATTTTTAAAATTAATTCATAGGAGCTCCTTATGCTTAGTTGATATGATATTAATCTTTCATAGGTTTTAGGTACTGCAAATATCTTCTCTAATTTATAGTTTATCTTTTGACTTTTTTACTTTTATTTTTTAATTTCAATTTTTTTGTTTTTGAGACAGAGTCTGGCTCTGTCATTCAGGCTGGAGTGCAGTGGCTCACTGCAACCTCCACCTCCTGGGTTGAGATGATTCTCATGCCTCAGCTTCCCAAGTAGCTTGGACTACAGGTGTCTGCCACTGATGCCCAGCTAATTTCTTGTATTTTTAGTAGAGATGGGGTTTCACCATGTTGGCCAGCCTGCTCTCAAACTCCTGACCTCAGGTGATATACTATTGGGATTACAGGATTGAGACACTGTGACCAGCCTATCTTTCCACTTTTTGATGTAAAAAGTTCTTAATTTTGTGATAGTCAAAATGTCTAATCTTTTTTAATGGTTAAATGGCTTTTTGTGTCCCATTCACTTACATTTTCTACTAAAAGTTTTAAAGTTTTGTTTCTGACATGTAAGTCTTTGGTCCTCTGGAATTTAATGTTTGTATATAGAGTGAAGTAGGAATATAATTTCATTTTGTTTCTTATATCAATAACCATTATTTTTCTATTCTATTTATTGAAAAGTCCTTTCTTTCCTTACTGATCTGCCATGTCACCTACATCACGTATCGAAGATTAAATTTGTAGAGATTTGCTTGGGAGCTCTCTATTCTGTTTCATTAGTCAGTTTATCAGTGAGGACCACACTGTCTTAATTGCTGTAGCTTTATAAAAGTTCTGATATTTGGCAGGACAAATCTTTCCTCTTCTTCAATGTCTTTGATATTCTTGGACCTTCTCTTTTCCATATATATATATCTAGAGAGAGAGAGAGAGAGAGAGGTCTCACTTTGTTGCCCAGGCTTGAGGACAGTGGTGCAATCACAGTTTACTTCACACTTGAACTCCTGGACTCAAGAGCTCCTCCTACCTCAGCCTTCCAAGTAACTGGGACTCTAAGGCATGCACCACCACATCCAGCTAATTTTTTAAAAAAATATTATTTTTTGCAATGATGGAGATCTTGCTATGCTGCCCAGGCTGGTCTCAAACTTTTGGCCTCAAGCAATCCTCCCCCCTCAGGTTCCCATAGTGCTGGGATCACAAGAGTGAGCCACCACACCTGGCTCCATTTTCCATATTTTAAGACCATTTTTAAAAAGTTGCTCAAGACTGCTTTTTTCTCTTGGTGTTACTTGCAACCCCCTTACTTAGCCTTGGAAATACTGTTAGTGAAGAAAATCTAAAGACTCAAAAAAATAAAATATTCTTTCTTTTCTTCCAACTGCAAAAGAGCAGACACCCTCCTGTATCATAAAGCTAGTTTTGATAAATAATTGGTGAACTGAGAGCATACACAGTATTATTAATTCTGTTCTAATTTCTGCTTCACTGTGGAGTGTCTTCACAGAGTCTTAAAAGATTATTGCTATGAAATATTCTTATACATGTAACCCATAACCTCTACAATTCTGCAGTTGTACTTGGCTGTCTTATCCAATACTCAGTTGTTTTGCTTCCTAATTTTTAAATTGGCATCTCTAAGTTCCAAAAGGCATAAATACTAGTATAGATTTTTAGTTAAGCCAGAAGAAAGTAGACTTTATTTACTAACATATCTTATATGTAAAAGTTTAATAAATCTCCCTGCTTCTTTTCTTTTGCATCATAACAGCCACTGAAAATAATCTTTCTATAGCAGTTTGGGGTAAATGGACAATGACTTTTGTGGCCAGAGGTGAATGGCCCAGGGGCTCCTGCACTCCAGGTCCCACTGAGCCTGCCACACAGCTGAGGGCATCGGTATTTCCACACACCTATAGTGCACGCTGTCCCAGAACACAGATCCGATGCTCTCCTTTATTCAAATGGGGAGTTGAGAGTACTGTCGTAGTAATTAAATTAATAAATACATATTTATACACCGTTAAAATCTGGTTGGATTTGTGTCCCTTCACAAAACAAATTGCTTAAATGAAACCACAGAGTTAATATAATTGAGTTCATTTGCTTCTACGAGATGCTCTTTTAAATGGAATTAGAATCTAATATGAAATGTCAATTAAAAGTTTAAATATTCAACTCAATTACATTTAGATTTTTGTTCTGTTTTGTTTTGAGATGGAGTTTAGCTCTTGTCACCCAGGCTGGAGTGCAATGGCACAATCTCAGCTCACTGCAAGCACCTTCTCCTTGGTTCAAGCAATTCTCCTGCCTCAGCCTCTGGAGTAGCTGGGATTACAAGTGTCTGCCACCACGTCTGGCTAAGTTTTGTATTTTCAGTAGAGATGGGGTTTCACCATGTTGGTCAGGCTGGTCTCGAACTCCTGACCTCAGGGGATCCACCCATCTTGGCCTCCCAAAGTGCTGGGACTATAGGCATGAGCCACCACACTCAGCCTTTTTAGATTACTTTACTTTATTTTAGTTACTTATTTTTATGACTTTATTGTTATAAAAATGCTAATTTTAAAAAATCAATCAATATAACAAAGAACATAGAAGATGATCAACAAACATTCCCACCTCTGTTATCTAGAAATAACTGTCATGAATCCAAAAGCTGACACATGGCAAATCCCTTCACACCGGTTCACAGTACTAAGTAACTCCTTGCTTGTAGAAAACATTATTATTATCATTATTATTTTTGAGATGGAATTTGACTCTTGTAGCCCAGGCTGGAGTGCGATGGTGTGATCTCGGCTCACTGCAATGTCTGCCTCCCATGTTCAAAGGATTCTCCTGCCTCAGCCTCCCAAGCAGCTGGGATTACTGGCACACACCACGATGGCCTGCTAATTTTTTGTATTTTTGTAGAGACGTGGATTCACCATGTTGGCCAGGCTGGTTTCGAACTCCTGACCTCAGGTGATCCACTTGCCTCGACCTTCAAAAGTGTTGGGTTTACAGGCAGGAGCCACCACACCCAGACTAGAAAACATTATCCAACAGCAAACAGTAGCAGTATGCTTGGGGGTTTTAGGATTGATTATTTTCAAATCTCTAGAAAAGCTCAATGCATTGCTTTAGGCTATAATCTCAGGGCAGAGTCTCATCTGTTAATGGGGGGATGGTCTAAGGGTCCTTCCAGCTCTCAGATTAATGGTTTCCCATGTTGAACTGCTCCCTGTCACCCACCCATCCTCGGTTTTGTTTGTTTGTTTTTACAGAGATGAGGTCTCACTATACTGCCCAGGCTGGTCTTGAACTCCTGGCCTTAAGCGATCCTCCTGCCTTGACTTCCCAAAGTGCTGGAGTTACAGATGTGAGCCTCTGTGCTCAGCCCATCCTTGCCTGTTCAAGTGTAGAGGTAAGTAGCAGATGCCAAGTTTACCTCCATGTCAGAAGGGGCAGATGCCCCAGGGCAGAATCATAACGCTAATCAGGCCTCCCACTGCATGAAGACATTATGTTCTGAAGCTTAAACCTGGACAAAGGTCTGACCAGTAGCACTGTGTTCATGATTATCAGGTCAAAAATTTAATACTGGGACTACCCAGAAGAACCTGGTAGATTCAGGTGCAGTCCACAGTCCAATGGTCAGCCATGATAACAGGCCACCTGTACTTTCTCTTTATCTTGGAGTCCTTGATGTAAAAATTGATGACATATTCTTCTGGTGTGCTTCCCTTTCTTCTTCATTTTCCATAAGTAATTTCCTCCATCCCGACTCCCAACAGGCCACAGTCAATTCAGGACATTTTAACCATGAAAAGGAGTCTCCATAACACGAATTTAGAGGCCAGACACGGTGGATCACACCTGTAATCCCAGCACTCTGTGAGGCTGAAGTGGGAGAATGGCTTGAGCTTAGGAGCTTGAGACCAGCCTGGGCAACATGGTGAAACCCTGTCTCTAACAAAAAATAAATAAATAAATAAATAAATAAATAAATGAAAATAAGCCATGTATGGTGGTGCATGCTACTAGTCCCAGCTACTCAGGAGGCTGAGGTGGGAGGATTGTGGAGCCAAGGAGGTCAAGTATGGAGTGGTCCAAGATCATGCCACTGCAATCCAGCCTGGGTAATGGAGTGAGACTTTATATAAAATAAAAAAAGGATTTAAAGGACAGGCTGACTTTCTTGTTACAAGCCAATGCACATTTGCTATTCCATAAATCCTAGGGCACCTCTTAAGAATTAATCCAGCATATAAACAGAACCAAAAACAAAAACCATATGATTATCTCAATAGATGCAGAAAAGGCCTTTGAAAAAATTCAACAACTATTCATGCAAAAAACTCTCAATAAATTAGGTATTGAATGGACATATCTCAAAATAATAAGAGCTATCTATGACAAACCCACAGCCAATATCATACTGAATTGGCAAAGACTGGAAGCATTCCCTTTGAAAACTGGCACAAGACAGTGATGTCCTCTCTCACCACTCCTATTCAACAAAGTGTTGGAAGTTCTGGCCAGGGCAATTAGGAAGGAGAAGGAAATAAAGGGTATTCAATTAGGAAAAGAGGAAGTCAAATTGTCCCTGTTTGCAGATGACAAGATTGTGTATCTAGAAAACCCCATAGTCTCAGCCCAAAACCTCCTTAAGCTGATAAGCAACTTCAGCAAACTCTCAGGATACAAAATCAATGTACAAAAATCACAAGCATTCTTATACACCAATAACAGACAAACAGAGAGCCAAATCATGAGTGAACTCCCATTCACAATTGCTTCAAAGAGAAGCAAATACCTAGGAATCCAACTTACAAGGGACGTGAAGGCATTTGGTTCTTCAATGAGAGCTACAAACCACTGCTCAATGAAATAAAAGATGATACAAACAAATGGAAGAACATTCCATGCTCATGGGTAGGAAGAATCAATATTGTGAAAAGGGCCATACTGCCCAAGGTAATTTACAGACTCAATGCCATCCCCATCAAGCTACCAATGACTTTCTTCACAGAATTGGAAAAAACAACTTTAAAGTTTATATGGAACCAAAAAGGAGCCCGCATCACCAAGTCAATCCTAAGCCAAAAGAACAAAGCGGGAGGCATCATGCTAACCTGACTTCAAACTATACTACAAGGCTACAGTAACCAAAACAGCATGGTACTTGTACCAAAACAGATATAGATCAATGGAACAGAACAGAGCCCTCAGAAATATCGCCGCGTATCTACAACTATCTGATCTTTGAGGAAAACAAGCAATGGGGAAAGGATTCCCTATTTAACAAATGGTGCTGGGAAAGCTGGCTAGCCATATGTAGAAGGCTGAAACTGGATCCCTTCCTTACACCTTATACAAAAATTAATTAAAGATGGATTAAAGACTTAAATGTTAGACCTAAAACCATAAAAACTCTAGAAGAAAACCTAGGCTTTACAATTCAGGACATAGGCATGGGAAAGGACTTCATGTCTAAAATACCAAAAGCAATGGCAACAAAAGCAAAAATTGACAAATGGGATCTAATTAAACTAAAGGGCTTCTGCACAGCAAAAGAAAATACCATCAGAGTGAACAGGCAACCTACAAAATGGGAGAAAATTTTTGCAACCTACTCATCTGACTAAGGGCTAACATCCAGAATCTACAATGAACTCAAACAAATTTACAAGAAAAAAACAAACAACCCCATCAAAAAGTGGGCAAAGGACATGAACAGACACTTCTCAAAAGAAGACATTTATGCAGCCAAAAAACACATGAAAAAATGCTCATCATCACTGGCCATCAGAGAAATGCAAATCAAAACCACAATGAGATACCATCTCACACCAGTTAGAAGGGCGATCATTAAAAAGTCAGGAAACAGCAGGTGCTGGAGAGGATGTGGAGGAATAGGAACACTTTTACACTATGATGGGACTGTAAACCTGTTCAACCATTGTGGAAGACACTGTAGCCATTCCTCAAGGATCTAGAACTAGAAATACCATTTGACCCAGCCATCCCATTACTGGGTATATACCCAAAGGACTATAAATCATGCTGCTATAAAGACACATGCACACGTATGTTTATTGTGGCACTATTCACAATAGCAAAGACTTGGAACCAACCCAAATGTCCAAAAATGATAGACTGGATTAAGAAAATGTGGCACATATACACCATGGAATACTATGCAGCCATAAAAAATGATGAGTTCATGTCCTTTGTAGGGACATGGATGAAATTGGAAATCATCATTCTCAGTAAACTATAGCAAGAACAAAATACCAAACACCGCATATTCTCACTCATACTTGGGAATTGAACAAAGAGAACACATGGACACAGGAAGGGGAACATCACACTCTGGGGACTGTTGTGGGGTGGGGAGAGGGGTGAGGGATACCTTTAGGAGATATACCTAATACTAAATGACGAGTTAATGGGTGCAGCACACCAGCATGGCACATGTATACATATGTAACTAACCTGCACATTGTGCACATGTACCCTAAAACTTAAAGTATAATAATAATAAAAGAAAAAATAAAAAAGAATTATGCTAAATCTACTCTACCCATGCTGTATAAATGGAACAACAACACTTGGATGATATCAGAGCTGTTTACGGCATGGGTTACTGAGTATTTTAATCCCACTTTTGAGACCTACAGCTCAGAAAAAAAGATTCATTTCAAATACTTCAGCTTTTTGACAATGTACCTGGTGACTAAAGAGCTCTAATGGAGATGTACAGGGAAACGCATGCTGGTTTCATGCCTGCCAACACAACATCTATTCTGTAGTCCATGGACTGAGGCATCATTTTGACTTTCTAGTCTTATTATTTGAGAAATATATTTTATAAGGCTGTTACTGCCATAGGTCATGATTCCTTTGATGGATCTGGGCAAAGTCAATTGGAAACCTTCTGGAAAGGATTCACTATGACAGATGCCACTAAGAACATTCAAGATTCACCAGAGGAGGTAAAAATAGCAGCATTAATAGGAGTTTGGAAGAAGTTGATTCCAACCCTCATAGATGACTTTGAGAGGTTCAAGACCTTAGCAGAGGAAGCAACCACAGTTGTGGTGAAGATAGCAAGAGAACTAGAATTACAAGTGGAACCTGAAGACGTGAGTGAATTGCTGCAATCTTTTTTTTTTTTTTTTTTTTTTTTTGAGATGGAGTTTTGTTTTGTTGCCAAGGCTGGAGTGCAATGGCGCGATCTCGGCTCACCACAACCTCCGCCTACTGGGTTCAAGTGATTCTCCTGCCTCAGCCTCCTGAGTAGCTGCCATTATAGGCATGTGCTACCGCATCCGGCCGATTTTGTATTTTTAGTAGACACGATGTTTCACCACGTTGGTTAGGGTGGACTGGTACTCCCAACCGCAGATGATCCTTCCACCTCGGCCTTCCAAAGTGCCGGGATTACAGGCATGAACCACCGCGCCCGGCCAAATTGCTGCAATCTTAATGGAAATAAATGGAATTAGATGGAAAAAAGTTTAGCCTGGGGCTCAGGATCGGCTCTCCCTTTACTACCACATTCCCGTGCAGAGCACCAAGGAATCAGAGAATTCTAAACTCAACTTCGACCTTGTGGGTTATTATGACAGTATATTTATCAAAGTAGGAGAATAGAACATATTTAACTATTTGTTAGCTTCATTTATAACTCATAATTATTTAGACATACTGCAAATGTGGGCTGGAATTCACGTTCTGACTTTTTGTGGCCTTGAGCTAAGGAAAACGGACCCAGGGAAATGGGCTTTATATGCTTGGATGGCTTCATGGAATCCCCAACTTCTTTAGCTTCTGTGACAGCTCAAGATTGTTACTAAAATCCACTTTGTATTATCTTTAAAAACCAAGGGATATCATTTTTGCTTATATAATAATTATAAAGTTAGTTGATAGAGGAGTGGCAGGGTTAGAGAGGATTGGTTCCAATTTTGATATAAATTCTACTGTGGGTAAAATGCTACCAAACTGCATAGCATGCTACAGTGAAATCTTTTGTGAAAGGAAGAGTCAGTCAATGAAGTAAACTTCATTGTCATCTTCTTTTAAGAAATTTGTCACTCCCTCTCCAGCCCTCAGCAACCACCACCCGGATCAGTCAGTAGCTATCAACATTGAGACAAAACCATCCAGCAGCAAAATGGTGATGACTTGCTGAAGGCCTAGATGATGGTTAGCATTTTTTGGCAATCACGTATTTTCAAAGTAAGGTATATACATTATATTTTAGACATAATGCTATTGCACACTTAATTGATTACAGTAGCTTAAACATAACTTCTTTTTTTGAGATGGCATCTGGCTCTGTTGCCCAGGTTGGAGTGCAGTGGTGCGATCTTGGCTTACTGCAAACTCTGCCTCCCAGGTTCAAACAATTCTCCTGCCTCAGCCTCCTGAGTAGCTGGGACTACAGGAGTGCACCACCATTTTTGTATTTCCGGTAGACACAGGGTTTCACCATGTTGGCCAGGCTGGTCTCGAAATTCTGACCTCAGGTGATGCACCCGCCTCGGCCTCCCAATGTGCTGTGATTACAGGCGTGAGCCACCATGCCTGGCAACATAACTTTTATATACACCAGAAAGCAAAACATTTCGTGTGACTTGCAAAAAGTTTCGTGTGACTTGCGCTGTTGTGATATTCCCCTTATTGTGGTTACCTAGAACCAAACCTGCAATATCTCCAAGGTGTGCCTGTATCCCTAGAAGCAGAGCTGGAGTAAGGACTTGGGTGTGGGTGGTTTATTTGGGAAGTGATTCCAAGAAGCAAGAGTCAGAAGTGGGAAGAGTGAGCCAGGAAAGAAAGAAAAACCAAAATAATGGCATGTTATTGAGGCTCCTGCCATGGTGTTTTTTCTTCAGGACCTTCCAAGAGGTTCCGGAAAGTTATCCAGAACTGTTCACCTGAAACATGAGCCTGGAGCATTTGTCCACCTGTCCCACACTGGTTGAGGTCTTCCCCTGAGGCTGTTAACTTGCAAGTGTTTCTGGGCTGTATTTATGCTCAGACAAAATCCTACAATAATGGAGATGCCCTAGGGCAGAAAGTGGAGCTTGAGTTTGCTGGCAGCACAAGGGAAGCCTGCGCTTCAGTGGAACTTCCCACGGTGGCTGAGACTGAATGAAAGGTGAGCTGAGAAGACATGACGCAGGCGCCATTGCACTAAGCAATGGTAGCCATCGATCTGGGCAAGAGGACCCCTGCCCTGAATCCTGTACTTGAGAAGGTGCCTCTCTGGCCCTCCACTGACTGTACCCTGGCCCACCCAGAGCTTCACCCTCTCTTCTAGGGCACACGCTGGGCACTCAGGCCCCTGATGAAATGTGCCTGAGCCTGCATGGCCTCTTCCCTAGGTTCATTTCAAAGCGCAAACTGCTTGTCCAAATGGTGCCCCCTTGTGCACCAGAGGCTTTCTGCTGTCTGAATGGGGTGAGAATTGTGGATGGAGCTTGCACGGGGCCTAGGGAGTCCCCCACACAGGGGTATGCAAAGCTTCTCAAGTGAGGACAGGGCTACCTACGATGAAAGAAAAAAGTTTAGCCTGGGGCTGAGGATCGGCTCTCCCTTTACTACCACAATCCTGTGCAGAGCACCAAGAAATCAGAGAATTCTACACTCGACTTTGACCTTGTGGGTTATTATGGGTGTATATTTATCAAAGTAGGAGAATAGAACATATTTAACTAATTGTTAGCTTCATTTACAACTCATAATTATGTAGACATAAGGCAAATGTGGGCTGGAATTCAAGTTCTGATTTTTTGTGGCCTTGAGCTAAGGAAAAGGGACCCCGGGAAATGGGCTTTATATGCTTGGATGGATTCGTGGAATCCCCAACTTCATTAGCTTCTGTGATGACTCAAGATTGTTACTAAAATCCACTTTGTAGGAAATACGGGGAGGAAGGAAAGAGAAATAGGCCTTTTTATTTTTATTGATACATGACAATTATACATATTTCTAGGGTACATGTGATATTTTGATACATGCATACAATGTGTAGTCATCAAATCAGGATAATGTGCATATCCATCAACTTAAACATTTATCATTTATTTGTGTTGAGAACATTCCACATCTTTCCTCTAGTCATTTTGAAATATATAAGTTATTGTTAATGATCATCACCCTACTGTGCTTTTGAACACTAGAAATTCTGTTCCTTCCATCTAACTGTATTTTTGTCCCCATTAACCAACTTCTGGGAAGGGCAAAAGAGTGGGTGGATGAAAAGGGCCCTTTTTAGGAAAAGTAAATCTTATGAGAAGGGAAGACATTTTAGGAGGAAAAATAAAAAGGTGGACCATGGGCTTAGAGTAGGGACTGCAGAAATTGAATGACAAAGAGAAAAAACCAACTTAGCGATGTGAAAATACATCTCAATGTCATTCCTTTCACAGGTCCTATGTCTGATATTCTTTTGGGAAGCTGGATATGAAGTCGGAATCTTTCTTTGAGTCAAACATTTTTATGATTACGCTTATTATGGAATGATAGCTGACAATTATTGAGAGCAATTATTGGGGACAATTATTGAGCTTTCACAAGCTCTTTTCAAAGGCCTTTACATATATTTTCTACACGTCTAATTGTCAGATATTCTTATTATTCCCATTTTGTAGATGAGGGATGCACAGGCCTAAAACCTATGTGGAGGCAGAGAGCAGCTAAGTAACATGACCATGGCCCAACAGCAAACAAATGATGGGGCCACATGCAAATCCAGGCAGAACCCTTCTATTATATGAAGCTCAATGTTTTCTTGTTTGCATCTTGTTATGAATACACCTATTTGCAAAGGGGTTTTGAAGCTACTTTAAAACATTTTGTGGTTGTGCATGGTGGCTGACACATGTAATCCCAGCATTTTGGGAGACCAAGGTGGACAGATTGCTTGAGCTCAGGAGTTTGAGACCAGCCTGGCCAATATGGTGAAACCCTGTGTCTACTAAAAATACAAAAAAATTAGCTGGGCGTGTTGGTGTGCACCTGTAATCCCAGCTAATCTGGAGGCTGAGGCAGGGGAATCACTTGAACCCAGGAAAGGAAGGTTGCAGTAAGCTGAGATCATGCCACTGAACTCCAGCCTGAGCAACAGAGTGAGATTCTGTCTCCAAATAAAAAATAAATAAGATTGAATTTTGAGCTCCTGACCATGTCCCTAGATTGTACTCATATGTATTTTGATGTCTAATCAAATTTATTCTTAGTGCGCTTTTTAGGGAAAGTATTTATTGAGCATCTACTGTATATCATGTGCTGAGATAGGCACCAGTGGTGCAGGGAACATATGGCACAGTCTCTGACCTCAGGTAACTTTCACTCTCATACATATGTATTAGGACTCCAATACATGTGTGAATATAAGATAGTATGATAGATATTGCAACAAGTAATTATTTACTGTAAACCTATTTTATAGGATTTTAAACTTAAAATACTTTCACCCTATTTCCAAAAAAAGTATTGCATAAGTTTAAATGGATTCTCAGTTTGAAATCATCATAGAAACTGCAGTAGCATCTGCTGGTGAAATACTGCTTTGTGTCTATTAGAATAGTCCAAACAATTGGGAGAGAACTGCATTATTAGAGCTGTAAAAGTTACTGTCTAGAAATCTCAGAAAAGAGGAGGAAGTTCTATGGTAGATGAATAAGATGATATCTAAACTGTTCTCTTAAACTACTGAAGTTCTGTGGATATCTCACAGCACAAAGTTCAACTGTATGCCCACAACTCCTCATGCTACAAGATGTGACACCTTTCCAATCTCTTTTTGCAAAAGCTTCCAATTATGTCTCTTTTAAGAGTACTTTTTATACCCACATATTCCGGATTTTGTAGTACATGCAAAGACAAGATGGGAAGGGGCTTCCATTTGTTGATGCCAGCTGCCCTATGGACCAGGCCCTGCCCATGCATCCGTGTTGGTTCTTTTATCCCCACATCAGCCATAGCCCATAGGCATTAAGTGTCATTGCACAGATGAGGAAATTGAAACTCTAAGAGAATATGCAATCTACCCAGAGTCATGCAGCTTGTGTATGTAAGGGTTGGAATGAAAATCCAATCTGTGTGAGTCCCAAGTCCCCTTCCACCATATGGTTTCCATTTCATTTTGCAATCAGCTTGGCTGGGATATGTCTGCCCTAAAAGATAGTAAGTAGGAATACTTGCCTCTATACCTTAACCTGACATCCATGGGCTTGCTTTTTGTATTTGGAGGTGTCATAACATTATAATAATAATTTGATTTTTTTTGAACAGTGAATATTATACTACTCAGTCTAGAGATTTATGACATCCCAGTCTAAACTGGATGATAACAATGAACTTCTTCAAGGAGACAAGTATGAGTAATAAGGTAGTAATAAGTTGAATTTTTATGGAGTTGCTACTTCTGAATTAAAACTAGTTGAGGTTAAGTAGATATTCAAAATTATTGCTATAATCTTCACTTGAATAATACAAACATTTATTTTTTTTACATATTTATTTATTTATGGAACAGAGAGGTAATTTTAAAACAGAATTTTTGCAAATTGTATTAAAATATATTAAAAACATAATACATTATGACCCAGTAGAGTTTTTCAAAGTAATTCAGTGTTAGTTCAAAATGTGAAATTCAATCAGTATAATTCACCATAGAATACAGTGTGTATGTCAGTATAATATATATCAAAATTGGAAAGAAGTAAATGTATCTTTGTTTTGTAATAAGATGAAATTAAAATTTTAATGAATTTCAACTTTCATTTTAGATTCTGGAGGGTACCTGTGCAGGTTTATTACATGGATGTATTGTGTGATGCTGAGATTTGGGGTACGAATGAAGATGTGAGTGCCTGTCTTGAACTTGCACCCAGAGCAATCTCCCCTGATCAGCAGATGGTAAACTAATTTGAATTACACTTGAATTTCTTAGTAGAGCAGGTCACAAAGGGCAAATTGTGGTCCGGAGACAAAAGTGCCCAATGGTCTAAAATGAGCCTCCCATATCACTGAGGGTACAGGTCTTCAGAGAAATATATTTCAGAAAGGGGTCAAACCCTTGTTTAAAGATAAATGTAAGCTGGGTGTGGAGGCACACGTCTATAATTCCAGCTACTCAGGAGGCTGAGGCAGGAGGATTCCTTGAGTTCAGGAGTTTAAGACCAGCCTGGACAACATAGGAAGATCCCATCTCAATTTTTAAAAATGAGAAAAAAAATTGATAAACTTAAGCACATTAAAATTTTAAAGAGTTTATTTGAGCAAACAGAGATTCATGGATCAGGCAGCTCCAAACTGAAAGTGGTTGGAGGATCTACTGGAGGTGTTTGTAAGGAAGGCTTTTATAGGGTGAATATAGAAGTAGGGTAGAGAAATTATTTGATTGGCAAAAATTTGGGCAGTTGCATTATTTGAACTATCCTGGTGGTAGGTCTCTCATTACACAGCTAATACTCAGCGGGCCACTTGTTGATGGGCTAAGCTTGTTTCATTTTTTCTATGTAGGAACCCTGGCCATGGGAGCTATCTCAGCCTAATGCTCTCCCATTACGTTATTTTACACCTTCTTTCTGTATCAGGGTAAGTGGGGGTCTTCCCCAGGAGTGTTCTTACCACCCTGTTTCCCTCAGCAAAATGAAACTGTCCCTTTTGCCTCTGTAGGCAATCTTCTGAACAAGACATTCCTAATATTCTTATCTTACTTTATCTTATCCTCTTCTCTGTACCTTGTTTACATGCTTCTGGAACACTTGTGTGTCTTGCACTTATCTCCTGAATTATTTAGGCAATCCTAAAAGAAGACCGCTAGGATGGATTGGTAGAGAACTGCTGGCATATTGAGCCCTCTCTCTTTGTATCTGGAACTTTCATAATTACGTTAGTTCTCCATGCCAATTTTGCACTTATCTTTGTTCTCCACTTCAAAATACATTTACCTCTGACAGAAGCTGAGTACATAAAAGGGACCTTGTCCAGTGGTACTTATGAGGCAGGAGACATGATATAGTTAAAATTATAAACTATAATCACTATATAGTTATATACTACATATAATCACTATATCACTCCCGGGTTCAAGTGATACTCCTGCCTCAGCCTCCTGAGTAGCTGGGATTACAGACGTGTGCCACCACACTTGAATAATTGTATATGTTTTAAAATAAGAATAGATTTTCTCAGCTAAACTGAAGGGAAATGCTAAAGAAAGAGTGAGATTTGACTTGATAATTATGTGTCTGAATGAATCAGCCAATTAATAAAATGAAAACAGGCCGGGACAGTGGTACATGCCAGTCCTCCCAGCAATTTGGGAGGCCAAGGTGGGCAGATCACTTGAGTCCAAGAGTTTGAGACCAGCCTGAGCAACATATCAAAACACTGTCTCTACAAAAAATACAAAAATTAGCCACTGTGTGGTGGCTCATGTCTGTAGTCCCTGCTACTTGGGAGGCTGAGGTAGGAGGATCACCTGAGCCTGGAGATGTAGAGGCTGCAGTGAGCTGTGATCATGCCACCGCACTTCCAGCCTGGGTGACAGTGAGACCCTGTCCCAAAGAAACTAAACTAAAATTAAATGAAAACAAACACAAGACAAAAATTGATGGACTTGTTTTAACACATAGCATGATGAACACACGTAGATAACAATACTAACCCAATGGGTTATTGTCAGTCAAACTCATGGTCACTAGTCTAAAGGAAATAGAAATAATGACTGTAAATTAACAACCATTTACAACATTAGAAATACAAAATACAAATTATCATCAGATATATCAGACTCACAATTATTTGACCTTTTAAGAATTCATCCTGCTCTCCAAAATGAATAAGAAAATATTGATAACTCTTTTTTCCCTTAACTTAGCCCTTCATGCTCCTGAATCTCTGAATTTGTGTTTACATCTTAACACTCTTTTTTTGTAATTATTTTCTGCAGCTTTTTTCTCTTCACTTGAGACATCTCCTATATTCTCTTTACACTTTTCCACAAATGACTCAATTTTTTTTTGTAAACTTCATTAATGAGTTCCATGTATGTGATGATAGTGTAATGATAAATTATCCATGTGGTTTCCCTCCACTCTTGTTCATTATTCAAGTGACTCTCGATTTACCAACAGGCTAGGAGGTACCTATGACATTTTGTTCAGGTTAAGCAGAAAGAAGAAAACAAAATCTACATTCTCTTTTTTATATTTTAAACACAAGCCAACAAATAATTTGGAAGGACCCATGACAGGGAGGATTTTATGCTCTTTCAAGAGTAATTGAGATTGTTTAATTGTACGGAGGAATGAGCATATCTCAAGGGGAAGCAAGAAGATATAATATTTGGATGACAGAATCATTAAGAACTGGCTTTGCACCCTGGCTACACCATTGCACACAGGAAATATTAGGGTGCAGTGGTGCATGCCTGTAATCCCAGCACTTTAGGAGGCTGAGGCAGGTGGATCACCTGAGGTCAGCTGTTCAAGACCAGCCTGACAAACATGGTGAAACCCCATCTGTACTAAATACAAAAAATTAGCTGGGTGTGGTGGCACATGCTTCTAATCCCAGCTACTTGGGAGGCTGAGGCAGGAGAATCACTTGAACTTGGGAGGCAGAGGTTGCAGTGAGCTGAGATAGTGCCATTGCACTCCAGCCTGGGCAACAAGAGCAAAACTCTGTCTCAAAAAAAAAAAAAAATATATATATATATATTCACTGCCCCACCAACTTTTTCACATAGGATGATTAAGGATTCCAGAGCCCATGCTACCTCTAGGGGCTCCTACCCCTGCCACACCACACATATATCTTGCCAGGGCCTGTTACAGAGAAGAAAAGGCCCAGTAAATTAATATCACAATCATTGCCACATACCCACCAAAAGACTCAAATTAAAATTTTGACAAAATTAAGTGTCAAGAAGAATGCGAAGATTTGAGAATTATCACATTGTAAGACTGTCAGTTGGTGTGTTAACATTGGAATGAAACGAATAATACCTAGTAAAACTGAAGATAAGTTTACCCTGTAACCTATGGTTTCACCTCTTGCTTTATACTGTACATAAATACACACTAATGGTAACCAAATAGAAATACAAACATGTTCACAACAACATCATTTGTAACTGACAAAAGTGAACACAACCTACATGTCCACCAACAATGAAGGGATACACACTGGTGTACTGTAGTTTTATTTATTTTTATTTTTTATATTTATTTTATATATATAAATATAAATTTATATATATTTTTTGAGACAGAGTCTTGCTTAGTTGCCCAGGTTGGAGTGCAGTGGTGCGATCTTGGCTCACTGCAATCTCCACCTCCTGGGTTCAAGGAATTCTCCTGTCTCAGCCTCCCCAGTAGCTGGGATTACAGGCGCATGCCGCCACTCCCGGTAAATTTTTTTATTTCTAGTAGAGATGGGGTTTCACCTTGTTGGTAAGGCCGGTCTCAAACTCCTGTCGTGAGGTGATCCACCTATCTCGGATTCCCAAAGTGCTGGGATTACAGGTGGCAGGCGCTGCGCCTGGGCTGTTTTTTTTTTTTTTTTTTTTGAGACTGTCACTCTATTGCCCCAGTTGGAGTACAGGGTGAGATCTTGGCTCACTGCAACCTCCACCACCTCCCAGGTTCAACTGATTCTCCTGCCTTAGCCTGTCAAATAATTGGGATTACAGGCGCACACCACCACATCTGGCTAATTTTTTTTTTTTTTAACAGAGTCTAGTTCTGTCACCCAGGCTGGAGTGCAGTGGTGCAAACTTGGCTCACTGCAACCTCTGCCTCCCAGATACAAGTGATTCTCCAGCCTCAGCCTCCAGAGTAGCTGAGACTACAGGCATGTGCCACCACACCTGGCTAATTTTTTGTATTTTTAGAAGAGATGTGGTTTCACTGTGTTCGCCAGGATTGTCTCTATCTCCTGACTTAATGATCCACCTGCCTTGGCCTCCCAAAGTGCTGAGATGACAGACATTGGCCACCACGTGGCCTAATTTTTGTAGTTTTAATAGAGATGGAGTTTCATCATGTTGGCTAGGGTGGTCTGGAACTCCTGAACTCAAGTGATCTGCCTGCCTCAGCCTCCCAAAGTGCTGGGATTATAGGCACGAGCCATCATGGCTGGCTGGTGTACTGTTTTAATAGAATGAAGAAACAATGTTAAGTGTGAATCTTAAATACTTAATATTGAGTAAAAGGGGCCAGATGCACCAGGATACAGACTTTTACTCCAATTATGTAAGAGAAAAACCAGGCAAAATCAGACTTTACTTTAGGCATATAAAAAATGCATAATAAGGCCAGGCACTGAGGTCAGGAGTTCTAAACCAGCCTGACAAACATGCAAAACCCCATCTCTACTACAAACACAAAAATTATCCAGGCATGGTGGCACATGGGCCATGCCTGTAATCCCAGCTACTTGGAAGGTTGAGACATGAGAATCACTTGAATCTGGGAGGCAGAGGTTGCCGTGAGCCAAGATCATGCCACTATACTCCAGCCTGGGTGACAGAGCGAGGCTCTGTCTCCAAAAAAAAAAAAAAATGATATAAAATACATAATAAAATTATAAAGAGAACCAAGGAGAGGATGGCAGATATCCACAGGTAATGTGGATATCTCTTATATCTGTTACTAATAAGGGGAAGGAAGACTTTAGGATCAGTTAGGTGCATACAGAGGACTTCTCGGTGGTGATAGTCCTCTATTTCTTCACCTGGATAGGTATCACACAGATGTTTATTTAATAACTGATGTATCCATATCTTTGTTTGTATATTTTAAAATAAGAATGAAATAGAGGAAAGGAAGGTGAATGGAAAGAGATTTCTCCATTCATCAAAATTTTAAAGTCATGTTTTTCCTCAGGTTCTTCTCCAAGCTCAGTTTGAAATAATGAAAGGAGCTAAGCATGGTGGCTCACGCCTGTAATCTCAGGATTTTGAGAGGTTGAGGTGGACGGATCACCTGCGGTCAGGAGCTAAGACCAGCCTGGCCAACATGGTAAAGCCCCGTCTCTACTAAAAATACAAAAATTAGCTGGGTGTGGTGGTGGGCACCTATAATTCCAGCTACTCAGGAGGCTACAGTGAGCTGAGATCACATCACTTGACTCAAAAGAGTGAAACTTGTCTCAAAACAAAACAACAGCAATGAAAAAGGAAACAGGAAAACATCCTCAATAATAGAGGACGTACTAAACAAGGATGCAGCCACTCATATCATGTCTTGATTTGTAGATTAAGAAAATGATGACCCTTCCTAGGTACTGATTTAGAGTGACATTTCTGTGAAAGTAGAGAAATACTTATATATCCATAGAACACATATATGTATTTAAAATTGTATATGAGCATGACATATACATACATATTTGTGTGTATGGCATCTGCATCCTTGTATGTTTAAATACAATCTGGCAATTGCATTCTTTGGTATTTGAAAACTTATATCCACTCAAATCCTGCACATGAATGTTTACAGCAGCTTATACACAACTGACAAAGATTGGAAGTAACCAAGATATCCTACAATAGAGAAATGGATAAACTAATTCTGAAACATTCATACAAAGGAATATTCTTCAGGAATAAAAAGAAATGAACTACCAAAGCATGAAAAGACATGGAGGAATCTTAAACATGTATTTCTAAGTGAAAGAAGCCAATACAAAAAGGCCACATAGTATAGATTTCCAACTATATGGAATACTAGAAAAGGCAAAACTAGGCAGATGGTATTATAAAAAGTTCAGTGGTTGCCAGAGGCTTGAGCAGAGGGAAAGATAAATAGGTGGAGCACAGAAGATTTTTAGGGCAGTGAAACTTTTCTGTGTGACCCTATAATGGTGGATATATGTCCTTATGCATTTGTCGAAGCCCATAAATGGTAGAACACAGAGAGTGAATCTTAATATTAGCCATGAACTTAATAATATCAATATTGGCTCATCAAGCATAACAAATTACCACACTAACAAGATGATAATAGAGGAAGCGTGTGTACTATGGTGTGAGGTGAATATTAGAGCTCAATATGCCTTCTGCTCTATTTTTCTGTACACCTACAACTGTTCTAAAAATTGTCAGTTATTTATTTATTTATTTATTTATTTATTTTTATTTATTGAGATGGAGTCTCACTCTGTCACCCAGGCTGGAGTGCAATGGCCCAATCTCGGCTCATGGCAACCTCCACCTCCCGGGTTCAAGTGATTCTCCTGCTTCAGCCTCCTGAGTAGTTGGGATTACAGGCACCAGCCACCATGCCTGGCTAATTTTTTGTATTTTTAGTTGAGATGGGGTTTCACTGTGTCAGCCAGGATGGTCTTGATCTGCTGACCTCGTGATCCACCCGCCTTGGCCTTCCAAGGTGCTTGGATTACAGACATGAGCCACTGCGCCTGGCCTTATTTATCTTTTTGAGACAGGTTTTAGCTCTGTCACTCAGGCTGGAGTGCAGTGGTGCAATCATGGCTCAATGCAGCCCCAAACTCCAGGTCTCAAGTAACCCTCCCGCCTCAGCCTCCTGAGTAGCCGGGACCACAGGCATGTGCCACCATGCCCAGCACATTTCATAGACCTCTGAAAAGATGCTCAACACCATATGTCACTAGGGTGAAACAACGATGTGATACCATTACACATCTCTTAGACTGCCTTGAATGCAAACACCAACACCAAATGCTGGTGAAGATATGGAGCGACAGGAACTCATCTCTATTTCTGCTGAGAATGCAAAGTGGGACAGCCACTGTGGAAGGCAGTTTTGCAAGTTCCTGCCAGACTAAACATACGCTTACCATACAATCCAGTGAAAAATGAAATTTTAAAAATATGTTTTATATACTTGAACCATATACATTTAAATACATATATATTTTATATATATTTTAAAAGTATATATATTGTTATTTTTTGTAGAGACAGTCTCTACAGACCATAGCCTGCAGAATCTATTAATTTTAAAAGCGTTTTAAACTCTTGAACAAGAAATTATTTGAAGAGTGAAAAATAAAATGATAGAGTATTGATTGGTAAATTCCAAATGTTGTATATTACATAATTTGGATTAATTTTAAATTCCAAATAGTGAAACTTTAAAAAATATTTTAAAAATTTCCTAATCCGAGATCAATCCTAGTTCAACACATTCAAGAGCTGATTTCAGAGGAGAGATAATTGGTCAACAAGTTCTTTGGTTTTGACCTTGTTTTCCGACTATTTGTGTTTGTGAATGGTGAATTTTTAGATTTTGTTCCTTTCTTCTTAGGGTATTGACTAATATTTTATTAAGCCAGAGAGACAGTAAATTAGAATTATCTTGTTATAAATATTTCCTCCAAATTCACTTATCTAAAGTTTTTGGTTTCTTTAGTCGGGTGCAGTGGCTCACGCCTGTAATCTCAGCACTTTTGGAGGCTGAGGTGGGGGTCACTTGAGGTCAGGAGTTCAAGATCAGCCTGGCCAACATGTCAAAACCCCGTGCTTACTACCATACAAAAATTAGTAGAGTGGCTGGGTGTTTTGGCTCACTCCTATAATCCTTGCACTTTGGGAAGCCAAGGTGGGCAGATCACCTGAGGTCGGGAGTAAAGAAACAGAGAGTAAAGAATTTCTGAAACCAAAAAGTCTGAGAAAAGCTGCTCAATATATTCATTCAACAAATATTTGTCTCCTTACTGTGTACATGGTACAGTTCTAAGCTCTAGGGATAAATAGCATTGAACAAAATTCACAATATCTCCTGCTCTCATCAAGTTTACATTCTAGTGGACATAATATAAGAACAGAGATGATTTGTCAAAAGGCAGTCCGGGCACAGTGGCTCATGCCTGTAATCCCAACACTTTGGGAGGCCAAGGCAGGGAGATCACTTGAGGTCAGGGGTTCGAGATCAGCCTAGCCAATATGGTGAAACCCTGTCTCCACTAAAAATACAAAAATTAGCCAGGGCTGGGTGTGGTGGCTCACCCCTGTAATCCCAACACTTTGGGAGTCCGAGGTGGTTTGGATCACCTGAGGTAAGGAGTTCAAGAACAGCCTGGCCAACATGGTGAAACCCCGTCTCTACTAAAATACAAAAAAAAAAAAAAAATGTTAGCCAGGCGTGGTGGCAGATGACTGTAATCCCAGCTACTTGGGAGGCTAAGGCAGGAGAATCACTTGAACCTTTGGGGCGGAGGTTGCAGTGAGCCGAGATCACACCGATGCACTCCAGCCTGGGTGACAGAGCGAGACTCCATCTCAAAAAAAAAAAAAGTTTTAAGTGCCATGGAAAAAATAGGGAAGTGGTAAATAGTTTCAATTTCAGATAGGATGATCTCTGACAAGGCAAGAATCATGTTAAGACATGAAGAAAATTAAGACAATGATCCTTACAGGTATATGGAGGGAGAGCTTCTTTTTTTTCCTTTTCTGTTTTATTTATTTATTTATTTATTTATTTATTTATTTATTTGACAGAGTTTCACTCCTGTTGCCCAGGCTGCAATGCAATGGCACCATCTCAACTCATTGCAACCTCCACCTCCTGGGTTCAAGTGATTCTCCTGCCTCAGCTACTCTCCCAAGTGAAAGGTGACCAAGAGAGCCATTGAAAATAGTGAGAGTGGCCGAGTGCGGTCCCAGCACTTTGAGAGGCTGAGATGGGTGGATCATGAGGTCAGGCATTGAAGACCAACCTGGCTGAGAGGGTGAAACCCCGTCTCTACTAAAAATACAAAAATTAGCGAGGTGTGGTGGCATGTCCCTGTAATCCCAGCTACTCCAGAGGCTGAGGCAGAAGAATCACTTGAATCTGGGAGGTGGAGGTTGCAGTGAGCCCAGATCATGCCACTGCACTCTAGCCTGGGTGACAGAGCAATATTCTGCCTCAAAAAAAAAAAAAAGAAAAGAAAAGAAAAATAAAATGGTGAGAGCACCATGTTTGAAAAGTGGTCCAGGCACTGGAGTAAAGGGCCAGTGTCAGCCAAGTCATCAGCTATCAGAACAGGAAGCCATCAGGTAATATATCAAGTTGATATATTGAGAAGAAGCAGGATCTACCTATTATATAATATAGAGACAAGCACTCAGATATGTAGATTAGAAATAGTTTAGAAAATTTAAACATTTGATTATTCAGGAAGTAGACCTGGGAGCATTGGAGAAACAGGTTGGGGGAGTAGACTGCATGGAAAGCTCTTTCTTAGTTTGTAATTTTTCAATTATGCACATAGGTTTCTTACATAACATGGAAAATTCAATTAAAGAAGAAACAACATTGTGTTCTGAGGTCCCAAAGGTTTAGTGATTAATTAGAAAGACTCACAAAACCGAGTGAAGCTGTTATACTCATAGTTTATTACAACAAAAAGATACAGATGAAAATCAGCAGCAGAAAAAGGTGCATAGGGCAGAGTCCAGGAGAGACAAAGCACAAGCTTCCAGTTTTCCTCTCCCAGTGACATCGTGTGGACGGTGCTTAATTCACCCAGCGATATGTGGCAAAAAGTATAGAATATACTCCCCAACAAGAAGCTTACCTGAGCCTTGGGGTTGAGGGTTTTACTGGAGGTTGGTCACATGGACAAGAGCACCCATTTGGATGGCCTTAGTTTCTCTGTCTCCACCCTTCCCAAGGTCAAGCTGACACTGCATGGTCCAAGTTCCCCATAATAAATCACGTTGTTAACTCCCAGATAGGCAGGAGATTCCAAGGACTTAGAGGTTATTTCCTGGGAGCTAGGATAGAGTCAAACCTTTCTTTGGAGTATGCCAGGTTTGGGCAATTCAGGCCTACTAAGTTTCCTCGACTGCATACAAGTGATAGTATGTAGGAAATGAGTAGTCACATATATTGCTGGTGAAAGTAGAGTGTTATATAACCCTTTGGAAAGAAATCAAGTGTGTAGCACATACACATTATATTTGGTTTGTTTTTGTTTTTGTCTGAGACAGGGTCTCACTCTGTCACCCACACTCAGATGCAGTGGCATGATCACAGCTCACTGCAGCCTCGACTACCCAGGTTCCAGCTATCCTCCCACTCAGTCTCCTGAGTACCTGGGACCACAGGCACCTGCAAGTACACCCAGCTAATTTTTGCGTTTTTTGTGCAGATAGTGTTTCACCATGTTGCCCAGGCTGATTTCAAACTCCTGGGTTCAAACAATCCCCTACCTCAGCTCCCCATTGTGCTAGGATTACAGGAGTGAGCCACTGCACCCAACCTATATTTGTATATACATTAAATTGTATATGTTAGGCTGGGCACGGAGGCTCACGCCTGTAATTCCAGCATTTTGGGAGGCCAAGGTGGGCGGATCACTTGAGGTCAGGAGTTTGAGAGCAGCCTGGCCAACATGGTGAAAACCCATCTCCACTAAAAAAGCAAAGTTAGCTGGACATGGTGGCAGATGCCTGTATTCCCAGCTACTCAGGAGGCTGAGGCAGGAGAATTACTTGAACCAAGCAGCGGAAGTTGCAGTCAGCCGAGATCATGCCACCGCACTCCAGCCTGGATGAGAGAGCAAAACTCCATCTCAAAAAACAAAACAAAAAAGTTGTATATGTTATTGTATGTTGTGTATATATTAAGTTGCATATACACATATTAAATATATACACATATATTACACTTTATACACATACACTTGTTTCCTCATGCAATTTGTTTCAGCAGAAGTAAAAATAAAGATATAAGTAAAAGAATATTTATAGAAGCACTATTTTTGGTGGCAAGAGTACTTTAATATCTTAAATGCTCATATAATGAAAGATACTTTAACTCTTACAAAGAACGAGTTAGCTTTTTATCTACTATAAAGATATCCTAATATCTTTATATCTAAAGTGACATATGTGGCCAATTGTTATATTAAAAAAGGAGAATGCTTTATAATTAAAGAAAAAAGAAAGAAACGTTACATAGTAGCCCTCCCTTATCTGCAGGAGATGTGTTCTAAGACCCTCAGTGGATGCCTGAAACTTGGGTAGCATTGACCCAATTGCTGTCAATCAGAACACATTTCTGTTTATGATTTCCACGCACAAATTTAATGCCTTTTTCATCTTAACTAAGCACTTATCACACACTTGGCTGTACTTTTTAGAGCTTGCAGTGCAATAAACAAGACTAACAGAAATTTCTTTTTCCTTCTTACATTTTCACCGCTAGAGGATTTGTTCTTACTATCGATGTTAGCAAACTGAGCACATTACTTCTCTCTTTTTCTTTCTTTCTTCCTTTCTTTCTCTTTCTTTCTCTTTCTTTCTTTCTCTTTCTTTCTTTCTTCTTTCTTTCTTTCTTTTTCTTTCTTTCATCTTTCTTTTTTTCTCTTTATTTTATGTATTTACTTATTTATTGAGATGGAATCTCAGTCTATCATCCAGGTTGGGGTGCATTAATGCAATATTGGCTCACTGCAAACGTCTCCTCCCAGGTTCAAGAGATTCTCATGCCTCCGCCTCCCAAGTAGCTGGGATTAAGGCGCTCGCCACCGTGCCCAAATAATTTTTGTATTTTTTGTAGCGATGGGGTTTCACCATGTTGGCCAGGTTAGTCTCGAACTCCTAACCTCAAAAGATCCACCTGCTTCAGTCTCCCAAAGTGCTGGGATTACAGGCATGAGCCACCAAGACTGGCCTGTATATTCTGTTGTTTGCTGGCCAATACTTATATGAATCTTGGAGAACATCGTGGAAAGATGCTCATCATCTTGTTAACTGGTTATTTCAATAGTGGAACTGGAGGGGGAATACTGCCTTTCCTTGTATTTATTTGTAATGTTTCATTTTCATTATGAACATGTATTATTCTAATATGTTTAAATATTAATAAAGACAGGTAAATATATGTAATTTTAATTCAAGCTGAAATCCTCAAGGCAATCACATATAATTAAATAGATGGAGGAAAGAAAACATTTAAAATCCCTGAAGGAAAAGGAGGGAAGTCCAGGCAAGGAGTCTCATGCTTATGTCAGCACTTGGGGAGGCCAAGGCAGGAGGATCACTTGGGGTCAGAAGTTCGAGACCAGTTTAGCCAATATGGTGAAACCCTGTCCCTACTGAAAATACAAAAATTAGCCAGGCATGATGGCATGCACCTGTAATCCCAGCTACTTGGAAGGTTGAGGTGGGAGAATCGCTTGAACCCGGGAAGCAGAGGTTTCAATGAACCGAGATTGTGCCACTGCAGTTCAGTCTGGGTGAAACAGTGAGACTCTGTGTCAATCAATCAATAAAAGGAGGGGGGAAAACACAACTAAAAAAATAAGTGATTCAAAAGTAGCAATGTACCATAATGCCTAAATTTGTGGGATTGGCGGGGTGTGATGGCTCCCGCCTGTAATCCCAGCACTTTGAGAGGCCAAGGTGGGTCGATCACCTGGTCAGGAGTTCGACACCAGCCTGATCAACATTGTGAAACCCTGCCTCTACTAAAAATAAAAAATTTAGCAAGGTGTGGTGGCGGACACCTGTAGTCCCAGCTACTAGGGAGGCTGAAACAGGAGAATCACTTGAACCTGGGAATCAGAGGTTGCAGTGAGCTGAGATTGTCCCACTGCACTCCAGCCTGGGTGACAGAGGGAGACTCCCTCCAAATAAATAAATAAATAAATAAATAAATAAATAAATAAATAACACTTTGTGGGACCAATTCCAATCGAGTCCAGGGGAGCACACACTGGCGACCAACATCCCCCCTCAGGTCCCTTCAGGGTCGAGAGAGTGCATCTGGAACAGACTGGGAAACTCCAGCAGGCAAAGTAAGGTTCCAGGAATAGACACACCTGACACATTCTCCATGTGCCCTCCACCCAACCCTCTCCCCATCAGGCTTCCATCGGGCTCCAATTCTGCACTCTCCCCAAGAACCTCAGATTGAAACATTGCAAGGAAGACACCGATACTCAAAGTCACAGGCTTAGGAATCTGAGCTACAAAGAAAAATGAGCCCCTGCTCCCCCAACTGCCTGGTACTCCCCTCAGCACTGCTGCCCTTCACCTGCCCCCTCCTCCATAATTTGAACTGTCCTCACAGAAGCTGGAGAGACGGCTCGCCTGTCAGGAAAGAGAGGACCAGCATGTGGCAAATGCCTGGAGTATGTAGGAGCAGATGGAGAGATTAGCACAGGGATGTAAGAAACAAGTGGCTCTCAGACCAAAGAAGACTCTGCGGGAGACGGCACATTAAGCCTTCATAGGGGCGTGTGCTGGACAGCAGCTCCCCAGTTACCGAAACAATTATCTGAGAAAGGCTCTGAGCTGACCCGAAACACCCTTGGATCCCATGGCAACGCCTCAGCGTCTGGCAGTAATAGGTTTCTGTGCCCATAATCTCTAGGTCTGGAGGTCCCAACTCCACCAGCCTCTCACAGCCCAGAGGTACATCCCATTGGCGCCTGATGGGTTAGGGAGGCTGTTCTTCCAGCTGTGACAGATCCAGCCTAGGAGCGCTCCTGGGTCTTCTTAGTTGTTTCTTCCCGCACACCTGCCACTCAAAGCCACAACCCACTTGCACACCACCTTGAGGACACCTTAAAACGACTGCCTAGATGTGAACCGCGCTGAGGGAATGGTCAGCTTTACTCCCATTAGATGGCTTGGCCCAAAGGACCTAGCGACCACTCAGACAAAAATTTCTTCCTAAAAGCTGGATGTGTCTGTGATCTCTAAGAGGCAAAACTAAACCCTAAAGAAAAAGCCAACCCACCCCCACCTCCACAAAACAAAAACAAAAACAAAACCCACCGCCAACCCACCTTTCATGTGAGGAGTCCTTGAGAAGGGCCTCTCCAGCCAGGACCAGGCAAGGGAATCTATGCACTTGGCCAGACCCAGAACACACAGTGTCAGGGACCTCACAGTCACACTCTGACCTCATAGAATTTCCACCACTGACACACAGATCAGGATGTGTCAGCCTGAGAGATGACACCACAAATCTGGCTTTCACAGATTGATTCCACACACATCCCATCACTGACACCAGATTCCCTCATCACTGACCCTACATACCCACAAGAATTGATTCCATGGATCTCATCACTATCCCAAAGACTACCCATCATAATCTACAGATTGTCATCTCTCACCCCAGGGACCCCACAGATTCCCCATCCCTGATTCCAGGATCTACAGAACCTCATCTCTTACCCCCACAGACCTATTAATAAAAGGATACATTCATAGGAGACTGTGTTGACCATTTTACACACCCATTGCCTGTGTGTGTGTGTGTGTGTGTGTGTGTGTGTGTGTGCTGATTAATGGACTTAGGTAAACTTTAGCATTTTGGTAGGCAATGCAATTTTTCAATGCCTTTTCTTTCTTTTTCTTGTACATCTTTAAAGGCCTTACTCCAGTAAGTATGCATTGCAGTTTATTAATGCCTATCCCTTACTGAGTCCTTGTCATGCGTATTTGTTATTAATCATAATTCACAATTCTTATAATTCAGAGACACCAGAGATTCACATAAGAAGAATGGCTTTGGGTTTTTATTTATTTATTTGTTTTGGTTTCTGTAAGTTATCAAATTCATTCATTTGTATCAAGTCACTAAGTGTATACTTTGTTTTCTAAAAAAAATTCCAATCAATTTTTTTTTTAAGACAGGTTATCGCTCTGTCCCCCAGGCTGGAGTGCAGTGGTATAATCATGGCCACTGTAGCCTCAACCTCCTGGGCTCAAGTGATCCTCCCTCCTCAGCCTATGTAGTAAGCTGAGACCACAGGCATGCACCAATATGCCCACCTAATTAAAATTTTTTTGTAGATATGTGTGTCTCACTATATTGCAGAGACTGGTCTTGAACTCCTGGGCTCAACTGATCCTCCCACCTTGGCCTCCCAAAGTACTGAGATTACAGGTGTGAGCCACTGTACTCAGCTGATAAAATCTTAAAAAGAGGAAAATACTTTGGGGCCTAATGTAAAATTTCCACCGAGATGATGCGTCAGAAATTAAGGTAGAATAAGATGTCCCTAGGGCATCAAAACAACAAAACTTAATCTTGGGCTGGGTGCGGTGGCTCATGCCTGTAATCACAGCAATTTTGGAAACCAAGGTGGGGGACTCACTTGAGGTCAGAAGTGTGAGACCAGTGTAGCCACCATGGTGAAACGCTGTCTCTACTAAAAATACAAAAATTAGCCTGGAGGTTGCACTGAGCCAAGATTGTGCCAATACCCTCCAGTCTGGGCAACAGAGGGAGATTCTGTCTCAAAAAAAAAAGAAGAGGAAGAAGAAAGAAAATCTTAATTTCTTCGTCAAATGTAAAAACTATGGACTGGACTCTGGAGGAATAATACACAAAAAGACAGATAGGCACTATTTTTTTGAAGTTTTATTGAGAAATATTGATAACATACCACAGAAGCCACTGATTTAAAGTGTAAAATTCAGTGGTTTTCAGTATATTTGCACTGTTATGCAAACATCACCACAATAAATTTTAGATCATTTTCATTACCCTGAAGTAAACACCATATCCCTCCATTTCCCCCCAACTCCCCTAATCCTGGGCCACCACAAATCTACTTTCTGTTTCTATGTGTTGGTCTATTTTGGACATTTTATTTAAATGGAATTACATACCATGTGGTCCTTTGTGACCGGCTTCTTTCACTTAGCATAATATTTTCAAGGTTTATTCAATCTTGCATGTGCAAAGGGGGCACTTTACATAAGGATAAACCTGGAGTGGGGGGTACTTACTGATTGATTTGGAAACTTCCCTCCGAAATTGTAAAGGCTTTCAAATAGAGGAACAACCTATTCAGGCTAAAATCCTGTTTTCAGCAGTTTGTAATGTGGGGTTTTATTGCAAAGAATGGCAAGATTTTTGGGCTTATTTTCTGCAAATTCTCCCTGTGTTTGGGGAACAGTCACAGAATGTGGAGGAATGAGCTTCTAGGCTCTGTGGCTGCAGATTCATGTCCAGGAGAACTCAGGTCCCAGGATAGGCAGAGAAAAACAGTGTAAGAAGGCCAACAGAATGCTTTGAAATGGAAAATTTAAAATGTTCCCTCCAAAAGGAGTCCCAGATAACCACATAGAAGAGGACTTTGCTGGGCAGCTCCATCGCAATTGTTCAATACTAAGATACAGACAGACTGGGAAAGAAGGAAGTTTATTTCTGCAGCCACTTACAGGGAGAAGCGCCAGGTAAATCACCAGATCAACTCAAAGTTACAAGTTTTTTTTTCTAGTGCTTATATATATCTTAAGCTCCATGTGGGATTGCACCTACAAGCAGGAGTGTTTCATTCAATCAACATCTAATCTTTAACTCGGGTCTAGCGTCTGGAAAGATTTCCCTAGAGTCTTGGAAAGTTTTTGAATCTTAAGACAGGCCGAGGTGAATGTGTACGAACGCTATCATTATTCGATCAGATTTTAGGGTCTGAGAAAACCCAGACGGGGTCTCAGTGGGTTTGTTTTCACATTCCATCCGTGATACTCAGGCACCAGTTTCTCCATTTCTTTAACGTTAACTTATGCATTCATCAAAATTATAGTAAAGGGTTAGTAGAAACTGTTCTGGTTGCTATTGCAAACCTGGCCTGCCACAGGCACTGAAGCCCACTATAGAACATTGAAAATGCCTGCAAACACTGACTTTACTGACCAGTCAATTAAATTGCAGAAAAGCAAGCTCACGCTGCCTCCCTGATCTGTCCTCCAGAATTGCTAGTTAGAAACGTTCACATTGTCCTAGGTTCAGTTTTGCAAAGATGGAGCCTGGCAGTGAAAGCATTTGTTTGAGTTCATGCATTAAGATTTGCTTTGTCTATTTCTTTTATATTTATTTATTTATTTATTTATTTATTTATTTATTTATTTTTGTGATGGAGTTTCAATCCTCTTGCCCAAGCTGGAGTGCAATGTGGCGGTCTCGGCTCACTGCAACTTCCGCCTCCTGGGTTGAAACTGTTCTCCTGCCTCAGCCTCCAAAGTAGCTAGGATTACAGGCATGCGCCACCATGCCCGGCTAATTTTTGCATTTTTAGTAGAGATGGGGTTTCACCATGTAGGCCAGGATGGTCTTGAACTCCTGAGCTCAGGCAATCCACCCGCCTCAGCCTCCAAAATGCTGTGATTACAGGCATGAGCACCCTCGGCCGGCCTATTTTATTTTAAGATGGAGTCTTGCTCTGTCGCCCAGGCTGGAGCGCAGTGGCACGAGCTCGGCTCACTGCAACCTCTGTCTCCGGGATTCAAGCGATTCTTGTGTCTCCGCCTCACAAATAGCTGGGATTACAGGCTCCCGCCACCATGCCTGGCTAATTGTTTATTTTTAGTAGAGAAGGGGTTTCACCATGTTGGCCAGACTGGTCTCGAACTTCTGACCTCAAGTGATCTGCCCGCCTCGGCCACCAAAAGTGCTGGAATTACAGGCGTGAGCCACCATGCCCGGCCCTATTTCCTTTATTTTATTTATTATTTCGAGAAGGAGTTTCGCTCTTGCCATCCACGCTGGAGCGCAGTGGCGCGATCTCGCCTCACTGCAACCTTCACCTCCTGGGTTCAAGCGATTCTCCTGCATCAGCCTCCGGAGTAGCTGGGATTACAGGCGCATGCCACCACGCCCAGCTACATTTCCTTTATTTTATTTTTTATAATTTACTACCCTGTTTGTTGATGACAAGACTGGCTGTGCACAAGGTTGGGTCTCGGTGCTCACCGGGAGCCGGGCATGGACCAGGTGGGAGGTTCTCCAGTGCCTGATACAAATCTGCAAGAAAGCGCAGGAAACGGCACTAAAGGTAGGCGTTCCAGCGCAGAAATGCGCAGGAATGGTTTTCCTGTGCTTGTAGGGAGGTCATCCCCAAGCGTTTCTTATTGGCTTCCAGTGAGACAAGATCACACCACTGCACTCCAGCCCGGGCTACAGAGTGAGACTCTGTATCCAAAAAAAAAAAAAGAGTGCTGAATGAATATCCATTGATGCATGAAATGGCTGCATTAAAGGAAAACTAGACAAGAAAAGACAAGGCAAAAAAAAGTCAAGGATCAGTATGAAAAATAAATATATTCTAAAAGATTTGTTTTTAAAGCAACTACATGGGTTTAAATTTTAAAGGGAAAGAAGTAGCTCCAAGATAGAGGAAACAGGATGGCTTCTGAAGAAGGGAGCATTATTCTTTGAAATGGAAAGAAATTATGACAAGAGGGTAGCACAGACTGTCCAAGAGGTGGAGGTAAAAGGGGGTTCTTGGCCAGACACAGTGGCTCACACCTGTAATACCAGCACTTTCAGAGGCCAAGGCAGGTGAATCACCTGAGGTCAGGAGTTCGAGGCCAGCCTAGCCAACATGGTGAAACGCCTTCTCTACTAAAAATACAAAAATTAGCTGGGCATGGTGGCAGGTGCCTATAATGCCAGTTCCTTTAGAGGCTGAGGCAGGAGAATCGCTTCAACCCGCGGGTGAAGGTTGCAGTGAGCCGAGATTGCATCACTGTTCTCCAGCCTGGGTGACTGAGAAAGAATCTCTCTCAAATTAAAAAAATTAAAAAAAATGTGTGTGGTGGGGGTATCTTGACTTTCCTCCATGTGTCTTAGGCCACAACTCTTACATGGGACCTTGCAGAAGAGATTCCTCAACCAATACCTTTATGGTGCTGCCTCCCTGATGGGCTGGGTTCTAAACAGCAGTGCCTTCCCCATCTGCTCAGTCCTTACTCACCTGGGCACCATCCTCCTGGTACGTCCCTTGAAACCATGCAGGACTCTTTCCCTTGCTCCAGTAAGGAAATCACATCAGGCTTTGGGATAGAGAGACCTGTTTATAAGAAAAGAAGTAAGATGGCCAGGCATAGTGGCTCACTCCTGTAATCCCAGCACTTTAGGAGGCCAAAACAGGTGGATTGCTTGAGGTCAGGAGTTCAAGACCAGACTGACCAACATGGTGAAATCCCGTCTCTACTAAAAACACAAAAATTGCCCAGACATGGTGGCCAGTGCCTGTAATCCCAGCTACTCAGGAGGCTGAGACGTGAGAATTGCTTGAACCCAAGATGAAGGTTGGAGTGAACCGAGATCGCACCATTGCACTCCAGCCTGGGCGATAGAGTGAGACTTCATCTCAAAAAAAAAAAAAAGAAAGAAAGAAGAAAAAGAAAGAAAGAAAGTAAGTAAAAAAGAAGGAAAGAAAGAAAGAAAGAAAGAAAAGAAGTAAGACATACTCCTGCTGTTCCTGAATTCAAAGTTAGTCCCTTAGTACTCACGAAGGACTAGAGGAAGGTGTAAAGGTCTGAAGCATGGAGAAGATGGAAGGACCCCAAAGAGCTGCCCATCTATTAATCTACTAAACACAAAACAATTCCCTAGGCAGCAGGTGAAAAGTCACCCAGACAAGTGAAAGCTACAGCCAAAACTCATGAGTTATTTGGGGATAGACATCCTTACCTAGTGAGACCAGGCTGCTATAGTTCTCCATCATTACATCTCTCTATAAGTCCTTCTGAGCAGTGTCCAGGCCCTCCCATTCCTCCTGAGAGAAGTCGATAGACAGATCCTGGAACATGCCCAACCCCTGAAATGACAAACCCAGGCAGCGCTGTTGAAATTAAAGGAAAGGTTTTTAAGATGAAGGAAGAGATGGAAGGGTGCTGAAGGATGGAGAGAATGTAGTGTGCAGACCGGCTAGGCTGAGAGTGGGGAAGAGTAAAAAAATTAGTGTGACTTCAACAAAGTACCTTCATGTTCATGAATATTCCTGTTGTGGCTGACAAACCTCCTTCACAGAAAGGGACATTCCCAGTATTCCATGGTTAGAGCTGGGAATGAATAAAGTACATTGATATATTATTTCCCAAATAAATGAAATAGAGTTGAAAAGCACACAGCAAGCTGTAGGCTTGGCAAAGCTTCAAGAATATTACAGTAAACATCTGATATGCAAGTTACTATTTACAACAAAAGCTTAATAAATAGGCACTTCCCCCTTACCATTTTCTTTCTTGTTTTTTTTTCTCTTGTTTCATTTTTTTGTTTTTGTTTTCACTTTGAGACAGGGTCTCATTCTGTTGCCCAGGCTGGAGTGCAGTGGCACAATCACAGCTCACTGCAGCCGCAACCTCCCAGGCTCAGGTGATCCTCTCACCTTAGCTTTGATTAGCTTTGATTATAAGCGTGCGCCACCATGTCCAGCTAATTTTTTTTTTTTTTTTTAGTAGAAATGAGGGTTTGCCATTTGGCCAGGCTACTCTCAAACTCCTGAGCTCAAGCAATCCACCTGCTTTGGCCTCCCAAAGTGCTGGGATTACAGGCATGAGCCACCACACCCAGCCTTGTCTCTTTTCTTAAAGGAAGACAGGATCTTTCAAAAATATCTACAAAAAGGTTAAAAACCTCTATTGGCCGGGCACAGTGGCTCACACCTGTAAACCCAGCACTTTGGGAGGCCAAGGCGGATGGATCGCCTGAGGTCAGGAGTTCGAGACCAGTCTGACCAACATGGAGAGACCATTTTAGTCTCTATTAAAAATATAAAATTAGCTGGGTGTGGTGACACATGTCTGTAATCCCAGCTACTTGGGAGGCTGAGGCAGGAGAATCGCTTGAACCTGGGAGGTGGAGGTTGCAGTGAGCCGAGATCGCACCACTCACTCCAGCCTGGGCAATAAGAGTGAAACTCTGTCTCAAAAGAAAAACAACAACAACAACAACAAAACCTCTATTGCACTTTGATAATTAGTACTTCCATAAAATAGTATAGATAGCACTTCGATAATTAAATGTACATTGGCTGGGTGTGGTAACCCACACCTGTTATCACAGCACTTTGGGAGGCCAAGGCAGGTGAATTGCTTGAACTCAGGAGTTCAAGATCAACCTGGGCAACATGGCAAAACCCTATCTCTACAAAAATACATATCATATACAAATTAGCCAGATGTAGTGGGACATGCCTCTAGTCCCAGCTACTTGGGAGGCTGAGGTGGGAGGGTTGCTTGAGCCTAGGAGGTCAAGGCCGCAGTGAGCTGTGATCCTGCCACTGCACTCCAGCCTAGGCACCAGAGCAAGATCCTGTCTCAAAAAAAAAAAAAAAAAAAAGGCCAGGTGCGGTGGCTCACGCCTGTAATCCCAGAACTTTGGGAGGCTGAGTAGGGCAGATCATGAGGTCAAGGGATCAAAACCATCCTGGACAACATGGTGAATCTCTGACTCTACTAAAAATACAAAAATTAGCTGTGCATGGTGGCACGTGCCTGTAGTCCCAGCTACTCGGGAGGCTGAGGCAGGAGAATTGCTTGAACCCAGATGGTGGAGGTTGCAGTGAACCAAGGTCATGCCACAGCACTCCAGCCTGGTAACAGATGGAGACTGCATCTCAAAAAAAAAAAAAAAAAGAGTGGGTATCATGGTAGGAATAAACTGCACACAGGTCAGACAAAAGTTACAAGGGCATCTGCCAGTATAAACAAGTTTCCTGTGAGACACCTGGTCATGGGTCAGATACTTGAGCATTAGGCTGTGGTCCAGGAAAAAGAAATGTCCAGTGAAAGGCTACTCTAAAGACCCACAGGCCCCTCCCCTAGAGCCCCATTAGAGTGAGGTAGAGTTTATAGCCATTCTCCTGAGAGACCTCAAGACCTAATTAGAAGAAAACTATAACATTTGTTATATAGAAGGCATTTTCCAAAGACTAGTTCAAAGATGAAAGATATAGTCTTCCTTTGGATATAAAACAAAATCTCAAGATACACCAAAACTGTTTTGCTTTTACTGAATAATTTTTGTGCATATGTGTTTAGCTGCAAGTGCCTAACAAGCTGTGATTTTCTTTCCTTTCCTTTCCCTTTTTTTTTGTCTTGAGACAGCCTTGCTCTGTCACCCAGGCTGAAGTGCAGTGGCCTGATCTTGGCTCACTGCAACCTCAGCCTCCCATAGCTGGGATTACAGGTGCCTGCCACCACACCCAGCTAATTTTTGTAATTTTAGTAGAGACGGGGTTTCACTGTGTTGCCGAGGATGGTCTCGAACTCGTGGCCTCAAGTGATCCACCCACGTTGGGTCCCAAAGTACTAGGATTACAGGCATGAGCCACCATGCCTGGCCAACTCTGATTTTCTAACTTGCCTCATGTATTAGGTTCATACTGGGAAAAAAACAGGTCAGAGCCATTGGAGCCACGTGTACAGATGTGCAGTAGCTCTGCTAGTAACACTGCTGCTTTCTTCGGCTCTTAAGACAGATGAGTTCAGCACGTGTCTGCCCTTGCTCTAGCTGTCTCTGATTCCCCCCAACAGATCCACAATCATGTCACTCAGTTAGATTCACTTTGGATATCCCATCATTAGATTAAAACCAGCAGGTCAAAAAGATAACCTGAGGAAATGCTTTCACATCCACAGTGTTCTCATAGGGCAAGTATCATTTAGACATGTCAGGACCGTGGTTGCAGAGGACAGAATGAAGTGTCATCCTTAACTGGCCATCCAATGTCATCAGCAAGAACAGGAGGACTTTATAGGATATTATCTGATGTTTTCTGAATATTACCTTACAAATGCTGCTTTACTTATAACTTAAGAATAGGGACCCTGTCTTTTAAAGCTTTATACATCCTCAAGTAAAGGTTTTTCATATTAAATCCATTAATAATATCTAAAGGCCGACCTGGAAATTCCATTTCTAAGTATTTATCCAAAGTAAAGATTTTTTTTTCTTTTTTTGAGACGGAGTTTTGCTCTTGTTGCCCAGGCTGGAGTGCAGTGGTGTGATCTCGGCTCACTGCAACTTCTGCCTCCTGGGTTCAAGCGATTCTCCTGCCTCACCCTCCTGAGTAGCTGGGATTACAGGCACGCAGCACCACGCCCAGCTAATTTTGTATTTTTAGGAGAGACAGAGTTTCTCCATGTTAGTCAGGCTGGTCTCAAACTCCTGACCTCAGGTGATCAACCCACCTTGGCCTCCCAAAATGCTGGGAGTACAGGTGTGAGCCACCACGTCCTGCCAAGAATTTTTTTTTTCTTGAGACAAGTCTCAATCTGTTACCCAGGCTACAGTGCAGTGAGGTGATCACAGCTCACTGCAACCTCTGCCTCCTGGGTTCAAGTGTTTTTTGTGACTCAACCATTAAAGTAGCTTGGAATACAGGCACACACCACCATACCTGGCTAATTTTTTTTTTGTATTTTTGGTAAAGAGCAGGTTTTACCATGTTGGCCAGGCTGGTCTCAAACTCCTGGCCTCAAGCAAGGCCACTTTGGGAGGCCAAGGTGGGCAGATCACCTGAGGTCAGGAGTTCAAGACCAGCCTGGCCAACATGGTGAAACCCTGTCTCTAATTAAAATACAAAAGGTAGCCAGGTGTGGTAGCAGGTGCCTGTAATACCAGCTACTGGGGAGTCAGAGGCAGGAGAATCACTTCAGCCTGGGAGGCGGAGGTTGCAGTGAGCCGAGACTGTGCCACTGCACTCCAGCCTGGGCAACAGAGCCAGACTGTCTATCAAAATATAAATAAATATAAAAATACAAAAAAGCTGGACACAGTGGCTCATGCCTGTAATCTCAGCGCTTTGGGAGGCCAAGGCAGGTGGATGACTTGAGATCAGGAGTTCCAGACCAGACTGTCCAACATGGCAAAACCCTGTCTCTACTAAAAATACAAAAATTAGTCGGGTGTGGTGGCTCACCCTCTAATCCCAGCTACTTGGGAGGCTGAAGCAGGAGAATCACTTGAACCTGGGAGGCAGAAGTTGCAGTGAGCAGAGTTCATGCCATTGCACTCCAGCCTGGGCAACAAGAGTGAAACTGCATCTCAAGAAAAAAAAAAAAGAATACAAAAAATTAGCAGGGTGTAGTGGCGCATGCCTGTAATCTAGGCTACTTGGGAGGCTGAGGCAGGAGAATTGCCTGAACCTGGAAGGTGAAGATTACAGTGATAAGACTGCACCACTGCACTCTAGCCTGGGTCACAAGAGCCAAGAGCGAGAATCCATCTAAAAAAAAAAAAGAGTTTCTATTTGGGGTGCAAAACAAAAGAAATGGAGTGAAAGGGATGTAAGGAAATTGAAAGTCAACAGGCTAATAATGCCAATAAATAATGATGGAGCAAAGAAATCAGTATTGGCCAAATAAAACCAACGTGTTTTGTAATATTTTTTCAAAATTTAGACAAAGTTTTCCAGTACACTGAGACACTTCTACTATCAAGACTATAATATTGGCTGAACACAGTGGCTTATGCGTATAATCCCAGCACTTTGGGATGCCAAGGCAGGAGGATTGCTTGATCCCAGAAGTTCAAGTCAAGCCTGGGAAATATAGGGAGACACCGTCTCTGCAAAAATTAAAATAAAATAAAATAAAATAAAATAAAATAAAATAAAATAAAATAAAATAAAATAATAATAAAATAAAATAATTAAAATAATAAAATAAAATAAAATGCCAGGCATGGTGGTATACCTCTGTGAGCTGTGACCACCCCACTGCACTCTAGGCTTGGTAACAGAGCAAGAAAGACCCTGTCTCAACAAAAACCTAGAATATAGAATAAATGACATTTGGGTAAGTGGAATATTAGGTGTTCAATAAACATAGGTTATTCCCTCCCTATCTCCATAGAATCATCAATTTTATTTTAAAAGAGAAGTTTTGATTAGAATCCAAAAATATCAATACTTCTCTTTCCAAAAAAGGAGGGAGGATTTAAATATAACAATTTCTTGGTTATTTCTATTTATTTTCATGGTTGCTTAATATTACTCAGTAACAAATATGCAATTGCTCTCTTTCAAACGTAGTTTTAATTAGTTGCACAAAATGCCAACTTATAGTCTGATGTACTTCAAATTTCCCTATCTATGAAAGCTAAATTTGGATATTATCATCTCAAGAATATTATAATCTCTGTCTTTAAATCTATCTGGGGTTCTACCTTTTCTGTAAGCCTTAGTGAATCTCACTATAGTCCTCCTTCCCTTTAAAAATGCAGTGATAGGCCGGGTGCAGTGGCTCTTCCCTGTAATCCCAGAACTTTGGGAGGCTCAGGTGGGAAGATTGTTGGAGCTCAGGAGTTCAAGACCAGACTGGGCAACATGGCAAAACCCCGTCTGTGCAAAAATTACAAATATTAGCCTGGCATGGTGCCATATGCCTATACTCCAGATACTTGGGAGGCTGAGGAGGGAGGATCCCTTCAGCCCCAGAGGTCAAGGCTGCAGTATGCCCTGACCCTGCCACTGCACTTTTGGAGGCCAAGGCAGGTAGATCACCTGAGATCAGGAGTTCGTGACCAGCCTGGCCAATACGGTGAAACCCTGTCTCTACTAAAAATACAAAAATTGGTCTGGTGTGGTGGCGGGCACGTGTAATCCCAACTATTCAGGAGGCTGAGACAGGAGAATCGCTTGAATCTGGGAGGTGGAGGCTGCAGTGAACCAAGATTGCACCACTGCAGTTCAGCCTAGGCAAGGCAGAGTGAGACTCTGTCAAAAAAAAAAAAAAGAAAGAAAGAAAGAAAGAGAAAGAAAGAAAGAAAGAAAAAGAAAATCAGTGATAGGTGAGGCAGCTCATGCCTGTAATCATAGCACTTTGGAGGCAGAGGGGGAGGATCACTTGAACTCAGGAGTTCAAGACCAGCCCAGACAACATAGTGAGTCTTCTTCTCTACTGTAAATTATTTTTAATTACACCATAGTGCTAGTGTGTGCCTCTGGTTTCAGCTTATTTGGCAGGCTGAGGTAGAAGGATCTCTTGGGCATAGGAGATCAAGGCTGCAATGAGCTGAGATCGTGCCACTGAACTCCAGCCTGGGAGACAGAGTGAGACTCTACCTCATAAATAAAAATAAATACATAAATAAAAATTCAGCGATGGAGTTGATGGATTTGAGGTTGAGGACCCCCAATGTGAACCCATTTGGAAAAAACTCAACCTGTGTTCTTCCTCTGCTTCACACCAAAAACACAACAATCTACCCAGAAGACTTCTGTGGCCTCAAAATATGAGGCGATTTCTCCCTTTCACCAAGCAAGGAATCAGTTCTGCAGCAGACACCAGCTGGGTGTCCACCAATTCGATTCTGACACTATCTGCCATAAGACAGTGTCACCTCACAGATTGAGGGCTCAGCCCCCAAAACTGCCCCCCTTTCAGACACCAGTCACAAGTCCCAGCCTCTGGAACTTCTGACTGATGGGTTTAATTTGGGGTTCCTATGACCTCCTCTTTGGTTTGATTAATTTGCTAGAATAAAATGGCTCACAAACCTCACGGAAACACATTTACTATTTGATTATAAGGATATTCCAAAGGATATAGATGAAGAGATGCCTAGCACGAGGTATGGGGGAAGGGGCACAGAGCTTCCATCCCCTCCCTGGGCACAACCCTCCAGGAACCTCCATGTGTTCAGCTCTCTGGAAGCTCTCCGAATCCACTCCTTTGGGGTTTGTAAGGTGGCCTCATTACATATGCATGATTGATTAAACCATTAGCCACTTGCCATCAACTTAATCCTCAGTCCCCTCCACTCCCCAGGGGTGGGAGGGTAGGGGCTGAAAGTCCCAACCCTCTAATCCTGCCTTGGTCTTTCTGATGACCAGTCCACATCCTGAAGCTATCGGTCAATCACTAACATATAAAAAGCCAAAGCCTGGGTGCGGTGGCTCACGCCTGTAATCCCAACACTTTGGGAGCCCGAGGCAGGCAGATCACTTGAGGTTAGGAGTTCGAGACCAGACTGGCCAATATGGTGAAACCCCGTCTCTACTAAAGAAGAAAACAAAGACAAAAATTAGCCGGGCATGGTGGCACATGCCTGTAGTCCACTCGGAAGGCTGAAGCAGAAGAATTGCTTGAACCCGGGAGGCAGAGGTTGCAGTGAGTGGAGATTGCGCCACTGCACTCCAGCCTGGGTTACAGAGCAAGACTCCGTTTCAAAAAAAAAAAAAAAAAAAAAAAAAAAAAAAAAAAAAAACAGCAAGCCCTTAGGACATTCCAAGGATTTTAGGAGTTGTATGCCAGGAAATAGGGACAAAGACCAAATTTGTATTTGACAAAATCACAGAACCGTATGAGTATTTAATTCAATACAGGCATGGAAACTGGCCCAAGCATTTACTCACAGATGACTGGGCAAATCCCTGGTCCTATGGGTACAAACTATTGATCAAACCCCCAATCTCATTCCTACCCCTAAAATATAGCAACGTGAAAGATCTTATTACCTATTTGGACTGAGATTAACACCATCCCTTAAACTGCATGGCTTTCAATCCCAGGGCTATGGCGTGTGATGCCACATAGAATATGCATGAATCTTCTCTCCAACAATTGAGTTGTTAGGATAAAGGCTCTTGTCTTTGCCTTCTTTCTCTCACAGCCAAGAATATTAAGGAACGTGGACACAAAGAATGAGTTTGGAACAGAAGTTTAATAAGCAAAAGAAGAAAGCTCTCCCCAGCAGAGAGGGGACCCGAAAGAGGGTTGCCAACTAGGAGGCTGAATCTGGGGGTTTTGTGAACTGGGAAGAGGAAGAATGTGCTCACTGGTCTGTGAGCTGTCTTGGAGATAGCACGACTTCGCTTGGCCCGGGACCTTAGCCTGGGACCAATCAGAGGCTGAAGTGAAATTTTGGCCCAAGACCAATCAGGGGCTGAAGTGAAAGTTTGGCCCAGGACCAATCAGAGGCTGAAGTGATGATTCATAGAGGCTCGGCTCACAGTCCAAAGCATGTCCAGAAAACAAAGTGGCCGCCGGAGCCTGTTAGTCCAAGCTGCACCGATTTGTAAGCCCCCACCATTTCACAGACCCTGTTCAGAGGGAAACATTCCACTGGGGTTTGGGCTGCGAGAAACATCCTCCCCAACCGCCTGACTTCCTTATCACATCCTGCTGGGGTAGCACTTGCTGCTACCCTGTGAGGGATGGAGGGGCACCCTGAAGCATTGGAGAAGTGCATGAGTGACCTAGCTCAGATGATGATATCATAGTAACCCTGTTTATTATTTATCACCTACCATGTGCCAGGCCTTGTGCGAAGTACTTTGCACACATTACCTGCCATAAAGCTCAGAGACAACTGTAGGAGTGAATCTGTTATAACTCCCACTTTACAGGGGAGGAAACTGACGCCCAGAGAGGTGAACCAGTCTTCCCCAGGCCTTGCACCTAGTCTCTAGGATGTGGATTCAGGCGGTCTGTCTCACAGATCCCCTCATCCTCTTGGTTTTTGCTCCTGCAGCCCTCTGGCCTGTCCCCAGGACCCTGTAACCTTGGCCACCCCCAAGATGACCTGGACATGGGCTTCAGCAAAGGCAGCAACCCCAGCATATCTCCATTTGATAGGGAGGAACCTCAGGCCCACCACAGGAGCCCTGGGCTGCAGGTGGTATAGGTGCTGGCTGAACCACAGTGCACCCATGTTGGAGGATGCAACATAGGATGGGCAGCAGCAGGAGGTCTCCCTGCCCAACAACTGGTAGTGGTACCTGAGAACAAAGGAGGAGAAGGAAGCTTTGGATACAGGTGTGGAGAAGCCCAAGGAGGAAGAAAAAGACTTGGACTATGGGCTGCTGGATGGCCTCAAGGATCCCCTCCCCGAAAAGGAATTTTGAGACTTATACCCAGGGCTGAGATGAAAGTGCTTCCTATTTTCTATCCTGGAACTGCTGCAAACCTCGGTGTGACATCACAGGGCCTCATTTCCCTATTTGTAAAATGGGATTTTATGGGGGTTCCAATGAGAGACTGGACCGAGAGCATTTTGAGAATTGTAAAAAATGTACATTGAGGGAATAATTATTATCAATGGGCCATTGCTCTTCCAATAGTTAGTATTCTTTAGCAAATATTGGAAGGTAAAATATGATTTATTGAGGAGGTTTGCAGCAGCTGAGGCCCTCAAGAGTCTTTTCTGTCTCCGTTCAAAGCTGGCCTCTGACAGGGACCTTCTTGGTGCTACCCCTGGGCCCCTCATTCTTTGTGCAGGCTTCTCAGGGTTCTTATTTCTATTGCATCTTGTGGTTCCCTGGTGGATGGCATGCTCCATCTTCACTCAGAGCTAACTGCATCTCCTCCAGGCCCATGTCCCTTGTGCAGCACCCATTGCTTCCTCACCAGGATTCAAAACCTTCTGTGACTGACCTCTGCTGACCTCCCAACTTTATCTCCCCTCATTCTTTCTGCTCCTCCAGTTACATGCCTGAGCCCCTCAATCCTGTGGCTCACACTCTCACCCAAGCTGTTCTCCATCAGGATTTGCTTGGCTCCCTTTTCTGCTAGGCAAATTTGTGTTCATCCTTCCAAGCCTTGCACAGATGTCCTCCTCTGAAAGCTCTCCCTGAGGTCACAGAGTCCTGGAACAAGGTAGTCATTGCTCCTCTGCTGCCTCTGCATTTTGTGCCTTTATCACTTTGGTGTGACTGCCCGCCTCCTGCTGAATGGAGGCATTTTGGCTTTACTCACCTCAGTATCTCCTGGGTCCAGCTGGGTGTCTGGCCTGGCCCAGAATCAGTGCTCATCAAGGGTGTATAGAACTCACAAGGACCCAGGAATGTTTTGTAAATAATACCACCCTCCCACACTTCTCCAATGCTTACTTTCTAAGCTCCTTTACTCTTTGACATTCAAATTTCTAAATGGCCTGTATGTATTTACAAAGCCTGGGAAAACGCCTTCAGAGGACAAACACACCCCACCGGCAAAATGTATTTGCATTGACTAGGATTATGGATGATATTCAGCCTTCTGGCAAATGAATCATTTGGCATTGGCTGAGTATCTGCTCTGTGCCAGATACTAAGCTGTGATCTCTAGAAAGAGACATGAACTACTGACACAGTCCTTGACCCCGAAGAGCTCAGAATCCAGTGAGCTTGATTTCTTGTAAGTTAGAGACAGAGTTCAGAGCAGAAGCTGAGGCAGGAGAAGAGAAGTAAAATGGACACATCAGAGGCAGTGACAGCCACACAGCTGTCTGGGGACACTGAGTGCAGCAACAAATAGCTTAGGCTGCCTTGGCAGCCCACGAAGGTATCACGGTTTCCTATTGCAGCATCTCAGTGATGCTTTTGTTATGCTGATCTCTGCAAAGCCCCTCTGTACCCCAGCCCAGGATGGTGACTGCCATGCTGTGGAGAAAAGGGCAGTGACCAGGACCACAGGCTCAGAGCTTGCACCCTGGACCACCTGGGAATGGGAGCCCTTCACATGTTCTCTACCTCTGTGTTCAGGTTGGGGGTCCTGGCCAAGGAAGGGAGATGACCCCCATGCGGGGTCAAAAGGACACACTCCCGGGAACAGACTGTCTCTTCTTTCTGGGTAATTTCTGCCTCTGCAGTGAATGGTGAAACCAGACACATCCTCTCTGTTGGTATGACACAAAGACAGGCGTTCCTGCTCATGGGCTGAATCTTCAGATGAGGGGAGGTGTAGCAAACTCCTGTGCTCTGATGACTAAGGCAGGGACACATGTCACCCCATCGGAATGAGTGTCAGACCAATGGCTAAAATAAAATCATTTTCAATATTCAAAGGAATCACCTTCATTCATCTACAAATACTTTTCCTTTTCTTTCTTTTTTTTTTTTTTTTTTTTTTTTTTGAGAAGGAGTTTTGCTCTGTCGCCTAGGCTGGAGTGCAGTGGCATGATCTTGGCTCACCGCAACTTCTGCCTCCTGGGTTCAAGCGATTCTCCTGCCTCAGCCTCCGGAGTATCCGGTGTAGCTGGGACTACAGGTGCCCACCACCACATCTGGCTAATTCTTGTATTTTTCATAGAGACAAGGTTTCACTATATTAGCCAGGCTGGTCTTGAGTTCCTGACCTTTTGATCCGCCTACCTTGGCCTCCTAAACTGCTGGGATTACAGGTGTGAGCCACCGCATCTGGCCCAAGTTTTTTTCTATAAAACCACATATTGCACTCAGGGTAGGGTAAATGATGCATCATGCCTGCTGGCAACATGGGCCCTATCTGGAAAGCGAGTGCCCACCACCATAGCACAGTTCCATGCAGTGCCTGTGTGGTGCTGAATCTCAGGAGCAGCCCCAATCCTGTGAACCACAACTACAGGGACCTTAGACATAAGCAAATACTTCTGGTGGCCAGGCCTGCCAGCAAGCAGATGCTAACCCTGTCCTGGGGGCCTGCAGAGAGGTCGGGCCAGTGCAGAGGTGGTGAGACCCATGTCTGGTCTCCCCAACTCCCACCCATGCTATGCAATGGGGGCGACCACGCACCCGATCTGCCTGGGAGGGTCCTAGTGTGCCCACTGCCTTGCTGAGTTATGAGGGATGCTGCCTCTCACATCTCACCGGTATCGCATTTGAAGGACAAATTATGTCTTCCCTTCCCCACCCTGTGGACCTCCGTTTCCTCATGTGCAAGTGGGGGATGATAGGCTTACATGGTTATGCAGTGGGGGTATCAATGGGATCCATCTGTCAATACCTTGCATCCAGTGACCACCTGGAGCACACCTGCAGTTCGCAAGTTAGGCTTCCTGCTGCAGTGAGGGGAGCAAGCACTGCCTGGAGCCAGGGAGCTTCTCTGAAGGAGGTGTTGGAAAGGACTTGTTCCAGAATTTGGGCTTGTATTGGGAGCTTGGGGGAAGGTTGAAAGAAGCCTTTGCTCCAGATTGGATGCTGTCAGAGGCAGGGTGGATTCTATCACCTGGCATCTTCCCCAATCTTACCTAGAAGGAAGGAAGACAAGACCAAAGCTAACGCTGCAATTGACAGAGGTAGTGGTCATGACATAGACACAGGGGAGGGGGTGTGAGGTCATTTTTGTCCATGTTTTGCATGAGCTGAGCCATGATAGCTACCAAGTGACCTTGCTTTGTCTTGACCCATCATGGTCACAGAGCGACCTTGTCTGATGCTGACAACCTGTGCAGTTCAACAGGAGAACACCAACGTCTTGCCAGCAGTGGCTGCTGTCCTCCTGAGGCCTCGCTTCTCCTCCTCTGGGGCCTACTGCTGACCGTGGGAGGTGTGGAGTGGGAAGGGAATATGCCGTGGGTTTTTTTTTTTTTTTTTTTTTTGCAGAACAAGGACAGGGGACTCTGATGCCTTCAGCTCTGGCCATCCTGAGTGCTGTGATCTGCTTCCCCTGCTTCCTACACCACCCACAATCCCACCACGCTGCTGCAGTCACTGCCAACTCATAGTGCCTTCTAAGGGCCCCAGTGTCTCTGGGACACCCCTCTCCCCTGGGAGGGAAGCCAGGTGCTCATGAATGTCCCAGGTGGAGGTGCTGAAAAAGTGTGGAGATGCCTTCTTGAGTGTCAAAGTCTGGGATTCCAGCTTTCAGCCTCAGGCTCCAGGTGTGTGTGCTGAAGTGGAATTTTCTTCTCTCGTTCACTCTCCTGTCTGGTCAGAGGAACTTGGGGAGTTTCCTCTCTAGGGGAGGGAAAGGCCCTGGAGAGGTGGCCTTGCCCTGAACTGGGAAGGGGTGGGCATGGGAAAGCAGGGGCCTGGGCTCTGCCTACTGCTTGCTGAGAGCTTGGACATAGCACTGCCCTCCCTCAGCTCCTGTCTCCTTTCTCTGTATGATTAGGTGGAGGTGGATGGGATTCTGCTTCTACTCCCAGTCCTTGGGCACCATGTCAGGTACTCACACACTTATGACCCCATCTGGTCTTTGGAATGGCACTGGGGGATGGATCTGTCAATCTCACGTTGCAAATGTTTGTTCTAAATCCCACACTCTGAAGTCAGAAAGACCTGGGTTAGCCCTCAGCCACTGACGGTTGCTTGCTATGTGACCTTGGACAAGTCACTGCCCTTCTCTGAGCCTCAACACCCACATTTACACAGGGGAAGAATAATACCTCCCTCTTGGGCTGCTGTGAAGCAGAGCTAATGCGTACATTGCCTCAGGCACATTGCAGGTGCTCAAAGTGTTGGTCTTTCCTTCCCTTTCTAGGTCTCCATTTCCTCATCTACACAGTAGGGAGCAACTCTGTCCTGATTATAAATAAGACAACAGGTGAATGCACTCAGCAAGCCTAGGGGCAAGGATGCGTAGAGAAGCTTCTTGCAAAGGTGAAGAATGTGTGCTCTGAGCCCCGTGCTGAGAGGCAGGTGAGAGGACAGCAAGCCCAGCGACTGAGGCCTACAAAATGCCCCCTGCAGAGAGGGAGGAGGAGCAGTGTTCTAAGGCGGGTGGGAGGCAGCATCCCCAGTGCTTGCAGGAGGAGCAGGACTGTTGTGCTTGCTCAGGTGGGTGGTAGGTTAGGTTCTTAGGTATCTGCTGGGTATCAGATGCTGCACAAGCATCATCTCCGTGAACTTAATCTTTCCATCATCCCTGAGAGGTGGGCATTACAGGGGCATAGTGGGATTGAAACACAGGTCCCCTGAGCCTGTGCCTTTTCTACAAGGCAATTTAGTTCACATGTAATAATAGGACCCAAAAATACACCTGCTATGCTGTGCTCACCTGATTTCATAACATCCTTGTGACCTGCCAGGTTGGTGAACTGTCATCATTTTATGGATGAGAAAACTGAGGCTCAGAGAGGGTGAATAATTTGCTCATCCTTCCAAAGAACTAAAAGGAAGAGAGGTGCTATAGCTGTGGGGCCTTCTATTCCTGGTAGGAAGTGTGCAGTACCCAAGGCCATTCTGACCCCAGTGCAGGCAGGAGAAAAGGCACATCAACAAATCCAGCAGCAAGCTTCCACTGAGGGCCTCCCTGGCCTTTCCTTGCACTAGTGCTGAGGGAGAAACAGCCTTGTTCCTTCACCTAACATGGCTTCTTGCTGCCCCCAGGATAAAGGTCAGAGTCCTCAAGTCTGTGTTTGAGACTCTTCATGGTCTGGTCCCACCTGCGTTTCCAGCGAAATCCTCCACCAGGGTCCCCAGTGCAGCAGCCCTGGCCACCTGTCCCATCCTACCATCCTGACTTGGCTCAAGCTGCTCCCTCTGTCCCATGGTCTTCACACATAGAACAAGGAGAAGCTTGATATAGGCTAACCTGAATTTTCCATTTGAGAGCATTTTCAGCTTCTGGAAACAGACATTTCACCCAAAATTCCAGATTCCCTGCTTCTCTGAAAATACATACATACATACATACATACATACATACATACATACATACATATATAAATCTGCTCTTACTCTGCACTATTCTGTTTTCTGAGACAGAGTTTCACTCTTGTTGCCCAGGCTGGAGTGCAGTGGTGTGATCTCCACTCCCCACAACCTCCGCCACCCAGTTTCAAGTAAGTCTCCTGCCTCAGACTCCTGAGTAGCTGGGATTTACAGGCATGCACCATCATAGCCAGCTAATTTTCATGTACTTTTTTTTAGTAGAGATGGAGTTTCATGATGTTGGTCAGGCTGGTCTCCAACTCTTGACCTCAGGTGATCTACCAGCCTCGGCCTCCGAAAGTACTGGGATTACAGGTGTCAGCCACCTCACTTGTCCAGTCTGCACTATTCCTTAGTGTCAGACAATTTGAGCCAAACAATGTCTTTCTCATTTGGACGTGACCTTCAGGGTCTAATTTTTGTATTTTCAGTATAGACCAGTTTTTTTTTTTTTTTTGACAGAGTTTCACTCTTGTCCCCCAGGCCAGATGGTGCAGTGGCATGATCTCAGCTCAATGCAACCTCCGCCTCCTGGGTTCAAGTGATTCTTCTGCCTCAACCTCCCGAGTAGCTGGGATTACAGTCACCTGACACCACACCCAGCTAATTTTTTGTATTTTTAGTAGAAACAGAGTTTCACCGTGTTGGGCAGACTGGTCTCAAACTCCTGACCTTAGGTGATCCACCCTCCTCAGCCTCCCAAAGTGTGGAATTACAGGCATGAGCCAGAGCCTGGCCTTACCTGGCTAATTCTTTGTATATTTGAAGAGACAGGGTTTCACTGTGTTGGCCAGGATGGTCTTGATCTCCTGACTTCGTGATCCGCTGGCCTCAGCCTCCCAAAGAACTGGGATGAGAGGTGTGAGCCACTGCACCCGGCCTCAATGTAGCTTATTATCAAAGTATTTACACAGAAAAATTAATCAAAGGGCACAAGCATTTCAATACTTAGGTTAAGATGAAATCTGTGGCCGGAAGAGGGCCAGACACACATGAAATGTTTTGTGCATGAAGGAACCACAACTTAAAATGATTTTCTGTTATTCGTTTTGGTATGTTATTTTGGAAATGTGATTAATCACGTATGTAAAGGACGTTGGGAAGAATTTCCAGATACTCTGATATGCATGACATCTTAATCACACAATATAAAGCAAGGCTATCTTAGGAAATTAGGTATCACTGCCAAGGACCTTTACATGAGATGATAAATTAAAATTACTATTAAATTTGTAACAGTCAGATGGGCTGGCAGGCAAGTTGCGTCATTTTTTTCTCAGTATTTTTTCTTTTTCCTTGATTCAATAAAACAAACTTAAATGCCAGTTATCTGCAGAACCCTCACTAGACTATGTTTAATGATATGTGAAACACAGCCTGCACACTCACAGATCCTTGCCACGTCCCGTTCCCATCCTCTCAAAACCTGTGTTACCCTGTGGCTAGATTTCTCAAGGAGATGAAAGAGAGAGACGAATGAGAACCACCTTCTTTCAGGTCGCTCTGCACTGCTCCTGCAGGTAGACAATGACCTCTCCGGTGAGGCTATTATCCTTGGCTTGGGGGTGGAGGCCTTTATCCTGGAAAAGAGGCCTCTCAGGGTGGGGAGGTGATTTAAATTCTTATGAGAGAGACGCAGCTCCCCATCTCATCTGGACCTTCACAAACCTAAACTGGAACCGCCAGAAAAATGACTGACAACGGGCCACGCAAGCCAGGCAGAGACGCGGGGAGAGGCTGACCACAAGAAAGGCGGACGTAGAAGATACCGTCCTCTGGCGCACAGGGCACATATGTCCCAACACACACACACACACACGCACACAGGGACACAGAGCAAAAGAGTGAGAAAAGGGAGAGAGAGAAACAAGAGAGAGACATACGCACACACACAAACGCACAGACATACAGCAGTGGCACGGTAACACCTACACCCAGGCAGCCCCTGAATTTTCAGGGTTCTGCTCTCCACGACTACAACCCACTAGTGAGAGAGCAGCCCACGGGCACACAAGCAAACCTCTCCTTTTTTGAAGAGACTCACTGGCACACCGTCCGTGCAGGCCTGAACCTGGGATCCCGCGCTGCTTGCCCGGCCCTCCACCTGCAGTTTCTTCCTCCTGGACGACCCTCCGTGAATCCCGGCCTCCAGAGACTATCCTGTTGATGCCCTGGCCAGGACTGGTCTTAGCCCCGACACTGACTAATCCCTCTAGTACCAGGTACTCGGGAGGCGGAGGCAAGAGAATCACTTGAACCTGGGCGGCAGAGTTTGCAGTCAGCTGAGATCCCGCCACTGCACTCGACTGAGTGACAGAGTGAGATTCCGACTATTAAAAAAAAAAAGATAGAAAAGAAAAATGACCGCGGAGCGGCGGCTGCGGGGACTGGGGCGGCGGCGGGTGAAGTGAAGATTGGGAAAAGGGCTTCGTCGACCCTTCCCGAATCCGGGCCTGAGGCTGGGATCTCGCGCTGCCGCCCGGCGATCCGCCTGAGGTTTCTACCTTCTGAGGTTTCTTCCTGGTGGTCAGCCCTCCGAGAATCCCAGGCTCCGGAGACCATCCTGTTAAAGCCCTGGCCAGGACTGCTCTCAGGCCCGACTCTGACGCACTATCACACAGGGCTCCTACTTCGCAAAGTCTCAGGGACCCATCCACGGCAACAGTGGCAATCACTACGACCAAAGCGGAGGCTCAGGCCTTGCGCATGCGCACTGGCGAGACCGAATCCCCGCTTGCTCCGCAGAGTCCGGCGGCGGATCCTTTAAAAAATGGCGGCGACGCGCGGCTGAGGGGACTGGGGCAGCGGTGGCGGCGGCAGCGCAGTCCGAGGCGGCGGGTGGGAAGAGGACTACGATAGGGTCCTGCGGGAGACCCAAGGGTTGTACCCATAGAGGTCCTGTCATCAGGACCTTCTTGATCGGTCTTCTGCTTCGGTTACCGGTGGAGGAGGAGCTTCAGGGTGCGGCTGGGCTCTCTGGAATCCTCTTCGACCTGACTATGGATCCCACGGGGTGATCAAGAATGGGGTTACAATGCAGTGAGGCGGGAAGGGTCTCGCTGGGGCACAGAAAGATCCTAAGGGCTGCAAGGTGAACTGTCAGCTGAAAATGCACTGACCCATGAGCCCACTGCCTCCCTCCTTCCTAGGTGGAGCAGTGGCCTGACTTCATCTCCAAGGTTCGGGGCTCTGGCATCCCGACACTGCTTTCCGCAGCATGTGCAAGGAGAGACAGAGGTGAGTCCGAGATGGAGCCAATGTGACCACACGTGGCACTAATGTTCCCCAAGAGCAGATGGAGTCAGGGTGGGTCTTTGAGGCCATATGGGGTGATGCTGAGACGGATAGTGACGTCCAGATGTGCGCAGGTGGGTCACTGGGACCTCCCACACAAAGCCAAGGAAAAGCCAAGCACACTAGAAAACCTGTGAGACAGGGCCTGTGCCTGAGTCCAAGCCACATTCAGGGATGACTGCCAGAGGGGCCAAGAGGTTTCGACAAACGACACCATACCGACATCCCGCTACCGGTAGGTACCCCTGACGCCACCTCCCCTGCACCCAGCAAAACCCAGTCCCTTTGGCTCCCTGACATCCGTGGCAGCCAAAAGATTCAGTGCTTAGAGGCACTTTCCCCAGGAGCAGAGGAACGGAATGGCCCTCAGGAATGAGAGAGGAAGGGCAGGTGGGATGCAACACTAACTTTTCTAGAAGGCAAAGGTCAGCCACAGTGGGGTTGCCTCCCGCTCTTCCTGGACGGACCACAAAGCCATCACTTGGGACATGCAGACAAAGGGAGCTTCCCTGTCCAAGACAGGTATGGAAGCCCAGAACTCCAGGATCATGACACCCTATCATCCAGAAATAGGTTTGGAGAGGGAAGCAATCATAAAAGGGACCCCAACGAAATTTCTTCCTAATGGACTGAGAAGTGTTCTTTGTTGAAGACATTGAGCCAGACTAAGAAGCCTCTAGGCTTCACAGGAACTGGGCAGACAGAACAAGAGGGAGGACAGAGCAGAGGCCAATGCCACAGCACAATGCCACTATCACGGGCATCCGGGAAAATGTGCCAAATGGGTGACTAGGCCAGGAAGGCCAGCGTTTGAGTGACAGACATGCTTGCCCCATCTTGTAGCCAGCTTCCTTCTCCGTCCCAGTGTATAGCTGTGGGTAGCTTTCTCAATGAGGGCAAAGGGCGAGAGGAGTGAGAACCATCTTCTTGAAGCTCTGTGGGCACACTCCTGCAGGTGGACAATGAGCACCTCTGAGGCCTTTGTCCTTGGCTGGGGTGCAGTCGTCTTGATCCTAGCAAGGAGGCAGCACAGGATGGGAAGGATATTAAAACTCCTGCAAGACAGGCCGGAGGCACGAAGCCCCTTCACTGAAGCACAGCCATGGAGAACTCCTGCTATGCCAAAATTCAGGGACTGGATACTAAGACAACAGTGGAAATCACTGTGACGAGACAATCAGCTAGAGCCACGCGGAGGCACACTGGCTGGGCCGACTAAAGCTCCGGTGCTGGACGGCAGGCAGCTGCCCCTTTAAACAATGGCTACTGCGCGGTAGCAGATGGGCTCCTGTTGCAGCCTCGGCAGCGACTGGATCCAGGGTAAAGTTTGCAGCGGCCTGGTAGAGGCTGTGGCCGGTGTCCTGTCCCAGGGCGAAACCCCCAGAAGTCCTGTCCTCAGGACCTCCTTGAGCCGACTCCCACCAAGGGAGGGAGAGCTACAGGATGTCTGCTGGGTTCTCGGGACTCCCCTTCAGATCCGATTTTGGCCCCCTCCGAGTGAGATAGGATGGGCTCACCACATCTGTTGAGGCAGGCAGGGCATCGCTGCAGCATAGAATGATCCCATGGGTTTCAAGGCGTGGTGTCAGCTGAAAATTCACTGATCCATCAGCCCTCTGCCTCCCTTCTCCTTTGAAAGAGCACTGGCCTGCCCGGCTTCTAAAAGCCATGGGGCTCCGGAAGCCAACCGCAATTTACAGGACACGTGCAAAAAGGAACAAGGGCGAATCCCAGGTGGAGACCATGCGATGACGTGTGGCTGTGGCCCATCCCACAGCAGATGGCGTGGATGTGTGTAACCAGAGGAATGTGGGGCGACGGCGAAACAAACGGTGGTGTCTAAGCATGTGCCCGGTGGAAGGGGGGGACAAGTGACATTTCCATCACAGCAATGAAAACTTAAAGAACACCTGGGAACCAGGAGGGGGCTTGTGACTGACCGGATACAAAATTTGAAATTGCTGCCAGAGGAGCAAAGAGGGTTCTGCAAATTTCACCCCAACGCCAAAGCTCCATCGCCCATGTAGCCCTCACACAACGTCCTGTGCACCAAGCCCCAGCCCCAACACCAGCCCCAGCCCCAGCCCCAGCCCAAGACCGAGCCCAGTCCCCTTGTTTCCCTGACATTCGTTAAGGCCAAAAGATCCAGGGAGACAGTCCACCCATGAGAAGAGGAGAGGATGTCCCTCGAGAATGAGACAGGAAGTGCAGAGGAAATGCGACACCACCTGTGCTAGAAGACAAGGCCAGTCCCGGTCTCCTAGCGCTCATTCTAGGCAATCCACCCACCCATGAATGGAAACATGGAGAAGAAGCAAGCTTTCCTGTCTGAGACACTTATGGGAGCAAAGAGCTCCACGGTCACGAGATCTGCCCAATCAAGCAGAAAGAGGTTTGGAGAGAGAAACAATCATAACAGGGATCTCCAGGAAATGTCTCCCGGACAGACTGGGAAGTCAAGCACTGGGAAGTCCCTAACGGACAGGGAAGACATGTGGCCAGAGCGAGAGGCATCTAGGACAGGGGAGGCAGAGCAAGAGGGAGGACAGAGCAGAAGGAGCAAGAGGGAGAACAGAGCAGAGGGAGGACAGAGCAAGAGGGAGGAGAGAGCAGAGGCCGGAGCCCAGGCCGGATATAGCACCATGCCACCGCCACAGGCATAAGGGGAGGGGTTCCAAAAGGGTGGCTTGTCCAGCGAGGTCACCGTTCCAGTGACAGGGATTGTTGCCATCTCTCATTCCCGGCTTCCTCTTGCAGACTGTATCATGGTGTGGCTTCATTTCTCAGAGAAGAGCCGTGAAAAGATACAAGCATCTTCTCTGACGTGGGTCCGCTGCTCTCCTGCGGGACAAAGAGCTCCTGTGGGGCTCTTGTCCTCGGCTGCAGTGTGATCATTTTGATCTTAGGAGAGAGGCCGCTCAGGATGGGGATGAGATTTCAATTGCTCCCGGACCCATGCATCTCTTCACGTAGGCCAGGACTTCACACACCCAAAGCGGATCCGGGGCGGCGAAAACGATTGACAACCGGCCTCATGACAAAGGCAGAGACGCAGAAAGAGGGTCACCAAAGACAGGCCGCCATGCGAGAAACCGCTTTGTGGCGCACAGGGCACATTCTGCCAAAGACACACACGCACACGGGCACACACACACAACCCACTGAGAGAGGGAAAGAAACACACAGAGACTGAGAGACAGAGAGAGAAGAGAGAATGGGAGAAACACACACAGACACACACACACACACACACACACACACACACACACACACACACAATGTCATTCAGGAGAGGCATTGAAACGCACACACCCAGGCAAACCCTGAGTCTGCGGGGATCGGCTCTCGACGAGAACGACCCTCCTGTGAGAGAGCACCCCAGGGGCAGGCAGGCCGACCTGTCGTCGAGATCACGGACGGCGGCACGACTTTTGGGGAGACTCACCCCAACCCACACCGTCATGGCAGGCCTGAAGCTGGGATGCCGTGCTGCTATCCCCGGACTCCCCCTGGGGTTTCCTCATCCTGGTCGGCCCTTTGAGACTCCTGGCATCCGGAGACGTTCCCGTCGACCCGGTGGAGAGGTCAGGCCAGAGCCTCAGAGCCCCGACACACAAGCACTGCCACGGAGGGCTCCTGCTTTGCCAAGCCTCAGGGAGTGGTTTCTAAGAAAACCGTGGGAACCACTGTGAGGGCAAAAGAAGCTCGCGCCTCGCGCATGCGCATTGTCAGGGCCAACTCGCGCTACGCTCCTCACAGGCAGGCTGCGTCCCCTTTAAATAACGCCGCCGCTGCGCTGGGGCAGCGAGGCTCCTGCTGCATCCGCCGCGGTGGCTGGATCCGGGGTCCAGTTGGGGCGGCGTGAGAGAGAGGGCCGCGGGTGTCTTGTCGTGTCCCAGGGCCAAACCCCGAGGAATCCTGTCCTCAGGACCACCTTGAGCTGACTTCCACCGAGGGAGGGGGACATCAGGACGCCTGCTGTGTTCTCAGGACTCCCCTTCAGATCCGATTTTGGCCCACTCCGAGTGAGATAGGATGGGCTCACCACATCTGGTGAGGCAGGCAGCGCCTCGCTGCAGCACAGAATGATCCCATAAGTCTCAAGACCTAGTGTCAGCTGCAAATTCATTGATCCCTCAGGCCTCTGCCTCCCTCCTCCTTTGAAAGAGCAGGGGCCTGACCCGCTTCTAAAAGACCTGGGGCTACGGAAAGCAGACCGCCCTTTACAGGACACCTGAAAACAGGAACAAGGGCGAATCTGAGGTGGAGACAATGCGACCAAGCGTGGCACTGGCGTATCCCACAGCAGATGGTGAGAATGTGTGTCACCGGAGACATACGGGGCGACGGCGAAACAAATGGTGGTGTCCAGGCATGTGCCGGTGGAAGGGGGGAATGAGTGACCCCTGCATCAATGCCAAGGAAAATCGAAGAACATCTGGGACCCGGGGATGGGGGCGCCAGTACCTGACCCAAGCCACGTTTTCAAATGCCTACCAGAGTAGCAAAGAGGTTTCTGCAAAATTCTCCCCACCCCCAACCCTCCACCGCCCTGGTAGCCCTGAGGCAAATTCGGCTGCACCCAGCCCAGCCACAGCCACAGTCCCAGCTCCAGCCCAGTCCCTTTGGGTCCCTGACATTCGTTTGGGACAGAAGATCAAGGGAGTCTTTCCACCCAGGAGCAGAGGAGAGGATGTCCCTCAAGAAGGAGACAGGCGGCCATGCGAGAAACCGCTTTGTGGAGCACAGGGCACATTCGGCCAAAGACACACACGCACACGGGCACTCACACACAAACCGACAGAGAGGAAAGAAACACACAGAGACTGAGAGACAGAGAGAGAAGAGAGAATGGGAGACACACACACACTCACAGAAACACAAACACACAAACACACACACACACACACACACACACACACACACAGAGGCCCTGAGCAGAGGCATTGAAACACACACCCCAAGGCAACCCTTGAGGCTTCGGGGTTCTGCTCTTGATGAGATCGACCCTCAGGTGAGGGAACACCCCAGGGGTACTCAGGCCGACCTGTCCTCGAGATCACGGCGGCATGACTTTTGGCGAGACTCACCCCAACCAACACCGTCCGGGCAGCCCTGAGGCTGGGATGCCGTGCTGCCTCCCCTGGACTCCGCCTGGGAATTCCTCATTCTGGTCGGCCCTTTGCGTCTCCTGGCATCCAGAGACGTTCCCGTCGACCCTGTGGAGAGGTCAGGCCGGAGCCTCAGAGCCCCGACACACAAGCACTGCCACGGAGGGCTCCTGCTTTGCCAAGCCTCAGGGACTGGTTTCTAAGACAACCGTGGGAACCACTGTGACAGGAGAAGTCGCTCGCGCCGCGCGCATGCGCATTGGCTGGCCTGACTAGCGCTCCGCTTCTGGCAGTCAGGCTGCATCCCCTTTAAATAACGCTACTGCAGCGCAGGGCAGCGAGGTTCCCGCTGCAGCCGCGGCCTGGATCCGGGCTCCAGTTTGTGGCGGCGTGGGAGACGGGACCGTGGGTGTCTTGTCCTGTCCCAGGACCAAACCCCCAGGAATCCTGTCCTCAGGAACTCCTTGAGCTGACTTCCACGGAGGGAGGGAGAGGGAGCTTCAGGACGCCTGCTGTGTTCTCAGGACACCCCTTCAGATCCGATTTAGGCCCCCACCGAGTGACATAGGATGGGCTCGCCACATCTGCTGGGGCAGGCAGGGCCTCCATGCAGCAAAGAATGATCCCACAGGTCTCGAGGCAAAGTGTCGGCTGCAAATTCACTGATCATTCAACCCTCTGCCTCCCTCCTCCTTTGAAAGAGCAGTGGCATACCCCGCTTCTAAAAGCCCTGGGGCTCAGGAAAGCCGACCGCGCTTTACAGGACTCGTGCAAACAGGAACAGGGGCGAATGCGAGGTGGAGACCACGGGAACATGCGAGGCACTGGCGTATCCCACAGCAGATGGTGTGAACGTGTATCACCGGAGGCATACGGGGCGACGGCGAAAGAAACGGTGGTGTCCAGGCATGTGCCGGTGCAAAGGGGGAATGAGTGACCTATCCATCAATGCAAAGGAAAATCGAAGAACACCTGGGACCCGGCGGGTGGGGGCGCCTGTTCCTGACCCAAGCCACATTTTCAAATGCCTACCAGAGGAGCAAAGAGGTTTCTGCAAAATTCTCCCAACCCTCCACCGGGCTGGTAGCCCTGAGGCAACTTCAGCTGCATCCAGCCCCAGCCACAGCCACAGCCCCAGCCCCAGCCAAGTCCCTCTGGGTCCCTGACATTCATTTGGGACAGAAGATCAAGGGAGTCTTTCCACCCAGGAGCAGAGGAGAGGATGTCCCTCAAGAAGTAGACAGGCCGCCAAGCGAGAAACCGCTTTGTGGCACACAGGGCACATTGGGCCAAAGACACACACGCACATGGGCACTCACACACAAACCGACAGAGGGAAAGAAACACACAGAGACTGAGAGACAGAGAGAGAAGGGAGAATGGGAGACACACACACACACTCACAGACGGACACACAAACACTCACACACACACACACACACACACACACACACACACACACACACACACACACACACAGAGTCCTTGAGCAGAGGCATTGAAACACACACCCTAAGGCAACCCCTGAGGCTTCGGGGTTCTGCTCTTGGCGAGATCGACCCTCGGGTGAGGGAGCACCGCAGGGGTACTCAGGCCGACCAGTCCTCGAGGTCACGGCGGCACGACTTTTGGCGAGACTCACCCCAACCAACACCGTCCGGGCAGCCCTGAGGCTGGGATGCCGTGCTGCCTCCCCCGGACTCCGCCTGGGATTTCCTCATTCTTGTCAGCCCTTTGCGAGTCCTGGCATCCGGAGACGTTCCCGTCGACCCCGAGGAGAGGTCAGGCCGGAGCCTCAGAGCTCCGACACACAAGCACTGCCACGAAGGGCTCCTGCTTTGCCAAGCCTCGGGGACTGGTTTCTAAGACAACCGTGGGAACCACTGTGACGGGAGAAGAGGCTCGCGCCTCGCGCATGCGCATTGGCCCGCCCGACTGGCGCTCCGCTCCTGGCGGTCAGGCTGCGTCCCCTTTAAATAACGCCACCGCAGCGCGGCGGCAGCGAGCCTCCTGCTGCAGCCGCGGCGGCGGCTGGATCCGGGCTCCAGTTTGTGGCGGCTTGGGAGACCGGACCGTGGGTGTCTTGTCCTGTCCCAGGGCCAAACCCCCAGGAGTCCTGTCCTCAGGAACTCCTTGAGCTGACTTCCACCGAGGGAGGGAGGGGGAGCTTCAGGACGCCTGCTGTGTTCTCAGGACACCCCTTCAGATCCCATTTCGGCCCCCACTGAGTGAGATAGGATGGGCTCGCCACATGCGCTGAGGCAGGCAGGGCCTCGCTGCAGCCAAGAATGATCCCATAGGTCTCGAGGCCAAGTGTCCGCTGCAAATTCACTGATCCTTCAACCCTCTGCCTCCCTCCTCCTTTGAAAGAGCAGTGGCCTACCCCTCTTCTAAAAGCCCTGGGGCTCAGGAAAGCCGACCGCGCTTTACAGGACTCGTGCAAACAAGAACAGGGGAGATTGCGAGGTGGAGACCATGTGAACACGAATGGCACTGGCGTATCCCACAGCAGATGGTGTGAACGTGTGTCACCGGAGGCAAACCGGGCGACAGCGAAAGAAACGGTGGTGTCCAGGCATGTGCCGGTGCAAGGGGGGAACGAGTGACCTATCCATCAATGCAAAGGAAAATCGAAGACCACCTGGGACCCGGCGGGTGGGGGCGCCTGTGCCTGACCCAAGCCACGTTTTCAAATGCCTACCAGAGGAGCAAAGAGGTTTCTGCAAAATTCTCCCCACCCCCAACCCTCCACCGCGCTGGTAGCCCTGAGGCAAATTCGGCTGCACCCAGCCCCAGCCACAGCCACAGCCCCAGCCCCAGCCAAGTCCCTTTGGGTCCCTGACATTCGTTTGAGACGGAAGATCAAGGGAGTCTTTCCACCCAGGAGCAGAGGAGAGGATGTCCCTCAAGAAGGAGACAGGCCGCCAAGCGAGAAACCGCTTTGTGGTGCACAGGGCACATTCGGCCAAAGACACACACGCACATGGGCACTCACACACAAACCGACAGAGGGGAAAGAAACACACAGAGACTGAGAGACAGAGAGAGAAGGGAGAATGGGAGACACACACACACTCACAGACGGACACACAAACACACACACACACACACACACACACACACACACACACACACAGAGTCCTTGAGCAGAGGCATTGAAACACACACCCCAAGGCAACCCCTGAGGCTTCGGGGTTCTGCTCTTGACGAGATCGACACTCGGGTGAGGGAGCACCGCAGGGGTACTCAGGCCGACCTGTCCTGGAGGTCACCGCGGCACGACTTTTGGCGAGACTCACCCCAACCAACACCGTCCGGGCAGCCCTGAGGCTGGGATGCCGTGCTGCCTCCCCCGGACTCCGCCTGGGATTTCCTCATTCTGGTCGGCCCTTTGCGAGTCCTGGCATCCGGAGACCTTCCCGTCGACCCCGAGGAGAGGTCAGGCCGGAGCCTCAGAGCCCCGACACACAAGCACTGCCACGGAGCGCTCCTGCTTTGCCAAGCCTCGGGGACTGGTTTCTAAGACAACCGTGGGAACCACTGTGACGGGAGAAGGCGCTCGCGCCTCGCGCATGCGCATTGGCCCACCCGACTGGCGCTCCGCTCCTGGCGGTCAGGCTGCGTCCCCTTTAAATAACGCCACCGCAGCGCGGCGGCAGGGAGGCTCCTGCTGCAGCCGCGGCGGCGGCTGGATCCGGGCTCCAGTTTGGGTCGGCGTGGGAGAGGGGACCGCGGGTGTCTTCTTCTGTCCCACGGCCAAACCCCCAGGAGTCCTGTCCTCAGAAACTCCTTGAGCCGACTTCCACCGAGGGAGGGAGGGGGAGCTTCAGGACGCCTGCTGTGTTCTCAGGACTCCCCTTCAGATCTGATTTTGGCCCCCACCGAGTGAGATAGGATGGGCTCACCACATCTGGTGAGGCAGGCAGGGCCTCGCTGCAGCACACAATGATCCCATGGGTCTCAAGGCATGCTGTCAGCTGAAATTTCACTGATCCATCAGCCCTCTGCCTCCCTTCTCCTTTTAAAGAACACTGGCCTGCCGGGCTTCTAAAAGCCCTGGGGCTCTGGAAGCCAATCGCAATTTACAGGACACGTGCAAACAGGAACAGGGGCGAATCCCAGGTGGAGACCATGCGTTGACGTGTGGCACTGACCAATCCCACAGCAGATGGCTTGAATGTGTGTAACCAGAGGAATGTGGGGCGACGGCGAAACAAACGATGCTGTCTAGGCATGTGCCCGGTGGAAGGGAGGGTCAAGTGACATTTCCATCACAGCAATGAAAAATTAAAGAACACTTGGGAAACAGGAGGCGGCTTGTGACTGACCGGATCCAAAATTTGAAATTCCTGCCAGAGCAACAAATAGGTTTCTGCAAAATTCACCCCAAGGCCAAAGCTCCACCGCCCAGGTAGCCCTCACACAACCTCCCCTGCACCAAGCCCCAGCCCCAGCACCAGCAACAGCCCCAGCCCCAGCCCCAGACCCAGCCCAGTCACCTTGGTTCCCTGACTTTCGTTACGGGCAAAAGATCCAGGGAGACAGTCCACCCAGAAGCAGAGGAGAGGTGTCCCTCAACAATGAGACAGGAATTGCAGAGGAAATGGGACACTACCTGTTCTTGAAGACAAGGCCAGTCACGGTCGCCTAGCGCTCCTTCTAGGCAATCCACGCACCCATGAAGGGAAACATGGAGAACAAGCAAGCTTTCCTGTCTGAGACACTTATGGGAGCAAAGAGCTCCACGGTCACGAGATCTGCCCAATCAAGCAGAAACAGGTTTGGAGAGAGAAACAATCATAACAGGGATCTCCAGGAAATGTCTCCCTGACAGACTGGGAAGTCACGGACTGGGAAGTCCCTGATGGACAGGGAAGACATGTGGCCAGAGAGAGAGGCATCTAGGACAGGGGAGACAGAGCAAGAGGGAGGACAGAGCAGAAGGAGCAAGAGGGAGGACAGAGCAGAGGCAGGACAGAGCAAGAAGAAGGAGAGAGCAGAGGCCGGAGCCCAGGCAGGAAACAGCACGGTGCCACCGCCACAGGCATAAGGGGAGGGGATCCAAAAGCGTGGCTTGTCCAGAGAAACCAGCGATCCAGTGACAGGGATTGTTGCCATCTCCCATTCCCGGCTTCCTCTTGCAGACTGTATCGTGCTATGGCTTCATTTCTCAGAGAAGAGCCGTGAAAAGATACAAGCATCTTCTCTGACGTGGGTCCGCTGCTCTCCTGTGGGACAAAGAGCTCCTGTGGGGCTCTTGTCCTCAGCTGCAGTGTTTTCATCTTGATGCTAGAAAAGAGGCTGCTCAGGATGAGGATGAGATTTCAATTGCTCCAGGACCGACGCATCTCCTCACGTGGGCCAGGCCTTCACACACCCAAAGCGGATCCGCGGCCGCGAAAACGATTGACAACCGGCCTCATGACCCAGGCAAAGATGCAGAAAGAGGCTCACCAAAGACAGGCCGCCATGCGAGAAACCGCTTTGTGGCACACAGGGCACATTCGGCCAAAGACACACATGGACACGGGCACACACACACAAACCCACAGAGAGAGGGAAAGAAACTCACAGAGATTGAGAGACAGAGAGAGAAGAGAGAATGGGAGACACACACACAGACACACAGATACACACACACACACACACACACACACACACAGACACACACACAGAGTCATACAGCAGAGGCATGAAAACACACACCCCCAGGCAACCCCTGAGGCTGCGGGGTTCTGCTGTCGACCCTCTGGTGAGAGAGCACCCTAGGGGCACGCATTCCAACCTGTCTTCGAGATCTCTGACGGCGGCACGACTTTTGGGGAGACTCAACCCAACCAACACCATCCCGGCAGGCCTGAGGCTGGGATGCCGTGCTGCTTCCCCAGGACTCCGCCTGGGGTTTCCTCATCCTGGTCGGCCCTTTGCGACTCCTGGCATCCGGAAACCTTCCCGTCGACCCCGTGGAGAGGTCAGGCCGGAGCCTCAGAGCCCCGACACACAAGCACTGGCACAGAGGGCTCCTGCTTTGCCGAGCCTCAGAGACTGGTTTCTAAGACAACTGTGGGAAGCACTGTGACGGGAGAAGCCGCTCGCACCTCACGCATGCGCATTGGCTGGGCCGACTCGCTCTCCGCTCCTGGCAGGCAGGCTGCGTCCTCTTTAAATAATGCCACCGCTGCGCAGCGGCTGGATCCGGGCTCCAGTTTGGGGCGGCGTGGGAGAGGCGACCGCGGGTGTCTTGTCCTGTCCCAGGGCCAAACCCCCAGGTGTCCTGTCCCCAGGACCTCCTTGAGCTGACTTCCACCTTGGGAGGAAGGGGGAGCTTCAGGACGCCTGCTGTGTTCTCAGGACTCCCCTTCAGATCCCATTTTGGCCCACTCCGAGTGAGATAGGATGGGCTCGCCACATCTGGTGAGGCAGGCAGGGCCTCGCTGCAGCACAGAATGATCCCATAGGTCTCAAGGCCTAGTGTCAGCTGCAAATTCACTGATCCATCAGCCCTCTGCCTCCCTCCTCCTTTGAAAGAGCAGTGGCCTGCCCAGCTTCTAAAAGCCCTGGTGCTCCGGAAAGCCCACCATGCTTTACAGGACACTTGCAGGCAGGAACCAGGGCAAATCCGATGTGGAGACCATGTGACCACGCGTGGCACTGGCGTATCCCACAGCAGATGGTGTGAATGTGTGTCACCGGAGGCATACGGAGCGATGGCGAAAGAAACGGTGGTGTCCAGGCATGTGCCGGTGGAAGGGTGGAACGAGTGAACTTTCCCACAATGCCAAGGAAAATCGAAGAACACCTGGGACCCGGGGGGTGGCAGGGGGCGTGTGCCTGACCCAAGCCATGTTTTCAAATGCCTAGCAGAGGAGCAAAGAGGTTTCTGCAAAATTCGCCCCACCTCTAACCCTCCACCACCCTGGTAGCCCTGACGGAACTTCGGCTACACTCAGCCCCAGCCCCAGCCCCAGCCCAGTCCCTTTGGTTCCCTGACATTCGTTTCGGACAGAAGGTCATGGGAGTCAGTCCACCCAGGAGCAGAGAAGAGGATGTCCCTCAAGAATGAGACAGGAAGCGCAGAGGAAATGCGACACCACCTGTCCTGGAAGACAAGGCCAGTCACGGTCGCCTAGCGCTCTTTCTAGGCAATCCACCCACCCATGAGGGGAAACGTGGAGAAGAAGGAAGCTTCCCTGCCTGAGACATGTATGGAAGTCAAGAGCTCCAGGGTCATGAGACCTGCCCAATCCAGCAGAAACACGTTTGGAGAGAGAAACAGTCATGACACGGATCTCCAGGTAGTGTCTCCCTGACGGACTGGGAAGTCATCTTTGCTGAAGACATTTGGCGAGAGCGAGAGGCATCCAGGCCCCTGAGAAACAGGGGAGGCAGAGCGAGAGGGAGGAGAGAGCAGAGGCCGGAGCCCAGGCAGCGTATAGCACCGTGCCACCTCCATGGGCATAAGGGGAGGGGTTCCAAAAGCGTGGCTTTTCCAGAGAGGCCAGCGTTCCAGTGACAGGGATTGTTGCCATCTCCCATTCCCGGCTTCCTCTTGCAGACCGTAGCGTGGTGTGGCTTCATTTCTCAGAGAAGAGCCGTGAAAAGATACAAGCATCTTCTCTGACGTGGGACCTCTGCTCTCCTGTCGGACAAAGAGCTCCTATGGGGCTCTTGTCCTCGGCTGCAGTGTGTTCATCTTGGTCCTAGGAGAGAGGCCGCTCAGGATGGGGATGAGATTTCAATTGCTCCGGGACCGACGCATCTCCTCACGTGGGCCAGGCCTTCACACACCCAAAGCGGATCCGCGGCCGTGAAAACGATTGACAACCGGCCTCATGAGCAAGACAGAGATGCAGAAAGAGGCTCACCAAAGACAGGCCGCCATGCAAGAAACCGCTTTGTGGCGCACAGGGCACATTCGGCCAAAGACACACACGCACTCGGTCACACACACACAAACCCACAGAGAGAGGGAAAGAAACACACAGAGACTGAGAGGTAGAGAGAGAAGACAGAATGGGAGACACACACAGAGTCATACAGCAGAGGCATTGAAACACACACCCCCACGCAACCCCTGAGGCTTCGGGGTTCTGCTCTGGATGAGAAGGACCCTCGGGTGAGAGAGCAGCCCAGGAGCACGCAGGCCGACCTGTCCTCGAGATCACGGCGGCACGACTTTTGGGGAGACTCACCCCAACCATCACCGTCCGGGCAGGCCTGAGGCTGGGATGCCGTGCTGCTTCCCCCGGACTCCGCCTGGGGTTTCCTCATCCTGGTCGGCCCTTTGGGACTCCTGGCATCCGGAGACGATCCCGTCGACCCCGTGAAGAGGTCAGGCCGGAGCCTCAGAGCCCCGACACCCAAGCACTGCCAAGGAGGGCTCCTGCTTTGCCAAGCCTCGGAGACTGGTTTCTAAGACAACCGTGGGAACCACTGTGATGGGAGAAGAAGCCCGCGCCTCGCGCATGCGCATTGGCTGGGCCTACTCGCGCTCAGCTCCTGGTAGTCAGGCTGCGTCCCCTTTAAATAATGCCACCGCTGCTCAGTGAAGGCAGGGCTCCTGCTGCAGCTGCGGCGGCGGCTGGATCCGTGGTCCAGTTTGGGGCGGCATGGGAGAGGGGGCCTTAACTATACTGTCCGAAGGCCAAACCCGCAGGAGTCCAGTCTTCAGCAAGTCCTTTACCCGACTTCCACTGAGGGAGGGGGAGCTTCAGAGCCACTGCTGGGTTCTCAGGCTCCTCTTCAGATCCGAGTTTGGACCCCTCCGGGTGAGAAAGGATGTGCTCAGCACATCTGGTGACGCAGGTAGGGCCTCGCTGCAGCACAGAATGATCCCATGGCCCTCAAGGAGTGATGTCAGCTGAAAGTTCACTTATTCGTGAGCCCTCTGCCTCCCTCCTCCGTTGAAAGAGCAGTGGCGTGCCCCGCTTCTAAAAGCCCTGGGGCTCCTGCAAGCGGACACCGCTTTCCAGGACAGGTGCAAACAGGGTCGGTGCGAATCCGAGGTGGAGACAATGCGATCACGCGTGGCACTGGCGTATCCCTCAGTAGATGGTGTGAATTTGTGTCACCGGAGGGATATGTTGCGATGGCGAAACCAACAATGGCTCCAGGCATGTGACCGGTGGAAAGGCGGAACAAGTGGCCTTTCCCTTAGTGCCAAGGAAAATCAAAGAACATCTGGGAACAAGGAGGAGTCCTGTGCCTCAGTGCAAGCCACATTTTGAAATGCCTACCAGAGGAGCAAAGAGATTTCTACAACATTCACTCCACCCCAAAGCCTCCACCGCCCAGGTAGCCCTGACGCAACCTCCCCTGCACCCAGCCCCAACCCCATCCAGGCCCAGTGCAGTTCCCTTGGTTTCCCGACATTCATTACAGCCAAAAGATTCAGGAAGTCAGTCTACCTATGTGCAGAGGAGAGGACGTCCCTCATTTGTGAGACAGGACGTGCAGAGGTAAGGGGACACCATCTGTCCTGGAAGACAAGGCCAGTCATGATCGCCTAGCGCTCATTCTAGGCAATCCACCCACCCACGAGGTGAAACAAGGAGACCAAGGAAGCTTCCCTGTCTGAGACAAGTATGGAAGCCAAGTGTTCCAGGCTCATCAGACCTGCCCAATCCAGCAGAAACAGGTTTGGAGAGAGAAAGAGTCATGACAAGGATCTCCAGGAAGTTTCTCCCTGATGGACTCGGAAGTGATCTTCGTAGAAGTTATTCAGCCAGACCAAGAGGCAACTGGGCCCCTCAGAAACAGGGGAGACAGGGCAAGAGGGAGGACAGAGCAGAGGCCAGAGCCCAGGCAGGTTACAGAACCTTGCCACCACCACGGGCATAAGGGGAGGGGTGCGAAACGCGTGACTTATCCAGAGAGGCCAGCCTTCCAGGGACAGTGATTGTCACCATCTCCAATTCCTGGCTTCCTCTTCAGAATTGTATCGTGGTGTGGCTTCATTGCTCAGAGAAGAGCCGTGCAAGGGTACAACCATCTTCTTGGAGGTGGGTCTGCTCCTCTCCTGCTGGACAATGAGCTACTGTGGCATTTTGTCCTGGGCTGGAGTGTGGTCCCCTTGATCCTAGAAAAGAAGCCGCTCAGGATGCGGATGAGACTTTGATTGCTCTGGGACCGACGCGTCTCCTCAAGTGATCAAGGCCTTCACAAACCCAAAGTGGAACCGCCGTGAAAACGATGGACAACCGGCCACAGGACCCAGGCAGAGATGCAGAAGGAGGCTCACCAAACACTGGCCAACATTCAAAAAATCGCATTTTGGCGAACAGAGCACAGTCGTCCAAAGACACACACGCACATGGGCATACACACAGAAAAACACACACACACAGAGACCGACAGAGAGAGGGAAAGAAACACACAGAGGGTGAGAGACAGAGAGAGAAGAGAGAATGGGAGACACACACACACACACACACACACACACACAGTCCTACAGCGGTGGCACAGAAACACACACTCCCAGGCAACCCCTGAGGCTAACTAATAGTGGAAAATGTGTATCTAAGAATACACTTGGAACAGAAATATGAAAAACCGAAAGTAAGAGATATTATGAAGGATCAAATACAAAATGACCCAGTGCTAAAGAGGCAACAAAGAAAATTGTAGAAGTAAATGACAACAGGCATTGTGCCTTAATGAGTTTGTCCTACTATATAAGAAAATACACTAGGCTGGGTAATTTCTGAAGAACAGAAATGTATTTCTCACATTTCCACAGGGCAGAAGTCCAAGATCAAGGTGCCAGCAGGATTGGTGTCTGGTGAGGGCCTGGTCTCTGCATCCAAGATGGTATCTTGTGCACTGTGTCTTCAGGAAGAGATGCAGTGTCCTCACATGGCAGAAGGCAGAAGGGCAAAACAGGGGAAGCCCACTCCATCCAGTCCTTGTGTAAGGACCTAAACTCTTTCGTGAAGACTCTCCCTTCATGACTGAATCACTACCTAAAAGCCCTTCTTCCTAATCCTATGGCATTGGTGATTAATTTTAGGGGGGCACATTCAGAACATAGCACCCTATATTCAATTTCTTAAAAATTATTTTGTTGTTTTGCTTTTGTGTTTTTCAAATGGCTTAAAGTGCACAAAATTGGATTAGTCATAATCCTTAGCTCATAGTATACCTTGGCTCCTATTTCATCCTTGTTTGTGCGTGGACGTCTGTGTAAATGTATTTGAACAATATGGTAATCACTTGTGAACTTACAACACAACCAAAGAACTAGGGTTCTGACCCTAATATCTGCTCTTCCTCTGTCCTTTTTCCTGATTTTCACCCTTCAGCCCGAGGGTAACTACTACCCTGAATTTATGTTTAGGATTCTCTTCCTTTAAAAAAAACTTGTTTTATGGCATACATATGATTACCCTAAATGACATATTATTTAGTTTTTAAGGATATAATTTATTTACCCATTCTCCTATTAATTTACCCATTCTCCTATTAATGAACATTTGGCTTATTTCCAGATTTTTGCTATTATGAATGGCATTACATGAGCATTTTTTTTTTTTTTACTACTTCTGGTACATATGGGCAAGAGTTTCTCCAGGGCCTGTTGTAGAGGTATTACTTTTCCATAACATATGAGAATGCTCAAACTTATAAGATAATCCAAATTGCTTTCCAAAGCAGTTGTTCTAATTTAAACTCTCGCCTCCTGTATTAGTTCGAGATGATCTTGTTGATCCACAGTCTCTCCATAATTGGTGATATGGTTTGGCTGTGTCCACACCCAAATCCCAGCTTGAATTCTATCTCCCAGAATTCCCACGTTATGGGAGGGACCCAGGGTGAGGTAATTGAATCACAGAGACCAGTCTTCCCTGTGCTATTCTCATGATAGTGAATAAGTCTCATGAGATCTGATGGGTTTATCAGGAGTTTCTGCTTTGGCTTCCTCCTCATTTTCTCTTGCTGCTGCCATGTAAGAAGGCCTTTTACCTCCTGCCATGACTCTGAGGTGTCCCCCACCATGTGGCACTGTAAATCCAATTACAATTCTTTCTCTTTACATCTCTTTTTCTTCTCAGACTTGGGTATGTCTTTTTCAGCAGTGTGAAAACAGACTAATACAGTAAATTGATACCCGTGGTGTGGGGTGCTCCTGAAAAGATACCCAAAAATGTGCAAGTGACTTTGAAACTTGGTAACAGGCAGAGGGTGGAACAGTTTGGAGGGCTCAGAAGAACACTGGAAAATGTGGGAAAATTTGGAACCTCCTAGAGGCTTGCTGAATGACTTTGACAAAAATGCTGATAGTGTTTTGAACAATAAGGTCCAGGCTGAGGTGGTCTCAGATGGAGATGAGGAACTTGTTGTGAACTGGAGCAAAGGTAACTCTCGTTACGTTTTAGCAAAGAGAATGGCAGCATTTTGCCTCTGTCCTAGAGATTTGTGGAACTTTGAACTTGAGAGAGATGATTTAGGTTATCTGCTGGAAGAAATTTCAAAGCAGTAAAGCATTCAAGAGGTGACTTGGGTGATGTTAAAGGCCTTTGGTTTTATAAAGGAAGCAGAGCATACCGTTTTGGAAAATTTGCAGCCTGACAATGTGATAGAGAAGAAAATCCCATTTTCTGAGGATAAATTCAAGGTGTTTGCAGAAATTTGCATAAGTAACAAGAAGCTGAATGTTAATCCCAAAAACAATGGGGAAAATGTCTACAGGACATGTCATAGGTCATCACAGCAGCCCCTCCCATCACAAACCCAGGGCCTAGGAGGATAAAATGGATTTCTGGGCTGGGCCAGGTTCACTGTGCTGTGTGTAGCCTAGGGCCTTGTTTCTCTGCATTTCAGCCCCTCCAGCCATGGCTGAAAGGGGACAACATAGAACTCAGGCCATGGCCTTGAGAGTGCAAGCCTTGGCAGCTTCCACATTGTTTTCAGCCTGCACATGCATAGAAGTCAAGAATTGAGGTTTGGAAACCTCCACCTACATTTCAGAGGATGATTGAAAACACCTGGATATCCAAGCAGAAGTTTGCTGCAGGGGTGGTGCTCTGATGGAGAACCTCTGCTAGGGCTGTGCAGTAGGGAAATGTGGGGTCGGAGTCCCTACACAGAGTCCCTACTGGGGCACTTCCTAGTGGAGCTGTGAGGAGAGGGCCACTCTCCTCCAGACCCCAGAATGGTAGATTCACTGACAGCTTGCACCATGAGCCTGGAAAAGCTGCGGGCACTCAACATCAGCCCATGTAAACAGCCACGAGGTGGGCTATACCCTGCAAAGCCACAGGGGCAGAACTACCCAAGGCTGTGGGAGCCGACCTCTTGCATCAGCATGACCTTGATGTGAAACATGGAGTCAAAGGAGATCATTTTGGAGCTTTAAAATTTGACTATCTTGCTGGATTTTGGACTTGCATGGGTCCTGTAACCCCTTTCTTTTGGCCAATTGCTCCCATTTGGAACAGCTGTGTTTACTCAATTATCTGTACCTCCATTGTATCTAGGAAGTAACTAGCTTGACCTGGATTTTACAGGGTCATAGGCAGAAGAGACTTGCCTTGTCTCAGATGAGACTTTGGACAGCGGATATTTGGGTTAATGCTGAAATGAGTTAAGATTTTGGGGGACTGTTGGGAAGGCATGATCATATTTGAAGTGTAAGGACATGAGATTTGGAGGGGCCAGGAGCAGAATGATGTGGTTTGTCTATGTCCCTACCCACATCTCAACTTGAATTGTATTGCTCAGGATTCCCATGTGTTCAGGGAGGGAACCAGGGGGAGGTAGTTGAATCTTTGGGGTTGGTCTTTCCCATGCTATTCTTGTGATAGTGAATAAATCTCACAAGATCTGATGGGTTAGTGGTTTTGTCTTTGGCTTCTTTTGCCTCCTTCTCATATTCTCTTGCCACTGCCATGTAAGAAGTGCTGTTCATCCACCGCCATAACTCTGAGGACTCCTCAGCCATGTGGAATCTTAATCCAATTAAGCCACTTTTTCTTCCCTGTCTCGGGTATGTCTTTATCAGCAGTGTGAATATAGACTAATACACTTCGTATTGTCAAACTTCTTAATATTTGTGGAGAGAATAGATGTGTAGTATCTTGTGCATTTCCCTGATTAGTAATGAGGTTGAGAAAATTTTTATGTTTTGCAGGCTTTCCCTTTTGTGAAATCCCTATTAATGTCTTTTCCCAATTTTCTGTTGGGTTGCTATTTTTAAAATTAATTCATAGGAGCTCCTTATACTTATTTGATATGATATTAATCTTTCGTAGGTTTTAGGTACTGCAAATATCTTCTCTAATTTATAGTTTATCTTTTGACTTTTTACTTTTATTTTTTAATTTCTTTTTTTTTTTGTTTTTGAGACAGAGTCTGGCTCTGTCATTCAGGCTGGAGTGCAGAGTCTGGCTCTGTCATTCAGGCTGGAGTGCAGTGGCTCACTGCAACCTCCACCTCCCGGGTTCAGACCATTCTCGTGCCTCAGCTTCCCAAGTAGCTGGGATTACAGGTGTCTGCCACTAATGCCTGGCTAATTTCTTGTATTTAATAGAGATGGGGTTTCACCATGTTGGCCAGCCTGGTCTCAAACTCCTGACCTCAGGTGATGTACTGTCGGGATTACAGGATTGAGACACCGTGCACAGCCTATCTTTCCACTTTTTGATGTAAAAAGTTCTTAATTTTGTGTTAGTCAAAATGTCTAATCTTTTTTAATGGTTAAATGGCTTTTTGTGTCTCATTCACTTACATTTTCTACTAAAAGTTTTAAAGTTTTGTTTCTGACATGTAAGTCTTTGTCCATCTGGAATTTAATGTTTGTATATAGAGTGAGGCAGGAATATAATTTCATTTTGTTTCTTATATCAATAACCATTATTTTTCTATTCTATTTATTGAAAAGTCCTTTCTTTGCTTGCTGATCTGCCATGTCACCTACATCACATATCAAAGATTAAATTTGTGGAGATTTGCTTGGGAGCTCTCTATTCTGTTTCATTAGTCAGTTTATCAGTGAGGACCACACTGTCTTAATTGCTGTAGCTTTATAAAAGTTCTGATATTTGCCAGCACAAATCTTTCCTCTTCCTCAATGTCTTTGATATTCTTGGCCCTTCCCTTTTCCATATATATACATTTTTTCCATATATATATATATTTATATATATATATTTATATATATATTTATATATATTTATATATATATTTATATATATATTTATATATATATTTATATATATATTTATATATATATATTTATAGATATATTTATATATATATTAATATATATATTTATATATATATTTATATATATATTTATATATATTTATATATATTTATATATATATATTTATATATATATTTATATATATATAATTAGAGAGAGAGAGAGAGGTATCATTTTGTTGCCCAGGCTTGAGGACAGTGGTGTAATCACAGCTCACTTCAGACTTGAACTCCTGGACTCAGGAGCTCCTCCTACCTCAGCCTCCCAAGTAACTGGGACTCTAAGGCATGCACCACCACATCCAGCTAATTTTTAAAAAAAATATATTTTGCAATGATGGGGATCTTGCTATGCTGCCCAGGCTGGTCTCAAACTTTTGAACTCAAGCAATCCTCCCACCTCAGGCTCCCAAAATGCTGGGATCACAAGAGTGAGCCACCACACCTGACTTCATTTTCCATATTTTAAGACCATTTTTAAAAAGTTGCTCAAGACTGCTTTTTTCTCTTGGTGTTACTTGCAACCCCCTTACTTAGCCTTGGAAATACTGTTAGTGAAGGAAATCTAAAGAGTCAAAAAGTAAAATATTCTTTCTTTTCTTCAAATTGCAAAAGAGCAGAAACCCTCCTGAATCATAAAGCTAGTTTTGATAAATTGGTGAACTGAGAGCATACGCAGTATTATTAATTCTGTTCTAATTTCTGCTTCACTGTGGAGTGTCTTCACAGAGTCTTAAAAGATTATTGCTATGAAATATTCTTATACATGTAACACATAACCTCTACAATTCTGCAGTTGTACTTGGCTGTCTTACCTAATACTCAGTTGCTTTGCTTCATAATATTTAAATTGGCACCTCTAATTTCCAAAAGACATAAATACTAGTATAGATTTTTAGTTAAGCCAGAAGAAAGTAGACTTTATTTACTAACATAACTTATATGTAAAGTTTTAATAAATCTCCCTGCTCCTTTTCTTTTGCATCATAACAACCACTGAAAATAATATTTCTATAGCAGTTGGGGGTAAATGAGCAATGACTTTTGTGGCCAGAGGTGAATGGCCCAGGGGCTCCTGCACTCCAGGTCCCACTGAGCCTGCCACACAGCTGAGGGCATCAGCATTTCCACACACCTACAGTGCACACTGTCCCAGAACACAGATCCGATGCTCTCCTTTATTCACATGGGGAGTTGAGAGTATTGTCATTGTAAGTAAATTAATAAATACATATTTATACACTGTTAAAATCTGATTGGATTTGTGTCCCTTCACAAAACAAATTGCTTAAATGAAACCACAGATTTAACATAAATGAGTACGTTTGCTTCTATGATATGCTCTTTTAAATGGAATTGGAATCTAATTTGAAATGTGAATTAAAAGTTTAAATATTCAACTCAATTACATTTAGATTTTTGTTTTGTTTTGTTTTGAGACGGAGTTTAGCTCTTGTCACCCAGGCTGGAATGCAATGGCACAATCTCAGCTCACTGCAACCACCTTCTCCCGGGTTCAAGAAATTCTGTTGCCTCAACCTCCTGAGTAGCTGGGATTACAGGTGCCTGCCACCATGCCCGGCTAATTTTTGTATTTTCAGTAGAGATGGGGTTTCACCATGTTGGCCAGGCTAGTCTTGAACTCCTGACCTCACGTGATCCACCCACCTCGGCCTCCCAAAGTGCTGGGATTACAGGTGTGAGCCACAGCCCTCGGCCTTTTTAGATTATTTTACTTTATTTTACTTATTTTTATGACTTTATTGCAATAAAAATGCTAGCTTTTTAAGAAAATCAATCAATATAACAAAGAACATAGAAGATGAACAACAAGCATTCCCACCTCCATGATCTGGAAATAACTGTCATCAATCCAAAAACTGACACATGGTGGATCCCTTCACACCAGTTCCCAGTACAAAGTAACTCCTTGCTTGTAGAAAACATTATTATTATCATTAGTATTTTCAAGACAGAATTTGAGTCTTGTAGCCCAGGCTGGAGTGCAATGGTTCAATCTCAGCTCACTGCAACCTCTGCCTCCCAGGATCAAAGTATTCTCCTGCCTCAGTCTCCCAAGCAGCTGGAATTACAGGCATGCACCACGATGGCTTGCTAATTTTTTGTATTTTTAGTAGAGACAGGGTTTCACCATGTTGGCCAGGTTGGTCTCGAACTCCTGACCTCAGGTGATCCACTTGCCTCAACCTTCTAAAGTGTTGGGATTACAGGCATGAACCACCACACCTGGACTGGAAAACATTATTCAATGGCAAACAGTAGCAGTGTGCTTGGGGATTTTAGAATTGATTATTTTCATATGTCTAGAAAAGTTCAATGCATTACCTCAGGCTATAATCCCAGGGCAGAGTCTCATCTGTTAATAGGGGGCTGGTCTAAGGGTCCTTCCAGCTCTCAGATTAATGGTTTCCCATGATGAACTGCTCCCTGCCACCCATCCATCCTTGGTTTTGTTTATTCATTTGTTTGTTTTTACAGGACAAGGTCTCACTATATTGCCCAGGCTGGTCTTGAACTCCAGGCCTTAAGCGATCCTCCTTCCTTGGCCTCCCAAAGTGTTAGAGTTACAGATGTGAGCCTTTGTGCTCAGCCCATCCTTGGCTGTTCAAGTGTGGAGGTAAATTGTAGGTGCCAAGTTTACCTCCAGGTCAGAAGGGGCAGAAGCTCCAGGAAAGAATCATAACCCTAACCAGGCCTCCCACTGCATGAAGACCTTATTTTCTGAAGCTTAAACCTGGACAAGGGTCTGACCAGTAGCACTGTGTTCATGAATATCAGGTCAAAAATTTAAAACTGGGAGTATCCAGAAGAACATGGTAGATGCAGGTGCAGTCTGCAGTCCAATGGTCAGCCACAAAAACAGGCTACCTGTTCCTTCTCTTTATCATGGAGTCCTTGATATAAAAATCGATGACACTCTCTTGCTTCTGGTGTGCTTCCCTTTCTTCTTCATTTTCCGTAAGTAGTTTTCTCCATCCCACCTCCCAACAGGCCACAGTCAATTCAGGACATTTTAACCATGAAAATCAGTCTACATAACATGAATTTAGAGGCCAGGCAGGGTGGCCCATGTCTGTAATCCCAGCACTCTGGGAGGTTGAAGTGGGAGAATGGATTGAGCTTAGGAGTTTGAGACCAGCCTGGGCAACATGGTGAAACCCTGTCTCTAACCAAAAATAAATGAATAAAAAAAAATAAGCCATGTATGGTGGTGCATGCTACTAGTCCAGCTACTCAGGAGGCTGAGGTGGGAGGATTGCTTGAGTCAAGGAGGTCAAGTCTGAAGTGGGCCAAGATCATGCCACTGCAATCCAGCCTGGGCAACAGAGTGAGACCTTATCTCAAGAGAAAAAAAAGATTTATAGGACAGACTGACTCTCTTATTACAAGCCAATGCTCATTTGCCATTCCATAAATCCTAGGGCACCTTGTAAGAATTATGCCAAATCTACTCTACCCGTGCTCTATAAATGGATTCACTATTGTAGATGCCACTAAGAACATTCATGATTCACCAGAGGAGGTAAAAATAACAGCATTAATAGGAGTTTGGAAGAAGTTCATTCCAACCCTCATAAATGACTTTGAGGGGTTCAAGACTTTAGCAGAGGAAGTAACCACAGTTGTGGTGAAGATAGCAAGAGAAGTAGTATTACAAGTGGAGCCTGAAGATGTGAGTGAACTGCAGCAATATATATATATATTTTTTGAGATGGATTTTTGCTCTTGTTGCCCAGGCTGGAGTGCAATGGTGCGATCTCAGCTCACTGCAACCTCCGCCTCCTGGTTTCAAGCGATTCTCCTGCCTCAGCCTCTCGAGTAGCTGGTATTGTAGGCATGTGCCACAACACTTGGCTAATTTTGTATTTTTAGTAGAGACAGAGTTTCACCATGTTGGTCAGGCTGGTCTCGAACTCCCAACGTCAGATGATCTACTCACCTCAGCCTACAAAAGTGGTGGGATTACAGGCATGAGCCACCACACCTGGCCAAATTGCTGCAATCTTAATGGATGAAGAGTTGCTTATTATGAATGAGCAAAGAAAGTGGTTTCTTGGGATGGAATCTACTCCTGGTGAAGATGCCGTGAACATTGTGGAAAGGACAACAAAGGACTTAGAATATTCCATAAACTTAGTTGATAGAGGAGTGGCAGGTTTTGAGAGGATAGGTTCCAGTTTTGTTATAAATTCTACTGTGGGTAAAATGCTACCAAACTGTACAGCATGCTACCGTGAAATCTTTTGTGAAAGCAAGAGTCAGTCAATGCCGCAAACTGCATTGTCATGTTATTTTAAGATATTCCCACACCCTCTCCAGCCCTCAGCAACTATCACCCTGATCAGTCAGTAGCTATCAACACTGAGTCAAGACCATCCACCAGCAAAATGATGATGACTTGCTGAAGGCCCAGATGATGGTTAGCATTTTTTGGCAATCAAGTATTTTCAAAATAAGGTATATACATTATATTTCAGACATAATGCTATTGCACACTTCATTGACTACAGTAGTTTAAACATAACTTTTTTTTTGAGATGGAGTCTCACTCTGTTGCCCAGGTTGGAGTGCAGTGGTGTGATCTTGTCTCACTGCAAACTCTGCCTCCCAGGTTCAAACAATTCTCCTGCCTCAGCCTCTTGAGTAGTTAGGAATACAGGTGCTTACCACCATTTTTGTATTTTCACAGGGTTTTCCCATGTTGACCAGGCTGGTCTCGAACTTCTGACCTCTGGTGATCCACCCGCCTCAGCCTCCCAATGTGCTGTGATTACAGGCATGAGCCACCATGCCTGGCAACATAACTTTTATATGCACCAGAAAGCAAAGAATTTCTTGTGACTTGCAAAAAATTTCATGTGACTTGCTCTATTGTGATATTCACCTTATTGTGGTGACCTAGAACCAAACCTGCAATATCTCCAAGGTGTGCCTGTACCCCTGAAAGCAGAGCTGGAGAAAAGACTTGGGTGTGGATAGTTTATTTGGGAAGTGATTCCAAGAAGCAAGAGTGAGATGTGGGAAGAGTGAACCAGGCAAGAAAATAAAGCCAAAATAATGGCATGCTACTGAGGCTGCTCCCATGCACTTTTTTTCTGCAGGACTTTCCGAGAGGCTCTGGAAAGTTATCCAGGACTGTCCACCTGAAACATGAGCCTCGAGCATTTGCCCACCTGTCCCACACTGGTTGAGGTCTTCCCCTGAGGCTGTTAACCTGCAAGTGTTTCTGGGCTGTATTTGTGCTCAGGCAAAATCCTACAATAGTGGAGACGTCCCGGGGCGGAAAGTGTAGCTTGAGTTTGCTGGCAGCACAAAGGAAGCCTGTGCTTCAGTGGAACTCCCCACGGTGGCTGAGACTCAATGAAAGGTGTGCTGAGAAGACATGACGCAGTCGTCATTGCACGGAGGAATCGTAGCCATCGATCTTGGCAAGAGGACCACCGCCCTGAATCCTGCGCTTGAGAAGGTGCCTCTCTGTCTGGGCACTCAGGCCCCTGGCCAAATGTGCCTGACCCTGCATGGCCTCTTTCCTGGGTCCATTTCAAAGTGCAAACTGTGTTTGTCCAAATGGTGCCCAAGGCTCTGCTGTCTGAAGGGGTGAGAATTGTGTATGGAGCTTGCATGAGGCCTAGGGAGTTCCCCACACAGGGGTATGCAAGGCTTCTCAAGTAAGGAAAGGGATAGCTATGACGAAAGAAAAAAGTTTAGCCTGGGGTTGAGGATCAGCTCTCCCTTTACTACCACATTCCCATGCAGAGCACCAAGAAATCAGAGAATTCTACACTCGACTTTGACCTTGTGGGTTATTATGGCAGTATATTTATTGAAGTAGAAGAATAGAATGTATTTAGCTATTTTTTAGCTTCATTTATAATTCATCATTATTTAGACATAATGCAAATGTGGGCTGGAATTCATGTTCTGATTTTTGTGGCCTTGAGCTAAGGAAAAGGGACCCAGGAAATGGGCTTTATGTGTTGGATGGCTTCATGGAATCCCCAACTTCATTAGCTTCTATGATGACTCAAGATTGTTACTAAAATCCACTTTTAATTATCTTTAAAAACCAAGGGATATTATGTAGCTCAGCGGTTAGATGGCACTTGACTCAAAATATCTATGAAGCAAAGGATATAAATGACTAAGAGCAGGAGGATCATTACCTGAAGGGGTGGAGAGTTGATCTCAGGTTATGACCTGAGAGATCCTTCCTGCTGGCTCAGTGCTGACTGAACGTGGGGCAGGAGAGCCCCAGGAGCAACACGTATCTGGGATAGGAGGGAATGCTGGGAGGAAGGAAAGGGAAATAAGCCCTTTTTGTTTTTATTGATACATGACAATTATAATTATTTCTAGGGTACACGTGATATTCTGATACATGCATACAATGTGTAGTCATCAAATCAAGATAATTTGCATTTCCATCACCTCAAACATTTATCATTTATTTGTGTTAGGAAAATTCCACATCTTTCCTCTAGCCATTTTGAAATGTATAATAAGTTATTGTTAACGATCATCACCCTACTGTACTATTGAACACTAGAACTTCTTCTGTTCTTTCCATCTAACTGTATTTTTGTGCCCATTAACCAACTTCTGGGAAGGGTAAAAGAGTGGGTGGATGAAAAGGGCCCTTCTTAATGCAAAGAAAACCTTACAAGAAGGAAAGACATCTTAGGAGGAGAAATAAAAAGGTGGACCCTGGACTTAGAGTAGGGACTGCAGAAATTGAATGGCAAAGAAAAAACCAACTTAGCAATGTAAAAATAAATCTCAATGTCATTCCTTTCACAGGTCCAATGTCTGATATTCTTTTGGCAAGCTGGATATGAAGTAGGAATCTTTCTTTGAGTCATACATTTTCATGATTATGATTGTTATTGAATAATAGCTGACAATTGTTGAGAGCAATTATTGAGGACAATTGAGCTTTCACAAGCTCTTTTCAAAGGACTTTACATATATTTCTCCACTTCTAACTGTTAGATATTCTTATTATTCCCATTTTGTAGATGAGGGATGCACAGGCATAAAGCCTATGTGGAGGCAGAGAGCAGCTAAGTAACCTGACCATGGCCCAACAGCAAACAAATGATGGGGCCACATGCAAATCCAGGAGAACCCCTCTATTATATGAAGCTCAATGTTTTCTTGTTTGAATCTTGTTATGAATACACCTATTTGCAAAGGGGTTTTGAAGCTACATTAAAATATTCTGTGGTTGTGCGCGGTGGCTGATGCCTATAATCCCAGCATTTTGGGAGACCAAAGTGGGCAGATTGCCTGAGCTCAGGAGTTTGAGACCAGCCTGGCCAACATGGTGAAACCCTGTGTCTACTAAAAATACAAAAAAAAAAAAAAAAAATAGCTGGGCGTGTTATTGTGCACCTGTAATCCCAGCTACTCTGGAGGCTGAGGCAGGAGAATCGCTTGAACCCGGGAGAGGAAGGTTGCAGTAAGCCGAGATCGTGCCACCCCACTCCAACCTGGGTGACAGAGTGAGACTCTGTCTCTAAATAAATAAATAAATAAATAAGATTGAATTTCGAGCCCCTGACCATGTCCCCAGATTGTACTCATATGTATTTTGATGTCTTCTAAGATTTATTCTTAGTGCATTTTTTAAGTTAAAGTATTTACTGAGCATCTACTGTACATCACGTGCTGAGATAGGCATCAGCGGTGCAGGGAACATATGGCACAGTCTCTGCCCTCAAGTAACTTTCACTCACCACATATATTTATTAGGACACCGATACATGTGTGAATATAAGATATTAGGATAGACATTGCAACAAATAATTATTTACTGTAAACCTATTTCATAGGATTTTAATCTTAAAGTACTTTCAACCTATTTCCAAAAAATATGTATTGCATAACTTTAAAGGGATTCTTAGTTTGAAATCACCATATGAACTGCAGTAGCATCTGCTGGTGAAATACTGCTTTGTGTCTATTAGAATTGTCCAAACAATTGGGAGAGAACTGCATTATTAGAGCTGTAAAAGTTACTGTCTAGTAATCTCAGAAAAGAAGAGGAAGTTCTATGGTAGATGAATAAGATGACATCTAAACTGTTCTCTTAAGCTACTGAAGTTCTGTGGACATCTCACAGCACAAAGTTCAAATGTATGCCCACAAATCCTCATGCCACAAGATGTGACACCTTTCCAATCTCTTTTTGCAAAACTTTCCAATTCTGTCTCTTGTAAGAGTACTTTCTATACCCACATATTCTGGATTTTGTGGTGCACACAAAGACAAGATGGGAAGGGGGCTTCCATTTGTTGATGCCAGCTGCTCTATGGACCAGGCCCTGCCCATGCATCCTTGTTGGTTCTTTTATCCCTACATCAGCCATAGCCCATAGGCATTAACCTCCATTGTACAGATGAAGAAATTGAAACTCTAAGAGAATATGCAATTTACCCAGAGTCATGCAGCTTGTGTATGTAAGAGTTGGAATGAAAATCCAATCTGAGAATGCAGTAAACTATCGCAAGAACAAAAAACCAAACACCGCATATTTTCACTCATAGGTGGGAATTGAACAATGAGAATATGTGGACACAGGAAGGGGAACATCACACTCTAGGGACTGTTGTGGTGTCGGGGGAGGGGGTGGGATAGCTTTGGGAGATATACCTAATGCTAGATGACGAGTTAGTGGGTGCAGCGCACCAGCATGGCACATGTCTACTTATGTAACTAACCTGAAGATTGTGAACATGTACCCTAAAGCTTAAAGTATAATAATAAAAAAAAGAACAAAAAAGAAAATACAATCTGAGTCTCAAGTCCCCTTCCACAATATGGTATCCATTTCATTTTGCAATCACCTTAGCTGGGATATATGTCTGCCCTAAAAGATAGTAAGTAGGAATACTTGTCTCTATACCTTAACCTAACATCCATGGGCTTCGTTTTTGTATTTGGAGGTGTCATAACATTATAATAATTTGATTTTATTTGAATAGTGAGTATTATACTACTCAGTCTAGAGATCTGTGACATCCCAGTCTAAACTGGATGATAGCAATGAAGTTTCTTCAAGGAGACAAGTATGAGTAATAAGGTAGAAATAAGTTGAATTTTTATGGAGTTGCTATTTCTGAATTTAAAGCTAGCTGAGGTTAAGTAGATATTCAAAAAGATCACTATAATCTTCACTTGAATAATACAAACATTTATTATTTTCTACCTGTTTATTTATGGAACAAAGATGCAATTTTAAAACAGAATATTTGCAAATTGTATTAAAATATATTAAAAACATAATACATTATCACCCAATAGGGTTGTTCACAGTAACTCAGTGTTAGTTTAAAATGTGAAATTCAATCAATATAATTCACCATAGAATATAGTGTGTATGTCAGTATAATGTATATCAACATTGGAAAGAAGTAAATTTATCTTTGTTTTTTAGTAAGATGAGATTAAAATTTTAGGAAATTTCAACTTTCATTTTAGATTCCGGAGGGTACCTGTGCAGGTTTATTACATGGGTGTATTATGTGATGCTGAGATTTGCGGTATGAATGAAGGTGTGAGTGCCTGTCTTGAATTTGCACCCAGAGCAATCTCCCCTGATCAGCAGAGGGTAAACTAACTTGAATTACACTTGAATTTCTTAGTAGAGCATGTCACAAAGGGCAAATTGTGGTCCAGAGACAAAAGTGTCCAACGGTCTAAAATGAGCCTGCCATATCACTTAGGGTACAGGTCTTAAGACAAATACATTTCAGAAAGGGGTCAAACCCTTGTTTAAAGACAAATGTAAGCTGGCTGTGGAGGCACACGTCTGTAGTTCCAGCTACTCAGGAGGCTGAGGCAGGAGGATCCCTTGAGTTCAGGAGTTTAAGATCAGCCTGGACAACATAGGAAGATCCCATCTCAATTTTTAAAAATGAGAAAAAAATAGATAAACTTAAGCATATTAAAATTTTAAAGAGTTTCTTAAGCAAACAGAGATTCATGGATCAGCCAGCTCCAAACTGAAAGTGGTTGGAGGATCTACTGGAGGCGTTTGTAGGGAAGGCTTTTATAGGGTGAATGTAGAAGTAGAGAAATTATTTGTTTGGCAAAAATTTGGGCAGTTGCATTATTTGAACTATCCTGGTGGTAGGTCTCTCATTACACAGCTAATACTCAGCGGGCCACTTGGTGGGCTAAGGTTGTTTCATTTTGTCTATGTAGGAACCCAGGCCATGGGAGCTATCTCAGCCTAATGCTCTCCCATTACGTTATTTTACACCTCTCTGTATCAGGGTAAGCGGGGATCTTCCCCACGAGGCTTCTTACCACCCTGTTTCCCTCAGCAAAATGAAACTGTCCCTTTTGCCTCTGTAGGCAATCTTCTGAACAGGGCTTTCCTAATATTCTTAGCTCATCTTATTTTATCTTATCCTCTTCTCTGTACCCTGTTTACATGCTTCTGGAACACTTGTGTGTCTTGCACACATCCCCTGCATTATTTAGGCAATCCTAAAAGAAGACCACTAGGATGGATTGGTAGAGAACTGCTGGCATATTGAGCCCTCTCTCCTTGTATCTGGAACTTTCATAATTACCTTTGTTCTCCAGACCAATTTTGCAATTATCTTCATTCTCCACTTCAAAATACATTTACCTCTGACAGAAGCTGAGCACATAAAAGGGACCTTGTCCAGTGGTACATATGAGGCAGGAGACATGATATAGTTAAAATTATAAACTAAAAGCTTTCTGACACCAAAAGCATAAGTAACAAAAGAAAAAAATAAGTAAATTGGACTTCACCAAAATTTAAAACTTTTGTGCAATCAGAGGACAACTGGCAGAATGGAAGAAAATATTTCAAAATATATCTTTGATAAGGGATCAATATGCAGAATATATAAAGAATTCTTACAACTCAACAATTAATAAACAACCCAATTAAAAAGTAGGCAAAGGACTTACATAGAGAATTTCCCAAAAAAGATATACAAGTGGCCATCAAGCACATGAAAGATGCTCAACATGACTGATTACTAAGGAAATGCAAATCAAAACCATAGTAAGATATCACTTCATACATATTAAGATGGCAATCATCAAAAAAGCAGGGAATAACAAATGTTGGTGAGGATGTAAACAAGTCGAAACTCTTGTACATTGCCCGTGGACTCTACAGCGATATAGTCATGGTGGAAAAGAGTACAGTGGTTCCTAAATTAAAAACAAATGGAACATAGGCTGGGCTCAGTGGCTCATGCCTGTTATCCCAGCACTTTAGGACACCGAGGCAGCCAGATCACGAGGTCAGGAGTTCAAGACCAGCCTGACCAACGTGTTGAAACCTTGTCTCAACTAAAAATACAAAAATTAGTTGGGCGTGGTTCTGTGTGCCGGTAATCCCAGCTACTCAGGAGGCTAAGGCAGCAGAATCATTGGAATCTGGGAGATAGAGGTTGCCGTGAGCCATGAGAGTCAGACTCCATCTCAAAAATAAATAAATAAATGAATAAATAAATAAATAAATACAAATGAAACATAGAATTACTATGTCAGTCAGCAAGTCCACTTCTGGGTTTAAACCCACAAAAATTGAAAGCAGGGACTTCAACAGATATTTGTAAATTCATGTGTATAGCAACATTATTCATGACAGCCAAAAGGTGGAAGCATTCATTGACAGAGGAATGGATAAACAAAATGTGGTATAGATATACAGTGGAATACTACTTAGACTTAAAAAGGGACATTCTGTGGAATGTGGCTTGAAAACCACTTCTGTAAGGTGTTGTGTAAATGTACAAAATCCAAACCAGGGTAATAACCTCAAAATATAAAATTTAACTTATAATATTAAGACCCTGATAAATTTCACTCTCTGCTTCATAGCAAATAATTTGTTTTGAATGCAGGTATATTTTGTTAAGTAGAAAACTGTGCACTAAAATATAGTGCTTAAACCAAAATCCTATGTATAAAACCACATATTTTCTATTGATTTGCATTTTTTAAATGTAAAAATGGATTCACATTTCTGTGTGTAAAATGCCAGACTCAAAATACTTTTACTGCTATGATTCCATGTCTTATTTACTGAGGAGGCAAACCATACTAACCCAGAATCATGGTATTGTGACCATCCATTTTAAATATAATTGCCTCTACTATTTCTAAGTCCCTGTTCTGCAACCCTGTGGCTCTTTTAAATTTGAGAAACAGTTTTGATGGGCCCTGTATTGAGTATTATTATTTCCCAGAGGTACTATTAATAGTTTATGGCCAGACCATCCATCCCTGAGTTTCCATTAAAAGAAAGAGGGTCTATGGCACTGTAACTTTTTCCCACCATTGACCATCTGCCCTTGCTCCTCAGGAGCTCCCCGTGCCTCCCTGTGTATGTCTATCCCTGCAAATGCCAAGGATATGGAATAAGTGAGCCTACTGCCCCTGTGGCACTGCAGGGGGACTCCTTGGTGAAGTGTCTACATCTATCTGATGTCTCCTCACTTCTTCAATCTGCTCGCTAATGTAGAATTAGGTCAGGCACAAGCTATCACAAAAAAAAAAGGAAACATAGAGTGTTTGATGTCCACAAATGTATTCACTGTAGGTAACTTAGAAATACATATGCACAAAATCCAAACCAAATATACACCCTAAATATCACCACTAGAAACAACTATTTTGGAATACTTATAGTACTCTCATTATTATTTTAATTAGTCATTTGTGATCTCTTTTACTTAAAACGTAAAAACTGAGTACTAAATGATTTTTTAAGATACGCAACTGGTAGAAAAACCTAATCTACTATTTTCACAAAACTTCAACACAATAAACACTTATTACAAAAGTGGAAGCATTCCCTTTGAAAACTGGCACAAGACAAGGATGCCCTCTCTCACCACTCCTATTCAGCATAGAATTGGAAGTTCTGTCCAGGGCAATCAGGCAAGAGAAAGAAATAAAAGGTATCCAATAGGAAGAGAGGAAGTCAAATTGCCTCTGTTTGCAGATGACATGACTGTATATGTAGAAAACCCCATCGTCTCAGACCCAAAACTCTTTAAGTTGCAAAGTATCAGGATGCAAAATCAAAGTGAAAAAATCACATGTATTCATATACACCAATAATAGACAAGCAGAGAGCCAAATAATGAGCCAATTCCCATTTACAATTGCTACAAAGAATAAACTACCAAGGAATAGAACTTACAAGGGACGTGAAGGACCTCTTCAAGGAGAACTACAAACCACTGCTCAAGAAAATAACACAGGAAACAAACAAATGGAAAAAAAAAGTCCATACTCATGGATAGGAAGAATCAATATAATGAAAATGGCCATACTGCTCAATGTAATTTATAGATTCAATGCTATTCCTATCAAGCTACTATTGACTTTCTTCACAGAATTAGAAAAAAAAAAAAACTTTAAATTCCATATGGAACCAAAAAAGAGTCCATATAGCCAAGATAATCCTAAGCAAAAAGAACAAAGTTGGAGGCATCACGCTACCTGACTTCAAACCGTACTGCAAGGCTATGGTAACGAAAACAGCATGGTTTTGGTACCTAACAAATATATAGACCAATGAAACAGAACAGAGACCCCAAAAATAATACCACACATGTACAACCATCTGGTCTTCCACAAACCTGACAAAAGCAAGCAACAGAGAAAGGATTCCCTATTTCATAAGTGGTGCTGAGAAAACTGGCTAGCCATATGCAGAAAACAGAAACTGGGCCCCTTCCTTACATCTTATACAAAAATTAACTCAAGACATATTAAAGACTTAAAACCAAAAAAACCCTAGAAGAAAGCCTAGCCAATACCATTCAGGATGTAGGGATGAGCAGACTATGACTAAAACACCAAAAGCAATTGCAACAAAAGCCAAAATTGACAAATGGAATCTAATTAAACTAAAAAGCTTATGCACAGCAAAAGAAACTACCATCAGTGTGAACTGGCAACCTAAAGAATGGGAGAACATTTCTGTGATCTACCCATTGGACAAAGGTCTAATATCCAGAATCTACAAGGAACTTAAACAAATTTACAAGAAAAAAACAATCCCATCAAAATGTGGGTGAAGGATATAAGCAGACCCTTCTCAAAAGAAGACATTGAGGGCCGGGCATGGTGACTCACACCTATAATCCCAGCACTTTGGGAGGCCGGGGTGGGTGGATCACCTGAGGTCAGGAGTTCAAGACCAGCCTGGCTAACATGGTGAAACCCTGTTTCAACTAAAAATACAAAAAATTAGCTGGACATGGTGATGCATGCCTGTAATCCCAGCTACTTGGGAGGCTGAGGCAGGAGAATCACTTGAACCCAGGAGGCGGAGGTTGCAGTGAGCCGAGATCGTGCTGTTAACTGCTCCAGCTTGGGCAACAAGAGCAAAAATCCAACTCAAAAAAGAAAAGGGCATTTATGCAGTCAACAAACTTATGAAAAAACACTCATCATCACTGGTCATTAGAGAAATACAAATCAAAACCACAGTGAGATACCATCTCATGCCAGTTAGAATGATGATTATTAAAATGTCAAGAAACAACAGATTCTGGCAAGGCTGTGGAGAAATAGGAATGCTTTTACACTGTTGGTGGGAATGTAAATTAGTTCCACCATTGTGGAAGACAGTGTGGCAATTCCTCAAGTATCTAGAGCCAGAAACACTATTTCACCCAGCCATCTCATTATGGGGTATATACCCAATAGATTATAAATCATTCTACTATAAAGACACATTCACACATATGTTTATTGCAGCACTATTTACAATATCAAATATTGGAACCAATCCAAATGTCCATCAATGATAGTCTGGATAAAGAAAATGTGGCATGTATACACCATGGAATACTATGCAGCCATAAAAAAGAACGAGTTCATGTCTTTTGCAGGGACATGGATGAAGTTGGAAGCCACCATTCTCAGCAAACTAACACAGGAACAGAAAAACAAACACTGCATTTTCTCATTCATTAATGGGAGTTGAACAATGAGAACACATGGACACATGGAGGGGAATATCTCACACCAGGGCCTGTCGGGGGGTGTGGAGCAAGAGGCGGGAGAGCATTAGAATAAATACCTAATGCATGTGTGGCTTAAAACCTAGATGATGGGTTGATAGGTGCAGCAAACCACCATGGCACATGTGTACCTATGTAACAAACCTGCATGTTCTGTACATGTTCTGTCCCAGAACTTAAAGAAAAAAAATAAAAGAGAGAAAATCTCTTAAAACTTCATAGAATCTCTATCTTTATTAATACAGTCAGCATACAATAAGGTAATCATAAAAGTATCATGAGAAATAAAATTTCATGAAAGCATATGTTTGTAGAAATAGCTCGTTTCAGGAAAAACATAGTCTTATTTTTAAAAAATTGTCTCATAATATTTTATGGCATAAAATATCTTCTTTTCTGCCAGCCATGTATATCTTTACAGAATACACATAGTAATCAACTAATAGGCAATCCTCATCAGGATCAATGAAAATCAATTGTTAAAGTAATATAAATTAATATACATTTATAAGGGAATTTCCATGAATTATCTTTTGGACCAAAAAACTATCTAGTCTGTAAATGGATCAGGTGTAGTGCATTTACAGGGTAGGTACTGAGGCCGGAAATATTCAAGAGAGAGATTCGGACTTCAGAAAGACGAACTTGAGAGAGTTAGCTGCAGAGCAAAAGCACTAATTCAGGACTGGTGGAATAGGATAGCATAGAAAAGACATGGGGAAGAAGAGAATATTTGTTTCCATGCATGCATGTATTGATACAAGCAAGCTTCCATCAAAAAATGACTTTCTTCTAAAGGTCCATATGGCATAAACATTAACACTTTTCCTTTACTGCCTCACAGATCAGCTTTTCTTCCAAAGATTCTCTTTCTGGAAAAGTAAAGTCCAGAAAGAGAAATATTTAATTGTTATAGTCATAAAAATTATAATTAGTCACTAATGCTGCAGTCAGGGTAGAAGAGAGAGAAGTTCCAACTTTAGCCATACTTTCATCAAGTTTTCCTTCTACTTTTAAAGACAAGCATACAGGAATGAAAGTGAGTGTTGTTATTCTGGAGAAATTCTCTTAAATTTATGAAAGAACAAATTACTCATAATTATGAGATTTTGTAATCAGTAATACATTTCTTATTATAGTTTTTATCACTGTGCGTCAACTGAGAAGGTTGAGACTTTCTGCTCAACATGATACCATATTACAGTCATGCACCACATAACAATGTTTCGTCAACGACAGACTTGTATATACGATGGTAGACCCATACGACTATCTTACTGTATTTTACTGTACCTTTTCTATGTTGATGTTTGCTTAGAAACACAAATATCTACCATTGTGTTACAATTGCCTACAGTATTGAGTAAAGTAACATGCTATAAAGTTTTGTAGCCTAGGAGCAATAGGCTATACCATATTGCCTAGTTGTGTAGTAGAGGGCTGCAGTTTAGGTTAGTGTAAGTACACTCTATGATGTTTGCAGGAAAATGAAATTGCCCAACAACGCATTTTTCAGAAAGTATCTCTGTTATTAAGTGATGCATGATTTTATTCCCCCTCCCTTCTTACTCACCTGACTCCTCATTTTTTCATACCTTGCTTAACTCATCATTTGTCAATTCTAGCCAGTTCTTACTCCTCTGCAGTGTATTTAACATTCATCCTTTCACTATCATTTCCATTGTCATGTCTCATATTTCTATTCTCTGTCATCTAGAAAATTCCAAAGTTTCCATGACATGGCACATTGGGGCCTGAGAATATTTATATGTACATTTTCCACTTCTATTGCACTCTGTCATGAAATTCAATAACCACAGTAGTTCCTTGTTCAAAAGCCACCAATAGCTTTAAAGCACTTATCTAAAAGTGTTCAAGTAGCCTGGTCAAATATCAACATAGCTTACAGGGATTTCACTCTTATTCTACATAAAGGTTATGATTTAATCTGGACATATCATGTTCTTTCCTGATTCTTATCAGACCATTTCTTCTGTCCTCTGAAATATAGATTTCATGTGGCCGGAAAATTTTTCTTTTTTGTTCTCTGCTATACTCACGGTCCCTAATGATGTGCAAATATTAATAGTGAGAATTTTTTAATGAATTGGTTCATAAATATATGAATATTTCAAATAGTTTTGTCCCATTTTTTAACCTCTGGAAATCCCCCACTTTTTATTTTTGAATGCCGTTGACCACAGTGAGTGGTTTGGTCTCATCATAAGGGAAGATGGATCAGAATGAGTAAGAATTCTTTGATGAGTTTCAGGAAAGTGGAAAGATGTCCTGTTATTGTTTATTCAACAAATGCTTACTGACTAACTCCTGTGTTCAAGGACCTGATTCTGTTGTTTCTATCTTTAAAGCCTTCAAAATCTAGAACTTGAGATAGAAAGAAAACCTACTTAGGACACGTTGTTTATTTCAATATTTTGATATTAATCATAAAATAAAATGAAAAAACACAGAAGTCAGTTATTTTATTTACTTGAATACATTGGAGAATCTCTGAATAGGTCACTTAGAAGCCAGATTTGAAGAACGAGTTGAAATTTACTGGAGACAGAAATAGAGGAAGGGAACAGTTAGAAGATAGCCCATGAGTGGAATTAAGAATTTTCAGACCAGTTGTGGTGGCTCATGCCTGTAATTTCAGTACTTTGGGAGGCTAAGGTGGGAAGATCACTTGAGGTCAGGAGGTCAAGACCAGCCTGGTTAACAGAGTGAGACCTCATCTCTACAAAAATGAAAAGCAAAAAATTAGCTGGGTGTGACTGCACACCCTTGTAGTCCAAGTTATTCTAGAGGCTGAGGTGGGAGGGTTGTTTGAATCCAGGAGTTCAAGGCTGTAGGGAACCATGATTACACTACTGTATTCCCCCAGGCTAGGAGATAGAACACAACCCTGTCTCTTAAAAAAATATGACTTTGAAACATTATGATAAAGTCCTGAAAGTGCTCTTAGTTGCCCATCCGTTTGCACAATGGAATAGCATGTGCTGTGATAACAGAAGTGTAGGGTGCCATGAGAGCCAATTGGAAGATTATCGTACCTGGATTACAGGAAGAAATAAGGGAAAGCAACAAGGAGGATCAGGGAATGTAGAAGCTGACACATTGCAGGTGACTCAAACGTAAGTGGGAGAAGAAAGAATAGGTAAAGGTCTACCTAAAAAAAAAGAAAATAAACAGCATCAAATTTAAGAATTTATAAAAATTTATTTAAAAAAGCAAGATATATGAGGGTAACAATAACAATAAAATCATAAATCATAAAAAATATAATTGCAAAATCCTGACTGGCTTGTTTAAAAAAGAAACGATAAGAAAATAGATAAGTTTCAATAAAATTTAATTGAGACAAAGTACACATTTAAAAATTAGAAATAAAGCATATAACAACAGATGTGAAGGTATTTAAAGTTGATACTATGATATATTAATATTTTAAGTCTTAATAAAATAGATAATTTAACTTTATTAGGTGAATACAGCAATAACAAAGTAGTATATACTAAAAAAGAGTAACTTTTCTCCAAAAAAACCTTTACAAGCAATGGACTTATAGATTTCCTTCAATAATCAAGAAATGTGAAATGTCAACAAAATGTCCAATGACATAGAAAAATGGGTGGGAAACAAATTTTTAACAAAACTTTTGTAAATCTGATACATAATCTGATAATGGCAACAGTGAAGAAAATCACAGAACTTCTTTCAGATAAACATATGGAAAATCTTAGAAAAACTTACCAATATGTTAATAGAAAGTAATATGAAAATCAGAATAAATATCATAAAGTTATTGAACAAAACTCAAGAGTGATTTCTGATTAAAAAGAAAAATACAGTTATAGGGAAAAGTGGAATTACTAACACCTGACTAATATATTAAGGATGCCAATCTAAAATTTGCTAATAGCATCATATTTACAAAATCATAACTATTAACATGAGAAGGAATGTAAGATTTAATAATTAGCATTATATTACAATTCTGGGAATTCTGATCAATGCAATAAAATATCAAGCAGAAATAACTAATTCAAAAGAGGTGATAACATATTATTTACAAATATTACAAGTATAAGGAACCTTAAAATGATCATTTTCTATAATTTATTATAGTAAATTGTTTAAGTCTACCTTAGGAAAATAACACTAAGAGAAAATGTTAACAAAAATATCTTTGGAGTTATTTATGTTAACAAAATTTGGAAAAGCCTAAATATTTAGCTAGAAGGAAATGGTACATTGATATAGACTGGCATTAAACTTAGTTTCTTGATTTGATTAAACTTAGTTTCTATGAGACATTTGTATCATTCAAAGTTGTATGTATAGACACTGACTGAAACACAAAGTGGGTTATAATATTGAATATGTAATATAATGGCAACCATGAAGAAAATATCAGAGAACCAAATGGAAGGAAAAGAGCAGAACCTGAATAATGATTACCTTTGGACAGTGGGATCTTAGTTCCTTTTCCTCTTCCTACTAATTTAAAATTTGCAAATTTATTACCTTGAGAATATGAGAATACATTATACTTATAATTAGAAAACATAAAATGAGTGCTAAATAAACAATATACCAAATTCTGTTTAGAATTCACTTCCCCAAGAAACTTTCCTGGATTAATCCCACTGGCATTGATCATTATTTTATATGGCACTCTCATACTTATGTATTCAGTTTCTACCATATTATTTTGCATGTTTTAAAAAGTCAATTTATAAGCATAATTATGGCATTTCTACATTTATATAGTGTAGTCTCCAAACTGAATTATAAGCTTGAGGATATGAGGAACCACAGTGTATTTCCAACTATATTTATACAATAAATCATGTGGTACTTTTCACAGAGTGAATGTTGTTAACTTACTGAACACCTGATGAAACATGGGAAAGACGGCAATGTCTGACAAGAGGAACAGACGTGAAATAAAACCCAACATTCTGTATAATTCTTATTGTCTCTTAACCCTACTTGTTGAATTATGAAAACTACATATACAAAAATTTGAGCATTATACTCTTTAGCTGTACATTATCATTTCAAAGCAAACTTATACATGGCTCTCACTATTACAATAATCTTCCTACTGTAAAAACTTTTAAGCTGTAACTTTCTGCCATTACTACATTACCTTCATATTAATTTATGCCATACTTCTTTCTGAATTTCTGTCAATATTCATCTGAAGTATTTTTGTGTAAAAATTAGATAGTAACAGGAAAATAGATAACTGCTTCTAATAGGTAGAAGTCATTAATACAGCTTTGCCTATTAACACATACACACTATTTCTTCATGTCCCAGATGTTCAGGTATATGGGAATGAAACAAATTAATGAGTTGGAACCTCTTGATTCAGTTATTCTGGTGACAAATAATCTGTATAGCTCATGGACGATTGTTTTACCCTTGACAAAGTGGCTGCAATTGTTACTTACAGATGTAGCCACATTTAATTTCTTTTCTCCACTCCCCACTGCATTGTATTTGTTATTCTTGATATGAGAAATGTGTTAAGAAACATGCCACTAACTGCATGTGCTCCCCATACAATTAGCTACAGAAATAAGTGATAACTCATATTATTTACAAATATTACAAGTATAAACCTTAAAATAATCATTTTCTATAATTTGTTATCAATTGTTAAGTTTATTTTAACAATTATCAATTAGCTACAGAACACGAGTAGTGTTTCTTACTTTAGCCAGATGTAAACATGTGATGTGGTAATATAGTGAAGAATATTATTCACTTCAGGGGATAGGGCTTTGGTCAAGAATTTTGAGAAACTCTTGAAAAAGGAAAAGAAAATCCCCCATGATAGTAATACAATTCCAAAAGCAAAAGGAGAAAAAATGTAAATGTATTAAATCAAAAAATGTTTTAAGGTAAGGCAAAAGTAGGTATAGAATGGTGAGTCACATACAAATTGTGAAAGTGAGTAATGACCCAGAAATCAAAGGAGAGGGAAAAATATGGTAGGTGAATATGGTTGCAATGCTAATTAAAAAATGTTATTAGCAGCTAGCTCAATTCAAGTTTTGAATAAATAGAAATAGAGTGTTTATAATGGTACACTTAATCTACTGGTGACAATATTAAGATAATTGTTGAAATATACTTAAAAGAAGTTAGTGAAAGCAGAGAATGAAAGACTATTGAACTTTTCTGGTCTGTTGTGTAAAAATTTGCCTATATCCAACATACAGGCACAAAAATAAAATACTGGAAATAGAGAGCAAATCTTGGCCATTCAAATGAGAGTCAGCTATTAATTCTTTGGCCATAGGCTATATTCCTACAAGCGAACTTTGGCTAAAATATGCGATTCAATACAGATACTCATTTTTCAAGGGTTTACAACCTGTTTGAGTCCATTTGGACTGCTGTAACAAATTACCTTAGACTGGGTAACTTATAAACCAAATTTATTATTCTCAGTTCTGGGGGTTGGGAAGCCCAAGATCTAGGTGCCAGCACAGTTGTTACCTGGTGAGGTTTGTTTCTCAAACTTACTGCTACATCTTCACATGGCATAAGGGAAAAAGGGGTAAAGTAGCTCCCTATGGGTTCTTTTATAAGGGGACTAACCCATTCATGACAGCTCCCCTACCCCCTTAACCTACTCACATCCCAAAGACCTCCCCTCTTTATTTATTTATTTATTTATTTATTTATTTATTTATTTATTTATTTATTGAGATGGAGTCTTGCTCTGTTGCCCAGGCTGGAGTGCAGTGGCACAATCTCAGCTCACTGCAACCTCTGCTTCCCAGGTTCAAGCAATTCTCCTGCCTCAGCCTCCCAAGTAGCTGGGATTACAGGCATGTGCCACCACAGCTGGCTAATTTTTGTATTTTTAGTAGAGATGGGGTTTTACCATGTTGGCCAGGCTGCTCTTGAACTCCTGACCTTGTGATCTGTCCACTTTGGCCTCCCAAAGTGCTGGGATTACAGGTATGAGCCACTGTGTCCAGCCTGGCCTCACATCTTAACACCAACATATTGGGAATTAGATTTCAATATATAAATTTTGGAGAGATATAAACTTTCAGCCCACAGCACAAACCAAGGATGAATGTTTGAGGCACCTGTCAAAATACACATTTGAAAAGATCAGAAAGTCTGCAATGCCAAATGAATTACATTAGTAGAGGCAAATTCTAACAATGAAATTAGAAGAACTGCAAACAGAAAGAATCACAGAGAGAACCATTTAATTTTAACATTGAGGAAAAACTTTGAATGTGGGTTCCATTCAATTGTACAACAACTCAATGTATACAGCATCAACACTTTTAAAACATTGAGATAAAATATTTTTGATTTTATCAAATTTGATGTAATGCTAGAAGAAGAATTCATACTTTGAAGGGACTGTGATAAATTTAAGGATTTATTTAGTTCTGTTTGCACTTGCTACATGCTGTTTCCAATATGAATATTTTCACAAGATTTACATGTCTAATACATGAGTTGGCTCCTGACCTTGAAGCAATTGGTAGTAATAGATACACTGGTAAAAAAAAAAAATAGGACTTCTGCTGTCCTGCATGACCATGGACATGGACATCTTAGTATTTATGCATAATAAAAACTTTCAGTTCAGCTTAGTAAATATTTATTGACAATGTGCTAATCATGAGGAGGACTGTGGATAAAGGTGGATGATAAAGATAAATTTAAGTTGGGAAAACTACCAGCACTACATCTACAAGGGCTGAAAGTATATACAAGTCAGAAGCACACAGAAATCACTGAACCACAAAGTAAATGGCCATAAGTGCTGTTATATACCCAAACCATGTCCTACTTATATAGTCCTTTAAATGGATAAATAATACATTAATTCTGACTGGGAAGGGAGAAAGTTTCTAGGAATAGTTCTTTAAAAAGTTGCATCAGTTTTGAATAATACATAGAAAGAGACTGTTACAGAAGAACAGCTAGCTAACGGAAGACCTAGCATAATTTTATTCTTGCACAATATCAGGGAACCCAACAGTTTTGTCAGCAGTAGCTACTTTTAATTTCTTTGGATACTTGAGATCATCTGGTAAGATAGTGGTAAGTAAGGTTGCTGATGAAGACTTTGATTAAGAAAGGATTTATCAGGAGCTGGGCACAGTCGCTCATGCCTGTAATCCCAGCCATGTAGGAGGATGAGGCAGGAAGACTGCTTAAGTCCAGGAATTAGAGATTAACCTGGGCAATATAGCCAGACCACCTTCTCTACCAAAAAATAAAAGACAATTAGATGGGCATTGTGGCACATGCCTGTGGCCCCAGCTATTGGGGAGACTGAGGTAAAAAGATCACTTGGGCCCAGGAGTTTGAGGCTACAATAAGCTATGATTTTGATGGCAGCGGCTGCTGCCATCATGCCAGCTGCAAGGGAGAAGTGTGGCTGGGGTTGTATGCTCCCTGGAGTTGGCAGGATGGGGACAAGTGGGAGCCCTGCCCCTTCTGAGTTGGAATGGGAGCTCCCTGGGTGCTGCTGCAGCTGCCCAAAGTGCAGCTGTAGCTGTAGACCTGGACCTCCCACTCCATGGAGCAGACAGGAGTTTATCCATCTCCCCTGCTCTGTCCCCACCCCAGCCCACCACCCAGCCACCCAAACCAATGCTGCAGACTCAGGCAACCCTGCACTCTTGGGGAGGCTGGGAACGCCCCCCTTGCCCCTTGCAGGCTTGGAGGCACCTCCTCCTGCTGCCTGGCCTCTCCCACCTCCTGGCTCTGTGCTCTGATCTCAGAGTGGGGTTGGGACCCAGCAGGGTGCTGTCACAGCCCAGCCAAGTGTGCACACATTGGAAGCAGTGCTGACATGCCCGTTCCCTGCCACCTCAGCCCCCTCTGGACTTTGGACACCGAGGAGCAGGAGCATGAGAGGGGAAGCTGAGGGGGTCTGAGGGTGGCTGGGCACTGGCCTGCAAGTGCCCCTTGATGCCAGCAGCCTGGGTGCCATGGATGGCTGTCGGAGTCAGACAGGCTCCTGTGTGGAAGCGGATGGGTCCCCAGTGAAACCCCACCTGCAGGCTAGGCTGCCAGTCCTGCAGACTGGAGGCAAATCTCATGGTGCTTTTTCCTGGGCCCCCCCATGGCTGCCCATGGACCAATGGGCATACACTTCCTCCCCTCTGACATCCATAAAAGCCCAGGACTCAGCCAGAACAGGGCAGAAGACAGAGGAGGGAAGACTAGAGGCAGGAAGGAGTTATCCTTTCTGCTGATAGCTGGAGACAATGGGAGGGCCAGCTACTTTCTCTGCTGAATGCTTCAGAGACCTGCAGAGATGTCTGGGAACCACCAGCTGCAGACAGGAGCAACCCTCTCCAGGGATTCCCTTTCTGCTGAGAGCTGAACACTTGACAGAACAACCTAGAGAGGAGCTACCCACTATGGATCTCCTCTGAGCTGTTCTAACACTTAATAAAGCTCCTCTCCTTTAAACCTTCACTTGTCTACCTACACAATTCTTCCTGGATGCAGGACAAGAACTCAGGCAAAGATGTCACCAACCACAGTTTTCCAACCAGAAAATCGACACCCCAAAGATTCTGTAACAATTGCACCACTGCACTCCAGCCTAGGTGACAGAGTGATACCCTGACTCTTAAAAAAAGAAAAAAAAGGAATTATCCACAAGTTATTAGATAAGACTGCTAATAGCTTCTAATTGCGATACCTTCCCGTTTGAAATGGAAGGGATGGAAGTTAACACCAGGTCAGTTTTCCAAAAGTTATAACTCTGCTTTTGGCCTCTTTCAGCTCCAGTCAGACATTAGCAATGCTCAGTTACCTTCAATATTAAGCCGGTCCTGACATGAAACTGGCAGCATTTGAGAACACTGACCCAGACTTGAAGGTAGATCTGGAATTAGGATTGCTGCTTTAAGCCCAGTATCAAGTTATACAATGAATCATGAATTTCTCATAAACCAAATTTAGTGGATTTTTTTCCTATATTTCTGATGATAACTTTGCCTTGATTATATATTTAAACAATTCATTTGCTGTATCTTCATTACTGTCCCAAATGTTTTGGGTTGGCATACTGATGTTAGCTAGTGGTTTTGGTCTCAAGTTTCAGTAGCTGCTCCAATGTAAAATGAACACACATAAATCTTAGGTTTTTACTCATATGATACCTTGTCTGACACTATCTTCGTCTATCAAATAAAGGGTTTAGTATTTTCTTAGTCAATGTGGGCTGCTCTAACAGAAAACACAGATTGAGTGGCTAAAACAACAATTTGTTTTTCACAGATCTGTAGGCTGTAAATCTGAAATCAGGGAGTCAGCATGGTTGGGTTCTTGGTGAAGGCTGTCTTCCTGACTTACAGATGGCTGTCTTATTTTATCCTCACACGGAGGAGAGAAAACTCTCTTGTATATCTTCTTAGAAGGGCAATAGTTTCCTTTGATGAGGGTTTCCTCTTCATGACCTAATTACCTCCCAAAGGTTTACCTCCTAATACCAATACATTGAGAGTTAGGATTTCAATGTATGAATTTGAGGGATTTGCAGTTCATAATAACTATCAATGTCAACTCAGTTCAAGCTTGAATTTGTTTTGCTTTGGGTGACAAATCTCTAACTAATTTGAATTCATCTTTCCCCAGTCTGGTTCAGTGTTGTCTTCTTTCTCCTTCACCACCAACAGTTAGCAAGATGTCAGATTTACTTGAGGCTAAGTCTGTTTTAGTTATCACAATAGAGAACCCTGTAAGCTATATCTTAGTTGCCCCTTTCATAATATTTTTCATTATGGAAAAAATACATTCTAAACATTGTTCCTATTCTACGAAACTTGGCTGCATCTTTGCAACAAAAATAATGTGGACATTTGCCAAATACAGCTGTAGAGAAAGGTAAAATCATTGCTCTGAATTATTCATAAAATCACAGAAATTAGGGACAAACACTAAGTAAGGATGAATTATTCAGTGACTTGAAACAGATATTTTCTTTATTTTCTCAAGTAATTTGAAATGTACTGCAATTTACATCCTCAGTGTTATAAATATATGATGTTTCTCTTTTAGTGAAAAGCACCCAACAGTACTTGTTAAACAAATGAGTTTTTTTCTCTTCCCATCTCTAAAAGCATTTTTATACCTACACATCTACAAATATGTTTTAATAGACCTAACCTCTCTATGATGTCATTTTCCCCTTGGGTACCGGAATATATATTTAGTCCTGTAGAATTATTTAGCTCTCAGTTGCTGAGTTACTATTTCCCAGGAGTTGCATTGCCCAAAGTAATGTGGACATTTTTCTCATTTTAAATTTCACCTCACATGGTCCTTTGGTTTTGTTACATTTTGTACCTGTTTTGATTGGTTTTTTTTCCTCTCTATGGAAATTATTTGCCAAGTAAGGAGAAAAACTGTTGATGTTTTTCCTTATTCAAAAATTATGGTAGATGAAAAAAATCGGATTAAATAACTCTATTACAGTCTTTCTCAACTTTTTACTAAGATAAACATGAAGGCACTGAAAAGGTGAAATTTTCAGCTATTGAAAATTTGGAATGTAGGACATCATGCCGAGATTTGAGGAAACGTATCAATAATTTAGCAATGGATGGTAGTAGATACACAAAAAGCAATTAGAAGCAAAAAGGCCTTGGATTCTTTTCATGTTAAAGAAAATACATTCTGAAAGTAAGTACAAAGACCCTTTGTATTTACTTTATAACCTGTTCCCTAACAGAATACCAGGGCCTATGCCAAGGGAAAAACTGTGTAGAAGTGTTTTTCTCTTCTGGTGCTGATATGGTCATAGGATGGGGATGCTCGCTCTTTGCTATTTCTCTAACCAATCTTATTACTATATCAATTAATAACAAAACATTTCAAGTCTAGTTACTGACAAGAGAGTAAACTAGAGTAGACTCCTGACTCATAACAAGGATTCAGATCTAGAGTTCTCATAGAGTGAAGAGATTATGTTTGCAACTGGGAAACGAATGTAAAAACTGTATGGAATCCCTGGAGAGTCTGAAAGTCCCTGAGCCCGGATACAGAGAGCAAATGGCAGTTTAAGGCTGACCACCTCTCATTCCCTCCACTATTTCTCACATAAGAATATTACAGTACACTCTTCACTGCTCTCTCTGCTTCAAGCTTTGCCCTTCCACCTCTCTATTCCACAGAGAAGGTAGAATGCTCCTCTTAAAATACAAGGTGGATTATTTTACTCATCTGCTTAAAAACTTTTCAATGGCTTTTCATCTCATTCTGAATAAAATTCAAAGTGCTTTCCAGGCTTACAAGTCCCTGTATGATCCTGAGCCTTGAAAATATCTCTGACAAAATCTGCAGCCTCCCATTGGTCATTCCTTCTCTGTCACACTAGTGTCCTTGCTGCTGTTTTGAAATATAGAAAGCATGATTTTACTTCAGTGTCTTTATCCTTGTTATTTTCTCTGCCTGCCTTCTGTGTCTTGGGCATTCCATATGACTCATCTCCTCATTCCCCTTAGTCATTTTTCCATGTGGCATTTGAATACAGAAATCTTCACTATCTAAAATTATACTCCCATATCCATAACTTCTTTTATTGCTCTAGATATCCTTACAGCATTTTTCATTACCATTTAGTAGCTTATTTGTCTTTCCTTACTAAAATGTAAACTAAATACAGACAGAAATTTTTGTAATTAAAAAACACATAACAAAAAATCTACCATCTTAACAAAATTTTAAGTTTGCAGACCATTTTGTTAATGATATACACATTGTTGTACAGCAGAAATCTAGAATGTTTTTATCTCGCTTGACTGAAACTCCGCACCTGGTGAACAGCAACTCCAGATTTCCTGTTTCCTCCAGACCCTGACAACTACCATTTTATCTTCTGTTTCCATGTGTTTGGCTACTTTCAATACCTCATATAAATGGAATCACGATATATTTGTCTTTGTGTCTGGCTTATTTCACTTAGCACAATATCCTTAAGATTGATACATTTTGAAATATGACAGAATTTCCCTTTTCAAGGCTGAATAATATTCCACTGTGTGTGTGTATATATATATACACATATATATATCATATATATAACCATACATATATATATACAATACTATATATATACCATACATATATATACCATACATATATAAATATATATATATATATATTCTCACCATATTTTCTTCATCTGTTCATTTGATGATGGACTTTTAGTTTGTTTCTACTTTTTGGCTATTGTGAATAATTCTGTAATGAATATGGGAATGCAAATATCACTTCAAGATCTTGTTTTCAATTATTTTGGAATTATTCAATTATTTTGGAAAAATGCCCACAAGTGGGATTGCTGCATCATATGGTAGGTCTATTTTTTAATGTTTTGAGGACCCTCCATACTGTTTTCCATAGTGGCTCTACCATTTTACATTCCTACTGACAGTACATAGGGTTCTAATTCAATTTCTCCACATCTTCATCAACACTTGCTATTTTCTTTTTTTAAAAAATGGTCATACAGTTATGAGGTGATAAATCCTCTTGTGATTTTAATTAGCATTTTCCTGATGATTAATGATGTTGAGTATATTTTTATATCCCTGTTGGTCATTTGCATGTCTTCCTGAAAAATATCTATTTAAGAATTTAGCCATTTTTAAATTGGGTTATGTGTTTATTTGCTTTTGAGTTATAGTTGTTTCTTATATATTTTGGATATTAAGCCCTTAGCACATATACAGTTTTCAAATATTTTCTCCAATTCTGTAGGCTGCCTGTTCACTCTGTGGTTTCTTTTTTTGCACAGAAGCATTTTATCTTGATGTAATCACCCTAACCTATTTTTGCTTTGGTTGCCTGTGCTTTTGGTGTCAAATCCAAGGAACTATTGCCACGACCAATGTGATAAAGCCTTTCTTTATGCTTTCTTGTAGGAGTTTTACAGCTTTAGTTCTTACATTTAAGTCTTCAATCCGTTTGGAGTTAACATTTGTGAACAGTGTAAGATAAGGGTTCACTTTCATTCTTTTGCATATGGATATCCAGTTTTCCCAAAAATATTTGTTGAAGAAATTATCCTTTCTCCATTGTATAGTTTTGTCACCCTCGTCAAAGATCATTTGACTATATGCATGTGGGTTTATTTCTGGGTTTTCTTTCTTTCTTTCTTTTTTGAGATGGAGTCTTGCTCTGTAACCCAGGTGGGAGTGCAGTGGTGTGATCTTGGCTCACTGCAACCTCTTCCTCCTGGGTTCAAGCGATTCTCCTACCTCAGCCTCCCGAGTAGCTGGAATTACAGGTGCCCATAACCATGCCCAGCTAATTTTTGTATTTTTCCATAGAGACGGGGTTTCACCATGTTAGCCAGGCTGGTCTTGAACTCCCGACCTTAGATGATCCGCCCGCCTTGGCCTCCCAATGGGCTTTCTATTCTGTTCCACTAATCCATTCTCTTCCATTCATCTATATGATTAGTTTTACATTAATATCACACTATTGGGATTGCTGTAGCTTTGTAGTACATTTCAAAGTCAGAAAATGTGAGGCCTCTAATTTTGTTTTTCTTTCTTAGGATTGTTTTGGATATTCAGGGTCTGTTGTGTTTCCATATGGATTTTAGAATTGTCCTTTCTATTTCTCTAAAATTAGCATTGGAATTGCTTTGGCTAGTATTAGAATTTATAAATATTCTTTCAATTCATGAAAATGAGATGGCTTTCCATTTACTTGTGTCTTCCTTAATTTCTTTCAGCAATATTTTGCAGTATTCAGTGTACAAGTCTTTCCCCCACCGGCTAAGTTTATTCCTAAGTATTTTATTCATTTTGATGCCATTGCAAATGGATTGTTTTCTAAATTTCCTTTTCAGAATGTTTGCTGTTTGTGTTTTTTTGAATCTTTACTTTGAATTCTGCAACTTTGTTGAATTCATTTTATTATTTCTAAGAGCTTTTTGTTGAATCTTTAGGGTTTTTTATATATATAAGATGATGTTTTCTGTGAATAGAAAAAATTTTACTTCTTTCCAATTTGGATGCCTTTTATATCTTTTTCTTGCTTAATTATTTTAGCTAGGACTTTATGTACTTCATAAAGGTGTCCTTGCCTTGTTCCTGATCCTGATCTTAGAAGAAGAGATTTCAGTTTTTCTTCATTAATATGATGTGAGCTGTGGGTTTTTACAAACGGCCTTTATTCTGTTGGAATAATTTCCTTCTTTTCCTATTTTTTCAAGTGTTTTTCTAACGAGAGAATGTTGAATTTTGTCAAATGCTCTTTCTCCATCTACAGAGATGAACATGTTATTTTGATTGTTTTGTTAATGCGGCATATTATATTGATTTGCACATGTTGAACCCTTCTTGCATTCCAGGAACAAATCCATCATAATTATGGTGGATGATACTTTATAGTGCTGTTGAATTCAATTTGCTGGTATTTCTTGAGGATTTTGCATCTACATTCATTAGGAATATTTAATTTTTTTTCTTGTAGCGCTATTGTCTGGCTTTGATATTAGGGTTATGCTAGCTTCACAACAAGAGTTTAGAATTGTTCTTTCTTCTTTAATTTTTTTAGGAATGTTTGAGAAATATTGGCATTAATTCTTCCTTAAATGTTGGCAGAATTCTCTAGTAAAGTCACCTGCACCTGAGATTTTCTTTGCTGGAAGATTTTTGATTACTAATTTAAGCACCTTACTAGCTACAGATTTGCTCATATTTTTATTTCTTCTTGATTCAGTGTCGTGGGTTGTATATTTCCAGTAATTTGATTTTTTTCTAGGTTATCCAGTTACTACCATAATCATTCACAGCAGTCTCTTATAATCTTTTCTTATTTCTGTGGCATCAATTGCAATGTCTACTTTTTCATTTTTAATTTTATTTGGTTGAGTCTTTTCTCTTTTTAATTGCCATATTCCATTGTATAGTAATACCACAGTTTTTTTAAATCTATTCACTTGCATTGGTTCTACTTTCTGGTTATAATGAAAATATGTGTGTGAAAATATCCTTTATTTGCATTAATCTTTATTATTTCCTTCCTTTTGCTGGGTTTGGGCTTAGTTCTTCTTTTTTAGTTCCTTGAGTTGTAAAATTAGGTTGTTTATTTGAGATCTTTCTTCTTTTTTAAGGTAGGCATTTATTGCTATAAATTTCCCTCTTTAGTCCTGCCTTTGCTGCATTTCTAAGTTTTGCTATGTTGTGTTTTTTATATTTTGTCAGCTTGTTTTCTAATATTCTTTTTGATTTCTTCTTTGACTCATTGGTTGTTCAATTGTATGTTGTTTAATTTCCATATATTTGTAAATGTTTCAGTTTTCCTTCTACTATTGAATTTTTGCTTCATTGTACTTTTGGTCAAAACAGGTTCTTGATTTCCTTTGTCTTAAATTTGTTAAGACTTGTTTTGTGACCTAACATGTGATCTATCATGGAGAATATGTCAGGATATGTCACTTTGCCAGATAATTTATATACCTCCATTTTTGAAGGGTTGATATTTGAAACTTATTTTGGTCCTTTTATTGGGCCATGTTTCCCTGTTTCCTTGTGTGCCTTTTAATTTTGTGCTGCGATTCTAGGATTTGAAAAAAATAACCACTTCTCCCTGTCTTTACAGACTGGTTTTGCACTGGGAAATCCTTTCACCAGTCAGCCCAGTTAGAGATTCTGAAATGTGTCAAATCTTTCCGTGAATGTATTGTCTCTGGAATTGTGTGTAAATTCTTAGAAAAATTTGCAGGTCTTTCTTCGGGAGTGTGTAATCTCTTGCTCTCTTTGTTATCTATCTATAGTACTGTAGGTTATCTGGAGTTGCTATAACCCCCTAGCTCTCTTTTGTTCTCAGCAGTCCTCAGACATCAAGAGTATCCGGTCAGACAGAAAACAGTCCATCAAGCTGACTGGGAAAAGTTGGAATTCTGGATGCACACTCCAGCTTTTTCCTTCTCCAAGGGGAAGCCAGGAGTTGAGGGTTTTCTCCCACTCATTGCATATTGATCCAGGGAAGGATAGTATGATAAGTGAATGTATGCTAACCCAAACTGCCTCAACTCATTTGTTCTTAATATCCCCAACCTGGAAAGCTTTCCTGTTAGCACTTAAATTCAGGCAAGACAGAAAACAATCACTTGACAACTCCCCTGAAGTCTGAACACTGAATGTGTGTCTCAGTATTCTCTTTCATTTCTGTGGGGGAATCAGGAACTGTAGAGTATTCTCCCAATCTTGTTATACTGAGTCACAGGAGGAATGATGGTGATTGAATGACAGTCCAAACTGTGACTTTATCAGCAGGCATGCAATCTGGCATCCTTTCCTGTTAGCACTTAGATTCAGGGTAGATAGGTTCTAGTGCCCTCCCAAAAAGTCAAAATGTTGGACATATGGTCTAGACTTTTATTTCTCTCCCTAGAGATGAGCTGGGAGTTTGGAGCTTTCTCTCCATTGCGTTGTACTCCTGAGGGAGGATGAGTGAGTGCAACAAATTTACCTGCTGGTTTAGATGTGCCTGGCTTGAAGCCTACCAGGGAATCCAGAGTCTTTAAATTCTCCTCTGTACTTTTCACAAAGGGGATTTATCTGTGTATTATTATCAAGCTGGTGTCTCCTTGGAGAGGAGGGTGGAGGGGCTTTGAGGCTTTCTATTTCATCATCTTGCTGGTGTCCTGACAGGAATTTTAAACTGGGCTCCTTTCCCCGCAGTGTGGGAGAATGGATCCTGGCTGATTATAAGTACTCATGAAATACTGGATAAATTATTATTTATCATTTACTTATAAATATTTAAAATTTTTATTATGGGAAATAAGTTTTTAATCATTACCAAAGTTTGTTGAAGCACTAATTTATTATTGTGAAAAGTGGGGAGGGGAATAAAAATCAAGCTTTTGTCTACTCATCTTGCTTTTCCTGTCCAAACTGTGTTTTGGTGTAATCAATACACATTTGGGAGGAAATGTTCTTTTAGAAATTATTCCAGCTAATAAATGAAGAAAAAAAATGAAAGAATGTAGTACCCTGTTATAACACCTAGTAAAATAATGGTTAAAGCAAGTTTTCTAATGAATGCTAAAACTATTAGGTGAAAAGTTGATGCAAACCTTTACTGTGGAGGAATGTGGCTGACATTAATTTCTTATCTGAATTACATTTTTGAAACTTTATGACTCTTTGAATTTAAAAGGGATTTTGGTGTCATTATTTTTTCTTTTACACTCTCTTTTTCACATAAAAATCAACTATTAACTGATTGGTTTTATGGTCTTTTGGAAAGAGACTATATAAATTCTGCTTTTTGTATGAAGATCTCTTTTACGCTGTCAGAGGAAATTTTACCTCTGGTAAGCTCTGATTTCATCTTTCAATTTTATTTTTAATTTCTTTCTTTGTCTTTTGTTTTATCAGCACCTTGTTTAATTTAAAATAGATTCAATGTCAACCATCAAGGAGTTAACTCAGGAAACTAATTTATCCAGAAATACAAATATTTTTACATATATTTTATCCTTTGTTTTAGATCTTTAATATGTAATTTCTAAAAATGAAATATGGACAGTTTGCTTGATTTCTGAGCATAGTCAATGAATAATTTTACCAAAATACGCAAACATTTTTCGAGCTTTTCTTTTCCCTTGAGACTGAATCTTGCTCTATCACCCAGGCTGGAGTGGGGTGGTGTGATCTTGGCACACTGCAACCTCTGCCTTCCAAGTTCAAGCAATTCTCCTGTCTCAGCCTCCTGATTAGCTGAGATTACAGTTGCTCACCACCACACCCAGCTAATTTTTTGTTTTATTTTATTAGAGATGGGGTTTCACCATGTTGGCCAGGCTGGTCTCCAACTCCTGACCTCAAGGGATCTGCCCACCTCGAACTCCCAAAGTGCTGGGATTACAGGTGTAAGCCACCACGCCCAGCCTGGAGCATTTTGATATAATGAATTACTGGGGAAACCTTTTAATATAATGTTAGACAGCCCATTTAAAAAGAATCCAGTATAATTATTATATTCTTTATATGACTACTTTTCACAGTGAAGTAACTTAGCACTCTGTATTTATAATGCTTTGAAAATACATATTAGTTGCTGATTTTATATTCCAAACAGAAATTATAGGACACCATATTATATAAACACAAGATTTCAATATTAATTTTCACACTTTAAAACAATAATCTTGGCCCTGTGCGGTGGCTTGTGCCTGTATTCCCAGCACTTTGGGAGGTCGAGGCAGGCGGATCACGAGGTCAGAAGATTGAGACCATCCTGGCTAACACGGTGAAACCCCGTCTCTAATAAAAATACAAAAAAAAAACCAAAATTAGCCGGGCGTGGTGGCGGGCGCCTATAGTCCCGCTACTCCAGAGGCTGAGGCAGGAGAATGGCATGAACCCGGGAGGTTGAGCTCGCCGTGAGCCGAGATGGCGCCACTGCACTCCAGCCTGGATGACACAGCGGGACTCCATCTCAAAAAAAAAAAAAAAAACTTTTCAATTTTTAAAATTTTTCTCAAACTACCCATCAGAGAAGTTTAACATCTCCATTTACATTTCTATGATGTTATACAGAAATATTTTATTTCTTTCCCCAGAATAATATAGGCAAAATCTCTCCCTCTGACTATACACACCTGGTATTGTTATTTTAATTGTTTAGGGGTTTCTATCTCTTCCTATTCTGAATGATTATTCTCTTTTTGAGCTTTCTTGCTGTAACCGTTTTAGTCTGTAGACAACTTTCTAGATTCCAGGATCCACACTAATCTTCCTGCCGTTGCAGTTTCTGTCTTCTGCAAGAGTCTAGCTTTTATGAGAACAAAATAGTCATATCTTCTTTAAAGAAGAGTTTCCAGTGTAAAGACTAAAAGTTTAAGTTAATTGTAAATGAAAGACTCCAGTTAGAGGAGAAAATATTTCATTTTAAGATGACTGTTTCAGAACACAATTACGATATTGAAGATGAATCTCACTATAGCCACATTAACTACGTCTATTTCAATTTAAGGGGACACAGTAACAAATCTTACCTCTCTGAAAAGAAATCAAATCTGAAACATGGTGGAGAAGTATGAGCCCTGACCAAGAGATTTTCTTGGAAGACATAGATTGACTTATAGCAAATGTTATCTGAAGTGGTAAAATCTTACACTTTATTTTTATAGAAAACAGACAATAAAAATCTTTCTAAATTAATGTATAGGTACTTTTGTAAAAATAACATAAAAATATCTGATTAACTTAGATACATAAGTTCTTTAAGTTCCAAAATAAAGAATGAGAGAAGTTTATAGTTTGTCTGACTTTTATTCTTTTCAATCCATAATTAATTCCATAGATAGAATAATTTGTAATGTAACTTTAATCATTACATCCTTTGATCAAAAATATACAGATATTCTTAATTTTTCTTCTCATATTTACTTAAATTATTTTTCATCGCTTTAATATTTCTTTATTCACTGGTCCCATAATAGTTCACTAAGTTTGGTATTTCTTGGTTTTGTAAAAAATTTCCCAATTCAGCTCCTGAGCACAGTGAGTACTCTTCTCTCCTCTTCCTTCGTATTCTTTTTAGGTCCAACCCCATGGCTTTCCTTTTGTACTCTCTAGGCCAAGAATGTTCTTTCTTATTCCTACCATTTAACCATCATTCATTTTTCATGGCTGTATTAGTCCATTTTCACACTGTCATAAAAGACTTTCCTGAGACTGGGTAATTTGTAAAGGAAAAACGGTTTAATTTACTCACAGTTCTGCATGCTGGAGAGGCCTCAGGAAACTTACCATGATGGTGGGAGGAGAAGCAGACATGTCTTCTATGGTGGCAGGCAAGGGAGAAAGTAAGCATGTGAAGGAGGAACTGTCAAACACTTATAAACCCATCAGATCTCTTGAGGACTTAACTCATTATCATGAGAAGAGCATGGGAGAAGCTGCTCCCATGATCCAATCACCTCCCACCAGGTTCCTTCCTTTACATGTGGGGATTACAATTCGAGATGAGATTTGGGTGGGGACACAGAGCCAAACCATATCAATGGCCAATATATATTTTTCTTTTCTCATCTATTCCTGACTATGTCCTTTCTGAATTTCTTCCATACTTTCAACCTGCCCCACAAAAGGCAGAGCTTACTCATATTTCTTATCCTGTTATCTAAAAATTAATTTTGCTTGAGTTTGAGAATAATAGTCAATAGGCAGGGGATGAGCAGGCCATCAACAGCATCCTTTATTTTGGCAGAAATTATTCTGAATCAAACTTACCATGTATAGTTACATGATCTCAAAAAGAATTAAAAATCTCTATCACTTGAACCACAGTTTCCCTTAGCATATTTAATATACTTCATTTTTGTCAGCTAACAAATGTTAGCTAATATTTTTACCATCAAGAAGAATATCCTTTGGCAAAAGAATATCTGTTTCATTAGTACATATTGAGAGAGTTGGACCCTATGGCTTCCCAACTTGCTCAGGAATGGGGAAGCTAGGGTACCCAGATAGGTAATCTTCTGTTTTGATACTTATAGCCTGACTGTATACAGTGTCAAATCTGGGTCTTGACCTAGCAGGCACACATTAACACAACATGAAGGAAGGAAAAAGTCATTTATGAAACTACAATGGCTGCAGTAGTTATTTGGTAGTCCTCTTTTTAAAAATTTCCTTTTAATTGAAATGAAAGTTTATAAGTGATCATACTGTAAATGATATAACATTTTATAATGTTTTATTACAAAAACGCAAACACTCCAGGAGTGAATTAAATGTAAATTGAAATCTCCCTCTCTCTACAATCCCACATGCCTCATCATTTCCTCTATTCCTTAGAAATCCACCGACAATAATTTAATTAGAACTGAAATACTCTCACTCATAAAACGCATATGTGTACTTCTTAAAAAATGGGATTATGCTAATTATGATTTGTAGTGACCTCATATTTCATTTGAAAATACATTGGATATCTTGTCATCATTTAAAATGACTGTAAAATGTTAATTTTTACCAGTATTTTCATAAAACATATCTATTGAAAATTTAAGTCATTACCATCTTTGCATTTTTTATAAACTTATATAATGAACAGCTTTGCAAATATTAGTTAGCACACTTGTTCAATTATTTAATAGAGATCTAATCTGAGGAGTTGAGAATTTTCAACTCTTTCTCAGGACCATTCCTTTGGAGTGATTTTGGAAATGGAGGTTATTTTTGGTTGTATCAATGATGGAGACATGACAAGCACTTACAAGTAAAGGGTAGAGATCACATGCAACATGCATTGGGCCAAACAGTGCATTGAGACAAACAGTCCTGTATAAGGAAGAATTGCTTTGTATAAAGGCCCAATAGTACCTCTTGGAGAAACATGGCAACATGAGGTATTTCACTGTCTACTTTAAGAAATGTTGCACTATTTGTGCATTTTACAATAAATATCTATTGATCTTATAATCTGTAAAACAATATACTATTGTTTAAAGTTTGTTTTGTTTTGTTTTGTTTTTGTTTGTTTGTTTGTTTGTTTGAGACAGAGTCTTGCTCTGTCACCCAGGCTGGAGTGCAGTGGCACAATCTTGGCTCAATACAACCTCCATCTCCCGGGTTTGAGTGATTTCTTGTGCCTCAGTTTCACAAGTAGCTGAGACTACAGGCATGTGCCACCATGCCCAGCTAATTTTTGTATTTTTGTGTTTTTAGTAGAGAAGGGGTTTCACCATATCGGCCAGGCTGGCCTTGAACCCCTGTCCTCAAGTGATCCACCCACCTTGGCCTCCCAAAGTGCTGGGATTACAGGTGTGAGCCACCATGCCTGGCCTATTATTTGAAGGATTTAATCTTCTCCCATCCCAACAAGAATGGAATTTTTCAATAAATCCAAAAAATTGTTTCTTTGAAAAGACAAATAAATTAGATGACAAAAAAGAGAAAGCCTATTAAAATATAACAAGAAAAATGGAAAACTGGATAACTGAAAATTTCAAAAGAATGTAATATGTACCTTTTGGTCATTATATTTGAAAATATATATGAAGAGGTTAACTTTTTAGGGAAAATTTAACTATAAAAATAAATCTAGAGAAATGAGAACATTTGAAGATACAAACAATAGAAAAAAATGAAACTGGTATAAAGTTATAGCACCTTTAAAAGCACAAGGCCCAGCTGTGTCTCAAGTAGGTCCTCTTAAACTTAATGGAAAAGTTAATTCCTGTGTTGTTCAAACTATTCTTTTGGTTAATGGGAGCAAAGGAAGCATATCTCTCCCTCCATTTATTTCTTAAAACAACTGAAAACCAAAAGAAAAATCAACGTACAAAGAAAAAAACTCCTCCAATTTTGTTAAAAATAAACACCATTAAAAATTATAAACCAAACTATGAAGACTAGTTGTTAGTGCCATAACAATTTAACCTTTCTTCAAAAAATGGTGAGAGTAGATGCAGACACCTGAGCAAATATGGCATGTTAAACACATAGAGAGACTTATTTTCCCACCTGAAACTATAACATGATGGCAAATGGCTTATTCAAGTGATATAAAAAGAAAACAGCAACAGTTTTGAAAATAGGAAGTCCATAAATGGCTGGTAACTCACTTAGCTTACCAAAAAGTGCAAAATTGTAAGTAGCGGGGAAATCTGATTCTACAAAATGTTCGTAAATTGGTTGCACAGGATACCTCTGAAAGTAGAAGTAAAGGTAGGGCTAAAACCCAGGAACACTGGTTGAAAGACTGTTTCCAATGCCCACTCCATCAAGCCTCGTGAATGCCTCTAGGTTCTGCTGGTGGAAAAGTAGACATTTGCTGTCTAGAGAGGTAGCAGGGAATCTCAGTACTGGCAATATCATCTTCATTGGTCATACATAAATTAGGGGGGCAAAATGAACAGTAACTACTGAAAGCTAGATCTCCCCAATTTTCACCTCTATCTAGATTCAAAACATAACAGTCTATTAGTCTTATACCCTCAGAGAAGACTGGAAGACTCTAGTTGGAAGATCATGATCAGCCCAAAGGAATAGACCAGTGGATATGTCATGAGGGGCTTTTCTGGGAAAAGTTCTCAACCTGATTGCCCTGTCTGGAAGCCACAGTTGACAATTATTACTTAAGAACCTGAAGCTTACTGTAAATGTTTATTGTACTGCTTTTCAACACAAACAGATAACCAACAATCACGAGATTCTAGGTACAGCCAATAACAAACACAGAAACAAAAAAAAAACAAAACACCTGAAAGTAAACAGAGTGTATACCGTGTGGGAAAAAAGTAATTATTAATTTTCTCAGAGAGGGAAGATAATACAACAAGAACAAGGTGTGTTATAAAATGGATATTCAAAAAAATAGAATTCTTAAAAATTAAGAAATTTATTGCAGAAATACATAACTTAATGGGAGATTTGGAAGGTAAAGCTGACTGCATCTCCAGAAAAGTTAGTGTAAACAGAGTTGGGAATGAGAAAGGGAAAGTTTAATGAATTAAATAATTGGTCCTATAGGGCCAGCAACAAAATACAGGCATTTGGGAAAAGAAAAAAATACAATGAAGTATGATATATATAAATAATTTTATGAAATGGGTAAGAGTTAAAGTGTATGAATTTCAGATTGAATGTGTCCACCAGAATTCAAGCCAGTGGTGAAAATAGACCTAGACCAACACACACACACAGACACACACACACACACACACACACACACACAAATCAGCACACTCCAGAAGAAAAAAAAAGAAGACACTTCAAATTTCCAGAGAAGAGAAATAAAAGTGGTCACTAGAAGAGAAGCAAAGCCTTATAAATTGCAAAATAAATTATTTCTAATGCAGAATAGTATCTCCAACCAAACTGTAAATCAGATAGGAGGAACCAATAATAAGCATTTACAGCATGGCAAGATTCTAAAACTCTACATCCAATACATCCTATCTCAGGAATTTACTGGAGAAGAGTTTCACTAAAATGAGGAAGTAAATGAAGAAAGGGTAGGGTATAAAGTACAGGGAATCTCCTGGTTTTTAGATGTACAGTATGTGTACACAGCAACCTGTGTAAATTAGAGTTATCTAGAAAAAAAATTTTCAAAAAGATAAATCTGATAAAATGTCTAAGGCTTCTGAATGCATTATGAGACTCATTAGAAAACTGGGTTAGAGTTTGGAGTTGGTACTTTGATACATACATAGAAAAATGAACAAAACAAAAATTTTTAAAAATTGTCAGTTTAAGGGAAAGAATGTTGTGTAGAAATGAAATTCAATCATTTATGCTCCATGTTTCACGTGTGAGTAACATTTACCTAATTATAACAGTACTAGTGTTACTGGAAAATGGGGTCCTGATCCACACTTCAAGAGAGGGTTCTTGGGTCTCACACAGGAAAGAATTCAAGGTGAGTCACAGAGTACAATGAGAAGAAGACATAGTTTATTGAAAGCTACTGTCTTTTAGAGTAGGGCATCCTCAGAAAGCAAGTGAAGGAATGCACCCTCTTTGTTTTCAGTTTTTCTGTTATAGGAGTTTTGTCTGTGTAAAGACTAAATTGGAAACAAAATAACAAGAAGAAGGAATTTATGCATAATCTTCAAATCATGAGGAGTAAAATTTATACAGGACCTATCGCTTAAAGAGTTTCATAGTGGTTACCAGTGGGCATTTGGTGATGTTTATCAATGTGATTCTTGAATGTAAAAAGGACTACTTATAAGATTTCATATTCTGAACTAATGTGCAGCATATTATGTTAAATTGTTAACCAATTTAAAAAATTTTTGAGTTTAAATTAGAAATCTTATTGTTCTATTTATAAATCTAGTACATTAAAAATTATTTTTAAGGGGGACTTTGATTAATGTTTGGTCCATTTACAACATAGTTAATTAAACTCCCTTAAAGATTTTAAACTACATTTATAAATTTAATATGTTCAATTATCTTTGTGAACATTTTAATTATCAAACTAACAAATAAAGCTTTCAGAGTACTTAAACAACCCTTATAGAGCTAATAAATTAAACTCACAAAATCACGAATCTTAAATTATCTTCAATGTTAAACCACTACTAGCAACTCGGTAAAGCTGCTTATAATTTCAACTAAAAACAAACCCAATATCTAAAATACTCTGTTACACATTTAAAATTGGAATGTAAAATGCTAATCTATATTTAAATACTAATACAATTATAAATAAATATCACATCTCTAAAGTATAAATATTATAGTTTTCATATACTTCATCATCTCTAAACTTTTTTTCAATGTTTTCCTGGGATAAAAAAATCATAAAACAATTAGATTATCTTAAGCAAATGGGGTTATCACCTCAGTGAGTTGTGGCTACTTTTTCAGGTTGTTTACCTCTCAGAGATTTTGACTGGAAAATGAGATCTGGAGCTTCAGATACTCAGGGTAATTGTTTGTTTTTCCCTCATTAATATGGGAACAAATTCTAACGTTGTAAAAATTATGTTAATAGAGATTCCAAGCCCATGAACTCTAAGTGAAATGGCCATGCAATCCATGTTTTCTAGATCCATGTTGCCTATATCTTTAGCCTGATTTTAATATCTAACCTCCCTACTCTGATTGTTTAAGTACTAGATTAAATTCAAAAATCTATTTACTGTATGATTTTTGACAGAGTTCTTTTTATATTCTTCATACCTGGTGAAGTCATAACTTTTCTAGATATTTAAATGACATACACATGTATTATTTAATCTCATGTGTATATCTGATTCTGTGGTCACATTTTCCAAGGCCAGATAAATGACTGTAGCCAGACAGATGTAGGGCTAGGTGTAAAAAGAGATATTCCCACAGATTATATAGTTGCTGTGTAGAGAAAACTCTCTAGGCTTTTCCTCTAGTCTCACATCACAAAGATCAATCAGCAACACAGAAGACTTCTGTGACCAAATGTGTGGGTTTTTTCCTCCATACATACACCAAGGAGCAGACACCAGCTGAGTGTCCTCTAATTCAGTTCTGGCACTACACTGTCTACCTGGAGATAGTGTCAGGTCTCACAGGTCAGTCCCCAAGACTGCCCACCCTCAACCTACCAGCCACAAGTCCAGACCTCTGAACTTCTGACCTACTGGGTTCAAGTTGGGTTCTCATGACCCCCTCTTTGGGTTTGATTCATTTGTTGGCGTGGCTCACAGAACTCAAGGAAACACTTACATTTCCTGGTGTATTATAAAGGATATTGCAAAGGATATAGATGAAGAGACACTTAGAGCAATGCATGGGGGAAGGGAGCAGAGCTTCCATGTCATCCCTGGGTGGGCCACCCTCCAGGAACATACATGTGTTCAACTGCCCAGAAGCTCACTGAACCCTGTCCTCCTGGATTTTCATGGAAGTTTCATGATATCAGCATTCCTCCCTCCAGGGTATAGGGTGGGACTCTCTCCTGAGGTGGTCTTAAGACCCATAACCAGTAAGGCAGGAACATAAAAATGAAAAAAGGCCATGAGAAGGTGAGAGGCCTGCTCCTGAGGCCTAACACACCCAATATTATAACAAAAGACAAGTGCTAGGGGAGTTATAAGCCAGGAACTGTGGATGAAAACCAATATACATCATAACACCACAGGTGCTGAGAAAATATTCATGGAAAATAGACCTAAATTGATACTGCCTATTGACATAATTTACTTTACTGATCTTTTCCTTCACCATTTTAATAAATAGCTCAGACAATAATGAGTCCCACTCAAAGATAATAATAGAAAAGATACCAGCACTGTGCCTGTGTAACATATATTTCATGTTAGAGAAAAGCAACAAAGACAATATAATATTAATAGACAGAAAAAAATTACATGCCACATTGACTATCATTGAATCACAAAGTGAATACAAATTTTTAATGCATTGTTTCATTAAATCAAATTCCCCTTCCCGCACCAATACAACTCCTCTGATGTAAGTGACCTAAAAAAACATAAATAGGTTTTAAAGCAGATATAAGATAAATGCAATATATGTAGTGTGAGTTTAGGGAAAGATAAAAGGGAAAATACCTTTTATCTGAGAAATATATACCACACTAGAAACAGCAAAAATGAAGAACAGATATTTTCAAAATTTACTCAAATAAATGGGTATAAGAAAAAAATCGAGCAAAACAAAATGGAAAAGAATAAATAAGTAACAAGGGTAGAACAATATTTATAGTTGTTTGAAGACAGACAAAGTTGACCTAACATGTTACCATGTATATTTTATCCAGTTTTCCAATTTTATTTTTATTGCTGGAAGGTTAATTTGGTCAGAGTTATTTCACCATAACAGCAAGTATAATTTTCCAAACTCACACCTCTTACATTTTGTATCTTATTTTTTATCTTATTGTTACATATTTTATAATGTTATATATTCTATACTGAATTATACACTAAATAAAAAATAAAATATGAACACAACAATTTCATAGAAATGGTGAGGTTTTTTTTTTTAATTGAGGCAGAAGTTCATGACTTGAAAATAGAAAGATGCAGTAAAGAAATAAACTCAAGAACTCATTTTATGGAAAAAGTGAAAACAATTTGCAACATTAAAATAATTAATCAGAACCTCAATACAGATTAAGAAGGAATAGAGAACAAATATTAAAATTGGAAGGCAATGAAAATATAATCACAGATATTGATCAAGTAATTAGATAAGATCATTTTCTTAATTATACACAAATATATTGGAAACCCTGGATTATATGATTTTTTCCATATGAAAATATAAGTGACCAAAATGACAAGAGTTATAAAATCTCAGTATCTTATTAATGCAGAAAAAGATGTTGAAGATATAAAATTCTGAACATTCTCCTCTCAACAAACAGACACCAACTCGTCATCTAGCATTAGGTATATCTCCCAATGCTATCCTTCCCCCCTCCCCCCACCCCACAACAGAAAGCACACCAGCATGGCACATGTATACATATGTAACTAACCTGCACATTGTGCACATGTACCCTAAAACTTAAAGTATAATAATAATAAATAAATAAATAAATAAAAACTTTTAAAGAAAAAAAAATGGGGACCTTTTGCTTATGTGGTTACTAAGGCAAAATGTAAGTCATGATTTTTCTGGACCAGCTCTGAAAAAATGTTCTGGTTAAGACTGGGTAAAATGGATGATTTATTTATTCAATAAAGTTATTGAATGCTCACCATGTGCAAGATACAGTGTTGAATGTGGTGCAAAATATAAAGATGTGGAAGAAAAAGCCACGGAAAATAATATGAGGAAATAAAAAAACTAGAGTAAATTATCAGTGGAATAATTTCTATTATACAAGACACTACACCCATATATTCTCCTAATGCTCATGTAAGAATTTATCCAAAAATACCTTCCAGCACTACAAACTAGAAGAAAAAAGAGACATGGATACCAAATTAAGTTCTTAATAGTGAAGAATAAAAGAGACTACCTTGCCTGCTCCAGTGGATCCAGCAACCGCCAACAACTGTCCTCTTTCTATCTTGAAATTAATATCTTTCAGGACAGGAGTACCAAGAAGTGAGAAATTACTGAAGAAGAGGCTGTCATCACCATTAGAAGTTTTTCTATTGTTATTGTTTGGTTTTGCTTTCTCAAATAATTCCCCAAATCCCTGTTAAAAAAAAACACACACACACACATCAAAAATAAAACATGAGTTTGTCAGAAAAAAAAAAACAAACAAACAAACAGACAAATCAGCAGGCATGAACATTTTCAAGAAGAAATGTATCAAGACATGAAAGTACTGATAACTCAATGCTATTTAAAGTTTTCCTCTTCTAATTCTAGCTATGACAAGTTAATTTGTATCAGGCCATCCCACCTGGCAAGAACAATTATGAAAGCTGGATAAAATTGATTAAAAATAAGTAGCTATTTAAGGGCTTCTGATAGCAATCAAAGCATCCAGAACTTGAGTGTGTAAGCTCTCAGAAAGAAGAGAAACACACTGAATTGATTTCAACATTCTCCACAACCTTTCATTTGGATACATTTGCTGAGCAGATAGCTAAGAAGAAAATGGTAGCTCAGAGATGTTAGAAATCTGATAGGCCTGCATAGACAAGAATTGGAATTCATGACTATCATGGTGGCCAGGGCTTGATAAAGGGCCAGCAGAAACAAAACAATTTCGTTTTGTTTTTCCTTCACAACATTTTCTGATTCTTTAGTTGCAGAAGGTGAGCAACTAAGAAGCTTAGCATAAAATGGAGCTACCCGACTAAAAGGAAGTTAAGCAGACCGCTCAGCAAAAGGATAGACAAAATCGGAGTTCAACAAGAACAGAGGACCTAGAAATCTCCCTAGGCATTGAGATCCCTAAAAAGCTAATCCCTAGCTGAAAAGGCAAACTAGAAATGCACCAGCTGACACAAAGACTGAAATCTAGCCTCAAGGCATTTCAGTCTGATTGGACCAAGAGGATCTACCTCTAAGCCAGAAGAAAACTACAATTTCTTTGGAGGGAGATCCCATCTAAAGACTTTTTCTCTTAGGTCAATGTCTGGCTTTTGATCATAAATAACCAGGTGTATCAGTCAGCAGGGCTAAATGATGCATGCACACACGTGTGTGCACACACAAACAGAGCGAGAGTGACAGTGAGAGGGAAAGGAGAAATCCATAGCTTTAAATGTTTCCATGTAAAGAAAATAAAAATACTTCCAAATATATTTATGAATAAATATTGTATTTATTCTAAACTTGACCACAGCTGAACACATGTGTTCTCTTCCCATCCCTTTCCCTTCGTCTCTCTCATATACACTACACACAATAAAATACAGGCCTATTCCCTAATAAATATTACTGCAAATATTCTAAAGCTGTACTTTACAATTAAAAGTTGCAATCCCATTAAAATCATACTTCATAATCAAGTAGTGTTCATGTTAGTAAGCAAGAATGGATGACTATTAGGAAATAGTTTACTATAATTTATCATGTTAATAGAAAAACAATAATCTCCAGAAACTTCAACATATATTACCAATTAAATAATATTAATAGAATAGTATTATAATGAGATAGATGTAATTTAATCCAAAATTCAGAATTTATGTGATGGTGTTTTGGTACAGGGCCTTTGGGAAGTAACAAGGTTTAGATGATGTCATGAGGTCAGGGTTCTCATGATGGAATTAGTTCCCTTATAACATAGACACCAGAGAGCTTGATCTCTTTCCCTGCAATGTGAGGACAGAGTGAGAGAACTTGACTGTCTGCAAGAGAACGCTCACCAGATAGCAAACATTCACAGATCCTGATCTTGTACTTTCCAGCCTCCAGATGTGTGAGAAAATACATTTCTGTTTAAACCACTCAGTCTGTGGTATTTTGTGATGGCAGTTCGAGCAGACTAAGACAAATAATGACACCATTCATGATTGTTCCCGTCTACCAGTCACCAAAACAAGTTCTAACAAGATTAAAGAATAAATTCCCCCAAAAGGTAAACTTAAAGCCTAAAAATTAGAATAAATTGTAAATAAAGATAAAAAATATAACTGGAGGCAATCAAAAATATATATATCCTAAGGAGATTGTTAAAGCTATATGAAAAATGTATGCTAAAAATCTCATTGGAGCACTATTCATAAATCTAAATAATTATAAATAATAACTATGGTTATGTTGATTATGGTAAATCCATATATGTTAACATAATGTGGTAATTTGTAAATGTTTATAAAGCATTCTTGTATATTAGCAAAACAATTTGAAGTGTCAAATTAAAAATCCTGAATACAAAATTACATGTAAGTTATAATTCCAAGTGTGTTTGAAAAATTACATATAAAAATAATGGAAGTAAATGCAACAAACTATTCATAGTAGAATTTTATTTTACAGCAACTCAAAATAATGAAACAAATCCTCTGGCTTACAACTTTCAACTAGGTATTGTGATTTTCTTACTATTCCATTCAGTAGGATATAGGTGGCATGGTTGTATTTTCAGTTTGTCAGTGTTCTCCTGGCATCATTATTAATAGTGTCCCTGTCACTTTCACAAGTTTCCTGGTTTGCAGAATAAATTATATGGTTATCTGACATATGGGAAACCTAATTTTCTTCCTTCTTCCCCAGTAATAATCTATACAATTCTGGACAACTCACCTATCCATAAAACAATTTGATCTCTACCTTAAAATAGATATATCTCTGCCAGTTAACTTCATAGAAATATTGTAAGGATTAATGAGGAGATGTTTGGAAAATACTTTGAGCTCATCAGAGAAAAGTGCTATGATATTGCCACTAATAAATTTATTTACTAGCTTGCTGAGTAGAAAGTCAAGGGAAATCAAGATTTTGTGGGTATCAGTGACAAAACCAAATCAATCATGCATGTTCTGGCAGCCCATTTTATATAAGTTCCCCAGAGTAGAGTAGCTAGTGAACATAGAATTTCTCCAAAATATATATATATATATATATATATATATATATATATATATATGAACATAAAACTTCTCCATATATATATATATAATTAATTAGAAAAATTAGAGACACATAGGCTAAATTTTGACTCTATATAGGCTATTCAGTTAGCAGTTATGAGTAAATGTATTGAACTTCTCTTTCTTGGTGAAAATATTGTGTTCCATCAAGCACTAACCATATGGAACGTTTGGAAGTTGAACAAGGACTGTTCATTAAGCTTGAAAGGGACAGATCTGAGCCAGCTAGCACTTTGTAACCTGGCAGTCAGGCCTCAAAATCAAGGCTATTATTTTAGTAGACCAATTAAGTTTTTTAGAAACTCAGTGGAAAGGTGGCATCTTCACACATTTTCAGCACCTTATAAATTAGGTACTTTTGCCTGGCACTAAAATATCCTTCTTGAACTTAAAAATCAAAATCAATAAATCAGTCTACTTCTCAGGCAACAAAGAAGCAGAGGAAAGGCAACAACGGGGCAGATTAAACTTCTAGCAATGAATCCCAAATATACAGGAGCCTTAGTTTGATTAAGATGACAAAAAAACACCTGGAGGAAGGGCACTCAAGTCTGGCTCATGGTCTCTTTGTTCTTCCTAAAATCTACATCCCTTGCATCAACTACAGTACTATAGCCGATGTTTTGAAGTTGAAGCATAATATCTTATTTTTTCTGACATTGCAAGTATATAACATCACAAAGATTTTTTTTCTTTTTCTTTTTCTTTTTTTTTTTTTTTGAGACGGAGTCTCGCTCTGTCACCCAGGCTGGAGTGCAGTGGCACGATCGTCACTGCAAGCTCTCCCTCCCGGCTTCACGCCATCCTCCTGTCTCAGCCTCCTGAGTAGCTGGGACTACAGGCGCCCGCCACCACGCCCAGCTAATTTTTTCTATTTTTCAGTAGAGACGGGGTTTCACCGTGTTAGCCAGGATGGTCGCGATCTCCTGACCTCGATCACAAAGTTGATTATCTTTTCACTTTTCAAGTTCTTAGACCGTCTATCTAAAATTCGTATCTTGACCTTTCATGTCTGTCTTCAAGAACAAATCATCTCTCTTCCCACTCTCTGTCAATTTGATCTCTTTCTCTTTGCTTTGTTCTGGAGGAGAGAAAGGTGTATCTGTATTATTTTCTTCTTTGTCCGAATTAAACAGCTGTTCTTGGAGAGTGGTGAGCAGTTCTTTATGCAAAGGAAAACTGGTTACTTAGTTTTGTACCATTTACAAAAAAAGTAAGAAAATGCTGAAAACCATTATCTTAAAATATTCATTTTATTCAGTTTTATTTTAATTGGGGCACAGATATAAGGGAATATTTTTAGTTGAATAAGGAATAAAAATATTTTGTTATAAATCCTCAAGAATATTTATACCTTAAAATTGTTTTTGTATTTCTGTTTCTATGACATTCAAATGGGCAAAATTTTTTCTAGAATTTAGACAGATTTACAAATAAGTGCGTAAATATGTCTGGAAATTGAACAATTAAAAGAAAAATACAACAATGAGAAAGTGAATTGAACTTGAAAAATACCCTAATTGTGAAAATGAAACTTTCATAGTATTATTTTAATGTTTTCTGATTTGCATTTTGGGAAATCTTGCCTTCACTGTGTTTTTTTCCTTAGATTTTCTCCACATACTGTTCACAAAATTCAGTTAAAAACTATTTTAGAGATTGTCCAGGGAAAGGGCTGCATGCTCAGTCATTGACTGTTACTTACTTTGGTACAATTAGGGGTATTAAATTTGAGTTCATTGGATTTGTGCTTCTCCCCACACAGGCTGACTATTCGTAGCTGTTGCTGCTTGGAATACATATTGGCTTAATTAATCAGTACTATTTGGAATTCTGTGAAAATGCAAACTAATTATGAACTTTCTCCAATAAGAGACAATTTTGGCTCCTGATTATTTGCTTTTCCCTACATTTATATAACAGCAATCTCATGAAATCGAGCATTAGACCAGCATGTTATTGATTTGCACATTAGGCAATTTGCACCTCTGAATTGCTTTCCTTTCTGATATCCTCAGATGCAAAATCTTGAAAAAGAGCATGCAGTCAGACCTTTATTGGATTGTTTGATAATTGTTTTTTCTCTCTGTTTCCATTAGCATTATTTGTGGAAGACCATAGCAGTGGGAGTTCTTGTCACAGAAATCTTGTGACCTCTGTGTTTGGTAGCTATAGACTGCAATGAGTTTATCTCTTCATAGGGGAAATTGAGAAGAGATTACTTCTACCCACTACCCAAGCTCTGGTTTTCTTTACAAAGCTTCTGCATAAATCACAACTACATAGCTTCAATGACGGACCTAACTCTTGCTTGGAAGTGTGGCAGCAGAGTTGATGGTCATGGATTTAAGCTACAGTCTCATCACTAGTTTATTTATAGTAAACACTCTGGGGGAGACTTTTAGTGCTAGATTCTGTGCTAGACTCTGGTGTTGAAATATGTGTCAGCTATGGCCTCAGCTCTCAAGGCATTAGTTGTGTTTGTGTGTATTGTGTGTTTTGAGGGAGGTGTTAGGTGTTGGTTGAAAGAATGAGGAAGGGGAGCAAGATTTGAGGAGAAAACAAACATACACACATACATGGTTTCATTGAATAATCTGCACTTCTGAATTGTCAATACATCCATCTGATTCAGTCATAATTGAATTAGAATTATCCTGAGCGGCGGTGGAAAACATTGAATATTTTTTTTCACACTGAAGCCAGAAGTCTTGGGTACCATAACCCAGCAATATTGTTTGCTGGCTGTCACTTAAACTCACAAAACACCTCTGTTTTATCATCTATAATAAATACAGATACAATATTCTGTTTTATATATATGTATATATCTTGCAAAATTATTGTGATGATGAAAAACGAAATGTAATACACACTGAATAATGCGTAGTAGATGGGAAGCACTAAATAAATGGCTATGTAAGCAGTGATTCCTCTCTTTGTTATCTTCATTATTACAATTTCTACATAGGTTTTATTTCAGTGATTTTTATAGTAATGACTTTGCTAATTTTATAAAAATACTTCATGCCAAAGAGTACAAAGAAAACAAAATAAATCACCTCAAATTTTCAGAAATAACCAATGTTAACAGTTGGTGGAATTCATTTGGGTGATTTTTTTTTTGTTTCTTCTTTGCACTTTTTGGTGTTTTTCAAGTTTAAAAGGAATAAGCACATACAATTATTATAATAGCTGTAAAATTGTTATATGTGTTTCAAATTTCATATTCCAAAAAGTTTGGATATAGATGGAAGATACATAACTATATGTATAGTGAGAGAGAGCTAGCAGAATAGATAAAAAATAATTTTATAATGAAAGAATACTATATCTGCTTTTTAAATTGGAAGTATTAAATTTATCTATGTGACTGCATTATTTCCTAAAAGGTCACATTTTTAAAAAAAATTAAAAAACATTAGAAGATTGCATCATTATAATTTATTTCTTAAATTTTAATTATATGTATATCTATGAATAATTTATGCATAAACATATATAGGTAATGTCAAATCCTAAGAAAATGTATACACCTTAAGGAATTATCACAAAACAAACACCTCCACAACTACCACTCAGAATAACATTTTTTTTGCAAAATAGATTACTACTCCTTCATTTGTCTTCAAAGATACCCATTATTTGGAGTTTACTTTTCTTAATGTTTTGATATTTATATACCCACTCTGTGGTAGGCCAATAATGCCTCTGAAAGGCATGTCCATGTCTTAATCCATGGAGCCTGACTTTATTTGAAGTAGGGCATTTGCAGATGTATTTAAGATATTTGAGGCCGGGCACAGTGGCTCATGTCTGTAATCCCAGCACTTTGAAAGGCTGAGGCAGGTGGATTCACCTGAGGTCAGGAGTTCGAGACCAGCCTGGCCAACATGGTGAAAAGCCCGTATCTACCAAAAATACAAAAGTTAGCTGGGTGTGGTAGTGGCAGCGCCTGTAATCCCAGCTACTCGAGAGCCTGAGGCAGGGAGAATAACTTGAACACAGGAGGCGGAGGTTGCAGTAAGCCAAGATCGCACCATTGCACTCCAGCCTGGGTGGCAGAGCAAGACTCTGTCTCAAAAAAAAAAAAAAAAATAGAAGAAAGAAAAAAGAAATTTGAGAGGAGATCATCCTGGGTTATCTGAGTGAGCCCTAAATGCCATCAGAAGTGTCCTTGGAAAAAGGAGACAGAGGGAGCAGAAGGCAATGGGACAATAGAAACAGAGAAGTTTGAAGATGCTGTGATGCTGGATTTGAAAATAGAGGAAGGCCCACAGGATGGAAGAGGCCATGAATGGATTATCTTTTGGAGTCTCCGTTGAGAATATAGCCCTTCTGCCATCTTGACTTTAGGTCAGTGAAACAAATATTGTTCTGGTCTCTCTAACTGAGAGAGAATAAATTTATCTTGTTTAAAATCACTAAGTTTGTGATAAGTTGTTACAACAGCCCCAGGAAACAAATACACACTCATTTATTTTATTTTACTGCTTAACATTATGCATTGTGAGTTTGACCTATGTTGTTACATGTAGTTCTAATTTGTTCATTTTCATTGCTGAATAATATTCAATATGCAATTTTAAAAATTCATCTTTTTTTAAACAAATAATGCTGCTATGTACATCCTTGCTTGTATCTTGTGGTATAAATATGTAAGTGGGTAGCTGCATCCATTTACTTTTTCTCCAACAGTCTATGAGAATTTCCCTTGTTCTGTATCTTCATTTATATTCGTTATTGTTAGTCTTTTAATGTTAGACAAACTAGTATGTGTAGAATGGTATGTCATTACAGTTTTAATTTAAATTTCTCTAACAAATAATGAGCCATTTTCATCAGGACTGAGCCTTGGGTCAAACAAGAGAGGCATCTAGGGCACACAATTTAAGGATGTGTTTATTCCCTTTCCTTTCTGTCCTTGTTTGTGATGAATTATTTCTACTTTATCAAACAAAAAGTGTAATAGGTATACAATTGATTTTTGCTTTTTGTGCATTTGTTATAAATCCAGTCACCTTACCAAACTGGCTTTTATTTCTAATTGTTTGTAGATAATTTTTGACATTTGTACATAGCCATGCCATCTCCAAATTAGCATTTACCTTTCCTTTTCAATATTTACAAATTTAACTTCTTTTAGTTGCCTTATCCCACTAGCTGGGGCCACTATAAATCTTTTATACTTGTTTTGATGTCTATAGATACTGTAGTGATGTCCTCTCCTTTATTAATTTCTCACACTGGTAATTTCTGGTCTCTCTTTCTTTCTGACTGTTTATCTTTCTGTCACTCTCTTCCCCTCTTTCTCCGTGTGTATGTATGTGTGTGTGTGTGTGTCTGTATAAAAGAATTTAAATATACGGATAGTCCTTGACTTAATGATGGTTTGACTTACAATTTTTCAACTTTACAATACTGCAAAACAATCACAATTTCAACATAACGTACCATATTCAATACATTACATGAGAGATTCAACACTTGCTGATCAAGTAGGCTTTCTGTTAGATAATTTTGCCCAACTGTAGGCTAATGTTAGTGCACTGAGCATGTTTTAGGTAGGTTAGGCTAAGCGATGATGTTTGGCAGGTTGGGTATATTAAATGCATTTTCTACTTATGATATTTTCAATTATATTGGGCTTATCAGGATGTAACCCTATCATAAGTTGAGGAACACCTGTACTATAATTATGCAATTATAAAGAGATTCATTATTTTTTTCCAGGCAAAACTTTTTTCGTTGATTTTTCTCTTATATGTCTGTTGTATCAGTCAGTTTTCAAATTACTATAAAGATACTACCTGAGACTGGGTAATTTATAAATAAAAATGATTTACTTGATTCACAGTTCTGCATGGCTGGGGAGGCCTCAGGAAACATACAATCATGACAAAAGGTAAAGGAGAAGCAATGCACATCTTACATGGCAGCAGGAGAGAGAGCAGGAAAAACTGCCACTTTTTTTGTTTTTTAAGACAGAGTCTTGCTGTGTAGCCCAGACTGGAGTGCAGTGGTGTGATCTTGGCTCACTGCAACCTCCACCTCCCAGGTTCAAGTGATTCCCCTGTCTCAGTCTCCTGAGTAGCTGAGATTACAGGCGTGTGCCACTATACCAAGCTAATTTTTTTGTATTTTTAGTAGAGATGGGGTTTTGCCATGTTGGCCAGCTGGTTTTGAACTGATCTGAAGTGATCCACCCACCTCAGCCTCCCTAAGTGCCGGGATTACAGGTGTGATCCATTGCACTGACAAAACTGCCACTTTTGAAACCATCAGATCTCATGACAACTCCCTCACTATCACGGGATAGCATGGAGGAAACCACCTCCATGATCCAATTACCTCCCACCAAGTCCCTCCTTCAACACTTGGAGATTACAATTAAAGATGATATTTGGGCCACACAGTGCCAAACCACATCATCCTCATTTTTTTCAATAATTTCTTCATCATATCTCATCATGTATTTATTTACATGTATTTTGAAATTGAGTACTAGGCATTATACATGAAAAACTGAGAGTAATCTGAAGCCCTGGAAATGTTAACATTCTCTAGAGAAGAATTACATTTGCTCTTTGCAGTAAGCTAAGGACACTAGCAGGTTACTTTAATGCATCCATAAGTGTACAGATAATCAGACACTAGGTTTATGTCCATGAGTGGGCTGGTCTTTATCGAGTGTAGTCCTTGCCCCCAACTCAAAGCCTGGAGGGTACTGTGCTCCAATTCTCCCCACCACATTCCCTTGCACACTCACAGTTACATGCATTTCACTGCCAAAAGTATTCCTTAGTTTTGCGATCTGTTTTTTAACTTCCTAGAATCAGTAAAAATCTTGAGCTAAAAAGTGATGCTCAATGTCAAGCTCATCTCTTGGATCTGGGCTTTGCAATTTCCCATGGCTTTGTTAACACTTAGTGTCTCAAAGAAAATTTTGTTGTTGTGTTCCATGGGAGAGTTGATATCAATTACAAATGTGCAGTTACTGGTAGAAGTTCCTGTGGTTTCTATTTTACCTTCAGATTTTACTTTTAGACTGCTCCAGTCTACATCTTTTTATAAGAGATCATGTGAGGACAGTTTTTTTTAATTCTCTTCTGCAACCTCTGGAGTTTTGTAACTTGCATTATTCTTGTTTTACTTAAATTTAAGCCTTTTTTTCTATAGTCTGCAAGAAGTTTTCTTTAGTTGCTTAATCTATGTGCTGCTTTTATAGGACTTATTTTTCATCTGTCATTTCATAAAATGTCTCTTTTTACTTTCTCCTTATTTTGGCCCATCCTTTGGCTAGATTTTTGGGGTGGTGTTATCTGAGATCTCCTATGTCTATTTGTTGCTTGAATGACCCTTCAGGTTTTACATAATTTTTTCAGCCATCCTTTTATTTTCTTAAGAATGTCCTGGTAACATGTTTCCCCTATAAATCTACATCCAAATCCTTCCTTAATTTAAGGAATCACTACATGATAGTGAACATTTAATTCTCTTTTATTCCAATTTGAGTTATCAATGTCAGTGCCAATTATTCTTTTTCAAGATATCATTGCCTGCACTCTTCACATATTATCTTGTTTATAATGACTTGAATCATTTTTGTTTATTAACATACATAGCTACACTCGCCCCAGAGGAATAGGGAACTCACATATGCAAAAGAAAATCCATGGGAACACCCACAACACAATTTATCCATCATCCAGTATTACTGAGTAAAGGCTCTTGAAATAAGAGTTTTCAACACAAAATAGAATATGAAAAACTATAATATGCATGCAAAATGTGAGAGGACTTGGACATTTAAAAAACAACTTGTAGTTGAAAACTAATGTGTAGACTAACTAGCAGAAAAGATATAGGTGGAATTGATGAGCATAAAATTATTAAATAAAAACAAAAAATAGGAGTACATGATAAATATTTTCAAAGTATGATATCTGAAAAGGCTAATACAATACACTTTTGACAATTTCCAAGAAAAGTAGAAAGAAAGAAAGAAGAAAATTTTTAAAATAGATAAAGATACTACACCTACACATATGAAGAAATTTTAAAACCTCAAGCTGTAGTCATTAAATATGATTATTATCTGAATTTTAAATGCACTATTTGACTCACCCTTTGACTCTATTATTATCATCTCTAGCAGATGCTCAGTGGTCTGATAGGATCAGTAACAACACAGAACCATTGCCAAGCCACATGGAAGCATGAAGCAAAAGAAAACCTCAGTAATATTGATTTTGTCTTTATTTAAAATGTTAATATGTTGTTCATCATGGATTTCGTGCATTAATTTTGATTTAATAAAATATTACATTATCATTTACCTTGATTACTGAGTTTATTTGACATCCCTTTATGTTCCTCACCTGAGGCAGCAAGGGCCTCATGTTCTTCACTCTGAGTCAGGACCTGCACAAGACATAAAAATTTTACATTTATGTCCACTTAGGCAGTTGAGGTCTTGCCTTCTAAGTTTCTCTATAGCTCACTAAGAAGAAATGGTGTTGATGTAGGGAGAGGGCTACACTCTGGTAGTGCTAGTTCCAGGAAGATGCCCATGTGCCCCTGATAGCACTACAGAGTTTAGCAATTTCTGCCTTCACTGCTTATTTTACTTTTTCTCTTCCTCAGTTTGTTTCCCTTCCAGAGAGCCAGGTCATGGGTACTGGAACTAGACGAATAAGGATTGAAAACCCACTTATGTAACCTTGAATGAGTTATTTTACTTGTCTGAGTCTCAATTTTCTTATATATTAAGTGAGGATAATTTTTAATTTATAAGATTCTTGTATAAATAAATATGTACAGAAAGTCCATCATACACCTAGTCCACAGCATGGACTTAATAAATCTCATTATCTTTTCAACTCTATTTCTGCTTCCCATTCTTCAACTTACTACTACAAAGCTAATCCATTAGCTAGTATATAGTAGAAACTGAAAAAAAATTGAAATGCATTTCTTTTATTGCTATAATCACAAATATGTTACATAGACCTACCTCAATGGTAGAGTTCATCCATTGAGTTGGTTCAGTTATGTTTAATATTAGTTTAATATTTCAAACGTAGCAAAAATATTTTATTAGTTACTTATAATAGGTGGAGGAAAGTAAACAATAGGCTTCTTAGAAACACTCTGATTCCTGATCTAAACCCTATTCTTCAGTGAAATTGTTTTGATAATGTATACAATTTCAGAAATTTATATTTTTGCTTCTAATATCTCAATGTATTTAGTTAAGAGAAATAAAAATAACTTTAACTGACTTTATAATATATAAAGTTTATTTTAAACCTTTGCCTTTAAATGAAAAAAAATAATGTTATTAGAGGTTTTATACTTTTCTGTATATAACATCAGGCTAATTTTCACTAGACTGTAAATATTCTTATATGGACAGGCAAATCAGTACTGAATATACAATATATTTTCTTTTCTATGGATTGTGCCCAAATTACATCAGTTTAGAACAAACACGCTTAATTAAAGCCAATAAATTCAGGTGTTCTATGATTGTTATACTTTTTTGTTTTCAATGAAAAATAGCCAGACCTGTTCACTGGGGCTTGTTGTAATTATGGATTTTAATGTGAATAAGCTATCATTTGATGTTCCACCAAGAAAATGTTTTTACATTTTAAAGAGCTTTAAGATTTGTTATTTGAGTTAGTGTCATTTGAATAATGGCTGAGAGAACAGTTTTTTTTTTTCAATTACACACGTATTTCTTCATCTATTTAGAGCCTCTGAGGTCAGACTAGATTAAAAATGCACACACGCATTTGTCTCAAGTAATGGTGGAAAGTTACCTCCTTGGTGACTGCAGTGTGCAAGAATGTGTGTGGTTTGGTTTCTAATCTTTCATTTCTTTCCAACATGAAAAAATAACCTCCCTCAGGCAAGAAAAAAACATTGTACTTGGGGAGTTGCCTTTGATCAAAGAAAGGGGCAATAGCTCTTTCCTGAAAATGGTGACAAGAATGAAAAATGGAAAGAAAGATCTATTTTAACTAGAAGTAATGATTTTGGGGGAGGAATAGGGAGAGTGTATGTGAGTAAACAAGGAAGGAAACTGAGAGTAACAGTCACTGATGTCAGTTTGTGAAAGGGATGAGGCTGACCAACATGCCTTGAGGCCATATCAGAAGATTTTAGTTTTCATATAAAATATTTATATTTCCATCTTTTTTTCCTATATTATGAGGGCAATCAAAAGAAGAATTTTGGCTTTGTACAGAATTTTCCTACGTATTGAGGAAGTAAAAATGCCAGGTATATTCACATTTTCAAGGTTTTACTGAGAATAAAGTTTATACCTAGAAATGATTTTAATACAAGCAATGGGCTATCCTAGGAAAACAAAACGGAGAGAGATGATCTAACAGGAATGATGTAGCAGAATTGACATAAATGCTGCTATGCTTTGGTTCTGTGTCCCCACCCACTCCCACGTGTTGAGGGAGGGAAGTGATAGGATTATGGGGTGGGGGGTGGTTTCTCCCATACTGTTCTCGTGATAGAGAGTCTCACGAAATCTTTTGGTTTTAAAAGAGGCAGTTTTTTCCTGTGCTCCTACTTCCATCTCTTCTGCCACCTTGTGAAGAAGGTGCCTGCTTCCCCTTCACCTTCCGCCATGATTGTCAGCTTCCTGAGGCCTCCCCAGACATGCAGAACTGTGAGTCAGTTAAAACCTCTTTCCGTTATAAACTACCCAGTCTCAGGCAGTTCTTGACAGCAGTGCAAAACCGGACTCATACAAATAGAAAAGATATTATCAATATCATCCTCCCCAGAACTTTCATGTTTTCACTAGATTTATGAGATATATTTTTCAATCTCCTTGAAAATCAACACAAGCCCTTCATTATCCAGTCTCATTATAAAATAAAGTATTTGTTTTATATTGGCACCATGACAATTTCAACTAAATTAATGGCTTCAGCAACATAAATTATTATCTCACACTTCTGTAGGTCTGAAGTCTCAGTGGGCTCAACCAGTTCCCCTGTTCAACATTCGGCAAGGTCCAAATGAAGGTGACAATCAACAGGGATCTTATTGGGAAGCTCTGGTAAGAGTACATTTCCAGATTTATTAAGGTTGTTGGCAGAATTTAGTTGTTTGCAGTTGTATCACCATTCCCAGTATCTTGTACAGTTGTACGTCATTGTTTTCTTGCCTGTGTCAACTGGTGGTTGCTGGTGTCAGCTCCTAGTAACCTGTCTCCAGACTTCCTATGTGAGCCTCTACATCGCAAAACGAGCAATGACGCCTCCGAACCTTCTCAGGAGGAATCTTTCTAATTTCTCCCTCTGCCAAGCCCCTCTTTCTCCAGCTGAAGTATGTTCTCTGCTTTCGAAGGTTCATATGATTAGATTGGGTTCACCTGGATACTTAAAGATGCTTGCCCTATCTTAAGGTTTGTAACCTTAGTTACAGCTACAAAGTCCATTTTGCCATATTCACAGATTCCAGAAATGAGGATGTGGACATCTTTGGGAGGCTACTGTGCATACCACAAATACTAATCTCACAATAATCTGTTTATGGCCTATTTTTTGGCCATTACTTCACTGAAATTCATATTCTGCATTTTGTTAAGTATTCAGTCTCTGAGGTGAAGCACAGTAATACAGAAAAACCTAGATGATTCAAAATGAAAGACATTGATAGCGTAAAAAGAACATCAGAAATCATTGGTTTTTGAGACTAATGTGCGAAAGTTTACTTTTCCATATTTTTTGAGAGTATTTTTCCTTGTTTTTAATTTTGGTATACTTTAGATAAGATGAAATGCACAATTTTTAATCATTATTCAATGACTTTTGATAAAAATACATGATTGAGCCACCCACAGGCCATAGAACATTGACATTACCCCAGAAATTTCTCATGCCACTTAACAATCAATTCCCGTCACCCTCCAGCCATTATTCTTGTTTCTATCACTACAGATTGATCTTGCCCATTCTGAAACTTTATATGGAAGTGATCATACAATACATACTTTTGGTGTCTTTTTTTGTAGTATTTTTGAGTAGTTTTCAATTATTTGACTATATCACAGCTTTTACAACCCATTTTCCAATTTTGCGGGCCTTTGAGTTCTCTTCAGTTTGGGGTTATCAAGAATAATTATACTGTTATCTTTATTTCTGTTAGGCTTGAAAATATTTCATAATCATGTATTCTTAGAATAATTTGCAAGTTATTTATTTAAGCAGTCATATTGATATTTAGGTAAATTTTTTTATTTAAATTTTAGAGTACATGTGCACAACGTGCAGGTTTGTTACATATGTGCCATTTTGGTGTGCTGCACCCATTAACTCATCATTTGCATTAGGTATACCTCCTAATGCTAGCCCTCCCACCTTCCCCCTACCCCACGACAAGCCCTGGTGTGTGATGTTCCCATTCCTGTGTCCAAGTGTTCTCATTGTTCAATTCCCACCTATGAGTGAGAACGTATGGTGTTTGGTTTTTTGTCCTTGTGATAATTGGCTGAGAATGATGGTTTACAGCTTCATCCATGTCCCTAGAAAGGACATGAACTTATCATTTTTTATGGCTGCATAGTATTCCATGGTGTATATGTGCCACATTTTCTTAATCCAGTCTATCATTGTTGGACATTTGGCTTGGTTCCAAGTCTTTGCTATTGTGAATAGTGCCGCAGTAAACATATGTGGGCATGTGTCTTTATAGCAGCATGATTTATAATCCTTTGGGTATATACCCAGTAATGGGATGACTGGGTCAAATGGTATTTCTAGTTCTAGATCCCTGAGGAATCGCCACACTGACTTCCACAATGGTTGAACTAGTTTACAGTTCCACCAACAGTGTAAAAGTGTTCCTATTTCTCCATATCCTCTCCAGCACCTGTTGTTGCATGACTTTTTAATGATCACCATTCTAACTGGTGTGAGATGGTATTTCATTGTAGTTTTGATTTGAATGTCTCTGATGGCCAGTGATGATGAGCATTTTTTCATGTGTCTTTTGGCTGCATAAATGTCTTCTTTTGAGAAGTGTCATTTCATATCCTTTGTCCACTTGTTGATGGGGTTGATAGTTTTTTTTTTCCTTGTAAATTTGTATGAGTTCTTTGTAGATTCTGGATATAAGCCCTTTGTCAGATGAGTAGATTCCAAAATTTTTTTCCCATTCTGTAGGTTGCCTGTTCACTCTGATGGTAGTTTCTTTTGCTGTGCAGAAGCTCTTTTGTTCAATTAGATCCCATTTGTCAATTTTGCCTTTTGTTGCCATTGCTTTTGGTGTTTTAGACATGAAGTCCTTGCCCATGCCTATGTCCTGAATGGTATTGCCTAGGTTTTCTTCTAGGGTTTTTATGGTTTTAGTCTAACATTTAAGTCTTTAATCCATCTTGAATTAATTTTTGTATAAGGTGTAAGGAAGGGATCCAGTTTCAGCTTTCTACATATGGCTAGCCAGTTTTCCCAGCACCATTTATTAAATAGGGAATCCTTTCCCCATTTCTTGTTTTTGTCAGATTTGTCAAAGATCAGATAGTTGTAGATATGCGGCAATATTTCTGAGGGCTCTGTTCTGTTCCGTTGGTCTATATCTCTGTTTTTGTACCAGTACCATGCTGTTTTGGTTACTGTAGCCTTGTAGTATAGTTTGAAGTCAGGTAGTGTGATGCCTCCAGCTTTGTTCTTTTGGCTTAGGATTGACTTGGCAATGTGGGCTCTTTTTTGGTTCCATATGAACTTTAAAGTAGTTTTTTCCAATTCTGTGAAGAAAGTCATTGGTAGCTTGATGGGGATGGCATTGAATCTATGAGTTACCTTGGGCAGTATGGCCATTTTCATGATATTGATTCTTCCTACCCATGAGCATGGAATGTTCTTCCATTTGTTTGTATCCTCTTTTATTTCATTGAGCAGTGGTTTATAGTTCTCCTTGAAGGGTCCTTCACATCCCTTGTAAGTTGAATTCCTAGGTATTTTATTTTCTTTGAAGCAATTGTGAACGGGAGTTCACTCATGATTTGGCTCTCTGACTGTTATTGGTGTATAAGAATGCTTGTGATTTTTGCACATTGATTTTGTATCCTGAGACTTTGCTGAAGTTGCTTAGCAGCTTAAGGAGATTTTGGGATGAAATGATGGGGTTTTCTAGATATACAATCATGTCATCTGCAAACAGGGACAATTTGACTTTCTCTTTTCCTAATTGAATACCCTTTATTTCCTTCTCCTGCCTGATTGCCCTGGCCAGAACTTCCAAGACTATGTTAAAAAGGAGTGGTGAGAGAGGGCATCCCTGTCTTGTGCCAGTTTTCAAAGGGAATGCGCCCAGTTCTTGCCCATTCAGTATGATATTCGGTGTGGGTTTGTCATAAATAGCTCTTATTATTTTGAGATATGTCCCATTAATACCTAATTTATTGAGAGTTTTTAGCATGAAGGGCTGTTGATTTTTAGGTAAATATTTTTTAAGATTACCTGCCCACAAACATAAACTACCTATTGAGCACTGCTTGTATTTTGGTGGGCATATGCACATATACACTCAGAGTTGAATGTGGCTACTTTAAATGACTTCTGCCATTCTCATAAAATAATTAGCAGATTATCCAGTTTATAAACTTGATGACATTGCTATATAAGATACTGGAAAACAAATTCCATTATATAATATTTGCAGAGATAAGTTTTTGAAATTGATAAGCCACTTTTCCAGGATTTTTTATACTAAATACAGTTGTTTGGATAAGGACATTCATATAGATACCTGGCTTCATAACTAATACAAGCAATTTATCATAACATACCCACAGTTAATCTTCACTTTTGCCCTACAATGGGTGCTCTTAAATTACTTTGTAATATTTTTCAAGGCACAGAAGTAAGGAATGGAGAGAAAAATAAGCCTGAGACGTCTTTGGGCTCCAAAAATCTTTACTCTTGGTAACCATAGCAGCTCGTGACTCAATAAAGTGATAAAAAGACTTCATATTTTTGGGTTAAAAAACTTGTATATGTTAGTTTTTCTGACAAAGATAATCAGATACGACAATTACTAAATCGGGATATTAAAACTATCATCTCAGGATAAGAACAATTACGTATTTTCCTGTTGAAACTTTAGATTCTTTGTTGTTGTCATTGTCCCTTAAGGAAAACCTATCTGTCCTTGTGCCCCAGTAGCACTCCACATCTTTGGCAGATGTGAGTTTATATTTTTTATCACTACTCTTGTGCTTGAAGAGCATGCTTTAACATTTCTTGTAGTGCTTTTCTGGTGGTAATAAATACTTTCACCTATTATTTTAATCTTATTAAAGTGTTAATTTTGCCTTTTGAAGATTATTTTCACTGGATATATAATTCTGAAATGATTTATTATTTCTTCTCTATACTTTAAATGATTTTTAGATTTTCATTTAGCTTACATTTGTTCTAATGAGAAGTCAGAAGTATTTTTTATCATTATTCCCTTTTCTATTACATGTCTTTTCTCCCACCTACAATTACGAATTTTGAATTGTATGACTGTGTTGATATTCTACATCTCTCCACTCTCTTTCTTCTTTTCCTCTAAATCCTTGGACATACTTTAATACCAGCTTAATAATGCTTGTTTTTATTCTTAACAACATCCTGGCTATCTTAGGTCTGTTTCTATTGCTTATTTTTCTCCTAATTTTCTCATAGGTTTCTGCTATTTTTGCATGTTTAATAATTGTTTTTGTTTTATATTTGACATTTTCATACTATATTATTTAGATTCTAGACTTCCGTCTTTGGTAGAAGTGTGTTGAATTTTATTTTGAGCACTCAGTTAATTTACTGGCACATTAGTTTGATCCAGTTGGTCCTTATTTTTAAGTTTTTAAGGCTGATTTAAGAGTATTTCTTCTGATAGGAGTAGATGAGCCCCACTTCGCAAGCTGACTTTCCTGAGTTCTTATTTAAACACTGGGAGATGCTCAGTGAGTCTTTTCACTTTGACTGGTTGAAACTCTAATGGCTTTCAACATTGTTGAACCAGTGAAATCCTCATTCCGCTCATTGCCCCTTAGAAACTGTTCTCTCTGTGGCCTTGTGAAATCTTACTCTGTACATGCATAATATGTTGTTCACTCAAAAAATTCAAGAAGACTCATTTGTAGATTTTTAGATCTCTTTCTCAGTTCGACTCTTTCTTCTCTGGAATGTTCTTCATAAATTCCAGCCACCTCAGCTGCATCCTACCATCGGTTTCTCCATTCAGAAAAATTGCTGTGATCTATTCGGGCTCCTCTTTCCTTTCCTGCAGTTTTGGAAGTATCCCTATATAAAAGGCCAGCTTTAAATGTGGAGTTCACTTCAAGGATCACGACTCTATGCTGTGTGTTGTACAATGCTTTAAAATGGGCACATGGTACATTTTGTCTAGTTTTATAGTTGTTTACAGCAGAAGATTCAGTCTGAAATCCATTATTTTATTATAGCCAGAACCAGAAGTCAAGCAATCTGTTTTTAAAAAAGCACATATTGTGTACCTGCTACCTTCCATGTACCATACCAAGTGTGTTCAAATACATAGTCAAGTCAGCTTTTACTATTTGTTGTTCCTCATGAAGGGCTTACATTTTATTTTATTTTATTTTATTTTGGAGAGAGGGCTTAGGCAGATTTTTATTCAATATCTATGCATTTGCTCATGCTGACTGTTTCTGGCATATTTTTACATACTTCCTAAATACTGTTTGTCTTGCAAGATTTATGGCACTTCTTTTTTGCATGTTTTTCTAATTCATCTCCAAAATCAACCTTTCCCAACTTCATTTGTTCATAAGATACTTTTAAATTCACCTCTGTTATAGCATTTACCCTGTTGAATTATAGCTATCTCTGTATGTGTCATAAAAACCCAGGAAAATTTTAGGCTGCAACTGCCACTTTCCTCTCTTTGTGACTCCACTTGTCACAGTTACAAGTGCACATATTAGGCCATTTCTAAGGGTTCATTGTACTGAATACCTGCTACCTAATTTAACTCACATAATAATCTTGTGAGGTATATAGTATAATTATCATTATGTTTAATAAACAAATTGAGTCTCATATAAGTTAATTATTTATTCTAGTTTACTAATGTCAGTGATAGAACTGAATTCTGAGTTCAAGCTCCGTGTTTGCAACTCCAAATCTACTAATCATCACTATACCACATTTATCATGCATTGCCTTCACTCTTGTTAGCCTGACAAATAGGAAAATAATACAATAATCCTTAAATATCAGTACTATCTCATACAATTTCATATAACTCACACAATTTTAATCACAATTGTAAAGGTCTATACAGCTTAATTAGTCTAACTCCCCATTCAACGGCCGTATTTTCTCTACAGTATTCCTGACCATAAGACTTTGCTTTGACCCTGCTGTTTGTGTCCCCCATCCCTTAAAGCAATCCATGTATGCTAGTAATTATTAATTCCTTAGAGTAGTTTACATATGCCATCCTAAAACTTGTATCCACCATTTCTTTCTCCACCCTTAATGGCTGTATAAAATTTGTCCCCTTGGTTATTCATTGGCAAGCCCTCCAATATTTGAAAACAACTAATGTTGCCTTAAGTCCTCTTTCTTTCAAGGTAAGCATCTTTAGTTGCTTTTCTTTGCTCTTCTTCTTAGATTGGTTTCTACTCTTTACATCCAATATTTTCTGTTTGTAGACAAGATTTTAAGACATGTAAAACTATGAAACACGCTGTCCTGTATGATCATAGTAATCTGTGAGGCTATTAATATCTTAGGTGTTATTACAAAGCTTTTACTTTCCCTTTCCAAGATGAACAGCACAGCAACAGGAATAAAGAAAAATTTCCCTCTAATAACTAGAAGAGTTAGAGTAACTACGATTTACAGATGAAAACCTAGGGCCAGAGCCTTCCTGTAGGATATTAGACTTCCTTTTCAAGAGGTGGCCCCCTATATAATATTTTTAAACTATCTGCCCTCTTCCTTCAATCCTGTCACTCTGTTATGCCCTTTGAAAAGAGACAGTGAAGGAGTTATATTTGGAAATATGCCCCATATTTTTTCTGATCACTGGAATGCAGAGGTGAACATGAATTTTATGAGTCTGTAGAGTTAGGGATTACATATTTTAAGTAATTAATTCTACAATAGTAAAAATAGTTCTCACCATAAATCAACAGCTGAATGGTGGGAGTTGGACATAATGGAGAAAATATGGACTAAAGAGATTATGAATAGGTATTGTAGAGAATCGATATTTTAATTGGGTGAATTAAGTAAACTCTTGGATGGATTAAAAGGTTAGATTCTGGTTGGATGTAGTTTTCCCTTATGTTCCAGAAATATGTCAACTCCTGATTTACAACAAAGGCCCAAATTCACGAAAAGAGAAAGACACCTCCTTCCCTATCTAGTAGAAGAAACTAATATTGCCATCAGACCATCCATATGCCATTATTATTTTATATTACTCAGATTATAATAGGCAGTGAACTTTCAATAATATATCACCTGATCTTTTGGTGTTTATATCAGAAACCTGTAATCTTTCTCTGATAAAGAGAATGAGCCCATGAGCCAATATACCTGACAAATGTGTAAAGGCAGGGGCAGTGCCCAGGTGTCCCTGAGAAGTCTATCTCTGCTGCTACTTTCTCAGGGCCGCAGAGGGTACATATCTCATGCAAGCACACACTTGCACTCACATGTGTGCATGTTTACCCTCTGGATTAGCCCAATTCTCCATTCACCTTTAGTTTTGCCTCATATTTTGGGAGTTCAGATTAGAAAACTGATCTAATCCACCAACATTTCTGGCATCTCTAAGCTTACATGGTATCAATGACCTCATGATGCTTTAGATTTATTTTTAATATCTGAGTATTTACTTTCAAGGGTTAATTAACCTTGGTGAAATCTTAAAATCTTCAGCTAAAGATATACTACATGACAGGCATACAATTTTGGAACTGCTTTGTTATGAACCTATACAAGGTAAATTGGCAGTGGTCACGTATTAAAGTAGCTGCTTGAACAAACCTTAATGGCACAGCTTCCATCCCAGGACTTATTAAGATCCAGTGGTTGCTTAAAGAGAAATTAGTTTGTTTGCTATAATTTGTTGAGGAAATCACCATACAATATGCAATTAGAGTGCACATATTTCTTATAAGATACCTGTGGTAAAGCTCTTCCTGTCATCCTAAACTGGAGAACATAGCGAAATTAGTTTCATCATGAAAGTTTAGATGCAGCTGGAAATTCAGAGACAATTGCTTTATCTTAAAAGCTATTTTCACTTTTCCATTGCCACATTTAAAAGTTAAGGTTTATAGAGAAATATTCTCAAGTGATTATGGAACAAGTGCAGGAAAATAGAAGCATAAAAATATGTATTTCAAGGCATCAATTCTAATTCTGCTTCTAAAAATAGTCAGTGTGCAAAGCTGCAGTTGCTGGGGTATTGCTTCAATGAAGCTGCATCGTCACCATCAACTACATTTTCAGGATCCACAATCTTCATATATATACTTTATTTTTTAATATTATAGAGGAAGAAAGTGTAATAACTTGGTGGGAGCTTCCTCCTATGTATGATATAGGAAGGTAGACAAATTAGCATCTGCCCATGCTATGATGATCACAGGAACAATCTTGCAGCTGACAATGCCAAGAAATTACTGTCCTTGAATAACGTCAAGCTTTAAATTTTTGATTACTGAAATTTCAGTAACAAATATTGCAATCAAAATTGAATTTCATAAAACTTTGGATTCATTCTACAATAGTAATATTCGGCTCAGGTGAATAATGATGTTAATACTCAGCCTTTCAGTGTTCAGCCAAATGTTTATTTGGTGCATCTCTACTTTATGTGTATTTGCAGATTTTAAAATATTTTTTTCTGCTGTGTATCATCATAACTGATACATATACACAAACATACAAAATCTTATGAAAGGCAAATGCAAACATATACACAAAGAACATGTTATAGGAAAATGTGAAAAAAGAAAACATTCAAAGCAGAGATCATTACATAAGATGACAAAACTCAAACTAAACATATCTTCACTGTTATATGTAATGAAATAAAATTAATAATTAAAGCAAAAGACATATTGGACAAGAAAAAATGTGTTGATAATTCTCTTAGCTCCACCCAAATCCTTTATCTGACTTTCAATACTCTGTTCTGTGCTCCAGGAGGTGAACTCCTAAGACTTTATCATTCAGGTTCCTCTGCCAGCTAGCTCCTAGTTGAATTGGATTAATGTAAGGCACTGGCAGTGGGTCAGATGGCAGAAGGAGAGAGAGAAAAATCCTGATATCTATACCCTGCTTTCTTCCTAATTCTGCATGAATGTAGTTTCTACCAGATAACTCTTCTCCACAGCACCAGCTCTTTCTAGGCTTCAGTAATGCAAATTATACACCTTGTCCCTTCAGGTCTGGGGATGGTAACAGCATTCCACTGTTCCTGGTATCTGAGTATTACAGCAACCTTTGCTGGGGTTTTAAATCCTGCTCTAACTGAGGTAAGTAGTCCATTCACCAAAGTCTCTATTGTGGACCATTGAAGCAGATTTCTTTTTCTTTTCTTTTTTTCTTTTTTAATAATAGTGATGGGGTCTCCCTATGTTGCCCAGGATGGTCTTGAACTCCTAGGCTCACGTGATCTCCCACCTTGGCCTCCCAAAATGCTGGGATTAGAGGTGTGAGCCACCATACCAATCCTGAAGCAGATTTCTGTTTTATACAAGGGTCCTAATTAATGTAGAAGCTATTACAAAATGGGGTATGTAAGAATATCTGTTTCTTAGGGAATAATAGGTAGCTATACCTTGTACTGCCTACCACACAGAAAGAGCAGAGTGACTGAGAGGCTTGTCTGGATTTTGGAAGTAACATGACTACAGTTGTGTGTATTCAAACCTATTACAGTCTAACTCACAAGTCTACCCATTTAGAACAAAGAGCTCTTTGCAGCAGGTTCAGTCTGTGCTGTAGGCTCCTCTGCTGCGTGGGTATTTTGACTCAGTAGATCTAAGTATCTGGCTTAGAATGATGCTGTTTGACACTTCTAAGTAACCCCAAGAAGACAATCATAATTCATCTAACTAATAATTTTGGAACAAAACTAGGTCCCCTTCTGCCAAATATTTTTATCTATTTAAGAAGTCTGGCTTGTCACCATGTAACTATGTGATTTGAAGTGTTCACCATCAACTGGGTGCTATCCAAGTTATCAAATCTTCAAATTGTGCTTGAAAATTAGCAGGTTATTATAAAATGGAATTGATATGGGTGACATTAAGGCTGAACAGGAAGGGGAGTCACAAGTATATTGAATGAGCAGGTGGTTCAGACCTTTATTAGCTATTCCTGCTTAGTTATCAAATTTTCCTCAACTCTCATTCATATTCACCAGGGGAATCCCCTAAAGAGAAGGTGCTCAACAATCAGGTAGATTAGGTGTCTGGTCTTTCCTGTGGATGTCTATCAAGCTTTCTCCCAGTGATATAGGTGCTTACTTAGTGGAACCATGCAAAAAGTAATCATAGTTGCATGGATGGTAAATATGCATAAACTCAGCACAATGGACTACCCTTTAGCAACCCTGATCTGTCTACTATCACTGAGTGTCCAACTTGTCAATACCAAGGGCAAATGTGTTCCTGATATGGCACCATTTCATAGGGACACCGACCAGGCACCTGGTGCCAGGGTGATTACATTGAATCCTTTATATTGTGGAGTAAGCAATCATTTGTCCACATAAAACCAAATACACATTCTAGAAATGGATTTCTCTTCTTTGCCCTCAATGCTTCTACCAGTGTCACCATATGTCACCTTATAGAATGCCTTATTCATTGCCATAACATCCCATACTACATTGCCTTTGACAAGGAAACTCATTTAATAGCAAAACAATTGTTACAAAAGATCCATGCCCATGAAATTCATGTTTCCCTACATGTCCCATCACCAGTAAGCAGCTGGCCTGATAGATTGATGGAATGGCTTCCTAAAGGCTCAGTTTCAATGCCAGGTGTGACACAATATTGTTTGAAATTGTGGTGCTGGCCTAACAGATTAAACTATTAGCCAATACATAAGCCATATTTCCAAAAGCTAGAATATGTAGGGTCAGGAACTAAGAAGTAGAATTATTTTACCTGACATTCTATTTACAGAATTTTATTTCCCTTCCTGGAAACTTGTATTTAGTAGCTTTGGTGGTTCTCTTTTCCAAGGAAGGAACTTTTCTTTCAAGAAATATAGCTATGTTTCCATTAAATTTGGACCTGAAATTGCACCCTTGCTATTTTTAGCTCCTAATGCCATTGACCTAACTGGCAATAAAGAGTTTAACTATACTGAATGGATTGATTAATTCTGATTAACAAAGGAAAATTAGGCAAGTAGGCCTAGTTGGAATCCAGGAGATCTGCTGTGGAGCCTTTTAGCACTTATATGTCCCATAAAGAGCCACCAAATAAAGACAGTATCACTAGGGACTTTGATCCTATGAAATGAAGATTTGGGTCATCCCATGAGACAATAATTCCTGTACTATGGAAGTAGTAAAGTTTGCTTGAAAATGGAATGGATAATAGAAAAAGGAAATTATGATGATAAAATTTAGCCTCATGACCAAAAGTGAAAACAGTAGTAGCTAATTTACATATTTATTTTAACTGAATATTTCTTTCCCCTCACTCTCCTTGCTATCTCATATAAAGAGTACTGATAGTGGGTGACATTAACATTTATAATCCAGTTGGGAATAAGACTGAATTGCTGACACCCTGCCACAATTTAAATTATGCTAGGACTGTGGTCTACCTGTACTGGAGATCCAATTTTCTTAATCTGAGCAAGAGGCAAGAATGAATGTGAAGTCGGAGTAATGTTCTGGTAAGTTTCTATTGACTTCATGGATTTATTTTCTTCCCTTGTCTAACTTGCTCTGTGCTCATGGATGCAGAGCCATGCAGTCAACATCATTCAGATTCCTTTGTGGCCTGAATTTCAGCAGAAGGCACTCAGTGGGAGGCTCCTGTAGGGTGCAAGTTAGGTGGAGAGGAGAATGCGTTATTTCTTCCCCGATTCCCTCTGCTTTGGTTCTGTGCTTCTGCCAGGGGCTGAATCTCTCCATAACTAGAACTCCTGCTATGCGACCTTTCCTTGCAGCTCCAGAACTCACTTAGCTCTGGTAATGCTATCTTTTCTCTTGTCCCTTTATGGCTTCCTGTGGTTGGTGTCTTTGTTCCTCTGCATCTCTCTTTCTCTCTTATTTTTTTAACCCTAGCTACATCTCCGTAAACAGACTCTTTAGGTTTTTGATAGTGGAAACTCTAAGAGGAATCATGATTCCTTCCAGGATTACATTCAGTAAAAAAGCCAATGATTTATTGCATACAAGCAGCAACTCTAATAAAAATTAACTCAAAAGCTTGAAAGTGAAGCTTTGGGCAAAAGAATTACAGGCAAATGGAAATTAAAAAAAAAAGCAAAGATCACAATATTTAAAACAAATAGGTTTTATTCATGGTTGGTAAAAAATATGAAGTAGGACAAAGACACTTTGTATCAATAAAAAGGTCACTATAAATAAGTAACTGTCATAAATATTTATTAAATATGTATGCAAAATTCAGAAAGCAAAAACTTCAGCAGCATTTTTTAAAATACAATTTATAATACTATTTTTTCAGCTGATGGAAGATCAAGTGAAAAAACATAAGTGAGATTTAGGAGGACATAAGCAATTAATGGAGGATAACTAATATGTGTATATTTATTCAAATACTCATGGAATAATAGTCAAAGTGGACAAAGTATTGGGCCTCAATGAAAACCTTAGCATATTCCAAAAAGTAAAAATAGTGTATAATTTAGTCCATGATGACAATGTAATAAAACTGGAAATTATTTCTGGGAAGTGATATTGCCTGCAATTGTTAATTTCTACATTTTTAAAAATAATTATCTATTATTTTGTTCAGTAAACATCGTACTTTTTATAGTTAAAATATCAAAATACTCAAATATATACAAAAAGTTCATAATATATAATTTTAAAAATACCATACAAATATCAAATTAGAAGAAGCAAAAACAATTGTAGCTGTGCTAATAGCCCTCAATGAGTTCAGAATTTTATAATTAGATATTGAAAGGAGGGTAAGAAGTACATGTATAGTAACTGGACAGTGCACAGCCACAAGTTGGGTATAGCCCTATAAATTGTCTATTTTAAAGTGTACATGTATAGTAATTTGCTATTCAGAAATGTTGAATCATTTAAACATAATTTTATTATTATGGAAACAGTATATGTGCATCAGAGAAAAGTTTTTAAATGCAGAGGAGCAAAATGTGTTGAAATAGTCCTATAAACAAGAAAGCACCATTGTTAGTACCTTTGCCTCTAGCCTTACATATTATTTTTCATCAAATATACACTTTGTAACCTCTTTTTCAGTCAATAATTTTCACATTTTTATTTTCATGCATTTTCATTATATATAATATCCATGCTGTATTTAGATGTCTTTAATTAATTAAACATTTTTCTTCAGGGCTGATTTCTTTAAACCAGTCTCAGTGCAGTCCTGCACATTATATCTAATTGTCCACCCCTTAATTTTTTTTAATCTAGAATTACCCCCCTTTTTAAATGGTACTGACTTGTTGAAGGAAAGAGGCCAATTGACCTACAAAATGGCATACCTTGAGGCTTTGCTTGATTGCTTTCTGTGTCTAAATTTACACCTAATGCCTTAATGGCTGCCAGTTAAACACGCTTGACTAGAATAAATCACAGGTGAAATTTTGTACCTCATGTTGTACTACATCAGAAAATTTGTAATGTCAGGTTGACCGACAGTTGAGACAGTAAAAGTGATCATTGGTTTGTGTGATATCTGATATCTGATACTGATGTCATCCTTCAGTTAGATTGCCCCTTTTGCAAGTATGGGATGCTATGAAGGTCTACTTCCCCATAAGCCTTCACTTAATGAATTTTAGCAGCAATGTTTCTCTTTCATAAGCTTCCACTGAAATATAATATAATTGAATTGTGCAAATCATAATTGTATAGCTCAAGGAATTAGTTCAGAGTGAACACACCCATGAAACTATCAACCTGGGTCAAGAAACACTCAAAGGACACATAGGAGGCTCCTCATGCCCCAACCACATTATTTCCCTCTCCCTTCTCCCAAAATGTAACCACTCTCCTGATGTCAAATGGCAAAGAATAATTTACCCCCTATAAATAGACTAATACGGAATGTGTTTGTATTTGTTTCTCTTGTTCAAAATTATGATCAAGATTCACGGGTGTTATTGTGTGTATCTTTATCATATTCATTTTGATAGATGTAAAGTAGTACAATCTATTCATACACCACTATTTATTCTTTCCTGTCTTGCTAGACATTGCTTTCTTTCTGTGGCTAAATAATCCATTTGTGAACATTGTTATAAGTTTCTATTACTGCATATGTGCATACAATTCTGTTGAATGCATACCCAGAAATGAAATTCTTGGATCATACAGGATGCATGTGTTCAAATGTTGTAGATAATATGAAACCTGTTTCCAAAGTGGTTGTTTGAAATTCATCCTGATAGCATAAGAGATTTCCAGTTGCTTCAAAACCACATCAACACTTTAAATTATTTTCTATCTTTTAACTTTTCTGGTGAATGTGTAGTATTTCTGCTGATGGACTTAATTATTATTTAAGGACAAGTGAGGTTGGACGTCTTTTAAAACATTTATTAGATATTTGTATAATCTCTTTTGTAAACTGCTTTTTCAAAATATCACCCATATTCCTATTGGGTGGCCTCTCTTCTTATTGTTCGAATTTTTATGTATTCTGCATATAAGCCATTTGTCAATTATATAAACCACAAATAATCTAGTTTCACTTGCTTTTGCTCTCTTATTGGTGCCTTTTTAGAGAAGAAAACACTTTTTAATTTTAATACAGTTGAAATCATTAATGTTTTTCATATCCCGCTTAAGAAATCTTTGCCTTCCCAGACCCTGAAGATATTCTTTTTTATCTTATACAATTATTGCTTTTCCATTCCTGTTTACATCTACATGAATGAAATGGTTTTGTGAATGAAGTGAGGTAAAAATCTAGATTTCTTTTTCCATACTGATACAAGATTCTATACTGTTATATTGGTCTATCTATGCTTGTGATATTTACCTTTCTTCATTACTATGGTTTATATTATAGCCTTGATATCTGGGACTGTAAGTTTGTTCTTTTTTGAGATGTTAGCCGTTCTTAGCCTTTTGCATTGTCATCTAAATTCTAGAATTCACATGTTAATTTTTGAAGATAAAGAAGCCTCTTGGAACTATGATTGATGTTGTAATCAACAGATAAATTTAGGAAAATGGACATCTTTATAAATTTAAGTTTTCAATTTATGAACACATTCTATCTCTAGATTTATTTAGGTTTCATTCAATACTACCCAATAAAGTTATATAGTTCTGTAGAGATTTTGCATATATTTAATTAAATTTATCTCAAGTATTTGATGTTTTGATGCTGTTCAAAGGGGTATCTTTTTATATTTTAATCTTCTATTTATTGTATAAAGAAATACACTTTTTAAAATATTGATCTTATATCAGAAACCACACAAAACTGTGATATTAATTCTAATAATTAAGTAGAAAATTATCTTGGACATTTCATAAACACAAATGTATATGTGAAAATGGGAGTGGCATTTTACCTTTCTGGTCTTTAGTCTTTACTCCTTGCCATCTTGCACTGGCTATGAATGGATTAGAATAAAGTGGGATGGAGTAATGATAATAAGTAATCTAGCCTCATATTTTATCTTGCAGACAAAATGTTTAACATTTCACATTATGAAGGATTTTGCTGCAGATTTTTTTCTTTTTTTTGAAGATTATGTTTATCAATTAAAATGCTACAGTTTGCTGAGGCTTTCAATTCTAAAAAATACTATTATCAGAGATTTTAGACAATCATCTGATTTTTCTTTTTATTCAGCAGTACATTGCACTAATAGACTTTTAAATGTTTTTGGCAAATTTGAGCAGAAGGAGGATAACCTTTCAAACACGAAAGTTGCAAGAAAAGTATAAGAAACCACAAAGTATTTTACTGATATTTTCAGATTCACCAGTTGTTTATGTTTTGCTCCATTTATTTATGACTTTTCCTCCTCTCTTATTCTTCTCTTTTTTTAATTATTTAAGACTAATATGTCAAGTTTGCCCTTCTACCCTGTTAGGGTTTGGCTGTGTCCCCATCCAAATCTCATCTTGAATTCCCACATGTGTGGGAGGGAACCAGTAGGAGGTAATTGAATCATGGGGGCACGTCTTTCCCATGCTATTCTCATGATAGCAAAGAAGTCTCAAAAGATCTGATGATTTTATACAGGGGAATTTCCCTGCACAAGCTCTCTTCTCTTGTCTGCCACCATGTGAGACATGGCTTTCACCTTCTGCCGTGATTGTGAGGTTTCCCTAGCCACATGGAACTGTGAGTCTATTAAACCTCTTTTCTTTTGTAAATTGCCCAGTCTTGGGTTTATCTTTATCAGCAGCATGAAAATGGACTAATACATACCCCTAAATGAATCAATTTGACTTTCTAAAAAAAGGACATCTCCCTATAACCAAAGTATAATTATCAAAATCAAAAAAGTTTACTCATTGATTTTTTAACGTTAAAACATCCTTACATTTCTGGAATTAAAGGAAGTTTGTTAGTCTACATTAAACTTTTAAAATATGCTACTGAATTTGTTTAAAAAATATTTGCATAAGATTTTTACTTCAATTTGTATTTGAAGCCTGGATTGTGTTTTTCTTTCATGTACTGCCCTGTAAGATTTCTTATCAAGATAATGATAATGTGGCCATCATAAAATGTGTTGAAAAGGGTTTCTGCAATTACAGAAACTAAGTGTTATAGAACTCTAAGTGTCATAAAAGAATTACTATTCCATTATTAAATCTTTAGAAGAATTTGCAGGCAAATCCTGGCATGGACTATTCCAAAATTGAATATGTTAAATATTTAATTTCATTAATGTAAATCAGATTACTCATATTTTGGTTTTTTCCAGTGTCTACTTTGGTAAGTAGTATTTTTCTTAGAATTTGTCCATTTTTTCTAAATTTTGAAATTGTTGCCAAAATTTGTTCATAATATCCTTAAATAAATTTTTTAAAATCACATGTATTGATGTATAATTTACATTCATTAGAATTTACTCTTCTTAGACATCCAGTTTGATGATTATTGATAAATTACATTCATTAGAATTTACCCTTCTTAGATATACAGTTTGATGATTATTGATTAATGTACATAATCATATAACTACCACTGCAATCAATATACAGAATACTCCCATCACCCCCATAAATTCCCTCAATTTCCTTTGTATCAAGTCTCTAACCCCTACTTATATACCCTGGCAACCACTGATCTGATTTGTCTCTATACTTTTGCCTTTACCAGAATATCATATAAATGGAATGAAACAGTGTATTGCCTTTCATGTCTTTTCAAAATTATGTTCTTTCATGGATTTTAAGTTTCTTCTTTTTAAATTGCTAATATTAACCTACTATCTCTATATAGAAAACTTTGTTTATCACTAGCTGATTGATGTACATTTGAGTTGTTTCTAGGTTTAAGGTATTGTGAATAATTTGCATATAGAGATTTACATGAACTTCCCTTGCTCCCTTTTTTGGGGGTAAATTCTTAAGAGAGGACTTTCTGGGTTGTATGTAAGAGAATATTTAAAATGATAAGAAACTGCCAAAGTGTTTTCCAAAGTTGCTGTATCTTTTTGCAACCCTGCTAGCAAACTGAGAGTTTTGTGTTCCACATCCTCACTATCGCTTGATACTTTCAGTTGTCTATAATTTTTAAATTTTAGCCAATTTAGTTATATGTGTAGGGGCATCTCATTGTGGATTTAATTTACATTTTTCTAGTGAATAATAATGTTGATCATTTCATATGCTTACTGGCCATTTGCATATCTTTGTGAAGTGTTTGCTCAAATGTTTCCCCACTTTAAAATTTTAAAAATTTAGAATTATTTTATATTCTGCTAATATTTTACAACTGAAGTTCACAAAACACTGAAAGGGTTAATTCAGACACACTGGCAGAAACTGCAGTCTCTGATAATCTATATATATTACTTACCAATAATTGGTACAGAGTTGTGAGTATTGATTAAGAAGCCTGAGAAAGAACTAGGACAAAGCACTTCTGAGCCTTTAGATAACTTATTTTCTTTGACTGGATTTGCCAAAACAAAATTGATCTTTGGCTATATGTTTTTGGTCATATTTCAAAGAATAATATCTTTAGGAGATAATTCCAAATATCCAGAAAAATGCTTATCTCGAAATCTACTTCTGAACCTTTAAACTTGACCCAACCTCCCACATATCTTTTCCAGGCAATTACTTTGGCTTTCTCTAATTCATTCTCTAGTCAGGATCTTAACCTTTATTTTTTTTTCTTTTCCCCAGCTTTCTTGAACTAATAGTATCTGTGAAACATATTCTTGGAAAGTGAAGCAAACAAAGAAACACACAGTTAACCAAAAGTTAACAATTTGATAACAATATCATGGCAAATGTTAGAATACCATACCAGTGTATGCTTCTGTTGTTTGTTTGCAGATCTAATGAAATCATAACATACGACTCTCAGAAAACAGCAAGGTAAAGATGGCTTCTTAAAGATGTCCTAGACTTAACAGCAATAAGGTTCTAGGTAGGAGACTGGGTCCAATTGCTTTTTAACTTTTAATCCAATAAGATTTTATCTTTATTAGAAGGAATTATATTTTTTAAATGGTAGTTAAAAACAGGTAAGAAATGAGCGATTATTACACAACAGTGCACTCTATAGTATGTGATAAACGTCTCTCTCTTTTGACTTAACAGTCTGAATTAAAATGCTACTATTTCATTAATCAATATGATATTTAAATCACCAAATTAAAAATGACCACTATGTGTTAAAATTTTCTCTGATGACACTTCACTATGCAGAACATGGTAATTACTTTGAGAAATCAGCTATTCCAAGGTAACTGGGCAGTTACAATATTTTATCAGGTAAATTACCAGTCACCATCAACATTCATCACAGACTCATTTGGATTTTATTACAGATTGACATTTACTTATTTGCCCAACTTTTAAAATTACAACTGTTGCACGATTGCCCCAGGGTGCAACTGTAGAAAATTAGCACACTAATTACATTAATTATCATAAATAAAAGGTTATCAAAGAGTAGCATGTAATAACATAGCATTTTTTGAAAGCAACTTAGGGCATCCCTATAATACCTCAAATTTAGGTATTACATTGAAATTTTCAAGACTGCTTTACCTCTATTGTTTTAATCTTTAACACCTCAGCTATAGGAATGTTATTATTAATGCCATTTCAGAAATGAAGAAGCCACAGCCAAAACAGCTGTATGATCGCCCTAAGATCATATACAGCTGGAACAGTTTAAGGTCAAGTCAAAAACCACATTTCCTAAACTTCCAACATTCCATCTTTTGCCCCTATATTTTTCTGCCTTTTAGGGATGAAAAGTAAAATATTTATCTTTTATGCTCCAATGTATCAACACTTTAAGTGAACTAAAGATCCAAAAGTGAGTCTGATCTGCTTGCTTTTTCCCACCTCTATTGCTGCCGACCTATCAAGCAAACATCATCTTTCCTCTCAAGTACCTGTAACAACTCCCTTCCTTCTTGCCCCATAAAAATCCATATTATACAGAGAAAACCAACTGACTTTTAAAATATAAATGAGATCATGCCATTTATTTTTGCTTAAAATGATCTGTGGATTCTCAACATACTGGAATAAAATCTAAATCACCAAGTCCTATAAAATTCATGTAATCTGAACCCCTCTCCCGTTTCATCTCCTATCACTCTGTATCCCCTCATTATTCTGCTTTTTTTTTTGTCTGATTGTTGAGCCTATTGCCAAGATTGAGCCTGCCTCTGAGTCTTTGTTCTTCTATTTTACTCTGTTTGAAATGTTCTACCCCCAGATTTCTGCAGAACTGGTTTCAAATTCCTACTCCTCAAAGAGATTTTCTTAAATAACTGAACCTAAACTGACCTTTCCTCTTTCTCCTTCTTTCCTACAGCCTATCCTCTAGTCATTCCTTATCACATTCTGTTTTATTTTTATGCCATTTTTCTTTGCTTTCAGAAGTTATCACACCTTAGAAGTCCACAGAAGAGTTTGTGTATCTTGATTACTATCTGTAACAGAAGCTATGCATTCTTCACTCCTATCTCTAAAGGCTGCTCTGGAAATCACCTGCAACTTCAGTTGTTGTTTCTCTTATATTCTAAAGAGCTTTCTATCTCAACATCTCTCAGCCTGAGGCCATTCTCTGAGTATTATTCCTAGCAGACAAGAAATGCCAGGAAGTTAAGGGCTCAAGGTATTAGGATGGTGCAAAATTAACTGTGGGTTTTGCTATTAACACAACCTTTAGTCCATAGATAAAATCAGGAAATTACTATGTACACGGCTCCTTCATTCCTCAGGTGGCCAATTATAAAGGTGTGTTCGACGTCTTTCACAGTCTCCAGCATGACTGAACCCTAGTTGCCCACAGTAGAAACCAGCTTATTCATGTGCACTTCATTGCCTTTCATTTCTCTATCTATTTTGTTGTTAAATAAAACAAAATCACACCCACTTCCCTGTCCCCAGTGCCTGACTGGACTCATCATACATACTATTGTCCTCTTCCCTCCTCTTTGTTTTCACCATTTTCCTTCCCCACTGGCTTGTCTTGTCTCCACTAATAATCTTCTTTCTATAACTTCCTTCTCTAAGCCATATGCTTTTATCTCTCACCAATGCCCTGGATCACTGTCTTGAAGGTGGTTATCTCCACACGGCCTTTTTGTCTCCAAGTTTCGATAACTAATACTGCCCTTCATCCCTTCAGGCCTAGAGAAGGTAACAGTTGCAGGGTACATACAGAATTATCCCTTTTGGTTTATCTATACACTATCCACAGCTTTTAATTTACTCTTTTATTATATTCTATTCAAATTAAACAACTTAAGTGTATTGTGCATTTTCCCTAGTACACTGATAGGTACCATTTGTACATTCAGGTTTTAGTGTATATTCAAAGAGCGATTTTCCTTTCTTTCTTCCTATGAGATTTTTCACTTATTTCTTGAAATTGGCTTAAAGAATACAGCATATCCAGGTTTTAGGAGAAAAGAGACTCAGCCCTAAAAACAATAATATTTTGCTATGCACTAAATTCACAAGAACAATTTTTCTTTATCTATTTCTGCTTCTTTTTTAATTCCTAGAGAAACAACTTTTTGTCTGATATCTCCTCTTTCTTCAGAAACCTTATTTTTGTTATAGCTCAAAGTAAAGCTCTCGGGCTTCTCTTTTGGAGGCAAACCTTCTCTTTGGAGTAGCATAAAGACATAGTACTCTTATTTACTTCTCTTCAGTTTTATTTTATTTTATTTTATTTTATGAGGAATTAAATGTATAGAGTGAAATATACACATATTCAAGGTATAAACCCAAGTGACACACATCTTAATCTGAACACAAAACATTTCTTTCACCTCATAAACTTCTCTCATACCGCTTTCCAGTCAGTATTGCTGCAACATAAGGCAACTGGTGATGTGGTTTCTATCACCATAAGTTAGTTCTGCCAGTTCTTGAACTTCATATAAATGAAACCATAGCGCATGTAATCTTTGGGTCTAGCTTCTTTCACTCAGTGTAGTTTTTGAAATTTGTCTGTTGCTGTGTGTCTTGATAGTTTGTTCTCTTTTGTTACTGAACAGTGTTGAGTAAAAGAGTCAAACTCTGTAAAATATTTGAAGAGATTTATTCTGAGTGAAATATGAGTGACCATGGCCTATGACACAGCCCTCCTCAGGAGACCCTGAGAAAATGTTCCCAAGGTGGTTGGGGTTTAGGTTGATTTTATATATTTTAGAGTGTTGAAACACACTAAATATGTCCTGAGAAGGACTCCATACTTCTATATTTGAATCTTTGTGGACAAACTGCAACCTAACTTAATAGGTAGACAAGGTTGAAAAACCTAACTTAGGAGTATGCACCTGTAACAATAGCTGAGTGTAGGCCAATCCCAGCAACCATACTTCAACCACTCTTACACTACTGAGTGTTCAAACTGTGCTCAACTAAGGCAAATGCTAAGCTGTAACCAATTCAGTTGTTTCTGTACCTCACCTCCAATTTCTGTACCTCATTTCCCTTTTTATGTCTATAAATCTTTCACCACGTGGCTGTGCTGAAATCTCTCTGAATCTGCTGTGATTCCAGGGACTGCCCTATCATGAATTGTTGATTGTTGAATTGAACTTCTTTAAATTTAATTCAGCTGAAGTTTTTCTTTTAACAGATGGTGTCAGAAGTAGGATCTGAAGAAGAGACTTAACAATCCCCAGGAGTGCTGAGTGAACAAGCAAGGTACCTGCAAGGACCTACTTTTGTCCCTTGATCTCTCAAAGTGGCTGGGGATCATGGGTAAGTTCTCTCAGATTTCAGAACTCCATGGATTTGTGTTTGGAATTCTCTGAGTTTCTCTGAACAAATTTGTGATCCAAACAGTTTGAAAGTTAGGACAGAAACTGAACTAGGTCCAGGATCAGATTTGATCTGGTAATTAACTGACTTGGATCCAGCTGGAGGCCTCTCTCTCTCTCTCTTTTTTTTTTTTTTTTTTGAGACGGAGTCTTTCTCTGTCACCCAGGCTGGAGTAGAGGGGCAAGATCTAGGCTTACTGCAACCTCTGCCTCCTGTGTTCAAGAAATTCCCCTGCCTCAGCCTCCCGAGGAGCTGGGATTACAGGTGCCCACCACCATACCCAGCTAATTTTTGTATTTTTAGTTGAGACACGGTTTCAACATATGGGCCAGGCTCATCTTGAACTCCTGACCTCAAGTGATCTACCCACCTAGGCCTCCCGAATTGCTGGGATTACAGACGTGAGCCACCATGCCTGTCCCAGTTAGAGGCCCCTTACCTTTGGCTGAGACAGAAAGAAAATGTTAGTAAATGGTAATATTGCAGTGGTTGTAAAATTTGGCTTTTAGAAATGCACAGGGATTCTTGAGTTCTACACCTTCATTTCATTTTTCTTGTGTAGTTAGGTAGAAAAAAAATTATTGGCTAAGTCAATCAAGGGAACCGAAGAGTAAAGCCAATATCTTAGGTAAAAATAGGATCCTTAATTTTTGAAAGTCTGAGTTTCTTCCACCTTTTTATTTTTTATTTTATTTATTTATTCATTATTATTATTTTGAGATGGAGTCTCTCTCTGTCACCCAGGCTGGAGTGCAGTCACGCAATCTCAGCTCACTGCAAGCTCTGCCTCCCAGGCTCAAGCGATTCTCCTTCCTCAGCCTCCCAAGTAGCTGGGATTACAGATGCGTGCCACCACACCCAGCTAATATTTTGGATTTTTAGTAAAGACAGGTTTTCACCGTGTTAGCCACGATGGTCTCAATCTCCTGACCTTGTGATCCGCCCGACTCAGCCTCCCACAATGCTGGGATTACAGGTGTGAGCCACTGCACCCGGCCTAAAGAAACAGAATTTTATTAATTTATCAGCTGAGTTAGCATTACAGTTGCTAACTCAGTAACTGAGTAAACATCACAATGGCTTACGAAGCATTTGCCATTGTTTGAGGTTGCAGTGAGGACAACATGAAATACCTGATGAAAAACCTTCACAAAACCTGGTCTCTTTCCAACAGCTTAGCTATGTGAGAATAGCTTTTATAACATGACAACTCTAAAAATAAAACCATTTTAAAGTTAAAGCTGTCCTTCCAGTTGCTGTTTCAAACTTTATCCCAAGAACTGAGGTGTCGTTCAGTAAAAGGCAACTACAGCCTTCTCAGGAGTAAGGCTAAGTACTTGTTTTATGTTTTCTGGTGATGAAGTTATTTCTTGTCTTTGAGTTTACAGTGACAGCTATAAAAGTGATTGTCAATAGTATTAGTATAATTTAATTTCTAATAGAATGTGTTTTCCATGTATGTTTTAGTCAGAGCTATGATTTTCTTAATAATACCAGAACTTGTTTTGTGCTCTGTGATGATGATATTAGTGATCTGTACTCTCAGCAGTATTTTACAGTACTTCAGACTATTAATACACTAATCTGTGTTTTTGGCTGGGTGCTGTGGCTCATGCCTGTAATTCCAGCACTTTCGGAGGCTGAGACTGGTGGATCACTCAAGCTCAGAAGTTCGAGACAAGCCTGAGCAACATTGTGAAACCCCCTCTTTACTAAAAATACAAAAATTAGTTGGGCGTGGTGGTGGGCACCTGTAATCCCATCTACTTGGGAGGCTGAGACAGGAGAATTGTTTGAACCCAGGAGGCGGAGGTTGCAGTGAGCTGAGATCACACCATTGCACTGCAGCCTGGGCAAAAAGACGGAAACTCCATCTCAAAGGAAAAAAAAAAGAGTAAATAGTAAGATCGGGCATGGTGGCTCATGCCTGTAATCCTAGCACTTTGGGAGGCTGAGGCAGGTGGATCACCTGAGGTCGGGAGTTCTAGACCAGCCTGACCAACATGGAGAAACCCCGTCTCTACTAAAAGTAGAAAATTAGCCAGGCTACGTGGTGCATGCCTGTAATCCCAGCTGCTAGGGAGGATGAGGTAGGAGAATCGCTTGAACCCGGGAGGTGGAGGTTGCAGTAAGCCATGATCACTCCATTGCACTCCACCCTGGGCAACAAGAGCGAAACTATGTCTCAAAATAAAATAAAATAAAATGAAGAGTGCATAGTATTCCTTTATGTGTGTGTGTGTATGTATGTGTGTATGTGTGTGTATATATATATATATATATATATATATATATATATATATATCACATTTTCTTTATCCTTTCATCCTATGCTGGCCTCCAAGGTTGCTTTCATATCTTAGCTATTATGGATAATGCTGCAGTGAATATGGTAGTGCAGTTATCTCTTCAGTATGCTGATTTCAATTCCTTTAGCTATACACACATAGGTGGGATTGCTGGAACATACAGTAATTCTATTTTTAATTTCTGATGAATCTCCATGTTATTTTCCTTAATGGCTCTATTAATTTACGTTGGGAAATAAATTCCTTTTTTTTTTTTTTGAGATGGAGTCTTGCTCTGTTGCCCAGGCTGGAGTGCAGTGGTGTGATCTAGGCTCACTGCAAGATCCACCTCCTGGGTTCACACCATTCTCCTGCCTCAGCATACCGAGTAGCTGGGACTACAGGTGCCCACCACCTGCCTGGCTAATGTTTTTTGTATTTTTAGTAGAATGATGTTGGGAATGGACTGGTTTATTCAATAAATCGTGTTACGTACATTGACTAATAGTGTGTAGGATTGAAGTTATATTTACTGAATTCTTTACATTAAGGTATAGTCAAAACAGACTGAATAATTAAATGTAAAAATGATCTGGAGAAAACCTTCTCGTTGTGTTTTGTTTTGTTTTTTTGAGATGGAGTCTCACTCTGTCATCCAGGCTGGAGTGTAGTGGGGCGATTTTGACTGACTGCAACCTCAGTTTCCCAGGTTCAAGTGATACTCCTGCCTCAGCCTCCCAAGTAGCTGGGATTATAGGCATGTGCCACCACACTCAAATAATTGTATATATTTTAAAATAGGAATAGATTTTCTAAGCTAAACTGAAGATAAATGCTAAGGAAAGAGTGAGATTTGACTTGATAATTATGTGTCTGAATGAATTAGCCAATTAATAAAATGAAAACAGGCCAGGGGCAGTGGTGCATGCCTGTAATCTGAGCACTTTGGGAGGCTGAGGCGGGTGGATCACTTGACGTCAGGAGTTCAAGACCAACCTGACAAACATGGTGAAACCCCATCTCTACTAAATACAAAAAAGTAGCTTGTTGTGGTGGCACATACCTTTAATCCCAGCTACTTGGGAGGCTGAGGCAGGAGAATCACTTGAACCTGGGAGGTGGAGGTTGCAATGAGCCGCGATTGCGCCATTGCACTGCAGCCTGGGCAACAAGAGCAAAACTCTGTCTCAAAAAAAAAAAAAAAAAAAAAAAAAATCACTGCCCCACCAACTTTTTCACATAGAATGATTAAGGATTCCAGAGCCCATGCTACCTCTAGGGGCTCCTACCCCTCCCACACTACACATATATCTTGACAGGGCTAGTTACAGAGAAGAAAAGGCCCAGTAAATTAATATCACAATCATTGCCACATACCCACCAAAAACTCAAATTAAAATTTTGACAAAATTAAGTATCAAGAAGAATGCGAAGATTTGGGAATTATCAGACATTGTAAGACTGTCAGTTGGTGTGTTAACATTGGGATGAAACCAATAATAGCTAATAAAATGGAAGATATGTTTACGCTGTAACCTATGGTTTCACCTCTTGTTTTATACTGTTCACTATACACACTATACACACCAATGGTAACCAAATATAAATACACAAATGTTCACAACAGCATCATTTGTAACTGACAAAAATGAACACAACCCACATGTCTACCAACAATGAAGGGATACACACTGGTGTACTGTATTTTTATTTTTATTTTTATTTTTGAGATGGGGTCTTGCTCAGGCCCCCAGGTTGGAGTGCAGGGTGCGATCTCGGCTCACTGCAATCTCTGCCTCCCAGGTTCAAGTAATTCTCCTGTCTCAGCCTCCCGAGTAGCTTGTCTTACTGATGGGTGCTGCCACTCCCAGCAAATTTTTGTATTATTGGTAGAGACAGGGTTTCACCTTGTTGGTAAGGCTGGTCTCAAACTCCCTACCTGAGGTAATCCACCTGTCTCCACCTCCCAAAGTGCTGGGATTACAGGTGGGAGCCACCACGCCCGGCCTTTTTTTTTTTTTTTTTTTGAGACTGAGTCTCACTCTGTTGTCCAGGTTGGAGTACAGGGTGCAATCTTGGCTCACTGCAACCTCCACCACCTCCCAAGTTCAACTGATTCTCCTGCCTCAGCCTCCCGAGTAATTGGGATTACAGGCACCCACCACCATGCCTGGCCTTTTTTTTTTTTTTTTTTTTTAACAGAGTCTAGTTCTGTCGACCAGGCTGGAGTGCAGTGGTGCAAACTCGGCTCACTGCAACCTCCACCTCCCAGAGTGATTCTTCAGCCTCAGCCTCCCGAGTAGCTGGGACTACAGGCACATGCCACCACGCCCAGCTAATTTTTTGTATTTTTAGTAGAGATTTGGTTTCACCGTGTTCACCAGGATGGTCTCGATCTCCTGACCTCACGATCTGCCTGCCTCGGCCTCTCAAAGTGCTGAGATGACAGGCATTAGCCACTGCATGGCCTACTTTTTGTAGTTTTAGTAGAGATGGGGTTTCACCATGTTGGCTAGGGTGGTCTGGAACTCCTGAACTCAAGTGATCTGCCTGCCTCAGCCTCCCAAAGTGCTGGGATTATAGACATGAGCCATCGTGACTGGCTGTACTGTTTTAATAGAATGCAGAAACAATGCTAAGTGTGAATATTAAATACTTAATATTGGGTAAAAGGAGCCAGAGGCAGCAGGATACAGACTTTACTCCAATTATGTAAGAGAAAAATCAGGCAAAACCAGACTTGACTTTAGGCTTCTAAAAAATGCATAATAAGGCCAGGCACTGAGGTCAGGAGTTCGAGACCAGCCTGACCAACATGTAAAACCCCGTCTCTACTAAAAATACAAAAATTAGCCAGGCATGATGGCAGATAGCCCATGCCTGTAATCCCAGCTATTAGGGAGGTTGAGGCATGAGAATCACTTGAATCCAGGAGTTGGAGGTTGCAATGAGTCAAGATCATGCCACTACACTCCAGCCTGGGTGACAGAGCAAGTCTCCATCTCTAAAAAAGAAAAAAAAAGAAAAAGAAAAGAAAGAAAAAAATACATAATAAAAAGAGAACCTAGGAGAGAAATGCAGATATCCACAGGTAATGTGGTTATCTGTTATATCTGTTACTAATAAGGGATGGAAGACTTTAGGATCATTTAGGGGCATACAGAGGACTTCTTGGTGGTGATAGTGCTCTATTTCTTCACCTGGATAGGTATCACACAGATGTTTATTTAATAACTGATGGATCCATATGTTTGTTTGCATATTTCACAATAAGAATGAAATAGAGGAAAGGAAGGTGAATGGAAAGAGATTTCTCCATTCATCAAAATTTTAAAGTCATGTTTTTCCTCAGGTTCTTCTCCAAGTTCAGTCTGAAATGGTGAAAGCAGCCAAGTGCGGTGGCTCACGCCTATAATCTCAGCACTTTTGGGAGGTAACAGAGTGAGACTCTGCCTAAAAAAAAAAAAAAAAAAAGAACAACAGAGTAGTTATCAGGTAGAGAGGAAGGGAGGAAATAAAGACATGTGGGTCAGAGATACACAGTAGCAGATATGTAGGATGAACGATCCTATACATCTATATACAACATGAGGACTATAGGTAATAAAATTGTACTGTATATGGGATTCATGCTAAATAAGATTTTACCTTCCCTTGCCACACCAAAAAATGTGCGTATCTGTGATAGATATGGTAATTTGCTTCACTATAGTAATGAATTTTTACTATCTATATGTATTCTATAACATCATATGTGAACCTTAAATATACACAATAAAATTTATTTTAAAGAGAAAAAAATGGCCAGGTGTGGTAGTTCATGCTGGTAATCCCAAAACTTTGGGAGGCTGAGGTGGGTGGATCACGAGGTCAGGAGTTTGAGATCAGCCTGTCCAACACGGTGAAACCCCGTCTCCACTAAAAACACACACAAAAAATTAGCCGGGTGTGGTGGCACACACTGTAATCTTAGCTACTCAGGTAGTTGAATTGCTTGAACATAGGAGGCAGATGTTGCAGTGAGATGAGATCTCACCATTGCACTCCAGCCTGGGTGACAGACCGAGACTCCACCTCAAAAAAGAATGTATATATATATATATGTAGAGAGAGAGAGAGAGAGAGAGAGAGAGAGAGAGAAAATTTATGAAAGTATGCACAACAAAATTAAAATGTTGACTCTAAAGTGAGCTACTGAGTGACTGGGGTGCATGAGAGAAAAGGTTACTTAACATTTTTATACCTATTGAATTGTATCCTATGTATGCATTATAAATTTAAATGTGCAATAATGCAGATAACTGAAATGTGGGTATGCTTTGATTAGGACTTTGCATTTCCCATTTGCTCAAATTCCTTATGATTCTAGATGCATATGAATAGAAATACAAAATGTAAGGAGACACGGGACTTCTGATAGCCCTTTCTTCTTTCCACATTTTGTGTCTCTGGCTGTAGTTTGCCATATGAGTCCATATGGCTAATGAGCAAAATATTTTTCAGATGGATACATGTGACCAAGCATTGCAAGTTAAAGATATTTCTGAATCTTGGACCTCTTATTTACAGTGAAGCCCCCTCATGCATAGTAAAGCAGAGAGGAATGTAAAAGGTTGCTGCATGGATAATCAATTTCTGGTGAGCAATAATTATAGGCAATGTAAAATGAGACAATTATTGCTTTTCATCATATCTTGAAAGAACTCTTACAGTCCATGATTTTGAAAAAAAAATCTAAGTTCACTCTTTTCTTTTCTATAAAAAAAGACATTATCCAGTAGAAGTTCAAGAGTAAAATCTGAAGGCAGCTTATCTGACCTAGCCACATGGTCTTGCCACTTGTTAAATATAACTTTCTACACACTAACTTCTCCAGACCTCAGATCTTCAACTCTCTAAAATGGAAACCTAGTAGTATTTGCCTCTAGAACTGCAGCTGAACTGAGCATTTTAGGGAAGGAACAAACATACACACGATATATATATATATAGTCAGATTATGAACCCAGTGTAGCCCAGAATGCAAAAATTTCTCAGTAACAGAGATCCCCAAGAGAAAAATGTGATTTAGCCTATCTCAGTGGCCTTTCATGTGGCAAATGAAAAGTTAAAGTCCATAATGAGAAATATATGGGCAGCCAGTGACACCATCCATTCAATGTAGACTCTCAACATCTCTGACAATCATTCCCTGTTGTACTCCAACCTGCTTATATATTGGGGTGATATCACCTTTTGATCATAACATACATAAACCTCAAGCTTCAGTAAGAAATATTTATGAACAATCAGATATTCTGTGTTTCCAGTCAAAACTCAGGTAGATCACATTTTATGTGACAGGAGAAGGCACAGTTGATGCCCAGTTAACTGTGAGATCATCTCTGCCTGCAGCTTCCTATCATCATAGCAAGCTCTTTCCCTGCAGTTCACCATCTGTATCTGCCCTTTGCTATATAGATAGCAAAAATAAGCATCTAAAAAGATGCTCAACACCATATGTCACTAGGGAATTCAAATTAAAACAATGATGAGATACCATTACACATCTATTAGACTGGCTCACATCCAAACACTGAGACTACCAAATGCTGATGAGGATATGGAACAACAGGAACTCTCATTGATTGCTGCTGGGAATGCAAAATTGTAAAGCCACTGTGGAAGGCAGTTTTGCAAATTCCTTCAAAACTAAACATACGCTTACCATATGATCTGGCAATTGTATTCCTTGGTATATGCTCAAATGACTTGAAAACTTATATCCACTCAAATTCTGTATATGAATGTTTATAGCAGCTTATACGTAACCAACAAAGATTGGAAGTAACCAGGATATCGTACAATAAGGAAATGGATAAACTAATTGTGAAACATTCATACAATGGAATATTCTTCAGGAATAAAAATAAATGTACTACCAAGGCATGACAAGACATGGAGGAATCTTAAACATGTATTTCTAAGTGAAAGAAGCCAATGCAAAAAGCCACATAGTGTAGAGTTCCAATTATATGGAATACTAAAAAAGACAAAACTAAGCAGATGGCATTATATAAAGTTCAGTGGTTGCCAGAGGCTTCAGCAGAGGGAAGGATGAATAGGTGGAACACAGAAGATTTTTAGGGCAGTGAAACTTTTCTGTGTGACCCTATAATGGTGGATATATTGCTTAAGCATCTGTCAAAGCCCATAAATGGTAGAACACAAAGAGTGAATCTTAATATAAGCCATGAACTTAATAATATCAATGTTGGCTCATCAAGCATAACAAATGTACCGCACTAACAAGATGATAATAGAGGAAGTGTGTGTACTGTGTTGTGAGGCAGATATTAGAGCTCAATATGCCTTCTGCTCTATTTTTCTGTACACCTACAACTGTTCTAAAAATTAAGTCAATTATTTATTTGTTAATTATTATTTTTAAATTTATTTTTCGAGATGGAGTCTCACTCTGTTGCCCAAGCTGGAGTGCAACAGCATGATCTTGGCTTACTGCAACCTCTGCCTCCCGGGTTCAAGCGATTCTGCTGCCTCAGCCTCCTGAATAGCTGGAATTACAGGCACCCACCACCATACCCAGCTAATTTTTTGTATTTTTAGTAGAGACGGGGTTTCACCGTGTTAGCCAGGATGGTCTTAATCTGCTGACCTCTTGATCCACCCACCTTGCCCTCCCAAAGTGCTTAGATTACTGGCATGAGCCATTGCACCAGGTCTTATTTATCTTTTTGAGACAGGTTTTAGCTCTGTCACTCAGGCTGGAGTGCAGTGGTGCAATGATGGCTCAATGCAGCACCAACCTCCAGGGCTCAAGTAACCCTCCCACCTCAGCTTCCTGAGTAGCTGGGACCACAAGCGTGTGTCACCATACCTGACACATTTCTTAGACCTCAGAAAAGATGCTCAACACCATAAGTCACTAGGAATATTCAGTATTCAAATAGAGGCTTCAATGGGCTCCGAACTATCCCCTCCTGAACTCTATAAAAAGCGTGTTTCCAACCGGCTGAATGAAAACAAAGGTTTACATCTGTGAGATGAATTCACACATCAGAAAGCATTTTCACCAAGAACTTTTCTAGTTTTATAGCAAGATGTTCATTTTTTCAATATTGGTCTCAATGGGCTCCAAAATGTCCCTTTGTACAGTCTACAAAAATTTTTGCCAAAGTACTGAATCAAAACAAATGTTTAACACTGTGAGATGAATTTTCAAGTCACCAAACATTTTTACAGATAGTTTGTATCTACTTTTTAATCACAAAACTTAGAATTGTTCACTATAAGCCTCAAAGGGCTCTAAATTGTCCCCCTTAGCTTCTACTAAAAGAGAGTTTTGAACCTAGTGTGTAGAAACAAAAGTTTAAGTCTGTGAAATAAATCCCCACATTGCAAAGCTATTTCACAGATAGCTTGCTTCTAGTTTTTATCATGAATTATTCAACTTTTCACTACAGGCCTCAATGGGCTCTGAAATGTCCCTTCATACATTCTACAAAAAGAGTGTTTCCAACTTAGCTGAATCAAAAGGAAGTTTAAACTGTATGAGATGAAACCGCAAATTGCAAAGCATTTTCACATATAGCTTCTATAGTTTCTATCATATAATATTCAGTTTTTCACTGTAGGCCTCCATGGGCTATGAAATGTCCCCTCATAGGTTCTACAGAAAGGTGTTTCCAACATGCTGAATGAAAACAAAGATTTAACTTTGTGAGATGAACCCACACATCACAAAACATTTTTATGGATGGATTTTCTCTAGTTTTTATTGCAGAATATTTGATTTCATGCTGTAGGTCTCAATTTTCTCCAAAATTTCCCCTTGTAGATTCTACAAAAAGAATATTTCCAATCTGCTGAATCAAAACCGATGTTCAATTCTGTGAGATGATATGCAAAGCTTTTTCACAGATAGCCTGTTTCTAGTTTTTATTGTGGGATATTTGGTTTTTCACTATAAGCATCAGTGGGCTCTGAAATTGTCCCTTTGTAGATTCTACAAAAAGAGGGTTTCCAACCTGTTGAATCAAAATAAAGTTTTAACTTTGTAAGATGAACCCACACATCGCAAAGCATTTTCACCCATAGCTTGTTTCTAATTTTTACCATGGGTTATTGGTTTTTCACTAAATGCCTCAGTGGACTAGGAATTGTTGCCTTGTAGATTGTACAACCAAAGAGTTTCCAACCTGCTGAAGCAAAACACAGGTTTAACTTTGTAAGATGAATCTACACATTGCAAAGCATTTTTACAGATAGGTTGCTTTGAGTTTTTATCAAGAGATATTTGATTTTTCACAGTATGCTTCAATGGGTTATGAAATCTCCCCTTGTAGATTCTACAAAAAAAGTTTCCAAACTGATGAATCAAAAGAAAAGTTCAACTTGTGAGATGAAATCACACATTACAAAGTATTTTCAGAAATAGCTTCTTTATAGTATTTCTCGCAGGATATTAGATTTTCCAATATTAGCCTCAACGAGCTCTGAAATGTCCCTTTGTAGATTGTACAAAATGAGTGTTTCCAACCTATGGAATAAAAAGGAAGGTTTAACTCTGTGAGATAAATCCACACATCACAAAGCATCTTCACAGATGGCTTGTTTCTAATTTTTATTGTGGGATATTCGGTTTTTCACTAAAGGCCTCAAGCACTCCGAAATGTCCTTTTGTAGATTCTATAACAAGAGTGTTTTAAAACTGCTGAATCAAAACAAACGTGTAACTCTTTGAGAGGAACCCACACATCACAAAGCATATTTTCAGATCACTTGTTTCTAGTTTTTAAAGCATGATATTCGGTTTTTCACTATATGCCTCATCAGACTCAGAAATGTCTCATAGTAGATTTTACAAAAACAGTGTTTCCTACCTGCTGAATCAAAACAACAGTTTAAATCTGTGAGATGACTCCAAACCTCGCAAAGCATTTTCACAGATAGTTTTTTCCTAGTTTTTTTCGCAGGATATTTGGTTTTTCAGTATAGGCCTCAATGAACTCTGAAATGTCCATTCATAGGTTCTATAAAAGTGTGTTCCCAACTCCCTGTATAATAGCAAAGGTTTAACTCTGTGAAATGAATCTATACATTGGAAAACATTTTCACAAATAGCTTGTTCCTAGCTTTTATGATGAGACATTTGATTTTTTACTATTGGCCTCAATGGGTTCAGAAATGTCTCTTTGCAGATTCTACAAAAAAAAAAGTTTTTCATTTTTCTGAACAAAAATAAAGGTTTAACTCTTTGATATGAAATCAGACATCACAAAGAATTTTCACACATAGCTTGTTTCTAGGGTTCATCACTGGATATTGTGTTTTTCATTATAGGCTTCAAAGGAGTCTTAATTGTAACTTCCTAATTCTACAAAAAGAGTGTCCCCCAACCTGCTGTATGTAAATAAAGGTTTACCTCTGTGAGATAAATCTTCACATTGCAAAGCATTTTCCCCGATAGCTTGTTTCTAGTTTTTATATCGGGATATTGATTTTTCACTATAGGCTTCAATGGGCTTTGAAAGATTCCTCTGTAGATTGTACAAAAAGAGTGTTTTAACCTGCTGAATCAAAACAACGTTTAACTTTTTGAGATACATCCACACATCACAAAGTATTTTCACGGATAGGTTTTTATTTTATTTTATTTTATTTTTTTTAGATGGAGTCTCACTCAGTCACCCAGGCTGGAGTGCAGTGGCACGATCTTGGCTTCCCGGGTTCATGCCATTCTCCTGCCTCAGCCTCCCAAGTAGCTGAGACTACAGGTGTCTGCCACCAGGCCAGGCTAATTTTTTGTGTTTTTAGTAGAGATGGGGTTTCACCATGTTAGCCAGGATGGTCTCGATCTCCTGACCTCGTGATCCACCCGCCTCAGCCTTTCAAAGTGCTGGGACTACAGGCGTGAGCCACCATGCCTGGCCAATAGCTTTTTTTTACTTTTATTGTGGAATATTGGTTTTTCACTACAGGCTGATATTGGCTTCAAATTGTACCCTCACAGATTCTACAAACAGTGAATTTTCAAGCTTCTGAAGCAAAATAAAGGTTTAACCTTGTAAGATGAATCTGCACATTATTGCTGGATATTCGGTTTTTCACCGTAGGCATCGATTTTCTCTGAAATGTCCTATTGAAGATTTTGCCAAAAGAGTGTTTCTACCCTGCTGAATCAAAAGAATGGTTTAATTCTGTGAGATGAAATCACCCATCGTAAATTATTTTCAGAGACATCTTCATATAGTTTTTACCTCAGAATATTCGGTTTTTCACTATAAGCCTCAATGGGCTTTGAAATGTCTCCCATAAATTGTACAAAAAAAAAAAGGAATTTCCAACCTGTTGAATCAAAACAAATATTTAATGTTGTGAGATAAATTCAAATATCGCAAAGCATTTTCACAGATTTTTTTTCTACTTTTTATCACGGAATATTTGGTTTTTCACTATAGTCCTCAGTGGGCTCAGAAATGCCCCTTGTAGATTCTACAAAAAGAATGTTTCTAACCTGCTGAACCAAAACAATACTTTAACTCTTTGAGGTGAATCCACACATTGCAAACATTTTCACAGATAGCTTGTTTTTAGTTTTGATCACGTAATATTGGATGTTTTACAATAGGCCTCAACGGGCTCAGAATTGTCCCCTCTTAGATTCTACTAAAAGAGTGTTTCCAAAATGCTGTGTAAAAATAAAGGCTTAACACTGTGAGATGAATCGACACATGACAAAGCATTTTCACAAGTAGCTTGTTTTTACTTTTCATCGGGAGATATTCAGTTTTTCAATATATTCCTCCATGGGCTCTGAAATGTCCCTTCATAGATTCTATGAAAAGACTGTATCCAACTGATTGAATCAAGACAAAGATATAACTCTGTGCGAGAAATCCACACATCACAAAGCATTTTCACTGATAGCTTGTTTCTAGTTTTTATCACGGGATAATTGGTTTTTGACTATAGGCCTCAATGGGCTTCAAAATGTCCTTTCATAGATTCTACAAAAAGAGTGCTTCAGTCCTGCTCAATCAAAGCAAAGGTTTAATTCTCTGAAATGAATCCACATATCACAAATCATTTTCCAATATAGCTTGTTGCTAGTTTTTGTAGTGGGATATTTAATTTTTTACTTTAGACCTCAATGGGCTCTGAAATGTGCCTTCTTAGATTCTACAAAGAGTGTTTCTCACCTGCTAAATCAAAACAATGGTTTAACTTTATGAGATAAGTCCACACGTCACAAAGCATTTTTACAAATAGCTTGTTTCTAATTTTTATCATGGGATATTCAGTTTTTTCAGTGTAGGCCTCAATGGTCTGTGAAATGTCCCCTCGTAGATTCTACAAATAGAGTTGTTGCAATCTGATAAATCAAACATTTAATTCTGTGAGATAAATCTATAAATCTACACATCTCAAAGCATTTTCCCAGATAGCTTGTTTCTGGTTTTTATCATGGGATATTTGGTTTTTCACTATAGACCTCAATAGGCTCTGAAATGTCCCCTCATAGAGTCTACAAAAAGAGTGATTTCAACCTGCTGAATAAAAACGAAGGTTTAACTCTGTGACATAAAATAACAAATCATAAAATATTTTCACAGTTGGCTTGTTTCTAGTTTTTATCATGCAATACTCAGTTTTTCATGACAGGGCACAATGGGCTCCAAAATGTCCCTTTGTACATTCTAAAAAAAGAGTGATTTTGGTCTGCTGAATAAAAACAAAGGTTTTATACTGTGAGGAATCCACACATAGGCAGGAATTTTCACAGATAGCTTGTTTCTAGTTTTCATCGCAGGATGTTCGGTTTTTTAATATACTTCTTGATGGACTCTGAAATATCCCTTCATAGACTCTACAAAGAGAGCATTTACAACCTGCTGAGTAAAAACAAAGGTTTAACCCTGTGAGATGAATCCAGACATCTCAAAGCATTCTCATATATAACTTGTTTCTAGTTTTTATCTTGAGATATAACGCTTTTAACTTTAGGCCTTAATGTTCTCTGAAATGTGCCATTTTAGTTTCTACAAAAAGAGTGTTTCAAACTGCTGAATTAAAACAAGGTTTAAGTCTGTGATATGAATTGACACATCACAAAGTATTTTCACAGATAGCTTTTTACTAGGTTTTGTCATGGGATTTTCAGTTTTTCACTAATGGCTTTCATGTGCTCTGAAATGTCCCTATGTAGATTTTACAAAAAGGGTGTTTCCAGCCTACTGAATCAAAACAAGGGTTTAAGTCTATGAGATATATCCATACATTGCAAAGCACTTTCGCAGATTGCTAGTTTCTAGCTTTTATCATGAGATACTTAGTTTTTCACTATAGACCTCAATAGGCTCCCAAATGGCTCTCATAGATTGTACAAAAAGAGGGTTTTCAAAGTGCTGAATCAAAAAAAGTTTTAACTCAGTGAGGTGAATCCACACATTGCAAAATATTTTCACAGATAGCTTGTTTTTGTTTGTTTGTTTGTTTGTTTTGTTTTTATCATGGGATATTTCATTTTTCACTATAGGACTCAATGGGCACCAAAATGTCTTCTCCTAGATCCTACAAACTGACTGTTTCCAACTTGCTTAATCAAAACAAAGGTTTAACTCTGTGATATGAATACACACATCCCAAAGGATTTTCACAGATAGCTTGTTTCTTGTTTATATCTCCACGTATTTTGTTTTTCACTGTAGGTTTCAATGGGCTTTGAAATGTTTCTTCGTAGATTGTGCAAAAAGAGTTTTTCAAATCTGCCAAAGTAAAATAGATGTTTAACTCTTTGAGATGAATCCACATACTGCAAAGCATTTTCACAGGTAGCTTGTTTCTAGTTTTTATCATGGGATATTCGGTCTTTCACTGTAGTAGTCCTCAATGGACTCTGAAATGGCCCTTAGTAGATTCTAGAAAAATAGTGTTTCCAACCTGCTGAATCAATATAAATGTTTAACTTTGTGAAAGGAATCCACACAATGCAAAGCATTTTCATAGATAGCTTGTTTGTAGTTTTTATTGCAGGATATTCAGTGTTTTAATGTACTTGTCCATGGGCTCTGAAATGTCCCTTCATATATTCTATAAAAAAATAGTGTTTTCAACCTGCTGAAAAAATAACATACGTTTAACTCTGAGAGATGATTCCCCAAATCACAAGACCTTTTCACAGATAGCTTGTTTCTAGTTTTCACTGTGGGATATTTAACTTTTCACTATAGGTCTCAATGAGCTTTGTAATGTCCTTTTGTACAATCTGCAAAAAGAGGGTTTCCAGCCTGCTGAATCAAAGCAAAGGTTTAACTCTGTGAGATAGATCCACACATTGCAAAACATTTTCACAGATATCTTCTTTCTACTTTTCATCATAGGATACACCCTTTTTCCAAGTAATTCTCCAGGGGCTCCGTATTGTCTTTTCATAGATTCCACAAAAAGAATGTTTCCAAACAGCTAAATCAAAACAAAGGTTTAACTCTGTGAGTTAAATCTACGCATTGCAAAGCATTTTCACAGATAGCCTCTTTCTCATTTTTATGAAGGGATATTCAGTTTTTCACCATAGGCCTCAATGGGCACTAAAATGTCTTCTCATAGATTCTAAAAACAGACTGCTTTCAACCTGCTTAATCAAAAGAAAGCTTTAACTCCATGATATGAATACACACATTGGAAAGCATTTTCACAGATAGCTTGTTTGTAGTTTTTTTCTCCACATATTTTGCTTTTCACTATAGGCTTCACTGGGCTTTGAAGTATTTCTTTGTAGATTCTGCAAAAAGAGTTTTTCCAGCCTGCATATTTGAAACACCAGTTTAACTCTGTGGCATGAATCCACAATGGCAAAGCATTTTCACAGATAGGTTTTTTCTTGTTTTTTTTTTTTTTATTTCTGTGGGATATTTCATCTTTCACTGTAGATCTCAATGGGCTCTGAAATGGCCCTTCATGGATTCTACATAAAGAGTGTTTCCAACCTGCTGAATCAAAACAAATATTTAACTCTGGAAGATGAATCCACACATCACAAAGCATTTTCAGATATAGACTTTTATTGTTTTTATTGTGAAATATTCTGCTTTTTACTATAGGCATCAATGGGTGTGATATATCCCTTCATGTATTCTATAAAATAGTGTTTTCAACCTGCTGAATTTAAACCTGCAAAGGTTTAAATCTGTGAGATGCACCCACACATTGCAAAGCATTTTCAAAGACAGTTTGTTTCTACTTTTATCGTGAGATATTTTGTATTTCACTATGGGCCTCAGTGGGCTTCAAACTGTCCCTTTGTAGATTCTACACAAAGAGTGTTTCCAATCTGCTTAATCAAAAAAATGATTAACTCTGTGAGATGAATCCACACATCACAAAGAATTTTTACTGATAGCTTGTTTCTGGATGTTATTGTGGGATAATCGGTTTTTTAATCAACCTGCTGAATCACAAGAAAGATTTAGCTCTGTGAGATGAAATCACACATTGCATATAACTTTCAGACACAGCTTTTTTGTAGTTTTTTATCACAGGACATTAAGTTTTTCACTACAGGCTTCAGTGGGCTTTGAAATGTCCTTGTGTCGATTGTACAAAGAGAGTGTATCCAACCTGCTGAAAGAAAACGATGTTTAATTCTTTGAGATGAATCCACACATCCCAAAGCATTTTTACAGACAGGTTGTTTCCATTTTTTATCATGAGATATTAGGGTTTTCACTATAGGTTTCAATGGGCTCTGAAATGTTTCTTCGTAGATTCTAGAAAAGGAGTGTTTCAATTCTGATTGAATTGAGTGTTCTGATTCTTCTGAATCAGAAGAAAGTTTTAACTCTGTGAGTTGGATCCACACATTGCAAAACTTTTTCACAGATAGCTTGCTTCTAGTTTCTTTAATGGGATATTTGGTTTTCCACTATAGGCCTCAATGGGCTCTGAAATGTTTTTATGTAGAATCTACAAAAAGAGTGTTTCCAAACTGCTGAATTAAAACAAAGGTTTAAATATGTGACATTATTTCACATATCACAAAGTATTTTCACAGATAACTTGTTTGTAGTTTTTATCGCGGGATATTCAGTTTCTCACTATAGGCCTCAGGGTTTGAAATGTCTTTCCTTAGATTTATGAAAAACGTATTTCTAGCCTGCTGAGTGATAACAAATGTTTAACTCTGTGAGATGAATCCAGACACTGCCAGTCGTTTTCACAGATAGCTGTTTTCTAGTTTTGTGTGTGTGGGATATTCGCTTTTTTACAATATGCTTCCAAGGTCTCAGAAATTCCCATTCGTAGATTCTACAAAAAGAGTGTTTCCAAATTGCTGAATTAAAACAGAGGTTTAACTCTGTGAGATGAATCCAAACATTGCAAAGCATTTGGACAGATATCTTCTTTCTCGTTTTAATCGCAGGATAATTGATTTTTCATTATGGGCCTCAAAGGTCTTTGAAAATGCTCTTCATAGATTCTACAATAAAAGTGTTTTCAACTTGTTGAATCAAAGGTTTAACTCTAGGAGATGAATCAACACATCACAAACTATTTTCACTGATAGGTTATTTCTAGTTTCTATCGCAGGATATTCAGTTTTTCACTATATGCCTCAAAGGGCTCTGAAATGTCCCTTCATAGATTCTACAAAAAGAGTGTTTCCAACATGCTAATTAAAAAAAAAGCTTAACTCTGTAAGAAGAATCCACACATCACAAAACACTTTCACTGATAGCTTGTTTTTAGTTTACTTCGTGGAATTTTTTTTTTTTTTTTTTTTTTTTACTATAGGCCCCAATGAGCTCTGACATTTTTTCTTTTTAGATTCAACAAAAATAGTGTTTCCAACCTATGGAATCAAAAGAAAGGTTTAAATTTGTAAGACGAATCCACACATCACAAAGCATTTTCACAGACAGCAAGCTTCTAGGTTTTTTCCGCAGGATATTCTGTTTTTCACTGTAGGCCTCAATGGGCTGTGACATGTTTATTGGTAGATACTACAAAAAGACTGTTTTCAGCCTGCTGAATCAAAAGAAAGGTATAACTCTTTGAGATGAACCCACACATCCTAAAGCATTTTCACACATAGCTTACTTATAGTTTTTATCGTGAGATATTCTGTTTTTCACTATAGACCTCCATGGGCTCCGAAATGTCCCCTTGTAGATTCCAGAAAAAGAGTTTTTCCAAAGTGCTGAATTAAAACAAAGGTTTAACTGTGTGACATTATTTTACAGATCACAAAGCATTTTCACGGATAGCTTGTTTCTAGTTTTTGTTGCAGGATATTTGGTTTTAAACTCCAGGCCTCAATGTGCTTCAAAATGTCTCACCTTAGATTCTACAAAAAACTTGTTTCCAACGTGCTGAATCAAAACAAAAAGCTGGCTCTGTGAGATAATTCCATGCCTCGCAAAGGCTTTTGACAGATAGCTTGCATCAAGTTTTCATCGCGGGATATTCCATTTTTCTCTATAGGCATCAGTGGGCTCTAAAATGTCCCTTTGTAGATTCTACAGTGAAAGTGTTTCTAAACTGCTGAATTAAAACAAAGATTTAGCTCTGTGAGATAAATCCAGACATCACAAAACATTTCACTGATAGTTTGTTTCTAGTTTTTATCGCAGGATAGTCAGTTTCTTACTATAGGCCTCAATTTGCTCTGTAATAGCCCCTCTTAGATTCCAGAAAAGGAGAGTTTCCAGCCTACTGAATCACAAGAAATGTTTAACTCTGTGAGATAAAATCACACATTGGAAAGCATTTTCAGACATAGCTTCTTTGTAGTTTTTATCGCGGGATATTTGGTGTTTCACTATAGGCCTCAATGGATTTTGAAATTTTCCCTCATAGGGACACAAAAAAAAGGGTCTATCCTTCTGAATCAAAACAAAGTTTTAACTGTGAAAAGAAAGCCACACATAGCAAAGGATTTTTACCATATCTGCCAACAAGGAAACTCTTGTTCTCCCACTTTTATCAGAGGGCTGCCTGATTTCTATAGGATGAGAAGCAGGCAGCAGTGTCTGGATGTGCCTGCTCATGTAGGCTCTGTTACAATCATCTGCATGTTCTTCTTCATGTGGAGGGGATCTTTTATGGATCTGTTGCTAGGGGGGACTGCCTCTCTCTACAGATCTTTTGGCTGCCAGGGATTTCAGGGAGCAAAAAATACTTCCAGTAGGCTGGCTGCACTCCAGGTTGTGAGTAGTGGTCTCACTATGGGGGATTGGGGTGTTTGCAGGAGGCTTTTGGGTCCTCTGGCAGGAATCCTTGAACATGGCTTGGACTCTAGCACAGGCCCTCTCATTCTCCAAGGCAAGCATTGATTTTCCATTGCTTTCATGAGGAGTCCATACTACTCTTCATCAGCGCTCCTAAACACACTTTTTTGGCTTGCAATTACCTCAGACGGCCACTGAGACACTCTCTGAACTGCATCTGCACCCATGAGGTCAGTTCGAAGTGTGAGACTTCTGCTTCACCTTGAACTTGCCTTTCTCATGTTTCCTGCCTTTCCCAGAGAGCCATGTTGAGTAGCAGGAGCCCCTGTGAGGCCCAGGATGAAGGGAGGCAGTGAGCTCAAGGGCCCTGCCATTTTCTGCTGACATCTGCCTCTGGGGTCTTGGGTATGATTTCATCACCTGGACACCCCTTAACATCTCAGCAGACTGTATTCCCTTCCCCATGGGACCCAATTCTTGCACACAGCCTCTTTCGGGAATGGAATAAGAGGAACAGTTTCCAGCATCCACATCACAGTCTCCAAGTGCCTCCTCCTCCAGCAGGACCTGACCATGTAGATGGCCCGAAGGGGCCTGCTTAGAGGGTGTGGGGGTGAGTCTTCTTAAAATTTGCCCCCCTTGGTGATGTCTAGGTACAGCCCGCCTGTGTTCCCCAGGCTGCTCTCTCCCAAGAAGAGCTTGCTGCAGAAACACACAGCCTCTGAAGCTGCTGGGATGTGTGTTTCTGTGGGAGTGTTTCAAGTTGTGGATATCTGCGTGTGAATGTGGTCATGTGAGTGTGTGTGTGTGTGTATGTCTGTGTGTGGGGGTAAGTGGAGTCTGCTAAAAGAAATGTGGCTAACGCACTGCAGCACTGTTTTTTGTCACCCCACCTTCTGGTGGCCTGTCTCTGTGGCTCTGCTTGGGCTGAGGGTCTCCATGTTCTTCATTTTTCCATGGTTCCTGAATCCACAGTGAATTGGAAGAATGGCTGACAACCGCTGGGGTCAAAATCACCTCCCTTTGCAAAAACGCCACATTTCTACAAAGAAGAGAAGCACACCACACCCCAAAACAGACAACTTCCCGTGCTTTATTGTTCTGTGACCAACGCAGGGCCAGACCCCAGCAGTCCAGTCGCAGGGCTTCTTGAATTTACCTCTATTTTGGTTTGTAGCTGAGCAGGTGCTTCAGGTCATCAGGGAGGCACTCCTCCATTGTCTCAGAATCTTATTCTGGGACACAGAGTGTGAGCAACAATAAGGTCAGATAGGGGTGAGGATACAATCTGTTGAGGTGTGGATGGGATCTCACACCTTCACCTGCAAAAAAGGTGCAGAAAGATGACACAGAAGTTGCTTCCAACTGCATCCCCTCATTCCCTTCATTGCACAGTCAACAGCATGGCCTGGTGCCCAGGTGGGATGACTCAATCGTGCAGGGAAAAGTAGGATTACAAACTGGGGCCCTTCTGGCCAGCTCCAGAATTGAGCTTTCATTCCCAGAGCCACATTGGAGTGAGATGGATTGATGCTGGGTTGGATGTGGCCTCCACACTGGCCTCCTCTGTTCCTGACTTCCATGTTCCTTGTGGGCCTAGAGTGTCCTAGGTCTGGCTCAGTCTGACTTCCATGTTCCTCATGAACCTGGGGTTTTTCTGGATCTGGCTCAAAGTCTTCCACACTAAAAGTTTCCCAGTTCATGGAGGACGACTCTCATGGGAATCCATTGCATGAGTGTTTTCTTATAAACACTGTCACATTTTAATGACTGGGCAGTTGTGATACTTTTGGAATCATAAATTTCGATTATATCCACCATCAAGATAACTCTTGTTCTCCCACTTCTAAAGGACAGCTGCATGACTCCTGTAGGATGAGAAACAGGCAGCTGTGTCTGGCTTTTACCTGGCAATCTAGGCTCTGTTTCATGTCATCTGCACTTCCTTTCTCATTGTGGATGGGGTTTTTCATTGGGCTGTTGGTGGATAGGACTGACTTTCATTGTGGATATTTTCGTTGCCAGGAATATCAGAAAGCAAAAGGCATTTTGGGTAGGCTGGCCACACACCAGGTGGTGGGTAGTGGTCTCATAGTGGTGGCTGGCATTGTTTGCACTTTGCAGGAGGCTTTTAAGTCCTCTGGCAGGAATCCTTGAACATGGCTTGGACTCCTGCACAAGTCTGCTCATTCTCCCAGGAGAGCCTTGATTTTTCTTTGCTTTCATGGTTTGTCCACATTGCCAATCAACAGCACTCCTGGACATTATTCTCAGGTTTCAAATTGCCCCAGACAGCCTCTGAGACACTCTCTCAACCTCATGTGCGCCCACGAGAGGCCTGTTTTAGGTGTGAGAACACTGCTCCACCTTGGACTTGCCTTTGTCGTGGTTTCTGCCTTTCCCAGAGAGCTGTGCTGAGAAGCAGGAGCCCCTGTGAGGCCTGGGATGAAGGAAGGCAGGGGGTTCAAGGGCCTGGCCATCTTCCACTGACACCTGCCACTTGGATCTCAGATATTATTCCATCACCCAGAGACCTCTTAACAACTCACCAGACTTTATTCCCATCCCCAGGAGACCCAATTCATGCACACAGCCTCTTTTGGGAATGGAGTCAGAAGACCAGTCTCCAGAGCTCACCTCACAGTCTTCAAACTCCTCCTTCTCCTGTGGGACCCTACCATGGAGATGTCTCATGAAGGCCCTATGTTCGAGACTATTAGCGTGCTGCAGTGGGTTGCTTCAGGCAGCCTTTTTCTGGAGACTAGGCCAGCTCTGGCTGTACCATTTTCCTGAGCTTTGCCAGGCTTACAGCCCTGACAGCCAGGTGCCCGAGCCTGCTTGGTGAATGCACATGTGACCGTCAGGCCACCAGGCACCAGTGGTGAGCAGTGGCTCATGTCACAGTGAATGCCACCATTACCTGGTGACAAGTCCCTTCATCTTGGTGGAGAAGGAGTCCTCTGTGGATGTGTGTTGGCATTGAACTATCACCTGTCTACTCTGAGGGCTCTATGGGATATTCCCACAATCCTAGGAGTGGGCAGTGGCGAGTCAGCCTGAAGACACATCAAGTGGAGCCCCAGGAATAAACCACAAAATCCCTAAGGATCCAAAAGGATACCCACGATGAGTCAGGCCTGCCTAGACAGTGTGGGAGTGAGTCTTTTTGAAACTTCCCTCCCTGTGATTTCTAGGTACATCCCGCCTCTGTTTTCTGAGGCTGCTCTCTCTCAGAAGGAGCTTTCTGCAGAACCGTGCAGCCTCAGGAGCTGCCAGGCTGTGTGTTTCTGTGCGAGTGTTGTGAGTGTTTGAATGTCTGCGTGTGTGTGTGTGGCTGTATGTGAGTGTGTTTGTGTGTGTCTGTGTGTGTGTGTGAGGGGCATCTGCTAAAAGGAATGTGTTTAATGCACTGCAGCACTTTTTTTTCTAGTCCCTCCACCTTCTGGTGCACCTGTCTGTGTGGCTCTGCTTGGCCTATGGGGCTGCATGTTCTTTGTTTTTCCGTGGTTCCTGAGTCCACGGTGAGTTGGGGGGATGGTTGAGACTCACAGGTGTACAAATCACCTCCCCATACAAAGGAGCCATTCTTCTAGAAAGAAGAGGAGCACACCACTCTCAGAAGAAGACACCTGTCAGGGCCTCATTGTCCTGTGGTCAACCCAGGGTGTGACTCTAGCAGTCCTGTCCACAGGCCGCTTGAATCCAATTCGAATTCTGTTTGCAGCCGAGCAGGTGCTTCATGTCATGAAGGGAGCACTCCTCCAACATCTTGGGATTTCATTCTAGAACTAGGAGTGTGAGCAGCAATAAGTTCAGATATGGGTGAGCATACAGTCTGCTGAGGTGTGGATGGGGTCTGCACCTTCATCTGCAAAAAAAGGTGCAGACAGATGACACACGAAGTGCTTCCAACTCCACCCTTGCATTCCCTTCATTGCACAAGCTGTCCACAACATGGCCCCATGGTCAGGTGGGAGGACTCCAACTTGCGGGGAATAAAAAAAAGGTTTAACTGATACAAAAAGGTTTATCTCTGTAAGATAAATCCACACATCGCAAATAATTTGCAAAGATAGCTTCTTTCTAGTTTTTATGCCAGGATATTAGGTTTTTCAGTATAGTCCACAATAGGCTCTGAAATGTCCCTTCATAGATTCTACAAAAAAGTGTTTTCATCCTGTTGAATCAAAACAAAGGTTTAACTCTGTGAGATAAATCCACACTTCACAAAGCATTTTCACAGATAGACAGTTTTTAGTTTTTACTGTGAAATATTTGGTGTTTTACTTTAGTCCTCAATGTTCACGAAAATATCTTTTTTTTTTGTATATGCTACATAAAGAGTGTTCTCAACCTACCGAATGATAATAAAGGTTAAACTTTGTGAGATGAATCCACACATCACAAAGCATTTTCACTAATAGATTGTTGCTAGTATGTATCGTGGCATATTCAGTTTTTCAATATACTTGTCAGTGGGCTCCAAAATGTCCTTTTGTAGATTCTTTAAAAAGAGTGTTTCCAACGTGCTGAATCAATATAAAGGTTTACCTCTGTGAGAAGAATCCACCCACCACCAACATTTTCAAATATTGCTTGTTTCTAATTTTTATCTTGAAATATTCATTTTTTCACTATAGGCCTCAGTGAGCTACAAAATGTCCCTTCATAGGTTGTACAAAAAGAGTGTTGCCAACCTGCTGAATCAAAACAAAGGTTTAAGTTTGTGAGACAAATCCACATATCAGAAAGCATTTTCACAGGTAGCTTGCTGCTAGTTTTAATCACTGGTATTAGGTTTTTCAGTATAGCCTCTAATGTACTTTGAAACATCCCTTTGTAGATTCTATTAAAAGAAGGTTTTCAACCTGCTGAATCAAAACAAAGGTTTAACTCTGTAAGATGAACCCACACATGGCAAAGCATGTACACAGATAGCTTGTTTCTAGTTTCTATTGCAGAATATTTGGTTTTCCACAGTAGGCCTCAATGGGCTCTGAAATATCCCTTTATAGATTCTACAAAGAGTTTTTCCAACCTGCTGAATCAAAAAAAGTTTTATCTCTGATAGATGAATTCACACATCATAAAACATTTTCACAGACATTTTGTTTCTAGATTTTATCACAGGATATTAGGTTTTTCTCTATAGGCCTCAATGGGCTCCAAAATGTTTCTTCCTAGATTCTACAAAAAGAGTGTTTCCAACCTGCTGAATCAAAATAAAGGTTTATCTCTGTCAGACGAATGAACACATCACAAAGCATTTTCACAGATAACTTGTTTCAAGTTTTTATGATAAGATATTTTGTTTTCCACTGCAGGCCTCAATTGGCTTCAAAATATTCCTTTGAATGTTCTTCAAAAAGATTGTTTTCTACTTGCTGTAACAAAACAAAGGTTTAACTTTGTGAGATAAATCCACACATTGGAAAGTATTTTCACAGATAGCTTGTTTCCTGTTTTTATAGCAGAATATTTAGTTTTACAACTATAGGCCTCTATGGGCTGTGAAATGTTGCTTTATAGATTCTAAGAAAGAGTTTTTCCAACCTGCTGAATCAAAACAATTTTAACTCTCAGTTGAATCCACACAACACAAAGGATTTTCACTGATAGATTTTTCTAGTTTTTATCAAGGAATATTTGTTTTTTTATTATAGTTCTCAATGGGCCCTGAAATGTCTTTTAACACATTCCAGAATTAGACTGTCTGCAACCTGCAGAATAAAAACAAAGGTTTAACTCTGGGAGATGCATCCATACATCACAAAGCATTTTCACAGATAGCTTATCTCTAGTTTTCATTGTGGGACATTCGATTTTTTAAAAGAGGCCTCAATGGGCTTTAAATGTCCCTTCGTAGATTCTCCATAAATAGTGCTTCTAATCTGCTAAATCAAAACAAAGCTTTAACCTTGGGAGATGAATCCACTCATTGCAAAGCATTTTCACATAAAACTTTTTCTAGTTTTCATCATGGGACATTTGTATTTTTACTACAGGCCTCAATGGGTTCCAAAGTGTCTCTTCATAGGTTCTACAAAAAAAAGTGTTTCCAACCTGCCTTCTATAGATTTTCCAGAAACAGTGTTTTCAACCTCCTGAATCAAAACAAAGATTTAACTGTGTGTGATGAATCCAGACATCAGAAAGCTTTTTCACAGATAGCTTTTTCTAGTTTTTATCATGGGATATTTGTTTTTCACTACCTGCCAAAATGGGCTCCAAATTGACCTCTCACAGATTCTACAAGCAGAGAGTTTCCAACCTGCTGATGCAATACAAAGGTTTAACTTTGTATGATAAATCTACACATCACAAAGCATTTTTACAGATACCTTTTTTCTAGCTTTTATCACAGTATAATCTGTTTTTCACTACAGGCCTCAATTTGCTCTGAAATGTCCTGTCGTATATTCTACAATAAGAATGTTTCCAACCTGCTGAATAAAAAGAAAGATTTAACTCTATGAGATGAAATCACACATCTCAAAGCATTTTCAGAGATAGCTTCTTTATAGTTTTTATTAGGATTTTAGGTTTTTCACTATAAGCCTCAATCAATGGGCTTTGAAATATCTCATCAATTGTACAAAAAGAGAGTTTCCAACCTGCTGAATCAAAACAAAGGTTTAACATTGTGAGACAAATCCACAAATTGCAAAGCATTTTTACAGATAACTTGTTTCTAGTTTTTATCATGGGATATTTGGTTTTTCACTATAGGCCTCAGGGGGCTAAGAACAGTCCCCCCTTTGATTCTACAAAATGAATGTTTCCAACCTGCAAAGTTTCCAACCTGCTGAATCAAAACTAACATTCAACTCTGTTAGATGAATCCACACGTTGCAAAGCATTTTCACAGATAGCTAGTATCTAGTTTTCATCGTGGGATATTCAGTTTTTTACTACAGACCTCATTGGGTTTGAAATGACCCCTTGCAGATTCTAGAAAAATAGTGTTTCCAACCTGCTAAGTCAAAATAAAGGTTAAACTCTGTGAGATGAAACCACACATTGCAAAACATTTTTACAGATAGCTTGTTCTAGTTTTTATCATGGCATATGTGGTTTTTCACTATTGACCTCAATGAGCTCCAAAATGTCCCTTCCTTTATTCTACAAAAAGAATGTTTCCAACCTGCCCAATCAAAACAAGGTTTAACTCTGTGAGATGATTCTAAACATTGCAAAACATTTTCACACATAGCTTGTTTCTAGTTTTTATCCTGGGATATTTGGTTTTTGGTATAGGCCTCTATGGGCTCCAAAATTTCCCTTCATAGATATTACAAAAAGAGTGTTTTCAACCTTCTGAACCAAAACAAGGGTTTAACTCTGCGAGATGAATCCACACATCTCAAAGCATTTTCACAGATAATTTGTTGTCAGTTTTTATCAGGGATATTCGTTTTTTTATAATAGGCCTCAAGGACTCAGAAATTTCTTATTTTAGATTCTACTAAAAGAATGTTTCCAACCTGCTGTATATAAACATAGGTATAACTCTATGAGATAAATTCACACATAACAAACATTTTCACAGATAGCTCATTTCTAGCTTTTATCACAAGATATTCAGGTTTCACTATAGGCCTCAGTGGGCTCTGAAATGTTCCTTTGTAGATTCTACAAAAGAATGTTTGAAACCTGCAGAATAAAAACAAAAGTTTAACTCTGTGAGATGAATCCACACAACACAGAGCATTTTCACTAATAATTTGTTGATAGTTTCTATGGTGGGATATTTAGTTTATCAATACACTCATCCATGGGCTTCAAAATATCCCTTCATTGATCCTTGAAAAAGAGTGTTTCCAAAATGCTAAGTCAAAACAAATGTTTAACTCTGAGGGATAACCCACACATCACAAGGCATTTTCACAGATAGTCACTGGGAAGCTGGCCTTTCTGGAAAAGCCACCTTTTTGGCACCCCTCCCCTCATGCCCGTGACAGTGGCACAGTGCTGTATCCTGCCTGGGCTTTGGCCTCTGCTTTGTCCCTCCTCTTGCCCTGTCTCCCCTGCTTCTGAGGGGCCTACATGCCTCTTGCTCTGGCTGAATGTCTTCAACAATGATCACATCCCAGGCCGTCAGGGAGACACTTCCTGGAGATCCCTGTCGTGATTGTTTCTCTCTTTCAACCTGTTTCTGCTTGATAGGGCAGGATTGACGACCCTGGAGCTCTTGGCTTCCACACTTGTCTCAGACAGGGAAGCTTCCTTCCTCTCCGTGTTTCACCTCATGGGTGGGTGGATTGCCTGGAATGAGCACTAGGCGACCGTGACAGGCCTTGTCTTCTAGGACAGGTGGTGTCCCATTTCCTCTGCACTTCATGTCTCATTTGTGAGAGACATCCTCTCCTCTGCTCCTGGGTGGACTGACTCCCTGGATCTTTTGATGGTAAAGAATATCGGGGAAAGGAACCAAAGGGACTGGGCTGGGGCTGGAGCTGGGTCTGGATCTGGGGCTGGGGCTGGTTGCAGGGGAGGTTGGGTCAGGGCTACCTGGGCCGTGGAGGGTTGGGGGTGGGGTGAATTTTGCAGAAACCTCTTTAATCCTCTGGCAGGCATTTCAAAATGTGGCTTGGACTCAGGCACAGGCCCCCTCCTGGTTCCCAGTTGTTCTTTGATTTTCCTTGGCATCGATGGAAAGGTCACTTGATCCCTCCTTCCACCGGACACATGCCTGGACACCATTGTTGGTTTTGCCATCGCCCCATATGCCTCCGGTGACACACATTCACACCATCTGCTCTGGGATACGCCAGTGCCACGCTTGGTCGCATTGGCCTCACCTCGGAATCGCCTCTGTCTTTGTTTGCACGTGTCCTGAAAAGCAGTGTCAGCTTGGAGGAGACTCAGGGCTTTTAGAAGCGGGGCAGGCCACTGCTCTTTCAAAGGGGGAGGGAGGCAGAGGGCTCAGGGATCAGTGAATTTTCAGCTGACACCACGCGTTGAGGCCCATGTGATCATTCTGTGCTGCAGGGAGGCCCTGCCTGCCTCACCAGATGTGGTGAACCCATCCTTTCTCACCCAGAGGGGTCCAAAATCGGATCTGAAGGGGAGTTCTGAGAACCTAGCAGGCACCCTGAAGCTCCCCGTCCATCGGTGGAAGTCGGCTCAAGGAGGTCCTGAAGACTGGACTCCTGGGGGTTTGGCCCTGGGCCAGGACATCTGCGGCCCCCTCTCCCACGCGGCCCCAAACGGGACCCCAGATCCAGCCTCTGCCAAGGCTGCAGGAGGAGCCCCCCTGCTGCTGCGCAGCCACGGCCTTATTTAAAGGGGACGCAGCCCCACTGCCAGGAGCAGAGCGTTAGTCGGCCCAACCAATGCGCATGCGCGAGGCGTGAGCGGATTCTCCCATCACAGTGGTTCCCACGGTTGTCTTAGAAACCAGTCTCCGAGGCTTGGCAAAGCAGTTCTCCTTGGCAGTGCTTGGGTGTCGGGACTCCGAGGTTCCGGCCTGACCGCTCCACGGGGTCGACAGGAACGTCTCCAGATGCCAGGAGTCGCAAAGAGCCGACCACGACGATGAGACCACGGGCGGAGTCCAGGGGAAGCAGCAAGGCATCCCAGCCTCAGGCCTGCCCGGACGGTGTTCGGGTGAGTCTCCCCAAAAGTCGTGCCCCCGGGATCTCAAGGACAGGTCGGCTTGCGTGCCCCTGGGCTGCTCTCTCACCCGAGGGTCGTTCTCATCCAGAGCAGAACCCCGCAGCCTCAGGTGTTGCCTGGGGGTGTGTGTTTCTGTGCCACTGCTGTATGACTCTGTGTGTGTGTGTGTGTGTGTGTGTCTCCCATTCTCTCTTCTGTCTCTGTCTCTCACTCTCTGTGTGTTTCTTTCCCTCTCTCTGTCCATTTGTGTGTGTGTGCCCGTGTGCGAGTGTGTCTTTGGACGAATGTGCCCTGTGCGCCAAAAAGCGATTTCTCGCATGTCAGCCTTTCTTTGGTGAGCCTCTTTCTGTGTCTCTGCCTGGGTCCTGTGGCTGGCTGTCAATCGTTTTCACCCTGGTACCACTTTGGCTGTGTGAAGGCTTCGACCGCGTGAGGAGATGCGTTGGTCCCGGAGCAATTGAAATCTCATCCTCATCCTGAGCGGCCTCATTTTTAGGATCAAGATGACCACACTGCAGCCAAGGACGAAAGCCCCACAGGAGCTCATTGTTTTGCAGGAGAGGAGTGGACCCACGTCAGAAATGAGGTTGTATCTTTTCCCGGGTCTTCTGTGAGCAATGAAGCCACATCACGATAGAGTCTTGAAGAGGAATCCGGAAATGGGAGTTGGCAATCCCTGTCACTGGAACGCTGGCCTCTCTGGACAAGCCACACTTCTGGCCCCCCTCCTCTTATGCTCGTGGAGGTGGCACGGTGCTGTATCCTGCCTGAGCTCTGGCCTCTGCCCTGCCTTCCCTCTTGCTCTGTCTCCCCTGTTTCTCAGCCGCCTAGATGCCTCTTGCTCTGGCTGAATGTCTTCAACAAAGATCATTTCCCTGTCCGTCAGGGAGACACTTCCTGGAGATCCGTGTCATGATTGTGTCTCTCTCCAAACCTGTTTCTGCTTGATTGGGCAGGTTTGATGTCCCTGGAGCTCTTGGCTTCCATGCGTGTCTCAGACAGGGAAGCTACCTTGGTCTCCATGTTTCACCTCATGTGTAGGTGGATTGCCTAGAAGCAACGGTAAGCGACCGTGACCGGCCTTGTCTTCTAGGACAGGCGTGGTGAAACATGTCCTCTGCATCTCCTGTCTCATTCTTGAGGGACATCCTCTCCTCTGCTCCTGGGTGGACGGACTCCCTGAATCTTTTGGCCGCGTCTTAGATCTGAGGTGTTCTTTGATTTTGGTTGGCATTGATGGAAAGGTCACTTGTGCTCCCCTTCAGCCGGGCACATGCCTGGACACCATTGCTTGTTTTGCCATTGCCCCATATGCCCTCAGTGACACACATCCATACCATCTGCTCTGGTATACGCCAGTGCCACACGTGGTCGCCTTGGCTCCACCTGGGAATCGCCTCTGTCCCTGTTTGCACTTGTCCTGGAAAGCGGTATCAGCTTGCAGGAGCCCCAGGGCTTTTAAAAGTGGGGCGGGCCACTGCTCTTTCAATGGAGGAGGGAGGCAGACAGCTCATGGGTCAGTGAAATTTCAGCTGACACCATGATTTGAGGCCCATGGGAACATTCTGTGTTGCAGTGAGGCCCTGCCTGCCTTAGCAGATGTGGTGATCCCCTCCTTTCTCACCCGGAGGGGTCCAAGATGTGATTCAAAGAGGAGTCCTGAGACCCCAGCAGGCGCCCTCGAGCTCTCCCTCCATCGGTGGAAGTTGGCTCAAGCAGGGCCTGAAGACAGGACTCCTGAGGTCACCCGCGGACCTCTCTCCCACGCCGCCCTCTACTGGGTCCTGGATCCAGCTGCCGCGGAGGCTGCAGCAGGAGTCCCCCTGCCACCGCGCAGCTGCCATTGTTTCAAGGGGACTCCGCCTGACTGCCAGGAGCGGAGGGCGAGTCGGCCTAGCCAATGCGCATGCGCGAGGCGCGAGGCGCGAGCCGCTTCTCCCATCACAGTGATTCCCACGGTTGTCTTAGAAACCAGTCCAGGAGGCTTGGCAAAGCAGGAGCCCTCCGTGGCAGTACTTGGGCGTCGGGACTCCGAGGCTCTGGCCTGACCTCTCCACGGGGTCGACAGGAACGTCTCTGGATGCCAAGAGTCACAAAGGGCCTACCAGGACGAAGAAACCCCCTGGCGGAGTCCGTGGGAAGCACCGCGGCAGCCTAGCCTCAGGCCTGCCCAGACGGTGTTCAGGTGAGTCTCCCCAAAAGTCGTGCCCCCGTGATCTCTAGGACAGGCCTGCCTGTGTGCTCTTGGGCTGCTCTGTCACCCAAGGGTCGTTCTCATCGAGAGCAGAAGCCTCCAGCCTCAGGGGTGGCATTCGGTCTGAGGAGGGTGTGTTTCCATGCCACTGCCATGTGACGGTGTGTGTGTGTGTGTGTATGTGTGTGTGTCTCCCATTCTCTCCTCTCTCGCTGTCTCTCACTCTGTTTCTTTCCCTCTCTCTGTCGGTTTGTGTGTGTGTGTGTGTGTTTGTGTGTGCATGCTCTGGTGTGTGTGTGTGTTTGGACGTATGTGCCTGTGAGCCAGAAAGTGATTTCTTGCATGTCGGCTGGTCTTTGGTGAGCCTCTTTCTGCATCTCTGCCTGGTTCATGTGGCCAGCTGTCAGTCATTTTCCTGGCCGTTCCACTTTGGGTTTGTGAAGGCCTCGATCACGTGAGGAGACGCGTCGGTCCCGGAGCAATTGAACTATCATCCCCATCCTGAGTGGCCTCTTTTCTAGGGTCAAGATGACCACACTCCACCCGAGGACAAAAGCCCCACAGGAGCTCACTGTCCTGCAGGAGAGGAGCAGACACACGTCCAAGAAGATGATTGCATCTTTTCATGGCTCTTCTCTGAGAAATGAAGCCACACCATGATACAGTCTTGAAGAGGAAGCCGGGAATGGGAGATGGCAACAATCCCTGTCACGGGAACGCTGGCCTCTCTGGACAAGTCACTGGTTAGGCCCCCCTCCCCTTGTGCCCATGGGGGTGGCAAAGTGCTGTATCCTACCTGAGCTCTGGCCCCTGCTCTGTCCTCCCTCTTGCTCTGTCTCCCCTGTTTCTGTGGTGCCTAGATGCATCTAGGTCTAGCTGAATGTCTTCAACAAAGATCACTTTCCAGTCCATCAGGGAGACACTTGATGGACATGCGCATCACTATTTTTTCTCTCTGCCAATCTGTTTCTGCTTAATTGGGCTGGTTGGATGACCCTGGAGAGATTGACTTCCATAGCTGTCTCAGATAAGCAAGCTACCTTGGTCTCCATGTTCCACCTCATCGGTTGGTGGATTGCCTAGAATGAGCGGTAGGCCACTGTGACCAGCCTAGTCTTCTAAGACAGGCAGTGTCACATTTCATCTGCACTTCCAGTCTCATTATTGAGAAACATTCTCTCCTCTGCTCCTGGGTGGACTGACTCCCTGAATCTTTTGGCCTCCTCCTGGATCCAGGTGTTCTTTGATTTTCCTTGGCATTGATGGAAAGGTCACTTGTGCCCCCCTTCCACCTGGCACATGCCTGAACACCATCTTGTGTTTCACCATCACCCCATATGCCTTCAGTGACACACATTCACACCATCTGCTCTGGGATACGCCAGTGCCACGCATGTTGGAATTGACTCCACTTCGGAATCGCCCTTGTCCCTGTTTGCATGTGTCCTGAAAAGAGGTGTCAGCTTGCAAGGGCCCCAGAGCTTTTACAAGTGGGACAGGCGACTGCTCTTTCAAAGGAGGAGGGAGGCAGAGGGCTCATGGGTTAGTGATTTTTCTGCTGACACCACACCTTGAGGCCCATGTGATCATTGTGCCCTGCAAGGAGGCCCTTCTTTTCTCAGCAGATGTGGTGAGCCCATCCGTCTTCACCCGGAGGGGTCCAAAATCGGATCTTAAGAGGGGTCTTCAGATGCCAGCAGGTGCCCTGAAGCTCTCCCTCCACCGGTGGAAGTCAGCTTAAGGAAGTCTTTGAGACAGGACTCCTCGGGATTTGGCCCTGGGACCCCCGTGGCCCTCTCTCCCCTGCCGCCCCCTACTGGAACCTGCATCCCGCCATCGCCGCGGCTGCAGCAGGATTCCCCCTGCCACTGTGCAGTCGCCATTGTTTAAAGAGGCCACAGCCTGCCTTCCAGGAGCGCAACGCGAGTCGGCCCAGCAAATGCGTATCCGCGAGGCTCTAGCTGATTCTCCCATCACATTGATTTCCATGGTTGTCTTAGAATCCAGTCCCTGAGGCTTGGCAAAGCAGGAGTTCTCTGTGGCCCTGCTTCGTTATTGGGGCCCTGAGCCTCCAGCCTGACTCGCAAGGGTTTTAATACCCTTCCCATCCTCAGCTGCCTCTTTGCTAGGATCAAGATGACCACAACCCAGCCAAGGACAAAGGCCTCACAGGTGCTCATTGTCCACCCCCAGGAGGGTGCCCACAGACCTTCAAGAAGGCGGTTTTCACTCCTCTCGCACTTTGCCCTCATTCAGAAATCCAGGAAGAGTTCGACACAGCGACGGAGAAGGAAGCCGGCAACGGGATGCGGCAATCATTTCTGTCACCCAAAAGCTGGCCTTCCTGGCCAAGTCACCCGCTTGACACTTTTTCCCAGTTGCTCGTGATGGTGGCATTGTGCCGTATCCTGCCTGGGTGCTGGCCTCTACTCTGTCCTCCCTCTTGCTCTGTCTGCTCAGGTTCCAGGAATCCTAGAGGCTTCTTAGTCTGGCTCAACGTCTTCAACAAAGAACACTTCGCAGTCCATCAGGGAGAAATATCTTTGGGGTCCGTTTCATGATTGCTTCCCTCTCCAAACCTATTTCTGGATGATAGGGCAGGTGTGATGATCCTGGAGCTCTGGGCTTCCATACCTGTCTTGGATAGTGAAGCTCCCTTGCTCTCCATGTCCAAAGTGATGGCTGCATAGTCGGTCCAGGAAGAGCGGGAGGCGACCCGACAGTGGCTGACCTTTGTTTTCTAGGAAAGGTGATGTTGCATCCCACCTGTATTTCCTCTCTCATTCCTGAGGGCCATCCTGTTGCTCTGCTCCTGGGGAGAGTGCCTTCAAGCACTGAATCTTTTGGCTGCCACGGATGTCAGGGAGCCGAGGGGACTGGGTTTTGCTGGGTGCAGGGGAGTTGGCATCAGAGGTACCTACCTGCTGGCAGGATTGGGGTGGGATGTACTTTGTCGAAACCTCTGGGCTCCTCTGGCAACCATCCCTGAATGTGGCTTGGACTCGGGCACAGGCCCTGTCTCGCAGGTTTTTAGGTGTGCTTGGCTTTTCATCAGCTTTGTGTGGGAGGTCCCAGTGGCCCACGGACGCACAACTGGACGTCACTGTCTGTCTCGGCGTCGCCCCATATGGCCTCAGAGACACACGCTCATTCCATCTGCTCTTGGGTGACATCAGTGTCATGTGTGGTCACATTGGCTCCATCTCGGACTCGCCTCTGTCTCTCTTTGCATATGTCGCAGAAAGCAGTTTCGGGATGCCAGAGCCCTGGGCCTTGGAGATAAAGACAGGCCACTGCTCCACCTAGGAAGGAGGCAGGCAGCGGGCTCATGGGTCAGTGCATTTTCAGCCTACAGTATGCCTTACGGCCCTTGAGATCTTTCTGTGCCCCAGCGAGAACCTTCCCGCCTCACTACATTGTAACCCCATTCCTGATCACCGGTTCGGATCCATAATCAGATTCGAGGAGGAGTCCGGAGAGCCCAGCGGCACCCTGAAGCTCCTCCTCCACCAGGAACTGAAGCAGAAGATGGATCAAGAAGGTCCTGACGACAGGACCCCTATGGGTCCAACCCTGGGTCTCCTGCAGGCCCCCTCCTAGTACCCTTCCCACTTGCCGCCTCGGACTGTACCGCCACCCCAGTCGCCGCAGTCAGCTGTGTTGCAGCCATTTTTTAAAGGGTCCGCAGCCTGACTCTCCGGAGCAAGGGCGGAGTCGGCCTCTCCAGTGAGCATGCTCGACGACTGAGCCACCACTTTGGTAACAGTGTCCGCCACTGTTGCCCAGAAATAGGTCCCTGAGACTTGGCAAAGTAGGAGCCATGTGTGATAGTGCGTCAGAGTCGAGGCTGAGAGCAGTCCTGGCCAGGGTGTTAACAGGATGGTCTCCGGAGACCGGTATTTTCGGAGGGTGGACAACCAGGAAGAAACCTCAGGAGCAAGAAACCTCAGGCAGATCGCAAGGGAGGCAGCGCGAGATGCCAGCCTCAAGCCAGGATTTGCGGAGGGTCGATGAGGCCCCTCTCCCAATCTTCACTTCACCAGCCACCACCCCAGTCCCTGCAGCCGCCGCTCTGCCGTCATTTATTTTATTATTATTTTTTAATAGTCGGAGTCTCACTCTGTCACCCAGTCTGGAGTGCAGTGGTGGGATCTCAGCTCACTGCAAACTCTGCCGCCTGGGTTCAAATGATTCTCTTGCCTCGGCCTCGCGAGTACCTGGGATTAGAGGGATTAATCAGAGTCGAGGCTAAAACCAGTCCTGGCCAGGGCATCAACAGGATGGTCTCTGGAGGCCGGAATTCACGGAGGGTCATCCAAGAGGAAGAAACCGCGGGCAGAGGGCCGAAGAAGCAGGGCGGGGTCCCAGCCTCAGGCCTGCATGGACCGTGTGCCAGTGAGTCTTTTCAAAAAAGGAGAGTTTTGCTTGTGTGTCCATGAGCTGCTCTCTCACTGATGGGTCGTAGTTGCGGAGAGCAGAACACGGCAGCTTCAGGGGCTGCCTGGGGGTGAGTGTTACCGTGCCACTGCCCTATGTCTTTTTGCGTTTGTGTGTGTGCGTAAGTCTCTCTCTTATTTCTCTCTCTCCTTTCTCGGTCTTTCGCTCTGTGACCGTCTGTGTGTGCGTGTGTGTGTTGGGACACATGTGCCCTGTGTGCCAGAGGGCGGTATCTTGTACGTCAGCCTTTCTTCTGGTCACCCTCTCCCCGCGTCTCTCCCTGGGTCTTGTGGCCGGTTGTCAGTCGTTTTTCCGGTGGTTCCAGTTTGAGTTTGTGAAGGTCTGGATGAGATGGGGAGCTGCGTCTATCTCATAAGGATTTAAATCACCTCCCCACCCTGAGAGACCTGTTTTCTAGGATTAAGGCCTCCACCCCCGAGCCAAGGATAAAAGCCTCACCGGAGAGCTCATTGTCTACCTGCAGGAGCTGTGTAGAGCGACATCAGAAAAGATTGTTCTCATTTGTCTCTCTCTTTCATCTCCTTAAGAAATCTAGCCACAGGGTAACACAGGTTTTGAGAGGATCAGAACAGGACGTGGCAAGGATCTGTGAGTGTGCAGGCTGTGTTTCACATATCATTAAACATAGTCCAGTGAGGGTTCTGCAGATAGCTGGCATTTAGGTTTGTTTTATTGAATCAAGGAAAAGAAAAAATGCCGAGTAAAAATGACACAACTTGCCTACCAGCCCATCTGAGTGTTACAAATTTAATAGTAATTTTAATTTATCTTCTCATGTAAAGGTCCTTGGCAGTGATACCTAATTTCCTAAGATAGCCTTGCTTTATATTGTTTGATTAAGATGTCATGCATATCAGAGAATCTGAAAATTCTTCCCAATGCCGTCGACATACGTGATTAATCACATTACCAAAATAACATACCAAAACAAACAACAGAAAATTATTTGTTACTTAGTTCCTTCAAATTTGTTTATCTAATTGGTGGTTCCTTCATGCACAAAACGTTTCATGTGTGTCTGGCACTCTTCTGGTCACAAATTTCATCTTAAGTAACCTAAGTATTGAAATGCTTGTGCTCTTTGATTGATTTTTCCTACATAAATACTTTGATAAAAAGCTACATTGAGGCTGGGCTTAGTGGCTCACACCTCCAATCCCAGCTCTTTGGGAGCCTGAGGCCAGTGGATCAGGAGATCAGGAGATCAAAACCATCCTGGCCAACATGGTGAAACCTCATCTCTTCAAAAATACAAAGAATTAGCCAGGAGAGGCCAGGTGCTGGATCATGCCTGTAACCCCACACTTTGGGAGGCTGAGGTTGGCAGATCACCTAAGGTCAGGAATTTGAGACCAGTCTGCCCAACATGGCAAAACCCTGTTTCTACTAAAAATACAAAAAATTAGCCAGGTGTGGTGGCAGGCGCCTGTAATCCCAGCTACCCAGGAAGCTGAGGCAGGAGAATCGCTTGAACCCAGGATGCAGAGGTTGCAGTGAGCTGAGATCATGCCACTGCACTCCAGCCTGGGTGACAAGAGTGAAACTCTGTCTCAAAAACAACAACAAAAAAAAAAAAAAGAAAGAAAGAAAAGAAACCTTGTCTATACTAAAATTACAAAAATTAGATCCTGAAGGTCACATCTGAATGAGAAAGACATTGTTTGCCTCAAATTGTCTGACTCCAAGGAATAGTGCAGACTGGACAAGTGAGGTGACTCACACCTATAATCCTAGCACTTTGGGAGGCTGAGGCTGGTGGATCTCCTGATGTTAGGAGCTCAAGACCAGCCTAGCCAAAATGGCAACACTCTGTTTCTACTAAAAGAACAAAAATTAGCCAGGCGTGGTGGTGCACATCTGTAATCCCAGCTTCTCAGGAGGCTGAGGCAGGATAATCACTTGAACCTGGAAGGCAGAGGTTGTAGTGAGCTTAGATTGCACCACTGCACTCCAGCCTGGGTGACAGAGTGAGACTCCATCTCAGAAAAAAAAAAAAAAGTATGTAAGTCACTAATATATCAAAGAAAACAACCATTCATGTATTGTAAATAAATACTCAACCAAGACAAAAAGACATGTCACATGTTATGGGAAAAGACTGTAATGATGGTGAGAGAAAAACTGTGACCCTTGAATATAAGACAGAAAAAAATCAGGGCACGATGTTAAGGAATTGGAAATAATTCTCTATATTAAAGGAATACAAGAAACAGAAAGAGAGGAGAGAGAGACACGATAGTCACACACTGCAGGGGTTTGGGGTAGATGGGAATCAAGGAGGCAGAGAGAGCAGTGGGAATGTACATAAAATCACCCTCCAGAGCTGTGCTGTCCAACAAGGCTGCTGAACACTTGAAAGATGGCTAGTCCAACCTGAGAAATGCTGTAAGTGGAAAACACATTTAAAAAAATTTCTGAATACTCAGTATAAAAGAAAGAATGGGCCGGTGTGGTGGCTCACACCTGTAATCCCAGCATTTTGGAAGGCCAAGGCAGGAGGATTGCTTGAGCCAGGAGTTTGAGACCAGTCTGGGCAACACAGCAAGAGCTCATCTCTTCAGAAAAAAAAAAAATTAGGCCAAGTGCAGTGGCTCACACCTGTAATCCCAGCACTTTGGGAGGCCAAGGTAGGTGGATCACTTGAGCTCTGGAGTTTGAGACCAGCCTGGACAACATGCTGAAACCCTGTCTTAACAGGTTTTTTTGTATTTTAAAAATACAAAAATTAGTCAGGCGTGGTGGCACATGTTTGTGGTCACAGCTACTTGGGCGGCTGAAGTGGGAGTATCATTTGAGCCCTGGAGGTCGAGGCTGCAGTGAGCCGACATTGTGCCACTGCACTCCAGCCTGGATAACAGAGTGAGACCCTGTCTTAAAAAAAAAAATTAGCTGGGCATGGTGGTGGTCAGGAACAGCCTGACCAACATGGAAGAGCACTGTTTCTACTAAAAATACAGAAGTAGCCAGGTGTGGTGGCACATACCTGTAATCCCAACTCCTCAGGAGGCTGAGGCAGGATAATCATTTGAACCAGGATGGCAGAGGTTGCAGTGAGCTGAGATCGCACCACTGCCCTCCAGCCTGGCAACACAGCCAGACTCTGTCTCAAAAAAAAAAAAAAAAATACACACACACACACACACACACACACACACACACACACACAATTTTGGAGCGAAGTTTCAAAATAAATCAGTAAGCACCACCCACCAGGTTTATCTTTATGCAAAGTGCCCCCTCTGCACATGCAGGATTAAATGAACCTTGAAAATATTATGCTAAGTGGAAGAAGCCAGTCATGAAATATCACGTTATGTAATTCCATTTAAATAAAATGTCCAAAATACATGAATGCATAGAGACAGAAAGTAGATTAGTGGTGGCTCAAGGTTAGGGGAGTTGGGGGAAATGGAGGGATATGGGGTTTACTTTGGGGTAATGAAAATGATCTAAAATTTATTGTGATGATGTTTGCACAACTGTGCAAATATACTGAAATCATTGAATTTTACACTTTAAATGGGTGGCTTCTGTGATATGTTAATATTTCTTAATAAAACTTCAGAGAAAAAGAGTACCTGTGTGCCTCCAGAGTCCACATTTTTACACTTGATGATGAAATCAAGATATTGTTTCTTCTTCTTCTTTATTTTTATTTTATTTATTTTATGTTTTGAGACAGTCTCCTTCTGTTGCCCAGGCTGGAGTGCAGTGGCACGATTTCAGCTCACTGCAACCTCCCAGCTAATTTTTGTATTCCCAGTAGGGATTGTGGTTCACCGTGTTGGCTAGGCTGGTCTCGAACTTCTGACCTCAAATGAGTCCACCATCTTGGCCTCCCAAAGTGCTGGGATTGCAGGCATGAGCCACCACACCTGGCTCAAGACTTAGTTCCCATTGTTTCAGATGCCCTAGGACCATTTTATTCTACTTTAATTTCTGATGCATCGTCTCAGTGGAAATTTTACATTACTTCCCAAAGTATTTTACTCTTTTTAAGATCTTATCAGCTGAGTGCAGTGGCTCACACCTCTAACTGCAACATTTTGGGAGGCCAAGGTTGGAGGATCAGTTGAGCCCAGGAATTCAAGTCCAATCTCTGCAACATAGTGAGAAGCCCATCTCTACAAAAAAAAAAAAAAAATGTTTAATTAGGTGGGTATATTGTTGCATGCCTGTGGTCTCAGCCAGTAGGTAGGCTGAGGTGGGAGGATCACTGGAGCCCAGGAGGTTGAGGCTGCAGTGGCCATGATTATACCACTGCATTCCAGCAAAAATATTTTTAATTACATTTTTTAAGAAAACAAAATATACACTTACTGACTTGATACAAATGAATGACTTTTATAATCTACAGAAACCAAAAAAATAACAATAATAAAAACCCACAGCCATTCTTCTTATGTGAGACTCTGGTGTCTCTGAGTTGTAAGAATTGTGAATTATGATTAATAACAAATATGCATGACAAGGACCCAATAAGAGATAGGCATTGATAAATTGCAAATCACACTTACTGGAGTAAGGTCTTTAAAGTTGTACAAGAAAAAGAAAGAAAAAGAAAAGGCATTGAAAAACTGCATTGGCTACCAAAATGCTAAAGTTTACCTAAGTCCATTAATCAGCACACACACACACACACGCAATGGATGTGTAAAATGGTCAACATGGTATTCCATGAACGTATCCTCTTATAAATAGGTCTGTGGGGGTAAGAGATGAGGTTCTATAGATCCTGGAATCAGGGATGGGGAATCTGTGGGGTCCCTGGGGTGAGAGATGAGGGTCTGTAGATTAGTGATGGGTGGTCTTTTGGATAGTGATGAGATCCATGGAATCAATTCTTGTGGGTATGTAGGGTCAGTGATGAGGGAATCTGGTGTCAGTGGCGGGATGTGTGTGGAATCAGTGAGAGAGTGTGGAATCAATCTGTGAAGGCCAGATTTGTGGTGTCATCTCTCAGGCTGACACATCCTGACCTGTGTGACAATGGTGGAAATTCTATGGGGTCAGAGTGTGACAGTCAGTTCCTTGCCACTGGGTGTTCTGGGTCCGGCCAAGGGCACAGATTCCCTTACCTGATCCTGGCTGGAGAGGCCCTTCTCACGGACTCCTCATGTGAAAGATGGGTTGTCGGCGGTTTTGGTTTTTGTTTTATGGTGGGGGTGGGTGGGTTGGCTTTTCCTTTTGGGTTTGGTTTTGCCTCTTAGAGACCACAGACACATCCAGCTTTTAGGAAGACATTTTTGTCTGGGCGATCGCTAGTTCCTTTGGGCCAAGCCATCTAATGGGAATGAAGCTGACCATTCCCTCAGCGCAATTCAGATCTAGATGGTCGCTTTAAGGGGTCCACTCGGGGGCATGCAAGTGGGTTGTGGCTTTGAGTGGCAGGTGGGCGGGAAGAAACAACTAAGAAAGACACACGAGAGGTCCTCAGGCTTGATCTGTCACAGCTAGAAGAACAGCTTCCTTAACCCATCAGGCGCCAATGGGAGGTGCCTCTGGGCTGCAAGAGGCTGGCAGAGGGGGACTTCCAGACCCAGAAAGTCTGGGCACAGAAGCCTATTACTGCCAGACGCTGAGGAGTTGCCGTGGGAACCAAGGGCCTTTCGGGCCAGATCAGAGCCTTTCTCAGACAATTCTTTGGGTAACTGGCAAGCTCCTGTCCAGCGCACACCCCTATGAATGCTTAGTGTGCCATCTCGGGCAAGTCTTCTTTGGTCTGAGAGCCACTTGTTTCTTAAATCCCTGCGCTAATCTCGCCGTCTGCTCCTATGTAGCCCAGGCATTTGCCGCATGCTGGTCCTTTCTTTCCTGACAGGCGGGCAGTCTCCCTCCAGCTTCTGGGAGGACAGTTCAAATTATGGAGGAGGGGGTGCATGTAGGGCAGCAGTGCCCAGGGGAGTATGGGGGAGTTGGGGGAGCAGAGGCTCATTTTTCTTTATAGCTCAGATTCCCAAGCCTGTGACTTTGAGAATCTTTGTCTTCCTTGCAACATTTCAATCTGAGGCTCTTGTGGAGAGGGCAGAGTTGGAGCCAGATGGAAGAGTGGTGGGAGAGGAGTGGGTGGAGGGAACATGGAGAATGTTTCAGGTGGTGTCTTTATTTCTGGCACCTTACTTTGCCTACTGGAGTTTCCCAGTCTGTTCCAGACGCCCTCTCTAGACCCTGAGAGGGCCTGAGGAGGCATGTTAGTTGCCAGTGTGGTGGAGATGGAGTGCCGGGAGGTGGAGGTTGCAGTGAGCCAAGATCACGCCACTGCACTCCAGGCTGGGTGACACAGCGAGTCTCTGTCTCAATAAATAAATAAATAAATAAACAAACAAATGGAAGGGAAAAAACACAATATAAAAACCAAGTGATTCTAAAAGTAACAATATATCATAATGCCTAAATATGTGTAATTGGTGGGGCATGGTGGCTCCGATTATCATAATGCCTAAATTTGTGGGATTGGTGGGGTGTGATGGCTCCCACCTGTAATCCTAGCACTTTGAGAGGCTGGTGGATCACCTGAAGTCAGGAGTTTGAGACCAGCCTGACCAACATTGTGAAACCCTGTCCCTACTAAAAATAGAAAAAAATTAGCCAGGTGTTGTGGCGGACACCTGAAGTCCGAGCTACTAGGGAGGCTGAGGCAGGAGAATCACTTGAACCCAGGAGCAGAGGTTGTAGTGAGCCGAGATTGCCCCATTGCACTCCACCCTGGGTGACAGTGTGAGACTCCCTCAAAAAAAAAAGTTTGTGGGACCAATTCCAATCGAGTCCAGGGGTCTCAGTTGGCCAAGGCAGTCTCAAACTTCTGACCCCAAGTGATCTTCCTGTTTCGGCCTCCCAAAGTGCTGGGATTATAGGCGTGAGCCACCATGCCCAGCCTCCCCTCCTTTTCACTCAGGGATTTTAAATGTTTTATTTGCTCCATCTGTTATGTATGATTGCCTTGACGATTTCAGCTTGAATTAAAATTACATATTTTTGCCTGTGTTTATTAATATTTAAACATATTAAAATAATACATGTTCATAATGAAAATGAAACATTACAAATAAATACACAGGAAAGGCAGTATTCCCCTTCCAGCTCCACTCTTGAAATAACCAGTTAACAAGATGATGAACATCTTTCCATGATGTTCTCCAAGATTCATATAATTATTTGCAATCATACAATGGCATATACAGCTCAGGTGTGGTGGCTCACGCATGTAATTCCAGCACTTTGGGAGACTGAACCGGGTGGATCATTTGAGGTCAGGAGTTCAAGACTACCCTGACCAACATAGTGAAACCCCATCACTACAAAAAACACAAAAATTATCTGGGCGTGGTGGACGCTTGTATTCCAAGCTACTTGGGAGGTGGAGGCATGAGAATCACTTGAACCTGGGAGATGAAAGTTACAGGGAGCCGAAATTGCATTACTTCACTCCCACCTGGGCGACAGAGTGAGATTCCATCTCAATAAATAAATAAATAAATAAAGATAAAGAAAGAAAGAAAAAAAGAAAGATGAAAGAAACAAAGAAAAAAGGAAGAAAGAGAGAAAAAGACAGAGAAAGGAAGCACGAAAGCAAACAAGCAAGCAACCAAGAAAGAAAGAAAGAAAGAAAGAAAGAAAGAAAGAAAGAAAGAAAGAAAGAAAGAAAGAAAGAAAGAAAGAAAAAAATAGAAAGAAAAAGAAATCATGTGCTCAGGTTGCTAGGATCGATGGTAGGAACAAATCCTCTAGCGGTGAAAATGTAAGAATGAAAAAGAAATTTCTGTTAGTCTTGTTTGTTGTACCCCAAGCTCTAAAAATACAGCCATATGTGTGAAAAGATGAAAAAGGCATTAAATTTGTGAATGGAAATCATAAACAGAAATGTGTTCTGATTGACAGCAATTGGGTCAATGCTATCCAAGGTGCAGGCATCCACTGCGGGTCTTAGAACACATCTCCTGCAGATAAGGGAGGGCTACTATATAACGTTTCTTTCTTTTTTTCTTTAATTATAAAACATTCTCCTTTTTTATATAACAATTTGCCATTGATATCACTTTAGGTATAAAGATATTAGGATATCTTTATAGTAGATAAAAAGCTAACTCATTATTTGTAAGAGTTAAAGTATCTTCCACTATATGAGCATTTAAAATGCTAAAGTACTTTTGCCACCAAAAATAGTGCTTCTGTAAATATTCTTTTACTTGTACCTTTATTAATTTTTACTTCTGCTGAAACAAATTGCATGAGGAAACAAATGTATGTGTATAAAATGTAATATATGTATGTATATTTAATATGTGTATATACAACTTAATATATACACATACATACAATAACATACCCCAATTTTTGGTTGTTTTTTGAGGTGGAGTTTTGCTCTGTCGCCCAGGTTGGAGTGCAGTGGTGTGATTTCAGCTCACTGCAACCTCCACATCTTGGATTCAAGTGATTCTCCTGCCTCAGCCTCCTGAGTAGCTGGGAATACAGGCATCTGCCACCAAGTCCAGCTATCTTTGTCTTTTTAGTGGAGATGGGTTTTCACCATGTTGGCCAGGCTGCTCTCGAACTCCTGACCTCAAGTTGTCCACTGACTTTGCCCTCCCAACGTGCTGGAATTACACATGTGAGCCACCGCGCCTGGCCTAACATATACAATTTAATGTATATACAAATATAGATTGGGTGCAGTGGCTCACTCCTGTAATCCTAGCACAATGGGGAGCTGAGGTAGGGGATTGTTTGAACCCAGGAGCTTGAAACAAGCCTGGGCATCATGGTGAAACCCTGTCTGTACAAAAAACACAAAAATTAGTTGGGTGTGGTGGCACGTGCCTGTGCTCTCAGCTTCTCAGGAGACTGAGGTTGGAAGATAGCTGGAGCCCAGGTGGTCGAGGCTGCAGTGAGTTGTGATCATGCCACTGCACTCCAGCATGGGTGACAGAGTGAGACCCTGTCTTAGACAAAAGCAAATCAAACTAAATATAATGTTTACGCTCTACACACTTGATTTCTTTCCAAAGGGTTATATAACACTGTAATTTCACCAGCAATATATGCGACTACTCATTTCCTACATACTCACTATCACTTGTGTGCAGTCGAGGAAAGTTAGTAGGCCTGAATTGCCCAAACCTGGCATACTCCAAAGAATGGTGTGACTCTAGCCCAGCTCCTGGGAAATAACCTCTAGGTCCTTGGAATCTCCTGCCTATCTGGGAGTTAACAATGTGATTTATTGTGGGGACCTTGGACCATGCAGTGTCAGCTTGACCTTGGGAAGGGTGGAGACAGAGAAACCAAGGTCATCCAAATGGGTGCTCTTGTCCATGTGACCAACCTCCAGTAAAACCCTCAACCCCAAGGCTCAGGTAAGCTTCTTGTTGGGGAGTATTTTCTGTACTTTCTGCCACATATCGCTGGGTGAATTAAGCACTGTTCACATGATGCCACTGGGAGAGGACAACTGGAAGCTTGTGCTTGGTTTCTCCTGGACTCTGCCCTATGCACCCTTTTCTGCTGCTGATTTTAATCTGTATCCTTTTGTTGTAATAAACTATAACTGTGAGTATAACAGCTTGACTCAGTTTTGTGAGTCCTTCTAATCAATCACTGAACTTTTGGGACCCCAAAACACAATGTTGTTTCTTAATTGAATTTTCCATGTTATGTAAGAAACCTATGTGCATAATTGAAAATCCCACACTAAGAAAGAGCTTTCCATGCAGTCTACTCCCCAACCTGTTTCTCCAATACTCCCAAGTCTACTTTCTGAATAATCAAATATTTAAATTTTCTAAACTATTTATAATCCATATATCTGAGTGCTTATCTCTGTTATATAATAGATAGATCTTCCTCCTTCTGTTTTTTTTTTTTTTTTTTTTTTTTCTGAGACAGAGTCTTGCTATGTCACTCAGGCTGGAGTGCAGTGGCACGATCTTGGCTCACCGCAAGCTCCACCTCCCGGGTTCACTCCATTCTGCTGCCTCAGCCTCCCCAGCAGCTGGGACTACAGGCACCCGTCACCAGTCCTGGCTAATTTTTTTTTTATTTTTAGTAGAGATGGGGTTTCACCGTGTTAGCCAGGATGGTCTTGATCTCCTGACCTCGTGATCCGCCTGCCTTGGCCTCCCAAAGTGCTGGGATTACAGGCATGAGCCACTGCGCCTGGCCCCTCTTTCTTAATATATCAACTTGATATATTACCTGATGGCTTCGTGTTCTGATAGCTGATGACTTGGCTGACACTCACCCCTTACCACAGTGCCTGAACCACTTTCCTTATATGATGCTCTCACTATTTTCTTTTTCTTTTCTTTTCTTCTTCTTCTTCTTTTTTTTTTTTTTTTTGAGACAGAGTCTTGCTCTGTCGCCCAGGCTAGAGTGCAGTGGTGCAATCTCAGCTCACTGCAACCTCTGCCTCCCAGTTTCAAGTGATTCACCTGCCTCAGCCTCATGAGTAGCTGGGATTACAGGCATGAGACACCATGCCCAGCTATTTTTTGTATTTTTAGTAGAAGCGGGGTTTCGCCATCTTGGCCAGGCTGGTCTCAAACTCCTGATCTTGTGATCCACCCACCTCGGCCTCCAAAAGTGTTGGGATTACCGGTGTGAGCCACCGACCCCACCACTCGCACTGTTTTCAATGGCTCTGTTGGTTACCATTCACAACATTCAACAATCAGACTTATACCTCATTTATTTATTTATTTTTAATTTTTTCTGTTTTTAGGTTTAAGGGATAAATGTGCAGGCTTGTTACATGGGTAAATTGCATGTCACTGGGGTTTGGTGTACAAATGATATTGTCACCCAGGTAGTAACCACAGTACCCAATAGTTTTTTGACCCATAGCCTCATGCCATCCTCCCCACTCAAGCAGACCCCAGTGTCTATTGATCCCATCTGTGTGTCCATGTGTACTCAATGTTTAGCTCCCACTTATAAGTGAGACCATGGGTATTTGGTTACCTGATGCTGCATTAATTCATTTAGGATAATGGCCTCCAGCTGCATCCATGTTGCTTCAAGGGACATGGTTTCTTTTTCTATGGCTATGTAGTATTCCATGGTGTATAATTACCACATTTTCGTTATCCAATCCACTGCTGATGGGCATCATATATGCCACTTCAAATTATACTACTAGGCTACAGTAACCAAAATAGCATAGTAGTGTACAAATACAGACACATAGACCAATGGGATGGTTAGAAAACCCAGAAAAAAATTAACACACCTACAACCATGTGATCTTTGACAAAGTCAACAAAAGTGAGCAATGAGGAAAGGACTCCCTATTCAACAAATGTTTCTGGGATAACTGGCTACCCACATGCAGAAGACTGAGTCTGAGCCCCCTACCTTTCACCATATACAAAAATTAACTCCAAATGGATTAAAGATTTAAATATAAGACCCCAAACTATAAAAATCCTGGAAGACAACCTAGGAAACACTCTTCTCAACATCGGCCTTGGCAAATAATTTTTGGCTAAGATTCCAAAAAAGCAATTGCAGCAAAAACAAAAATAGACAAGTGTTACCTAATTAAGCCAGAAGCTCGGAGGCCAGGTTGGGCAGATCACAAGGTCAGGAGTTTGAGACCAGCCTGACCAACATGGTGAAACCCTGTCTCTAATAAAAATACAAAAATTAGGTGGTGGTAGTGCACACCTGTAATCCCAGCTATTCAGGAGGCTGAGGCAGGAGAATTGCTTGAACCTAGGAGGCAGAGGTTGCAGTGAGCCGAGATCGCACCACTGCACTCCAGCCTGGGTGACAGAGCAAGACTGCCTCAAAAAAAAAAATTAAAGTAAAATAAAAGCGTAAACACAACAAGACAAACTATCAACAGAGTAAACAAACCACAGAATGGGAGAAGATATTCACAAACGATGTATCCAACAAAGGCCTAATAATATCCAGAATCTATAGACAACTTAAACAAATGGAACCCTTACTCTGTAGCAAGTTCTGTATGCATAAGCCTCTCTTTGTTCTTATTTTGGTGGCCTCTGTTTATTTACACAAAGAGGAAGAACTGCTATTCCCATAAATCATGGCTTTCAAAATGGTCACAGTTCACTGGGCATGCTTGCTCATGCCTGTAATTCTATCATTTTGAGAGACCGAGGTGGGCAGATCACGAGGTCAGGAGATCAAGGCCATCCTGGCCAACCCAGTGAAACCCCATCTCTACCAAGAATACAAAAACATTAGCCATGATTGGTGGCATGCACCTATAATCCCAGCTACTCAGGAGGCTGAGGCAGGAGAATCACCTGAATCCAGGAGGCAGAGGTTGCAGTGAGCCGAGATCATGCCACTGCACTCCAGCCTGGATGACAGAGTAAGACTGTCTCAAAAAACCCAAACTGGTCAGGCTCGGTGGCTCACGCCTGTAATCCCAGCACTTTGGGAGGCTGAGGCAGGTGGATCACAAGGTCAAGAATTCAACACCAGCCTGGCCAAGATGGCGAATCCCCAACTCTACTAAAAAATACAAAAATTAGCCAGGCACAGTGGCAGGCACCTGTGATCCTAGCTACTTGGGAGGCTGAGGCAGGAGAATCACTTGAACCCAGGAGGCAGAGGTTGCAGTGAGCTGAGTTCTCACCACCGCACTCCAGCCTGGGCAATAGAGTGAGAATCTGTCTCAAAAAAAAAAAAAAAAAACCCATGGAGAAACTCCATCTCTACTAAAAATACAAAATTAGCCAGGCTTGGTGGCACATGCCTGTAATCCCAGCTACTTGGGAGGCTGAGGCAAGAGAATCACTTGAACCTGGGAGGCAGAGGTTTCGGGGAGGTGGAGGTTGAGGTGAGCCAGGATCGTGGCATTGCACTACAGCCTGGGCAACAAGAGTAAAACTCTCTCTAAACAAACAAACAAACAAACAAACAAAACAAAACAAAGAAAAGTACACACAATTTATTTCCTGGTTTGTGATAATCTGTGAAATATATTTTGAAATGAATTGGAATTCAATACAGTACTATTCAAACCCCAAATACTCCTAATATTTCCTTTCCCAGATGATGACCTGGTACTCTTCCTAGGGCTTGATTTCTCCCTACAGGTCCCCAGTACAAGTATTTGTGATTCTGAGTCAATTCATTGTCTACATGTGTGACAATGCAATGCTCTTGTTGTAGAGTACCAAGATGAGGCAGGTCCAAACTGCACATTTGTAGAGAACATAGTATGTGTGCAATTGAACATGTATGTGGTTGTGATACTGAAAACAATACAAACTTAGGCCAGGCGCAATGGCTGATGCCTGTAATCTTAGCACTTTGGGAGGCAGAGGCATGGAGGTCACCTGAGGTCAGGAGTTTGAGACCAGCCTGGCCAACCTGCTGAAACCCTGTCTCTACAAAAAATTAGCTGGGTGTGGTGGCAGGCACCTGTAATTCCACCTACTCAGGAGGCTGAGGTGGGAGAGTCGCTTGAACCCAAGAGGTGGAGGTTGCAGTGAGCTACCACTGCATTCCAGCCTGGGTGACAAGAGTGAAACTGCATCAAGAAAAAAAAAAAAATTGGCCTTGGGCATTTCTTTAGGTTGGCTCCTGTGTTCTATTTATAGCATGCCTTTATCAGGGGGTTGGGGTGTGGGACTAATTACCAACTTTCTGGCACCATAAAGTGTTTTGATTCATCTGGTATTTTCCCTGACCCAGACGTGGAATAAACCATTTATTAAAGATCCTTGGTTTCTTTCATTGAAAAGTATTATTTACAAAGCACCAAAATCTTGGGCTGGGTGAGGTGGCTCAGGTCTGTAATCTCAACATTTTGGGAGGCTGAGGCAGGAGGATCCCTTGAGGCCAACAGTTTGAGACAAGCTTGGGCAACGCAGTGAGACCCCCATCTCTATTTTTAAAAACCAAACAAAAACAAAATCGCCAAGATCGGGGTGACACGTGTGCTCATTGCTATGGGTGTGTCATTGCTTCTAGGCCCTCTTAGTGGGCAGAACTAGGAAATACATTGTATGTATACTAACACACATGCCACATGCCTAATTCGTATATTTATTCAGCCTTGCTGGAAGCATTCTTTTTTTTTTTTTCCAGACAGGGTCTCACTCTGTCACCTAGGATGGAGAGCAGTGGCATAATCTCAGATCAATGCAACCTCCACCTCCCAGGTTCAAGTGATTCTCCTGCCTCAACCTCCTGAGTAGTTGGGACTACAGATGCATGCCACCATGCCTGGCTAATTTTTGTGTTTTTAGTTGAGACAGGGTTTCACCATGTTGGCCAGGCTGGTCTGGAACTCCTGACCTCAGCGGATCTGCCTCCCTTGGCTTCCCAAAGTGCTGGAATTACAGGCATGGGCCTCTGTGCCTGGCCACGCATTCTTAATGGGAGTGATATTGCCCCTAAGAGGGTGAACATTGGTTATTGAAGGTAAAATGAATTATAGTTGTTGCAGTGGTTTGTGGCCTTCCACAATTTTTTTTTTTTTTTTCGGAGAGGGAGGCTCACTCTGTCACCCAGGCTGGAGTGCGGTGGTGCAATCTCTGCTCACTGCAACCTCCACCTCCTGGGTTCAAGTGATTCTCCTGCCTCAGTCTCCCAAGTAGCTGGGATTACTGGCACACACTACCACGCTCAGATAATTTTTGTATTTTTTGTAGAGACAGAGTTTCACCATGTTGGCCAGGCTGGTCTAGAACTACTGATCTCAAGTGATCTGCCTGCCTCGGACTCCCAAAGTTCTGGGATTACAGGTATGAGCCACCATGCCTGGCCTATTGCACAAAATTTTACTCCTTGGTATTTAATTTCTCTCAAATATGATGGGCAGCATTAATCATTTTATGGAAGATAAAAAATCCATGCAAGATCAGGCCATGCACGGTGACTCACACCTGTAATCTCAGCACTTTGGGAGGGCAAGGAAGGTGGATCACTGAAATTCAGTAGTTCAAGACCAGCCTGGCCAACATAGTAAAACCCTGTGTCAACTAAAAATACAAAACAATTACCCAGAAGTGGTGGCACCTGCCTGTAATCCCAGCTACATGGGAGGCTGAAGCAGGAAAATCGCTTGAACCCAGGAGGCAGAGGTTGCAGTGAGTGGATCGTGCCACCGCCCTTCATCCTGGGTGACAGAGTGAGCCTCCACCTCAAAAAAAAAAAAAAAAAAAAAATCTTTGCAAGATCAGTGTTACAAAATGATGGCAAATTGATGGCTATACCTGGAAGACTTTTTTTTTGATTGAATGCTCTATCCCAAAGTTATATGAGAGGTGGTCTCTGTGTGTCTATTGACTGCCTTGTGGATAGTATTTATGATTGATCCTCAGTGCTTTGGGAATTATGTAAAATAGTTTATATTACGAAAGTAATTCAACCTAGCATTAATTGTGTTAAGTGTTGAAAATGAAAAGTGTTGACTACATCTGAATGAATGAATATCTGGCCAACTGGTTTTGTTTTTTTGTTTGTTTGTTTGTTTGTTTTTGTTTTTACAGATGGAGACTCACTCTGTTGCCCAGGCTGGAATGCAGTGGCATGATCTTGGCTCACTGCAACCTCCACTTCCTGGGTTCTAGCAAGTCTCCTGTCTCAGCCTCCCGTGTAGCAGGGACTACAGGTACATGCCCCCACACCCAGCTAATTTTTTGTATTTTAGTAAAGACGGGGTTTCACCCTGTTGCCCAGGCTGGTCTTGAAATCCTGAGTTCAGGCAATCCACCCACCTCAGCCTCCCAAAGTGCTAGGATTACATGCTTGAGCCACCGCGCCCAGCCTAGCTTACAGTTTTATTGAAAACCCTATTTAACTCAAAACAGCTTGTTTCTTATGAATAATAGTCTTTGTTTGTTTGTTTTTACAAACGGCTATGAAATCATCAAGATTTGTGGATCATCAATAAAAGAAACATCCTGATAAAGTCGAGAAACAGAATATTTAAAAAGTTTAAAATAGAATTTTGAACTGTGACACTGTTACTTCTTATTTAAGAAAGACAAGCTGCGGGGGGAGGTGGCTCACACCTGTAATCCCAACACTTTGGGAGGCCGAGGTGGGTGTATCACGTGAGCCCAGGAGTTGGAGACCAGCCTGGGTAATATGGTGAAATCTTGTCTCTACTAAAAACACAAAAACTAGCCTGGCATGGTGTGTGCACCTGTAATTCCAGGTACTCGGGAGGCTGAGGCAGGAGACTCGCTTCAACCTGAGAGGCGGAGGATGCAATGAGCCGAGATTGCAGCACCATGCTCCAGCCTGGACTATAGAGCAATACTTGGTCTCAAAAAAAAAAAAAAAAAAAAAAAAAGGATAAGCAAACCAATTATGATGAAATAATTGCCTTACAAAATTGCAGAAATAGGCCAGGCGTGGTGACTCACGCCTGTAATCCCAGCAATTTGGGAGGCCGAGGCAGGCGCATCACCTGAGGTCGGGAGTTTGAGACCAGTCTGGCCAAAATGGCGAAACCCCGTCTCTACTAAAAATACTAAGTTAGCCAGGCGTGGTGGCACACACCTGTAATCCCAGCTACTCGGGAGGCTGAGGCAGGAGAATCATTTGAGTCCCGGAGACGGAGCTTGCAGTGAGCTGAGATCATGCCACTGCACTCCAGCCTGGCTAACACAGCAAAACTCTGTCTCAAAAAAAAAAAAAAAAAAAAAAAGAAAAAGAAAAGAAAAGATTACAGAAATCATTGTAAAACCCCATAGTGCTTTATACTTGCTGAAACTGTCACAGGACTCACATGAGAGACGGTAACTTCAATAGTGATGTAATACATTGCCACTATTTCACAATCACTCCTATTGAGCAATAATTCAATTCAAAGATGCATTAATGAGATGTCAGGTAATACCAAAGAGTAGCTGATTAATCAAGTAAGTTTCCTATTCAGATCAATGAAATCAGTTACTGAGAGTAAGGCCTGACAATAGGACATGTTTGTTATTTCAATAATGACTGCAAACTAGAAGAAGAGATATTGTTTGTAAAATCTTTAGACGCTGACCGTACCAGAGCATCTATTCTTGCTGCTATAAAAACTTGGTTTGGGGCTGGGAGCAGTGGCTCACGCCTGTAATCTCAGCACTATCATTTTCTCACATGAATCGGAAAATGCCGACGTCTGCATCCTAAATCTAAACTAATTTCCCACTCACTTGCTAAGCTTCAGTCACACCAGGCTGCTTTCTGTTTCTGGAATGCTCCAAGTGCTCTCTGATTTTTCAGGGCCTTCAGTGTAACTGTGCCTCTGCTTGGAATACCCTTCCACACTGATGGCTCCTCACCACCAAAGCTCGAGGGTTATCTCTCAGACACCCGTCCTATCAATGCTACGGGAAAGATCCCTCAAGTTACTGCTTATACCACCTATTGATATATTTCATAGTATTTATCACAATATAAAATTACTTCATTTTCCCCTTTTAATTTAAAATCTTTTTTTTTTCTCCAGACAAGAATGTAAACCTCATGTGGGCAGCAGACATGTCTGCTTACTTTTTTTTGAGACGGAGTCTGGCTCTGTCACCCAGGCTGGAGTGCAACGGCGCGATCCCGGCTCACTGCAACCTCTACCTCCCGGGTTCAAGCGATTCTGCTGTCCCAGCCTTCCAAGAAGCTGAGATTACAGGCGCCCACCAGGCCCGGCTAATTTTTGTATTTTTAGTAGGGGAGCAGTCGGGCTCTGGACTACATTTCCCGGAGGATTCTGCAGGCCAATACCACGTCTCGCGAGATTTCGGCTTCCTCTTAGCCAGGTGGCAGATTCTTTCGCTGTGCCCAATTAGCTGCTGCCGCGCCTTGGAGTCCGGAGTAACTTGGCCAGGCTGGCCCCGAGCGGAACTGGAGAAAGCTGAGGGTGAGGAATCCGGCTCCGGTCCTTTTGTGTGTGGAGGGCTGAGGAGAGGAGTTTGCGTGTGTGATTGCCATGGTTGCCGTGGGTCTTCGTGGTCTGTGACTGTGGCTGCGTGGTGCTGACTCTGGGTGATCAAGTGGGCGCTTGTGACTGTGCGCGCTCGGAGTGGATGTGTGTGTCCTGGACGAGCCGCGTTGTGTGTGCGGATGTGGACAACCGGTGACTGTGTGGTTGGGGCTGCGTGTCCCAGGGTGGATGTGTGACTTTGCGTGTGTGTGCAGTACTGTGTGTGCGTGAGTTGCAGGTCTGTGGCTGTGCAGGTGCAACTTGTGTGGCCCCGTGGTCTGTGTGAGAGAGGAGAGTGTGACTGGCTGTGAGGCAGAGGGTAAGTGGATATAGGGAGGCATGTGTGTGATTGGAACTTTGTGTGTCCCCTTGAGAGAAAAAAACCTTTAGGGAGTTAGAGCGGGTCCTTGGTAAAACTCCTTTAAACAGAGAAACAGCCAGAAAAATCAGGCTGCAGGCACAGAGAAGGAAAACTAGCAAAGGGGGTTGTCCTAAAGACATTCCTCAGCTGCACTGATAAGGGACCGAGGCCCAACATAGAAATGCCTTTGTCCTTTGTGTGACCAGCGGGCTTCCAGGAAATAGTCGCTTTTTTGTGGGCATGTATACAGTGGGCTCTGTTAGATTTTGAAGGGAAGGCGAAGGTTAAAGAAAGAGAGTTGGCGGCTCTATGGAGGGGACCAACTAAATGCCAGAGCCCACTGCCGCTTACAAGCTGGAGTAATTATAGGCCTGGGCAGGAGGGGTCTGGGCAGTATAGCTTGTTGCCTGGGAGAATGTTGGTAAGGATGTTTCTTGGGCCTTTCCCCAGCAGGATGTGATAAGGAAGTCAGGCGGTTGGGGAGGATGTTTCTCGCAGCCCAAACCCCAGTGGAATGTTTCCCTCTGAACAGGGTCTGTGAAATGGTGGGGGCTTACAAATCGGTGCAGCTTGGACTAACAGGCTCCGGCGGCCACTTTGTTTTCTGGACATGCTTTGGACTGTGAGCCGAGCCTCTATGAATCATCACTTCAGCCTCTGATTGGTCCTGGGCCAAACTTTCACTTCAGCCCCTGATTGGTCTTGGGCCAAAATTTCACTTCAGCCTCTGATTGGTCCCAGGCTAAGGTCCCGGGCCAAGCGAAGTCGTGCTATCTCCAAGACAGCTCACAGACCAGTGAGCACATTCTTCCTCTTCCCAGTTCACAAAACCCCCAGATTCAGCCTCCTAGTTGGCAACCCTCTTTCGGGTCCCCTCTCTGCTGGGGAGAGCTTTCTTCTTTTGCTTATTAAACTTCTGTTCCAAACTCATTCTTTGTGTCCACGTTCCTTAATATTCTTGGCTGTGAGAGAAAGAAGGCAAAGACAAGAGCCTTTATCCTAACAACTCAATTGTTGGAGAGAAGATTCATGCATATTCTATGTGGCATCACACGCCATAGCCCTGGGATTGAAAGCCATGCAGTTTAAGGGATGGTGTTAATCTCAGTCCAAATAGGTAATAAGATCTTTCACGTTGCTATATTTTAGGGGTAGGAATGAGATTGGGGGTTTGATCAATAGTTTGTACCCATAGGACCAGGGATTTGCCCAGTCATCTGTGAGTAAATGCTTGGGCCAGTTTCCATGCCTGTATTGAATTAAATACTCATACGGTTCTGTGATTTTGTCAAATACAAATTTGGTCTTTGTCCCTATTTCCTGGCATACAACTCCTAAAATCCTTGGAATGTCCTAAGGGCTTGCTGTTTTTTTTTTTTTTTTTTTTTTTTTTTTTTTGAAACGGAGTCTTGCTCTGTAACCCAGGCTGGAGTGCAGTGGCGCAATCTCCACTCACTGCAACCTCTGCCTCCCGGGTTCAAGCAATTCTTCTGCTTCAGCCTTCCGAGTGGACTACAGGCATGTGCCACCATGCCCGGCTAATTTTTGTCTTTGTTTTCTTCTTTAGTAGAGACGGGGTTTCACCATATTGGCCAGTCTGGTCTCGAACTCCTAACCTCAAGTGATCTGCCTGCCTCGGGCTCCCAAAGTGTTGGGATTACAGGCGTGAGCCACCGCACCCAGGCTTTGGCTTTTTATATGTTAGTGATTGACCGATAGCTTCAGGATGTGGACTGGTCATCAGAAAGACCAAGGCAGGATTAGAGGGTTGGGACTTTCAGCCCCTACCCTCCCACCCCTGGGGAGTGGAGGGGACTGAGGATTAAGTTGATGGCAAGTGGCTAATGGTTTAATCAATCATGCATATGTAATGAGGCCACCTTACAAACCCCAAAGGAGTGGATTCGGAGAGCTTCCAGAGAGCTGAACACATGGAGGTTCCTGGAGGGTTGTGCCCAGGGAGGGGATGGAAGCTCTGTGCCCCTTCCCCCATACCTCGTGCTAGGCATCTCTTCATCTATATCCTTTGGAATATCCTTATAATCAAATAGTAAATGTGTTTCCGTGAGGTTTGTGAGCCATTTTATTCTAGCAAATTAATCAAACCAAAGAGGAGGTCATAGGAACCCCAAATTAAACCCATCAGTCAGAAGTTCCAGAGGCTGGGACTTGTGACTGGTGTCTGAAAGGGGGGCAGTTTTGGGGGCTGAGCCCTCAATCTGTGAGGTGACACTGTCTTATGGCAGATAGTGTCAGAATCGAATTGGTGGACACCCAGCTGGTGTCTGCTGCAGAACTGATTCCTTGCTTGGTGAAAGGGAGAAATCGCCTCATATTTTGAGGCCACAGAAGTCTTCTGGGTAGATTGTTGTGTTTTTGGTGTGAAGCAGAGGAAGAACACAGGTTGAGTTTTTTCCAAATGGGTTCACATTGGGGGTCCTCAACCTCAAATCCATCAACTCCATCGCTGAATTTTTATTTATGTATTTATTTTTATTTATGAGGTAGAGTCTCACTCTGTCTCCCAGGCTGGAGTTCAGTGGCACGATCTCAGCTCATTGCAGCCTTGATCTCCTATGCCCAAGAGATCCTTCTACCTCAGCCTGCCAAATAAGCTGAAACCAGAGGCACACACTAGCACTATGGTGTAATTAAAAATAATTTACAGTAGAGAAGAAGACTCACTATGTTGTCTGGGCTGGTCTTGAACTCCTGAGTTCAAGTGATCCTCCCCCTCTGCCTCCAAAGTGCTATGATTACAGGCATGAGCTGCCTCACCTATCACTGATTTTCTTTTTCTTTCTTTCTTTCTTTCTCTTTCTTTCTTTCTTTCTTTTTTTTTTTTTTGACAGAGTCTCACTCTGCCTTGCCTAGGCTGAACTGCAGTGGTGCAATCTTGGTTCACTGCAGCCTCCACCTCCCAGATTCAAGTGATTCTCCTGTCTCAGCCTCCTGAATAGTTGGGATTACACGTGCCCGCCACCACACCAGACCAATTTTTGTATTTTTAGTAGAGACAGGGTTTCACCGTATTGGCCAGGCTGGTCACGAACTCCTGATCTCAGGTGATCTACCTGCCTTGGCCTCCAAAAGTGCAGTGGCAGGGTCAGGGCATACTGCAGCCTTGACCTCTGGGGCTGAAGGGATCCTCCCTCCTCAGCCTCCCAAGTATCTGGAGTATAGGCATATGGCACCATGCCAGGCTAATATTTGTAATTTTTGCACAGACGGGGTTTTGCCATGTTGCCCAGTCTGGTCTTGAACTCCTGAGCTCCAACAATCTTCCCACCTGAGCCTCCCAAAGTTCTGGGATTACAGGGAAGAGCCACTGCACCCGGCCTATCACTGCATTTTTAAAGGGAAGGAGGACTATAGTGAGATTCACTAAGGCTTACAGAAAAGGTAGAACCCCAGATAGATTTAAAGACAGAGATTATAATATTCTTGAGATGATAATATCCAAATTTAGCTTTCATAGATAGGGAAATTTGAAGTACATCAGACTATAAGTTGGCATTTTGTGCAACTAATTAAAACTACGTTTGAAAGAGAGCAATTGCATATTTGTTACTGAGTAATATTAAGCAACCATGAAAATAAATAGAAATAACCAAGAAATTGTTATATTTAAATCCTCCCTCCTTTTTTGGAAAGAGAAGTATTGATATTTTTGGATTCTAATCAAAACTTCTCTTTTAAAATAAAATTGATGATTCTATGGAGATAGGGAGGGAATAACCTATGTTTATTGAACACCTAATATTCCACTTACCCAAATGTCATTTATTCTATATTCTAGGTTTTTGTTGAGACAGGGTCTTTCTTGCTCTGTTACCAAGCCTAGAGTGCAGTGGGGTGGTCACAGCTCACAGAGGTATACCACCATGCCTGGCATTTTATTTTATTTTATTATTTTAATTATTTTATTTTATTATTATTTTATTTTATTTTATTTTATTTTATTTTATTTTATTTTATTTTATTTTATTTTATTTTAATTTTTGCAGAGACGGTGTCTCCCTATATTTCCCAGGCTTGACTTGAACTTCTGGGATCAAGCAATCCTCCTGCCTTGGCATCCCAAAGTGCTGGGATTATACGCATAAGCCACTGTGTTCAGCCAATATTATAGTCTTGATAGTAGAAGTGTCTCAGTGTACTGGAAAACTTTGTCTAAATTTTGAAAAAATATTACAAAACACGTTGGTTTTATTTGGCCAATACTGATTTCTTTGCTCCATCATTATTTATTGGCATTATTAGCCTGTTGACTTTCAATTTCCTTACATCCCTTTCACTCCATTTCTTTTGTTTTGCACCCCAAATAGAAACTCTTTTTTTTTTTTAGATGGATTCTCGCTCTTGGCTCTTGTGACCCAGGCTAGAGTGCAGTGGTGCAGTCTTATCACTGTAATCTTCACCTTCCAGGTTCAGGCAATTCTCCTGCCTCAGCCTCCCAAGTAGCCTAGATTACAGGCATGCGCCACTACACCCTGCTAATTTTTTGTATTCTTTTTTTTTTTTCTTGAGATGCAGTTTCACTCTTGTTGCCCAGGCTGGAGTGCAATGGCATGAACTCTGCTCACTGCAACTTCTGCCTCCCAGGTTCAAGTGATTCTCCTGCTTCAGCCTCCCAAGTAGCTGGGATTAGAGGGTGAGCCACCACACCCGACTAATTTTTGTATTTTTAGTAGAGACAGGGTTTTGCCATGTTGGACAGTCTGGTCTGGAACTCCTGATCTCAAGTCATCCACCTGCCTTGGCCTCCCAAAGCGCTGAGATTACAGGCATGAGCCACTGTGTCCAGCTTTTTTGTATTTTTATATTTATTTATATTTTGATAGACAGTCTGGCTCTGTTGCCCAGGCTGGAGTGCAGTGGCACAGTCTCGGCTCACTGCAACCTCCGCCTCCCAGGCTGAAGTGATTCTCCTGCCTCTGACTCCCCAGTAGCTGGTATTACAGGCACCTGCTACCACACCTGGCTACCTTTTGTATTTTAATTAGAGACAGGGTTTCACCATGTTGGCCAGGCTGGTCTTGAACTCCTGACCTCAGGTGATCTGCCCACCTTGGCCTCCCAAAGTGGCCTTGCTTGAGGCCAGGAGTTTGAGACCAGCCTGGCCAACATGGTAAAACCTGCTCTTTACCAAAAATACAAAAAAAAAATTAGCCAGGTATGGTGGTGTGTGCCTGTATTCCAAGCTACTTTGATGGTTGAGTCACAAAAAACACTTGAACCCAGGAGGCAGAGGTTGCAGTGAGCTGTGATCACCTCACTGCACTGTAGCCTGGGTAACAGATTGAGACTTGTCTCAAGAAAAAAAAAATTCTTGGCAGGACGTGGTGGCTCACACCTGTACTCCCAGCATTTTGGGAGGCCAAGGTGGGTTGATCACCTGAGGTCAGGAGTTTGAGACCAGCCTGACTAACATGGAGAAACTCTGTCTCTCCTAAAAATACAAAATTAGCTGGGCGTGGTGCTGCGTGCCTGTAATCCCAGCTACTCAGGAGGGTGAGGCAGGAGAATCGCTTGAACCCAGGAGGCAGAAGTTGCAGTGAGCCGAGATCACACCACTGCACTCCAGCCTGGGCAACAAGAGCAAAACTCCGTCTCAAAAAAAGAAAAAAAAATCTTTACTTTGGATAAATACTTAGAAATGGAATTTCCAGGTCGGCCTTTAGATATTATTAATGGATTTAATATGAAAAACCTTTACTTGAGGATGTATAAAGCTTTAAAAGACAGGGTCCCTATTCTTAAGTTATAAGTAAAGCAGCATTTGTAAGGTAATATTCAGAAAACATCAGATAATATCCTATAAAGTCCTCCTGTTCTTGCTGATGACATTGGATGGCCAGTTAAGGATGACACTTCATTCTGTCCTCTGCAACCACGGTCCTGACATGTCTAAATGATACTTGCCCTATGAGAACACTGTGGATGTGAAAGCATTTCCTCAGGTTATCTTTTTGACCTGCTGGTTTTAATCTAATGATGGGATATCCAAAGTGAATCTAACTGAGTGACATGATTGTGGATCTGTTGGGGGGAATCAGAGACAGCTAGAGCAAGGGCAGACACGTGCTGAACTCATCTGTCTTAAGAGCCGAAGAAAGCAGCAGTGTTACTAGCAGAGCTACTGCACATCTGTACACGTGGCTCCAATGGCTCTGACCTGTTTTTTTCCCAGTATGAACCTAATACATGAGGCAAGTTAGAAAATCAGAGTTGGCCAGGCATGGTGGCTCATGCCTGTAATCCTAGTACTTTGGGACCCAACGTGGGTGGATCACTTGAGGCCACGAGTTCGAGACCATCCTCGGCAACACAGTGAAACCCCGTCTCTACTAAAATTACAAAAATTAGCTGGGTGTGGTGGCAGGCACCTGTAATCCCAGCTATGGGAGGCTGAGGTTGCAGTGAGCCAAGATCAGGCCACTGCACTTCAGCCTGGGTGACAGAGCAAGGCTGTCTCAAGACAAAAAAAAAGGGAAAGGAAAGGAAAGAAAATCACAGCTTGTTAGGCACTTGCAGCTAAACACATATGCACAAAAATTATTCAGTAAAAGCAAAACAGTTTTGGTGTATCTTGAGATTTTGTTTTATATCCAAAGGAAGACTATATCTTTCATCTTTGAACTAGTCTTTGGAAAATGCCTTCTATATAACAAATGTTATAGTTTTCTTCTAATTAGGTCTTGAGGTCTCTCAGGAGAATGGCTATAAACTCTACCTCACTCTAATGGGGCTCTAGGGGAGGGGCCTGTGGGTCTTTAGAGTAGCCTTTCACTGGACATTTCTTTTTCCTGGACCACAGCCTAATGCTCAAGTATCTGACCCATGACCAGGTGTCTCACAGGAAACTTGTTTATACTGGCAGATGCCCTTGTAACTTTTGTCTGACCTGTGTGCAGTTTATTCCTACCATGATACCCACTCTTTTTTTTTTTTTTTTTGAGATGCAGTCTCCATCTGTTACCAGGCTGGAGTGCTGTGGCATGACCTTGGTTCACTGCAACCTCCACCATCTGGGTTCAAGCAATTCTCCTGCCTCAGCCTCCCGAGTAGCTGGGACTACAGGCACGTGCCACCATGCACAGCTAATTTTTGTATTTTTAGTAGAGTCAGAGATTCACCATGTTGTCCAGGATGGTTTTGATCCCTTGACCTCATGATCTGCCCTACTCAGCCTCCCAAAGTTCTGGGATTACAGGCGTGAGCCACCGCACCTGGCCTTTTTTTTTTTTTTTTTTTTTGAGACAGGATCTTGCTCTGGTGCCTAGGCTGGAGTGCAGTGGCAGGATCACAGCTCACTGCGGCCTTGACCTCCTAGGCTCAAGCAACCCTCCCACCTCAGCCTCCCAAGTAGCTGGGACTAGAGGCATGTCCCACTACATCTGGCTAATTTGTATATGATATGTATTTTTGTAGAGATAGGGTTTTGCCATGTTGCCCAGGTTGATCTTGAACTCCTGAGTTCAAGCAATTCACCTGCCTTGGCCTCCCAAAGTGCTGTGATAACAGGTGTGGGTTACCACACCCAGCCAATGTACATTTAATTATCGAAGTGCTATCTATACTATTTTATGGAAGTACTAATTATCAAAGTGCAATAGAGGTTTTGTTGTTGTTGTTGTTGTTTTTCTTTTGAGACAGAGTTTCACTCTTATTGCCCAGGCTGGAGTGAGTGGTGCGATCTCGGCTCACTGCAACCTCCACCTCCCAGGTTCAAGCGATTCTCCTGCCTCAGCCTCCCAAGTAGCTGGGATTACAGACATGTGTCACCACACCCAGCTAATTTTATATTTTTAATAGAGACTAAAATGGTCTCTCCATGTTGGTCAGACTGGTCTCGAACTCCTGACCTCAGGCGATCCATCCGCCTTGGCCTCCCAAAGTGCTGGGTTTACAGGTGTGAGCCACTGTGCCCGGCCAATAGAGGTTTTTAACCTTTTTGTAGATATTTTTGAAAGATCCTGTCTTCCTTTAAGAAAAGAGACAAGGCTGGGTGTGGTGGCTCATGCCTGTAATCCCAGCACTTTGGGAGGCCAAAGCAGGTGGATTGCTTGAGCTCAGGAGTTTGAGAGTAGCCTGGCCAAATGGCAAACCCTCATTTCTACTAAAAAAAAAAAAAAAAATTAGCTGGACATGGTGGCGCACGCTTATAATCAAAGCTAATCAAAGCTAAGGTGAGAGGATCACCTGAGCCTGGGAGGTTGCGGCTGCAGTGAGCTGTGATTGTGCCACTGCACTCCAGCCTGGGCAACAGAATGAGACCCTGTCTCAAAGTGAAAACAAAAACAAAAAAATGAAACAAGAGAAAAAAAAACAAGAAAGAAAATGGTAAGGGGGAAGTGCCTATTTATTAAGCTTTTGTTGTAAATAGTAACTTGCATATCAGATGTTTACTGTAATATTCTTGAAGCTTTGCCAAGCCTACAGCTTGCTGTGTGCTTTTCAACTCTATTTCATTTATTTGGGAAATAATATATCAATGTACTTTATTCATTCCCAGCTCTAACCATGGAATACTGGGAATGTCCCTTTCTGTGAAGGAGGTTTGTCAGCCACAACAGGAATATTCATGAACATGAAGGTACTTTGTTGAAGTCACACTAATTTTTTTACTCTTCCCCACTCTCAGCCTAGCCGGTCTGCACACTACATTCTCTCCATCCTTCAGCACCCTTCCATCTCTTCCTTCATCTTAAAAACCTTTCCTTTAATTTCAACAGCGCTGCCTGGGTTTGTCATTTCAGGGGTTGGGCATGTTCCAGGATCTGTCTATCGACTTCTCTCAGGAGGAATGGGAGGGCCTGGACACTGCTCAGAAGGACTTATAGAGAGATGTAATGATGGAGAACTATAGCAGCCTGGTCTCACTAGGTAAGGATGTCTATCCCCAAATAACTCATGAGTTTTGGCTGTAGCTTTCACTTGTCTGGGTGACTTTTCACCTGCTGCCTAGGGAATTGTTTTGTGTTTAGTAGATTAATAGATGGGCAGCTCTTTGGGGTCCTTCCATCTTCTCCATGCTTCAGACCTTTACACCTTCCTCTAGTCCTTCGTGAGTACTAAGGGACTAACTTTGAATTCAGGAACAGCAGGAGTATGTCTTACTTCTTTTCTTTCTTTCTTTCTTTCTTTCCTTCTTTTTTACTTACTTTCTTTCTTTCTTTTTCTTCTTTCTTTCTTTTTTTTTTTTTTGAGATGAAGTCTCACTCTATCGCCCAGGCTGGAGTGCAATGGTGCGATCTCGGTTCACTCCAACCTTCATCTTGGGTTCAAGCAATTCTCACGTCTCAGCCTCCTGAGTAGCTGGGATTACAGGCACTGGCCACCATGTCTGGGCAATTTTTGTGTTTTTAGTAGAGACGGGATTTCACCATGTTGGTCAGTCTGGTCTTGAACTCCTGACCTCAAGCAATCCACCTGTTTTGGCCTCCTAAAGTGCTGGGATTACAGGAGTGAGCCACTATGCCTGGCCATCTTACTTCTTTTCTTATAAACAGGTCTCTCTATCCCAAAGCCTGATGTGATTTCCTTACTGGAGCAAGGGAAAGAGTCCTGCATGGTTTCAAGGGACGTACCAGGAGGATGGTGCCCAGGTGAGTAAGGACTGAGCAGATGGGGAAGGCACTGCTGTTTAGAACCCAGCCCATCAGGGAGGCAGCACCATAAAGGTATTGGTTGAGGAATCTCTTCTGCAAGGTCCCATGTAAGAGTTGTGGCCTAAGACACATGGAGGAAAGTCAAGATACCCCCACCACACACATTTTTTTTAATTTTTTTAATTTGAGAGAGATTCTTTCTCAGTCACCCAGGCTGGAGAACAGTGATGCAATCTCGGCTCACTGCAACCTTCACCCGCGGGTTGAAGCGATTCTCCTGCCTCAGCCTCTAAAGGAACTGGCATTATAGGCACCTGCCACCATGCCCAGCTAATTTTTGTATTTTTAGTAGAGAAGGCGTTTCACCATGTTGGCTAGGCTGGCCTCGAACTCCTGACCTCAGGTGATTCACCTGCCTTGGCCTCTGAAAGTGCTGGTATTACAGGTGTGAGCCACTGTGTCTGGCCAAGAACCCCCTTTTACCTCCACCTCTTGGACAGTCTGTGCTACCCTCTTGTCATAATTTCTTTCCATTTCAAAGAATAATGCTCCCTTCTTCAGAAGCCATCCTGTTTCCTCTATCTTGGAGCTACTTCTTTCCCTTTAAAATTTAAACCCATGTAGTTGCTTTAAAAACAAATCTTTTAGAATATATTTATTTTTCATACTGATCCTTGACTTTTTTTTGCCTTGTCTTTTCTTGTCTAGTTTTCCTTTAATGCAGCCATTTCATGCATCAATGGATATTCATTCAGCACTCTTTTTTTTTTTTTGGATACAGAGTCTCACTCTGTAGCCCGGGCTGGAGTGCAGTGGTGTGATCTTGTCTCACTGGAAGCCAATAAGAAACGCTTGGGGATGACCTCCCTACAAGCACAGGAAAACCATTCCTGCGCATTTCTGCGCTGGAACGCCTACCTTTAGTGCCGTTTCCTGCGCTTTCTTGCAGATTTGTATCAGGCACTGGAGAACCTCCCACCTGGTCCATGCCCGGCTCCCGGTGAGCACCGAGACCCAACCTTGTGCACAGCCAGTCTTGTCATCAACAAACAGGGTAGTAAATTATAAAAAATAAAATAAAGGAAATGTAGCTGGGCGTGGTGGCATGCGCCTGTAATCCCAGCTACTCCGGAGGCTGATGCAGGAGAATCGCTTGAACCCAGGAGGTGAAGGTTGCAGTGAGGCGAGATCGCGCCACTGCGCTCCAGCGTGGATGGCAAGAGCGAAACTCCTTCTCGAAATAATAAATAAAATAAAGGAAATAGGGCCGGGCATGGTGGCTCACGCCTGTAATTCCAGCACTTTTGGTGGCCGAGGCGGGCAGATCACTTGAGGTCAGAAGTTCGAGACCAGTCTGGCCAACATGGTGAAACCCCTTCTCTACTAAAAATAAACAATTAGCCAGGCATGGTGGCGGGAGCCTGTAATCCCAGCTATTTGTGAGGCGGAGACACAAGAATCGCTTGAATCCCGGAGACAGAGGTTGCAGTGAGCCGAGCTCGTGCCACTGCGCTCCAGCCTGGGCGACAGAGCAAGACTCCATCTTAAAATAAAATAGGCCGGCCGAGGGTGCTCATGCCTGTAATCACAGCATTTTGGAGGCTGAGGCGGGTGGATTGCCTGAGCTCAGGAGTTCAAGACCATCCTGGCCTACATGGTGAAACCCCATCTCTACTAAAAATGCAAAAATTAGCCGGGCATGGTGGCGCATGCCTGTAATCCTAGCTACTTTGGAGGCTGAGGCAGGAGAACAGTTTCAACCCAGGAGGCGGAAGTTGCAGTGAGCCGAGACCGCCACATTGCACTCCAGCTTGGGCAAGAGGATTGAAACTCCATCACAAAAATAAATAAATAAATAAATAAATAAATAAATATAAAAGAAATAGACAAAGCAAATCTTAATGCATGAACTCAAACAAATGCTTTCACTGCCAGGCTCCATCTTTGCAAAACTGAACCTAGGACAATGTGAACGTTTCTAACTAGCAATTCTGGAGGACAGATCAGGGAGGCAGCGTGAGCTTGCTTTTCTGCAATTTAATTGACTGGTCAGTAAAGTCAGTGTTTGCAGGCATTTTCAATGTTCTATAGTGGGCTTCAGTGCCTGTGGCAGGCCAGGTTTGCAATAGCAACCAGAACAGTTTCTACTAACCCTTTACTATAATTTTGATGAATGCATAAGTTAACGTTAAAGAAATGGAGAAACTGGTGCCTGAGTATCACGGATGGAATGTGAAAACAAACCCACTGAGACCCCGTCTGGGTTTTCTCAGACCCTAAAATCTGATCGAATAATGATAGCGTTCGTACACATTCACCTCGGCCTGTCTTAAGATTCAAAAACTTTCCAAGACTCTAGGGAAATCTTTCCAGACGCTAGACCCGAGTTAAAGATTAGATGTTGATTGAATGAAACACTCCTGCTTGTAGGTGCAATCCCACATGGAGCTTAAGATATATATAAGCACTAGAAAAAAAAACTTGTAACTTTGAGTTGATCTGGTGATTTACCTGGCGCTTCTCCCTGTAAGTGGCTGCAGAAATAAACTTCCTTCTTTCCCAGTCTGTCTGTATCTTAGTATTGAACAATTGCGATGGAGCTGCCCAGCAAAGTCCTCTTCTATGTGGTTATCTGGGACTCCTTTTGGAGGGAACATTTTAAATTTTCCATTTCAAAGCATTCTGTTGGCCTTCTTACACTGTTTTTCTCTGCCTATCCTGGGACCTGAGTTCTCCTGGACATGAATCTGCAGCCACAGAGCCTAGAAGCTCATTCCTCCACATTCTGTGACTGTTCCCCAAACACAGGGAGAATTTGCAGAAAATAAGCCCAAAAATCTTGCCATTCTTTGCAATAAAACCCCACATTACAAACTGCTGAAAACAGGATTTTAGCCTGAATAGGTTGTTCCTCTATTTGAAAGCCTTTACAATTTCGGAGGGAAGTTTCCAAATCAATCAGTAAGTACCCCCCACTCCAGGTTTATCCTTATGTAAAGTGCCCCCTTTGCACATGCAAGATTGAATAAACCTTGAAAATATTATGCTAAGTGAAAGAAGCCGGTCACAAAGGACCACATGGTATGTAATTCCATTTAAATAAAATGTCCAAAATAGACCAACACATAGAAACAGAAAGTAGATTTGTGGTGGCCCAGGATTAGGGGAGTTGGGGGGAAATGGAGGGATATGGTGTTTACTTCAGGGTAATGAAAATGATCTAAAATTTATTGTGGTGATGTTTGCATAACAGTGCAAATATACTGAAAACCACTGAATTTTACACTTTAAATCAGTGGCTTCTGTGGTATGTTATCAATATTTCTCAATAAAACTTCAAAAAAATAGTGCCTATCTGTCTTTTTGTGTATTATTCCTCCAGAGTCCAGTCCATAGTTTTTACATTTGACGAAGAAATTAAGATTTTCTTTCTTCTTCCTCTTCTTTTTTTTTTGAGACAGAATCTCCCTCTGTTGCCCAGACTGGAGGGTATTGGCACAATCTTGGCTCAGTGCAACCTCCAGGCTAATTTTTGTATTTTTAGTAGAGACAGCGTTTCACCATGGTGGCTACACTGGTCTCACACTTCTGACCTCAAGTGAGTCCCCCACCTTGGTTTCCAAAATTGCTGTGATTACAGGCATGAGCCACCGCACCCAGCCCAAGATTAAGTTTTGTTGTTTTGATGCCCTAGGGACATCTTATTCTACCTTAATTTCTGACGCATCATCTCGGTGGAAATTTTACATTAGGCCCCAAAGTATTTTCCTCTTTTTAAGATTTTATCAGCTGAGTACAGTGGCTCACACCTGTAATCTCAGTACTTTGGGAGGCCAAGGTGGGAGGATCAGTTGAGCCCAGGAGTTCAAGACCAGTCTCTGCAATATAGTGAGACACACATATCTACAAAAAAATTTTAATTAGGTGGGCATATTGGTGCATGCCTGTGGTCTCAGCTTACTACATAGGCTGAGGAGGGAGGATCACTTGAGCCCAGGAGGTTGAGGCTACAGTGGCCATGATTATACCACTGCACTCCAGCCTGGGGGACAGAGCGATAACCTGTCTTAAAAAAAAAATTGATTGGAATTTTTTTTAGAAAACAAAGTATACACTTAGTGACTTGATACAAATGAATGAATTTGATAACTTACAGAAACCAAAACAAATAAATAAATAAAAACCCAAAGCCATTCTTCTTATGTGAATCTCTGGTGTCTCTGAATTATAAGAATTGTGAATTATGATTAATAACAAATACGCATGACAAGGACTCAGTAAGGGATAGGCATTAATAAACTGCAATGCATACTTACTGGAGTAAGGCCTTTAAAGATGTACAAGAAAAAGAAAGAAAAGGCATTGAAAAATTGCATTGCCTACCAAAATGCTAAAGTTTACCTAAGTCCATTAATCAGCACACACACACACACACACACACACACACACACACACAGGCAATGGGTGTGTAAAATGGTCAACACAGTCTCCTATGAATGTATCCTTTTATTAATAGGTCTGTGGGGGTAAGAGATGAGGTTCTGTAGATCCTGGAATCAGGGATGGGGAATCTGTGGGGTCCCTGGGGTGAGAGATGACAATCTGTAGATTATGATGGGTAGTCTTTGGGATAGTGATGAGATCCATGGAATCAATTCTTGTGGGTATGTAGGGTCAGTGATGAGGGAATCTGGTGTCAGTGATGGGATGTGTGTGGAATCAATCTGTGAAAGCCAGATTTGTGGTGTCATCTCTCAGGCTGACACATCCTGATCTGTGTGTCAGTGGTGGAAATTCTATGAGGTCAGAGTGTGACTGTGAGGTCCCTGACACTGTGTGTTCTGGGTCTGGCCAAGTGCATAGATTCCCTTGCCTGGTCCTGGCTGGAGAGGCCCTTCTCAAGGACTCCTCACATGAAAGGTGGGTTGGCGGTGGGTTTTGTTTTTGTTTTTGTTTTGTGGAGGTGGGGGTGGGTTGGCTTTTTCTTTAGGGTTTAGTTTTGCCTCTTAGAGATCACAGACACATCCAGCTTTTAGGAAGAAATTTTTGTCTGAGTGGTCGCTAGGTCCTTTGGGCCAAGCCATCTAATGGGAGTAAAGCTGACCATTCCCTCAGCGCGGTTCACATCTAGGCAGTCGTTTTAAGGTGTCCTCAAGGTGGTGTGCAAGTGGGTTGTGGCTTTGAGTGGCAGGTGTGCGGGAAGAAACAACTAAGAAGACCCAGGAGCGCTCCTAGGCTGGATCTGTCACAGCTGGAAGAACAGCCTCCCTAACCCATCAGGCGCCAATGGGATGTACCTCTGGGCTGTGAGAGGCTGGTGGAGTTGGGACCTCCAGACCTAGAGATTATGGGCACAGAAACCTATTACTGCCAGACGCTGAGGCGTTGCCATGGGATCCAAGGGTGTTTCGGGTCAGCTCAGAGCCTTTCTCAGATAATTGTTTCGGTAACTGGGGAGCTGCTGTCCAGCACACGCCCCTATGAAGGCTTAATGTGCCGTCTCCCGCAGAGTCTTCTTTGGTCTGAGAGCCACTTGTTTCTTACATCCCTGTGCTAATCTCTCCATCTGCTCCTACATACTCCAGGCATTTGCCACATGCTGGTCCTCTCTTTCCTGACAGGCGAGCCGTCTCTCCAGCTTCTGTGAGGACAGTTCAAATTATGGAGGAGGGGGCAGGTGAAGGGCAGCAGTGCTGAGGGGAGTACCAGGCAGTTGGGGGAGCAGGGGCTCATTTTTCTTTGTAGCTCAGATTCCTAAGCCTGTGACTTTGAGTATCGGTGTCTTCCTTGCAATGTTTCAATCTGAGGTTCTTGGGGAGAGTGCAGAATTGGAGCCCGATGGAAGCCTGATGGGGAGAGGGTTGGGTGGAGGGCACATGGAGAATGTGTCAGGTGTGTCTATTCCTGGAACCTTACTTTGCCTGCTGGAGTTTCCCAGTCTGTTCCAGATGCACTCTCTCGACCCTGAAGGGACCTGAGGGGGGATGTTGGTCGCCAGTGTGTGCTCCCCTGGACTCGATTGGAATTGGTCCCACAAAGTGTTATTTATTTATTTATTTATTTATTTATTTATTTATTTATTTATTTGGAGGGAGTCTCCCTCTGTCACCCAGGCTGGAGTGCAGTGGGACAATCTCAGCTCACTGCAACCTCTGATTCCCAGGTTCAAGTGATTCTCCTGTTTCAGCCTCCCTAGTAGCTGGGACTACAGGTGTCCGCCACCACACCTTGCTAAATTTTTTATTTTTAGTAGAGGCAGGGTTTCACAATGTTGATCAGGCTGGTGTCGAACTCCTGACCAGGTGATCGACCCACCTTGGCCTCTCAAAGTGCTGGGATTACAGGCGGGAGCCATCACACCCCGCCAATCCCACAAATTTAGGCATTATGGTACATTGCTACTTTTGAATCACTTATTTTTTTAGTTGTGTTTTCCCCCCTCCTTTTATTGATTGATTGACACAGAGTCTCACTGTTTCACCCAGACTGAACTGCAGTGGCACAATCTCGGTTCATTGAAACCTCTGCTTCCCGGGTTCAAGCGATTCTCCCACCTCAACCTTCCAAGTAGCTGGGATTACAGGTGCATGCCATCATGCCTGGCTAATTTTTGTATTTTCAGTAGGGACAGGGTTTCACCATATTGGCTAAACTGGTCTCGAACTTCTGACCCCAAGTGATCCTCCTGCCTTGGCCTCCCCAAGTGCTGACATAAGCATGAGACTCCTTGCCTGGACTTCCCTCCTTTTCCTTCAGGGATTTTAAATGTTTTCTTTCCTCCATCTATTTAATTATATGTGATTGCCTTGAGGATTTCAGCTTGAATTAAAATTACATATATTTACCTGTCTTTATTAATATTTAAACATATTAGAATAATACATGTTCATAATGAAAATGAAACATTACAAATAAATACAAGGAAAGGCAGTATTCCCCCTCCAGTTCCACTATTGAAATAACCAGTTAACAAGATGATGAGCATCTTTCCACGATGTTCTCCAAGATTCATATAAGTATTGGCCAGCAAACAACAGAATATACAGGCCAGTCTTGGTGGCTCATGCCTGTAATCCCAGCACTTTGGGAGACTGAAGCAGGTGGATCTTTTGAGGTTAGGAGTTCGAGACTAACCTGGCCAACATGGTGAAACCCCATCGCTACAAAAAATACAAAAATTATTTGGGCACGGTGGCGAGCGCCTTAATCCCAGCTACTTGGGAGGCGGAGGCATGAGAATCTCTTGAACCTGGGAGGAGACGTTTGCAGTGAGCCAATATTGCATTAATGCACCCCAACCTGGATGATAGACTGAGATTCCATCTCAATAAATAAGTAAATACATAAAATAAAGAGAAAAAAAGAAAGATGAAAGAAAGAAAAAGAAAGAAAGAAAGAAGAAAGAAAGAAAGAGAAAGAAAGAAAGAGAAAGAAAGAGAAAGAAAGGAAGAAAGAAAGAAAAAGAGAGAAGTAATGTGCTCAGTTTGCTAACATCGATAGTAAGAACAAATCCTCTAGCGGTGAAAATGTAAGAAGGAAAAAGAAATTTCTGTTAGTCTTGTTTATTGCACTGCAAGCTCTAAAAAGTACAGCCAAGTGTGTGATAAGTGCTTAGTTAAGATGAAAAAGGCATTAAATTTGTGCGTGGAAATCATAAACAGAAATGTGTTCTGATTGACAGCAATTGGGTCAATGCTACCCAAGTTTCAGGCATCCACTGAGGGTCTTAGAACACATCTCCTGCAGATAAGGGAGGGCTACTATGTAACGTTTCTTTCTTTTTTCTTTAATTATAAAGCATTCTCCTTTTTTAATATAACAATTGGCCACATATGTCACTTTAGATATAAAGATATTAGGATATCTTTATAGTAGATAAAAAGCTAACTCGTTCTTTGTAAGAGTTAAAGTATCTTTCATTATATGAGCATTTAAGATATTAAAGTACTCTTGCCACCAAAAATAGTGCTTCTATAAATATTCTTTTACTTATATCTTTATTTTTACTTCTGCTGAAACAAATTGCATGAGGAAACAAGTGTATGTGTATAAAGTGTAATATATGTGTATATATTTAATATGTGTATATGCAACTTAATATATACACAACATACAATAACATATACAACTTTTTTGTTTTGTTTTTTGAGATGGAGTTTTGCTCTCTCATCCAGGCTGGAGTGCGGTGGCATGATCTCGGCTGACTGCAACTTCCGCTGCTTGGTTCAAGTAATTCTCCTGCCTCAGCCTCCTGAGTAGCTGGGAATACAGGCATCTGCCACCATGTCCAGCTAACTTTGCTTTTTTAGTGGAGATGGGTTTTCACCATGTTGGCCAGGCTGCTCTCAAACTCCTGACCTCAAGTGATCCGCCCACCTTGGCCTCCCAAAATGCTGGAATTACAGGCGTGAGCCTCCGTGCCCAGCCTAACATATACAATTTAATGTATATACAAATATAGGTTGGGTGCAGTGGCTCACTCCTGTAATCCTAGCACAATGGGGAGCTGAGGTAGGGGATTGTTTGAACCCAGGAGTTTGAAATCAGCCTGGGCAACATGGTGAAACACTATCTGCACAAAAAACGCAAAAATTAGCTGGGTGTACTTGCAGGTGCCTGTGGTCCCAGGTACTCAGGAGACTGAGTGGGAGGATAGCTGGAACCTGGGTAGTCGAGGCTGCAGTGAGCTGTGATCATGCCACTGCATCTGAGTGTGGGTGACAGAGTGAGACCCTGTCTCAGACAAAAACAAAAACAAACCAAATATAATGTGTATGTGCTACACACTTGATTTCTTTCCAAAGGGTTATATAACACTCTACTTTCACCAGCAATATATGTGACTACTCATTTCCTACATACTATCACTTGTATGCAGTCGAGGAAACTTAGTAGGCCTGAATTGCCCAAACCTGGCATACTCCAAAGAAAGGTTTGACTCTATCCTAGCTCCCAGGAAATAACCTCTAAGTCCTTGGAATCTCCTGCCTATCTGGGAGTTAACAACGTGATTTATTATGGGGAACTTGGACCATGCAGTGTCAGCTTGACCTTGGGAAGGGTGGAGACAGAGAAACTAAGGCCATCCAAATGGGTGCTCTTGTCCATGTGACCAACCTCCAGTAAAACCCTCAACCCCAAGGCTCAGGTAAGCTTCTTGTTGGGGAGTATATTCTATACTTTTTGCCACATATCGCTGGGTGAATTAAGCACCGTCCACACGATGTCACTGGGAGAGGAAAACTGGAAGCTTGTGCTTTGTCTCTCCTGGACTCTGCCCTATGCACCTTTTTCTGCTGCTGATTTTCATCTGTATCTTTTTGTTGTAATAAACTATGAGTATAACAGCTTCACTCGGTTTTGTGAGTCTTTCTAATTAATCACTAAACCTTTGGGACCTCAGAACACAATGTTGTTTCTTCTTTAATTGAATTTTCCATGTTATGTAAGAAACCTATGTGCATAATTGAAAAATTACAAACTAAGAAAGAGCTTTCCATGCAGTCTACTCCCCCAACCTGTTTCTCCAATGCTCCCAGGTCTACTTCCTGAATAATCAAATGTTTAAATTTTCTAAACTATTTCTAATCTACATATCTGAGTGCTTGTCTCTATATTATATAATAGGTAGATCCTGCTTCTTCTCAATATATCAACTTGATATATTACCTGATGGCTTCCTGTTCTGATAGCTGATGACTTGGCTGACACTGGCCCTTTACTCCAGTGCCTGGACCACTTTTCAAACATGGTGCTCTCACCATTTTATTTTTCTTTTCTTTTCTTTTTTTTTTTTTTGAGGCAGAATATTGCTCTGTCACCCAGGCTAGAGTGCAGTGGCATGATCTGGGCTCACTGCAACCTCCACCTCCCAGATTCAAGTGATTCTTCTGCCTCAGCCTCTGGAGTAGCTGGGATTACAGGGACATGCCACCACACCTCGCTAATTTTTGTATTTTTAGTAGAGACGGGGTTTCACCCTCTCAGCCAGGTTGGTCTTCAATGCCTGACCTCATGATCCACCCATCTCAGCCTCTCAAAGTGCTGGGACCGCACTCGGCCACTCTCACTATTTTCAATGGCTCTCTTGGTCACCTTTCACTTGGGAGAGTAGCTGAGGCAGGAGAATCACTTGAACCCAGGAGGTGGAGGTTGCAATGAGTTGAGATGGTGCCATTGCATTGCAGCCTGGGCAACAGGAGTGAAACTCTGTCAAATAAATAAATAAATAAATAAATAAATAAATAAATAAAACAGAAAAGGAAAAAAAAGAAGCTCTCCCTCCATATACCTGTAAGGATCATTGTCTTAATTTTCTTCATGTCTTAACATGATTCTTGCCTTGTCAGAGATCATCCTATCTGAAATTGAAACTATTTACCACTTCCCTATTTTTTCCATGGCACTTAAAACTTTTTTTTTTTTTGAGATGGAGTCTCGCTCTGTCACCCAGGCTGGAGTGCATCGGTGTGATCTCGGCTCACTGCAACCTCCGCCCCAAAGGTTCAAGTGATTCTCCTGCCTTAGCCTCCCAAGTAGCTGGGATTACAGTCATCTGCCACCACGCCTGGCTAACATTTTTTTTTTTTTTTTGTATTTTAGTAGAGACGGGGTTTCACCATGTTGGCCAGGCTGTTCTTGAACTCCTTACCTCAGGTGATCCAAACCACCTCGGACTCCCAAAGTGTTGGGATTACAGGGGTGAGCCACCACACCCAGCCCTGGCTAATTTTTGTATTTTTAGTGGAGACAGGGTTTCACCATATTGGCTAGGCTGATCTCGAACCCCTGACCTCAAGTGATCTCCCTGCCTTGGCCTCCCAAAGTGTTGGGATTACAGGCATGAGCCACTGTGCCCGGACTGCCTTTTGACAAATCATCTCTGTTCTTATATTATGTCCACTAGAATGTAAACTTGATGAGAGCAGGAGATATTGTGAATTTTGTTCAATGCTATTTATCCCTAGAGCTTAGAACTGTACCATGTACACAGTAAGGAGACAAATATTTGTTGAATGAATATATTGAGCAGCTTTTCTCAGACTTTTTGGTTTCAGAAATTCTTTACTCTCTGTTTCTTTACTCCCGACCTCAGGTGATCTGCCCACCTTGGCTTCCCAAAGTGCAAGGATTATAGGAGTGAGCCAAAACACCCAGCCACTCTACTAATTTTTGTATGGTAGTAAGCACGGGGTTTTGACATGTTGGCCAGGCTGATCTTGAACTCCTGACCTCAAGTGACCCCCACCTCAGCCTCCAAAAGTGCTGAGATTACAGGCGTGAGCCACTGCACCCGACTAAAGAAACCAAAAACTTTAGATAAGTGAATTTGGAGGAAATATTTATAACAAGATAATTCTAATTTACTGTCTCTCTGGCTTAATAAAATATTAGTCAATACCCTAAGAAGAAAGGAACAAAATCTAAAAATTCACCATTCACAAACACAAATAGTCGGAAAACAAGGTCAAAACCAAAGAACTTGTTGACCAATTATCTCTCCTCTGAAATCAGCTCTTGAATGTGTTGAACTAGGATTGATCTCGGATTAGGAAATTTTTAAAATATTTTTTAAAGTTTCACTATTTGGAATTTAAAATTAATCCAAATTATGTAATATACAACATTTGGAATTTACCAATCAATACTCTATCATTTTATTTTTCACTCTTCAAATAATTTCTTGTTCAAGAGTTTAAAACGCTTTTAAAATTAATAGATTCTGCAGGCTATGGTCTGTAGAGACTGTCTCTACAAAAAATAACAATATATATACTTTTAAAATATATATAAAATATATATGTATTTAAATGTATATGGTTCAAGTATATAAAACATATTTTTAAAATTTCATTTTTCACTGGATTGTATGGTAAGCGTATGTTTAGTCTGGCAGGAACTTGCAAAACTGCCTTCCACAGTGGCTGTCCCACTTTGCATTCTCAGCAGAAATAGAGATGAGTTCCTGTCGCTCCATATCTTCACCAGCATTTGGTGTTGGTGTTTGCATTCAAGGCAGTCTAAGAGATGTGTAATGGTATCACATCGTTGTTTCACCCTAGTGACATATGGTGTTGAGCATCTTTTCAGAGGTCTATGAAATGTGCTGGGCATGGTGGCACATGCCTGTGGTCCCGGCTACTCAGGAGGCTGAGGCGGGAGGGTTACTTGAGACCTGGAGTTTGGGGCTGCATTGAGCCATGATTGCACCACTGCACTCCAGCCTGAGTGACAGAGCTAAACCCTGTCTCAAAAAGATAAATAAGGCCAGGCGCAGTGGCTCATGTCTGTAATCCAAGCACCTTGGAAGGCCAAGGCGGGTGGATCACGAGGTCAGCAGATCAAGACCATCCTGGCTGACACAGTGAAACCCCATCTCAACTAAAAATACAAAAAATTAGCCAGGCATGGTGGCTGGTGCCTGTAATCCCAACTACTCAGGAGGCTGAAGCAGGAGAATCACTTGAACCCGGGAGGTGGAGGTTGCCATGAGCCGAGATTGGGCCATTGCACTCCAGCCTGGGTGACAGAGTGAGACTCCATCTCAATAAATAAAAATAAATAAATAAATAAATAAATAAATAACTGACAATTTTTAGAACAGTTGTAGGTGTACAGAAAAATAGAGCAGAAGGCATATTGAGCTCTAATATTCACCTCACACCATAGTACACACGCTTCCTCTATTATCATCTTGTTAGTGTGGTAATTTGTTATGCTTGATGAGCCAATATTGATATTATTAAGTTCATGGCTAATATTAAGATTCACTCTCTGTGTTCTACCATTTATGGGCTTCGACAAATGCATAAGGACATATATCCACCATTATAGGGTCACACAGAAAAGTTTCACTGCCCTAAAAATCTTCTGTGCTCCACCTATTTATCTTTCCCTCTGCTCAAGCCTCTGGCAACCACTGAACTTTTTATAATACCATCTGCCTAGTTTTGCCTTTTCTAGTATTCCATATAGTTGGAAATCTATACTATGTGGCCTTTTTGTATTGGCTTCTTTCACTTAGAAATACATGTTTAAGATTCCTCCATGTCTTTTCATGCTTTGGTAGTTCATTTCTTTTTATTCCTGAAGAATATTCCTTTGTATGAATGTTTCAGAATTAGTTTATCCATTTCTCTATTGTAGGATATCTTGGTTACTTCCAATCTTTGTCAGTTGTGTATAAGCTGCTGTAAACATTCATGTGCAGGATTTGAGTGGATATAAGTTTTCAAATACCAAAGAATGCAATTGCCAGATTGTATTTAAACATACAAGGATGCAGATGCCATACACACAAATATGTATGTATATGTCATGCTCATATACAATTTTAAATACATATATGTGTTCTATGGATATATAAGTATTTCTCTACTTTCACAGAAATGTCACTCTAAATCAGTACCTAGGAAGGGTCATCATTTTCTTAATCTACAAATCAAGACATGATATGAGTGGCTGCATCCTTGTTTAGTACGTCCTCTATTATTGAGGATGTTTTCCTGTTTCCTTTTTCATTGCTGTTGTTTTGTTTTGAGACAAGTTTCACTCTTTTGAGTCAAGTGATGTGATCTCAGCTCACTGTAGCCTCCTGAGTAGCTGGAATTATAGGTGCCCACCACCACACCCAGCTAATTTTTGTATTTTTAGTAGAGACGGGGCTTTACCATGTTGGCCAGGCTGGTCTTAGCTCCTGACCGCAGGTGATCCGTCCACCTCAACCTCTCAAAATCCTGAGATTACAGGCGTGAGCCACCATGCTTAGCTCCTTTCATCATTTCAAACTGAGCTTGGAGAAGAACCTGAGGAAAAACATGACTTTAAAATTTTGATGAATGGAGAAATCTCTTTCCATTCACCTTCCTTTCCTCTATTTCATTCTTATTTTAAAATATACAAACAAAGATATGGATACATCAGTTATTAAATAAACATCTGTGTGATACCTATCCAGGTGAAGAAATAGAGGACTATCACCACCGAGAAGTCCTCTGTATGCACCTAACTGATCCTAAAGTCTTCCTTCCCCTTATTAGTAACAGATATAAGAGATATCCACATTACCTGTGGATATCTGCCATCCTCTCCTTGGTTCTCTTTATAATTTTATTATGTATTTTATATCATTTTTTTTTTTTTTTTGGAGACAGAGCCTCGCTCTGTCACCCAGGCTGGAGTATAGTGGCATGATCTTGGCTCACGGCAACCTCTGCCTCCCAGATTCAAGTGATTCTCATGTCTCAACCTTCCAAGTAGCTGGGATTACAGGCATGGCCCATGTGCCACCATGCCTGGATAATTTTTGTGTTTGTAGTAGAGATGGGGTTTTGCATGTTTGTCAGGCTGGTTTAGAACTCCTGACCTCAGTGCCTGGCCTTATTATGCATTTTTTATATGCCTAAAGTAAAGTCTGATTTTGCCTGGTTTTTCTCTTACATAATTGGAGTAAAAGTCTGTATCCTGGTGCATCTGGCCCCTTTTACTCAATATTAAGTATTTAAGATTCACACTTAACATTGTTTCTTCATTCTATTAAAACAGTACACCAGCCAGCCATGATGGCTCGTGCCTATAATCCCAGCACTTTGGGAGGCTGAGGCAGGCAGATCACTTGAGTTCAGGAGTTCCAGACCACCCTAGCCAACATGATGAAACTCCATCTCTATTAAAACTACAAAAATTAGGCCACGTGGTGGCCAATGTCTGTCATCTCAGCACTTTGGGAGGCCAAGGCAGGTGGATCATTAAGTCAGGAGATAGAGACAATCCTGGCGAACACAGTGAAACCACATCTCTTCTAAAAATACAAAAAATTAGCCAGGTGTGGTGGCACATGCCTGTAGTCTCAGCTACTCTGGAGGCTGAGGCTGGAGAATCACTTGTATCTGGGAGGCAGAGGTTGCAGTGAGCCAAGTTTGCACCACTGCACTCCAGCCTGGGTGACAGAACTAGACTCTGTTAAAAAAAAAAAAAATTAGCCAGATGTGGTGGTGTGCGCCTGTAATCCCAATTATTTGACAGGCTAAGGCAGGAGAATCAGTTGAACCTGGGAGGTGGTGGAGGTTGCAGTGAGCCAAGATCTCACCCTGTACTCCAACTGGGGCAATAGAGTGACAGTCTCAAAAAAAAAAAAAAAAAAAACAGCCCAGGCGCAGCGCCTGCCACCTGTAATCCCAGCACTTTGGGAATCCGAGATAGGTGGATCACCTCACGACAGGAGTTTGAGACCGGCCTTACCAACAAGGTGAAACCCCATCTCTACTAGAAATAAAAAAATTTACCGGGAGTGGCGGCATGCGCCTGTAATCCCAGCTACTGGGGAGGCTGAGACAGGAGAATTCCTTGAACCCAGGAGGTGGAGATTGCAGTGAGCCAAGATCGCACCACTGCACTCCAACCTGGGCAACTAAGCAAGACTCTGTCTCAAAAAATATATATAAATTTATATTTATATATATAAAATAAATATAAAAAATAAAAATAAATAAAACTACAGTACACCAGTGTGTATCCCTTCATTGTTGGTGGACATGTAGGTTGTGTTCACTTTTGTCAGTTACAAATGATGTTGTTGTGAACATGTTTGTATTTCTATTTGGTTACCATTAGTGTGTATTTATGTACAGTATAAAGCAAGAGGTGAAACCATAGGTTACAGGGTAAACTTATCTTCAGTTTTACTAGGTATTATTCGTTTCATTCCAATGTTAACACACCAACTGACAGTCTTACAATGTGATAATTCTCAAATCTTCGCATTCTTCTTGACACTTAATTTTGTCAAAATTTTAATTTGAGTCTTTTGGTGGGTATGTGGCAATGATTGTGATATTAATTTACTGGGCCTTTTCTTCTCTGTAACAGGCCCTGGCAAGATATATGTGTGGTGTGGCAGGGGTAGGAGCCCCTAGAGGTAGCATGGGCTCTGGAATCCTTAATCATCCTATGTGAAAAAGTTGGTGGGGCAGTGAATATATATATATATATTTTTTTTTTTTTTTGAGACAGAGTTTTGCTCTTGTTGCCCAGGCTGGAGTGCAATGGCACTATCTCAGCTCACTGCAACCTCTGCCTCCCAAGTTCAAGTGATTCTCCTGCCTCAGCCTCCCAAGTAGCTGGGATTAGAAGCATGTGCCACCACACCCAGCTAATTTTTTGTATTTAGTACAGATGGGGTTTCACCATGTTTGTCAGGCTGGTCTTGAACAGCTGACCTCAGGTGATCCACCTGCCTCAGCCTCCTAAAGTGCTGGGATTACAGGCATGCACCACTGCACCCTAATATTTCCTGTGTGCAATGGTGTAGCCAGGGTGCAAAGCCAGTTCTTAATGATTCTGTCATCCAAATATTATATCTTCTTGCTTCCCCTTGAGATATGCTCATTCCTCCGTACAATTAAACAATCTCAATTACTCTTGAAAGAGCATAAAATCCTCCCTGTCATGGGTCCTTCCAAATTATTTGTTGGCTTGTGTTTAAAATATAAAAAAGAGAATGTAGATTTTGTTTTCTTCTTTCTGCTTAACCTGAACAAAATGTCATAGGTACCTCCTAGCCTGTTGGTAAATCGAGAGTCACTTGAATAATGAACAAGAGTGGAGGGAAACCACATGGATAATTTATCATTACACTATCATCACATACATGGAACTCATTAATGAAGTTTACAAAAAAAAATTGAGTCATTTGTGGAAAAGTGTAAAGAGAATATAGGAGATGTCTCAAGTGAAGAGAAAAAAGCTGCAGAAAATAATTACAAAAAAAGAGTGTTAAGATGTAAACACAAATTCAGAGATTCAGGAGCATGAAGGGCTAAGTTAAGGGAAAAAAGAGTTATCAATATTTTCTTATTCATTTTGGAGAGCAGGATGAATTCTTAAAAGGTCAAATAATTGTGAGTCTGATATATCTGATGATAATTTGTATTTTGTATTTCTAATGTTGTAAATGGTTGTTAATTTACAGTCATTATTTCTATTTCCTTTAGACTAGTGACCATGAGTTTGACTGACAATAACCCATTGGGTTAGTATTGTTATCTACGTGTGTTCATCATGCTATGTGTTAAAACAAGTCCATCAATTTTTGTCTTGTGTTTGTTTTCATTTAATTTTAGTTTAGTTTCTTTGGGACAGGGTCTCACTGTCACCCAGGCTGGAAGTGCGGTGGCATGATCACAGCTCACTGCAGCCTCTACATCTCCAGGCTCAGGTGATCCTCCTACCTCAGCCTCCCAAGTAGCAGGGACTACAGACATGAGCCACCACACAGTGGCTAATTTTTGTATTTTTTGTAGAGACAGTGTTTTGATATGTTGCTCAGGCTGGTCTCAAACTCTTGGACTCAAGTGATCTGCCCACCTTGGCCTCCCAAATTGCTGGGAGGACTGGCATGTACCACTGTCCCGGCCTGTTTTCATTTTATTAATTGGCTGATTCATTCAGACACATAATTATCAAGTCAAATCTCACTCTTTCTTTAGCATTTCCCTTCAGTTTAGCTGAGAAAATCTATTCTTATTTTAAAACATATACAATTATTCAAGTGTGGTGGCACACGTCTGTAATCCCAGCTACTCAGGAGGCTGAGGCAGGAGTATCACTTGAACCCGGGAGTGATATAGTGATTATATGTAGTATATAACTATATAGTGATTATAGTTTATAATTTTAACTATATCATGTCTCCTGCCTCATAAGTACCACTGGACAAGGTCCCTTTTATGTATTCAGCTTCTGTCAGAGGTAAATGTATTTTGAAGTGGAGAACAAAGATAAGTGCAAAATTGGCATGGAGAACTAACGTAATTATGAAAGTTCCAGATACAAAGAGAGAGGGCTCAATATGCCAGCAGTTCTCTACCAATCCATCCTAGCGGTCTTCTTTTAGGATTGCCTAAATAATTCAGGAGATAAGTGCAAGACACACAAGTGTTCCAGAAGCATGTAAACAAGGTACAGAGAAGAGGATAAGATAAAGTAAGATAAGAATATTAGGAATGTCTTGTTCAGAAGATTGCCTACAGAGGCAAAAGGGACAGTTTCATTTTGCTGAGGGAAACAGGGTGGTAAGAACACTCCTGGGGAAGACCCCCACTTACCCTGATACAGAAAGAAGGTGTAAAATAACGTAATGGGAGAGCATTAGGCTGAGATAGCTCCCATGGCCAGGGTTCCTACATAGAAAAAATGAAACAAGCTTAGCCCATCAACAAGTGGCCCGCTGAGTATTAGCTGTGTAATGAGAGACCTACCACCAGGATAGTTCAAATAATGCAACTGCCCAAATTTTTGCCAATCAAATAATTTCTCTACCCTACTTCTATATTCACCCTATAAAAGCCTTCCTTACAAACACCTCCAGTAGATCCTCCAACCACTTTCAGTTTGGAGCTGCCTGATCCATGAATCTCTGTTTGCTCAAATAAACTCTTTAAAATTTTAATGTGCTTAAGTTTATCAATTTTTTTTCTCATTTTTAAAAATTGAGATGGGATCTTCCTATGTTGTCCAGGCTGGTCTTAAACTCCTGAACTCAAGGAATCCTCCTGCCTCAGCCTCCTGAGTAGCTGGAATTATAGACGTGTGCCTCCACACCCAGCTTACATTTATCTTTAAACAAGGGTTTGACCCCTTTCTGAAATATATTTCTCTGAAGACCTGTACCCTCAGTGATATGGGAGGCTCATTTTAGACCATTGGGCACTTTTGTCTCCGGACCACAATTTGCCCTTTGTGACCTGCTCTACTAAGAAATTCAAGTGTAATTCAAATTAGTTTACCATCTGCTGATCAGGGGAGATTGCTCTGGGTGCAAGTTCAAGACAGGCACTCACATCTTCATTCGTACCCCAAATCTCAGCATCACACAATACATCCATGTAATAAACCTGCACAGGTACCCTCCAGAATCTAAAATGAAAGTTGAAATTCATTAAAATTTTAATTTCATCTTATTACAAAACAAAGATACATTTACTTCTTTCCAATTTTGATATATATTATACTGACATACACACTGTATTCTATGGTGAATTATACTGATTGAATTTCACATTTTGAACTAACACTGAATTACTTTGAAAAACTCTACTGGGTCATAATGTATTATGTTTTTAATATATTTTAATACAATTTGCAAAAATTCTGTTTTAAAATTACCTCTCTGTTCCATAAATAAATAAATATGTAAAAAAAATAAATGTTTGTATTATTCAAGTGAAGATTATAGCAATAATTTTGAATATCTACTTAACCTCAACTAGTTTTAATTCAGAAGTAGCAACTCCATAAAAATTCAACTTATTACTACCTTATTACTCATACTTGTCTCCTTGAAGAAGTTCATTGTTATCATCCAGTTTAGACTGGGATGTCATAAATCTCTAGACTGAGTAGTATAATATTCACTGTTCAAAAAAAATCAAATTATTATTATAATGTTATGACACCTCCAAATACAAAAAGCAAGCCCATGGATGTCAGGTTAAGGTATAGAGGCAAGTATTCCTACTTACTATCTTTTAGGGCAGACATATCCCAGCCAAGCTGATTGCAAAATGAAATGGAAACCATATGGTGGAAGGGGACTTGGGACTCACACAGATTGGATTTTCATTCCAACCCTTACATACACAAGCTGCATGACTCTGGGTAGATTGCATATTCTCTTAGAGTTTCAATTTCCTCATCTGTGCAATGACACTTAATGCCTATGGGCTATGGCTGATGTGGGGATAAAAGAACCAACACGGATGCATGGGCAGGGCCTGGTCCATAGGGCAGCTGGCATCAACAAATGGAAGCCCCTTCCCATCTTGTCTTTGCATGTACTACAAAATCCGGAATATGTGGGTATAAAAAGTACTCTTAAAAGAGACATAATTGGAAGCTTTTGCAAAAAGAGATTGGAAAGGTGTCACATCTTGTAGCATGAGGAGTTGTGGGCATACAGTTGAACTTTGTGCTGTGAGATATCCACAGAACTTCAGTAGTTTAAGAGAACAGTTTAGATATCATCTTATTCATCTACCATAGAACTTCCTCCTCTTTTCTGAGATTTCTAGACAGTAACTTTTACAGCTCTAATAATGCAGTTCTCTCCCAATTGTTTGGACTATTCTAATAGACACAAAGCAGTATTTCACCAGCAGATGCTACTGCAGTTTCTATGATGATTTCAAACTGAGAATCCATTTAAACTTATGCAATACTTTTTTTGGAAATAGGGTGAAAGTATTTTAAGTTTAAAATCCTATAAAATAGGTTTACAGTAAATAATTACTTGTTGCAATATCTATCATACTATCTTATATTCACACATGTATTGGAGTCCTAATACATATGTATGAGAGTGAAAGTTACCTGAGGTCAGAGACTGTGCCATATGTTCCCTGCACCACTGGTGCCTATCTCAGCACATGATATACAGTAGATGCTCAATAAATACTTTCCCTAAAAAGCGCACTAAGAATAAATTTGATTAGACATCAAAATACATATGAGTACAATCTAGGGACATGGTCAGGAGCTCAAAATTCAATCTTATTTATTTTTTATTTGGAGACAGAATCTCACTCTGTTGCTCAGGCTGGAGTTCAGTGGCATGATCTCAGCTTACTGCAACCTTCCTTTCCTGGGTTCAAGTGATTCCCCTGCCTCAGCCTCCAGATTAGCTGGGATTACAGGTGCACACCAACACGCCCAGCTAATTTTTTTGTATTTTTAGTAGACACAGGGTTTCACCATATTGGCCAGGCTGGTCTCAAACTCCTGAGCTCAAGCAATCTGTCCACCTTGGTCTCCCAAAATGCTGGGATTACATGTGTCAGCCACCATGCACAACCACAAAATGTTTTAAAGTAGCTTCAAAACCCCTTTGCAAATAGGTGTATTCATAACAAGATGCAAACAAGAAAACATTGAGCTTCATATAATAGAAGGGTTCTGCCTGGATTTGCATGTGGCCCCATCATTTGTTTGCTGTTGGGCCATGGTCATGTTACTTAGCTGCTCTCTGCCTCCACATAGGTTTTAGGCCTGTGCATCCCTCATCTACAAAATGGGAATAATAAGAATATCTGACAATTAGACGTGTAGAAAATATATGTAAAGGCCTTTGAAAAGAGCTTGTGAAAGCTCAATAATTGTCCCCAATAATTGCTCTCAATAATTGTCAGCTATCATTCCATAATAAGCGTAATCATAAAAATGTTTGACTCAAAGAAAGATTCCGACTTCATATCCAGCTTCCCAAAAGAATATCAGACATAGGACCTGTGAAAGGAATGACATTGAGATGTATTTTCACATCGCTAAGTTGGTTTTTTCTCTTTGTCATTCAATTTCTGCAGTCCCTACTCTAAGCCCATGGTCCACCTTTTTATTTTTCCTCCTAAAATGTCTTCCCTTCTCATAAGATTTACTTTTCCTAAAAAGGGCCCTTTTCATCCACCCACTCTTTTGCCCTTCCCAGAAGTTGGTTAATGGGGACAAAAATACAGTTAGATGGAAGGAACAGAATTTCTAGTGTTCAAAAGCACAGTAGGGTGATGATCATTAACAATAACTTATATATTTCAAAATGACTAGAGGAAAGATGTGGAATGTTCTCAACACAAATAAATGATAAATGTTTAAGTTGATGGATATGCACATTATCCTGATTTGATGACTACACATTGTATGCATGTATCAAAATATCACATGTACCCTAGAAATATGTATAATTGTCATGTATCAATAAAAATAAAAAGGCCTATTTCTCTTTCCTTCCTCCCCGTATTTCCTACAAAGTGGATTTTAGTAACAATCTTGAGTCATCACAGAAGCTAATGAAGTTGGGGATTCCACGAATCCATCCAAGCATATAAAGCCCATTTCCCGGGGTCCCTTTTCCTTAGCTCAAGGCCACAAAAAATCAGAACTTGAATTCCAGCCCACATTTGCCTTATGTCTACATAATTATGAGTTGTAAATGAAGCTAACAATTAGTTAAATATGTTCTATTCTCCTACTTTGATAAATATACACCCATAATAACCCACAAGGTCAAAGTCGAGTGTAGAATTCTCTGATTTCTTGGTGCTCTGCACAGGATTGTGGTAGTAAAGGGAGAGCCGATCCTCAGCCCCAGGCTAAACTTTTTTCTTTCATCGTAGGTAGCCCTGTCCTCACTTGAGAAGCTTTGCATACCCCTGTGTGGGGGACTCCCTAGGCCCCGTGCAAGCTCCATCCACAATTCTCACCCCATTCAGACAGCAGAAAGCCTCTGGTGCACAAGGGGGCACCATTTGGACAAGCAGTTTGCGCTTTGAAATGAACCTAGGGAAGAGGCCATGCAGGCTCAGGCACATTTCATCAGGGGCCTGAGTGCCCAGCGTGTGCCCTAGAAGAGAGGGTGAAGCTCTGGGTGGGCCAGGGTACAGTCAGTGGAGGGCCAGAGAGGCACCTTCTCAAGTACAGGATTCAGGGCAGGGGTCCTCTTGCCCAGATCGATGGCTACCATTGCTTAGTGCAATGGCGCCTGCGTCATGTCTTCTCAGCTCACCTTTCATTCAGTCTCAGCCACCGTGGGAAGTTCCACTGAAGCGCAGGCTTCCCTTGTGCTGCCAGCAAACTCAAGCTCCACTTTCTGCCCTAGGGCATCTCCATTATTGTAGGATTTTGTCTGAGCATAAATACAGCCCAGAAACACTTGCAAGTTAACAGCCTCAGGGGAAGACCTCAACCAGTGTGGGACAGGTGGACAAATGCTCCAGGCTCATGTTTCAGGTGAACAGTTCTGGATAACTTTCCGGAACCTCTTGGAAGGTCCTGAAGAAAAAACACCATGGCAGGAGCCTCAATAACATGCCATTATTTTGGTTTTTCTTTCTTTCCTGGCTCACTCTTCCCACTTCTGACTCTTGCTTCTTGGAATCACTTCCCAAATAAACCACCCACACCCAAGTCCTTACTCCAGCTCTGCTTCTAGGGATACAGGCACACCTTGGAGATATTGCAGGTTTGGTTCTAGGTAACCACAATAAGGGGAATATCACAACAGCGCAAGTCACACGAAACTTTTTGCAAGTCACACGAAATGTTTTGCTTTCTGGTGTATATAAAAGTTATGTTGCCAGGCATGGTGGCTCACGCCTGTAATCACAGCACATTGGGAGGCCGAGGCGGGTGCATCACCTGAGGTCAGAATTTCGAGACCAGCCTGGCCAACATGGTGAAACCCTGTGTCTACCGGAAATACAAAAATGGTGGTGCACTCCTGTAGTCCCAGCTACTCAGGAGGCTGAGGCAGGAGAATTGTTTGAACCTGGGAGGCAGAGTTTGCAGTAAGCCAAGATCGCACCACTGCACTCCAACCTGGGCAACAGAGCCAGATGCCATCTCAAAAAAAGAAGTTATGTTTAAGCTACTGTAATCAATTAAGTGTGCAATAGCATTATGTCTAAAATATAATGTATATACCTTACTTTGAAAATACGTGATTGCCAAAAAATGCTAACCATCATCTAGGCCTTCAGCAAGTCATCACCATTTTGCTGCTGGATGGTTTTGTCTCAATGTTGATAGCTACTGACTGATCCGGGTGGTGGTTGCTGAGGGCTGGAGAGGGAGTGACAAATTTCTTAAAAGAAGATGACAATGAAGTTTACTTCATTGACTGACTCTTCCTTTCACAAAAGATTTCACTGTAGCATGCTATGCAGTTTGGTAGCATTTTACCCACAGTAGAATTTATATCAAAATTGGAACCAATCCTCTCTAACCCTGCCACTCCTCTATCAACTAAGTTTATAATTATTATATAAGCAAAAATGATATCCCTTGGTTTTTAAAGATAATACAAAGTGGATTTTAGTAACAATCTTGAGCTGTCACAGAAGCTAAAGAAGTTGGGGATTCCATGAAGCCATCCAAGCATATAAAGCCCATTTCCCTGGGTCCGTTTTCCTTAGCTCAAGGCCACAAAAAGTCAGAACGTGAATTCCAGCCCACATTTGCAGTATGTCTAAATAATTATGAGTTATAAATGAAGCTAACAAATAGTTAAATATGTTCTATTCTCCTACTTTGATAAATATACTGTCATAATAACCCACAAGGTCGAAGTTGAGTTTAGAATTCTCTGATTCCTTGGTGCTCTGCACGGGAATGTGGTAGTAAAGGGAGAGCCGATCCTGAGCCCCAGGCTAAACTTTTTTCCATCTAATTCCATTTATTTCCATTAAGATTGCAGCAATTTGGCCGGGCGCGGTGGTTCATGCCTGTAATCCCGGCACTTTGGAAGGCCGAGGTGGAAGGATCATCTGCGGTTGGGAGTACCAGTCCACCCTAACCAACGTGGTGAAACATCGTGTCTACTAAAAATACAAAATCGGCCGGATGCGGTAGCACATGCCTATAATGGCAGCTACTCAGGAGGCTGAGGCAGGAGAATCACTTGAACCCAGTAGGCGGAGGTTGTGGTGAGCCGAGATCGCGCCATTGCACTCCAGCCTTGGCAACAAAACAAAACTCCATCTCAAAAAAAAAAAAAAAAAAAAAAAAGATTGCAGCAATTCACTCACGTCTTCAGGTTCCACTTGTAATTCTAGTTCTCTTGCTATCTTCACCACAACTGTGGTTGCTTCCTCTGCTAAGGTCTTGAACCTCTCAAAGTCATCTATGAGGGTTGGAATCAACTTCTTCCAAACTCCTATTAATGCTGCTATTTTTACCTCCTCTGGTGAATCTTGAATGTTCTTAGTGGCATCTGTCATAGTGAATCCTTTCCAGAAGGTTTCCAATTGACTTTGCCCAGATCCATCAAAGGAATCATGACCTATGGCAGTAACAGCCTTATAAAATATATTTCTCAAATAATAAGACTAGAAAGTCAAAATGATGCCTCAGTCCATGGACTACAGAATAGATGTTGTGTTGGCAGGCATGAAACCAGCATGCGTTTCCCTGTACATCTCCATTAGAGCTCTTTAGTCACCAGGTACATTGTCAAAAAGCTGAAGTATTTGAAATGAATCTTTTTTTCTGAGCTGTAGGTCTCAAAAGTGGGATTAAAATACTCAGTAACCCATGCCGTAAACAGCTCTGATATCATCCAAGTGTTGTTGTTCCATTTATACAGCATGGGTAGAGTAGATTTAGCATAATTCTTTTTTATTTTTTCTTTTATTATTATTATACTTTAAGTTTTAGGGTACATGTGCACAATGTGCAGGTTAGTTACATATGTATACATGTGCCATGCTGGTGTGCTGCACCCATTAACTCGTCATTTAGTATTAGGTATATCTCCTAAAGGTATCCCTCACCCCTCTCCCCACCCCACAACAGTCCCCAGAGTGTGATGTTCCCCTTCCTGTGTCCATGTGTTCTCTTTGTTCAATTCCCAAGTATGAGTGAGAATATGCGGTGTTTGGTATTTTGTTCTTGCTATAGTTTACTGAGAATGATGATTTCCAATTTCATCCATGTCCCTACAAAGGACATGAACTCATCATTTTTTATGGCTGCATAGTATTCCATGGTGTATATGTGCCACATTTTCTTAATCCAGTCTATCATTTTTGGACATTTGGGTTGGTTCCAAGTCTTTGCTATTGTGAATAGTGCCACAATAAACATACGTGTGCATGTGTCTTTATAGCAGCATGATTTATAGTCCTTTGGGTATATACCCAGTAATGGGATGGCTGGGTCAAATGGTATTTCTAGTTCTAGATCCTTGAGGAATGGCTACAGTGTCTTCCACAATGGTTGAACAGGTTTACAGTCCCATCATAGTGTAAAAGTGTTCCTATTCCTCCACATCCTCTCCAGCACCTGCTGTTTCCTGACTTTTTAATGATCGCCCTTCTAACTGGTGTGAGATGGTATCTCATTGTGGTTTTGATTTGCATTTCTCTGATGGCCAGTGATGATGAGCATTTTTTCATGTGTTTTTTGGCTGCATAAATGTCTTCTTTTGAGAAGTGTCTGTTCATGTCCTTTGCCCACTTTTTGATGGGGTTGTTTGTTTTTTTCTTGTAAATTTGTTTGAGTTCATTGTAGATTCTGGATGTTAGCCCTTAGTCAGATGAGTAGGTTGCAAAAATTTTCTCCCATTTTGTAGGTTGCCTGTTCACTCTGATGGTATTTTCTTTTGCTGTGCAGAAGCCCTTTAGTTTAATTAGATCCCATTTGTCAATTTTTGCTTTTGTTGCCATTGCTTTTGGTATTTTAGACATGAAGTCCTTTCCCATGCCTATGTCCTGAATTGTAAAGCCTAGGTTTTCTTCTAGAGTTTTTATGGTTTTAGGTCTAACATTTAAGTCTTTAATCCATCTTTAATTAATTTTTGTATAAGGTGTAAGGAAGGGATCCAGTTTCAGCCTTCTACATATGGCTAGCCAGCTTTCCCAGCACCATTTGTTAAATAGGGAATCCTTTCCCCATTGCTTGTTTTCCTCAAAGATCAGATAGTTGTAGATACGCGGCGATATTTCTGAGGGCTCTGTTCTGTTCCATTGATCTATATCTGTTTTGGTACAAGTACCATGCTGTTTTGGTTACTGTAGCCTTGTAGTATAGTTTGAAGTCAGGTTAGCATGATGCCTCCCGCTTTGTTCTTTTGGCTTAGGATTGACTTGGTGATGCGGGCTCCTTTTTGGTTCCATATAAACTTTAAAGTTGTTTTTTCCAATTCTGTGAAGAAAGTCATTGGTAGCTTGATGGGGATGGCATTGAGTCTGTAAATTACCTTGGGCAGTATGGCCCTTTTCACAATATTGATTCTTCCTACCCATGAGCATGGAATGTTCTTCCATTTGTTTGTATCATCTTTTATTTCATTGAGCAGTGGTTTGTAGCTCTCATTGAAGAACCAAATGCCTTCACGTCCCTTGTAAGTTGGATTCCTAGGTATTTGCTTCTCTTTGAAGCAATTGTGAATGGGAGTTCACTCATGATTTGGCTCTCTGTTTGTCTGTTATTGGTGTATAAGAATGCTTGTGATTTTTGTACATTGATTTTGTATCCTGAGAGTTTGCTGAAGTTGCTTATCAGCTTAAGGAGGTTTTGGGCTGAGACTATGGGGTTTTCTAGATACACAATCTTGTCATCTGCAAACAGGGACAATTTGACTTCCTCTTTTCCTAATTGAATACCCTTTATTTCCTTCTCCTTCCTAATTGCCCTGGCCAGAACTTCCAACACTTTGTTGAATAGGAGTGGTGAGAGAGGACATCACTGTCTTGTGCCAGTTTTCAAAGGGAATGCTTCCAGTCTTTGCCAATTCAGTATGATATTGGCTGTGGGTTTGTCATAGATAGCTCTTATTATTTTGAGATATGTCCATTCAATACCTAATTTATTGAGAGTTTTTTGCATGAATAGTTGTTGAATTTTTTCAAAGGCCTTTTCTGCATCTATTGAGATAATCATATGGTTTTTGTTTTTGGTTCTGTTTATATGCTGGATTAATTCTTAAGAGGTGCCCTAGGATTTATGGAATAGCAAATGTGCATTGGCTTGTAACAAGAAAGTCAGCCTGTCCTTTAAATCCTTTTTTTATTTTATATAAAGTCTCACTCCATTACCCAGGCTGGATTGCAGTGGCATGATCTTGGACCACTCCATACTTGACCTCCTTGGCTCCACAATCCTCCCACCTCAGCCTCCTGAGTAGCTGGGACTAGTAGCATGCACCACCATACATGGCTTATTTTCATTTATTTATTTATTTATTTATTTATTTATTTTTTGTTAGAGACAGGGTTTCACCATGTTGCCCAGGCTGGTCTCAAGCTCCTAAGCTCAAGCCATTCTCCCACTTCAGCCTCACAGAGTGCTGGGATTACAGGTGTGATCCACCGTGTCTGGCCTCTAAATTCGTGTTATGGAGACTCCTTTTCATGGTTAAAATGTCCTGAATTGACTGTGGCCTGTTGGGAGTCGGGATGGAGGAAATTACTTATGGAAAATGAAGAAGAAAGGGAAGCACACCAGAAGAATATGTCATCAATTTTTACATCAAGGACTCCAAGATAAAGAGAAAGTACAGGTGGCCTGTTATCATGGCTGACCATTGGACTGTGGACTGCACCTGAATCTACCAGGTTCTTCTGGGTAGTCCCAGTATTAAATTTTTGACCTGATAATCATGAACACAGTGCTACTGGTCAGACCTTTGTCCAGGTTTAAGCTTCAGAACATAATGTCTTCATGCAGTGGGAGGCCTGATTAGCGTTATGATTCTGCCCTGGGGCATCTGCCCCTTCTGACATGGAGGTAAACTTGGCATCTGCTACTTACCTCTACACTTGAACAGGCAAGGATGGGCTGAGCACAGAGGCTCACATCTGTAACTCCAGCACTTTGGGAAGTCAAGGCAGGAGGATCGCTTAAGGCCAGGAGTTCAAGACCAGCCTGGGCAGTATAGTGAGACCTCATCTCTGTAAAAACAAACAAACAAAACCGAGGATGGGTGGGTGACAGGGAGCAGTTCAACATGGGAAACCATTAATCTGAGAGCTGGAAGGACCCTTAGACCATCCCCCCATTAACAGATGAGACTCTGCCCTGAGATTATAGCCTAAAGCAATGCATTGAGCTTTTCTAGAGATTTGAAAATAATCAATCCTAAAACCCCCAAGCATACTGCTACTGTTTGCTGTTGGATAATGTTTTCTAGTCTGGGTGTGGTGGCTCCTGCCTGTAAACCCAACACTTTTGAAGGTCGAGGCAAGTGGATCACCTGAGGTCAGGAGTTCGAAACCAGCCTGGCCAACATGGTGAATCCACGTCTCTACAAAAATACAAAAAATTAGCAGGCCATCGTGGTGTGTGCCAGTAATCCCAGCTGCTTGGGAGGCTGAGGCAGGAGAATCCTTTGAACATGGGAGGCAGACATTGCAGTGAGCCGAGATCACACCATCGCACTCCAGCCTGGGCTACAAGAGTCAAATTCCATCTCAAAAATAATAATGATAATAATAATGTTTTCTACAAGCAAGGAGTTACTTAGTACTGTGAACCGGTGTGAAGGGATTTGCCATGTGTCAGCTTTTGGATTCATGACAGTTATTTCTAGATAACAGAGGTGGGAATGTTTGTTGATCATCTTCTATGTTCTTTGTTATATTGATTGATTTTTTAAAATTAGCATTTTTATAACAATAAAGTCATAAAAATAAGTAACTAAAATAAAGTAAAGTAATCTAAAAAGGCTGAGTGTGGTGGCTCATGCCTATAGTCCCAGCACTTTGGGAGGCCAAGATGGGTGGATCCCCTGAGGTCAGGAGTTCGAGACCAGCCTGACCAACATGGTGAAACCCCATCTCTACTGAAAATACAAAACTTAGCCAGACGTGGTGGCAGACACTTGTAATCCCAGCTACTCCAGAGGCTGAGGCAGGAGAATTGCTTGAACCAAGGAGAAGGTGCTTGCAGTGAGCTGAGATTGTGCCATTGCACTCCAGCCTGGGTGACAAGAGCTAAACTCCATCTCAAAACAAAACAGAACAAAAATCTAAATGTAATTGAGTTGAATATTTAAACTTTTAATTGACATTTCATATTAGATTCTAATTCCATTTAAAAGAGCATCTCGTAGAAGCAAATGAACTCAATTATATTAACTCTGTGGTTTCATTTAAGCAATTTGTTTTGTGAAGGGACACAAATCCAACCAGATTTTAACGGTGTATAAATATGTATTTATTAATTTAATTACTACGACAGTACTCTCAACTCCCCATTTGAATAAAGGAGAGCATCGGATCTGTGTTCTGGGACAGCGTGCACTATAGGTGTGTGGAAATACCGATGCCCTCAGCTGTGTGGCAGGCTCAGTGGGACCTGGAGTGCAGGAGCCCCTGGGCCATTCACCTCTGGCCACAAAAGTCATTGTCCATTTACCCCAAACTGCTATAGAAAGATTATTTTCAGTGGCTGTTATGATGCAAAAGAAAAGAAGCAGGGAGATTTATTAAACTTTTACATATAAGATATGTTAGTAAATAAAGTCTACTTTCTTCTGGCTTAACTAAAAATCTATACTAGTATTTATGCCTTTTGGAACTTAGAGATGCCAATTTAAAAATTAGGAAGCAAAACAACTGAGTATTGGATAAGACAGCCAAGTACAACTGCAGAATTGTAGAGGTTATGGGTTACATGTATAAGAATATTTCATAGCAATAATCTTTTAAGACTCTGTGAAGACACTCCACAGTGAAGCAGAAATTAGAACAGAATTAATAATACTGTGTATGCTCTCAGTTCACCAATTATTTATCAAAACTAGCTTTATGATACAGGAGGGTGTCTGCTCTTTTGCAGTTGGAAGAAAAGAAAGAATATTTTATTTTTTTGAGTCTTTAGATTTTCTTCACTAACAGTATTTCCAAGGCTAAGTAAGGGGGTTGCAAGTAACACCAAGAGAAAAAAGCAGTCTTGAGCAACTTTTTAAAAATGGTCTTAAAATATGGAAAATGGAGCCAGGTGTGGTGGCTCACTCTTGTGATCCCAGCACTATGGGAACCTGAGGGGGGAGGATTGCTTGAGGCCAAAAGTTTGAGACCAGCCTGGGCAGCATAGCAAGATCTCCATCATTGCAAAAAATAATATTTTTTTAAAAAATTAGCTGGATGTGGTGGTGCATGCCTTAGAGTCCCAGTTACTTGGAAGGCTGAGGTAGGAGGAGCTCTTGAGTCCAGGAGTTCAAGTGTGAAGTAAACTGTGATTGCACCACTGTCCTCAAGCCTGGGCAACAAAGTGAGACCTCTCTCTCTCTCTCTCTCTCTAGATATATATATATGGAAAAGAGAAGGTCCAAGAATATCAAAGACATTGAAGAAGAGGAAAGATTTGTCCTGCCAAATATCAGAACTTTTATAAAGCTACAGCAATTAAGACAGTGTGGTCCTCACTGATAAACTGACTAATGAAACAGAATAGAGAGCTCCCAAGCAAATCTCTACAAATTTAATCTTCGATACGTGATGTAGGTGACATGGCAGATCAGTAAGGAAAGAAAGGACTTTTCAATAAATAGAATAGAAAAATAATGGTTATTGATATAAGAAACAAAATGAAATTATATTCCTACTTCACTCTATATACAAACATTAAATTCCAGAGGACCAAAGACTTACATGTCAGAAACAAAACTTTAAAACTTTTAGTAGAAAATGTAAGTGAATGGGACACAAAAAGCCATTTAACCATTAAAAAAGATTAGACATTTTGACTATCACAAAATTAAGAACTTTTTACATCAAAAAGTGGAAAGATAGGCTGGTCACAGTGTCTCAATCCTGTAATCCCAATAGTATATCACCTGAGGTCAGGAGTTTGAGAGCAGGCTGGCCAACATGGTGAAACCCCATCTCTACTAAAAATACAAGAAATTAGCTGGGCATCAGTGGCAGACACCTGTAGTCCAAGCTACTTGGGAAGCTGAGGCATGAGAATCATCTCAACCCAGGAGGTGGAGGTTGCAGTGAGCCACTGCACTCCAGCCTGAATGACAGAGCCAGACTCTGTCTCAAAAACAAAAAAATTGAAATTAAAAAATAAAAGTAAAAAAGTCAAAAGATAAACTATAAATTAGAGAAGATATTTGCAGTACCTAAAACCTATGAAAGATTAATATCATATCAACTAAGCATAAGGAGCTCCTATGAATTAATTTTAAAAATAGCAACCCAACAGAAAATTGGGAAAAGACATTAATAGGGATTTCACAAAAGAGAAAGCTTGCAAAACATAAAAATTTTCTCAACCTCATTAGTAATCAGGGAAATGCACAAGATACTACACACCTATTCTCTCCACAAATATTAAGAAGTTTGACAATACCAAATGTATTAGTCCATATTCACACTGCTGATAAAGACATACCCGAGACAGGGAAGAAAAAGAGGCTTAAATGGATTAAGGGTTCCACATAGCTGAGGAGGCCTCAGAGTTATGGCGGTGGATGAACAGCACTTCTTACATGGCAGTGGCAAGAGAATATGAGAAGGAGGCAAAAGAAGCAAAAGACGAAACCACTAACCCATCAGATCTTGTGAGATTTATTCACTATCACAAGAATAGCATGGGAAAGACCAGCCCCAAAGATTCAACTACCTCCCCCTGATTCCCTCCCCGAACACATGGGAATCCTGAGCAGTACAATTCAAGTTGAGATGTGGGTAGGGACATAGTCAAACCATATTATTCTGCTCCTGGCCCCTCCAAATCTCATGTCCTCACACTTCAAATCCGATCATGCCTTCCCAACAGTCCCCCAAAGTCTTAACTCATTTCAGCATTAACCCAAATGTCCCCTGTCCAAAGTCTCATCTGAGACAAGGCAAGTCTCTTCTGCCTATGACCCTGTAAAATCCAAATCAAGCTAGTTACTTCCTAGATACAATCGGGGTACAGGTAATTGAGTAAATACAGCTGTTCCAAATGGGAGTAATTGGCCAAAAAAAAGGGGTTACAGGCCCCATGCAAGTCCAAAATCCAGCAAGGTAATCAAATTTTAAAGCTCCAAAATGATCTCCTTTGACTCCCTGTTTCACATCATGGTCATGCTGATACAAGAGGTGGGCTCCCACAGCCTTGTGTAGTTCTGCCCCTGTGGCTTTGTAGGGTATAGTCCACCTCGTGGCTGTTTTCATGGACTGATGTTGAGTGTCCATAGCTTTTCCAGGCTCATGGTGCAAGCTGTCAGTGAATCTACCATTCTGGGGTCTGGAGGAGAGTGGCCCTCTCCTCACAGCTCCACTAGGAAGTTCCCCAGTAAGGACTCTGTAGAGAGGCTCTGACCCCACATTTCTCTTCTGCAGAGCCCTAGCAGAGGTTCTCCATCAGAGCACCACCCCTGCAGCAAACTTCTGCTTGGATATCCAGATGTTTTCAAACATCCTCTGAAATCTAGGTGGAGGTTTCCAAACCTCAATTCTTGACTTCTATGCATGTGCAGGCTGAACACAACGTGGAAGCTGCCAAGGCTTGGTGTTTGCACTCTCAAGGCCATGGCCTGAGTTCTATGTTGGCCCCTTTCAGCCATGGCTGGAGGGGCTGAAACGCAGAGAAACAAGGCCCTAGGCTACACACAGCACAGTGAACCTGGCCCAGCCCAGAAATCCATTTTATCCTCCTAGGCCCCGGGCTTGTGATGGGAGGGGCTGCTGTGATGACCTATGACATGTCCTGTAGACATTTTCCCCATTGTTTTTGGGATTAACATTCAGCTTCTTGTTACTTATGCAAATTTCTGCAGACACCTTGAATTTATCCTCAGAAAATGGGATTTTCTTCTCTATCACATTGTCAGGCTGCAAATTTTCCAAAACTGTATGCTCTGCTTCCTTTATAAAACCGAAGGCCTTTAACATCACCCGAGTCACCTCTTGAATGCTTTATTGCTTAGAAATTTCTTCCAGCAGATACCCTAAATTATCACTCTCAAGTTCAAAGTTCCACAAATCTCTAGGACAGAGGCAAAATGCTGCCATTCTCTTTGCTAAAACATAACGAGAGTTACCTTTGCTCCAGTTCACAACAAGTTCCTCATCTCCATCTGAGACCACCTCAGCCTGGACCTTATTGTTCAAAACACTATCAGCATTTTTGTCAAAGTCATTCAGCAAGTCTCTAGGAGGTTCCAAAGTTTCCCACATTTTCCAGTGTTCTACTGAGCCCTCCAAACTGTTCCAACCTCTGCCTGTTACCAAGTTTCAAAGTTGCTTGCACATTTTTGGGTACTTTTTTAAGGAGCACCTCACTCCACTGGTATCAATTTACTGTATTAGTCTGCTTTCACCCTGCTGATAAAGACATACTCAAGTCTGAGAAGAAAAAGAGGTGTAAAGAAAAAGAACTGTAATTGGATTTACAGTCCCAAATGGTGAGGGGGGCCTCAGAATCATGGCAGGAGGTAAAAGGCCTTCTTACATGGCAGCAGCAAGAGAAAATGAGGAGGAAGCCAAAGCAGAAACTCCTGATAAACCCATCATATCTCATGAGACTTATTCACTATCATGAGAATAGCACAGGAAAGACTGGCCTCCGTGATTCAATTACCTCACCCTGGGTCCCTCCCATAACATGTGGGAATTCTGGGAGATAGAATTCAAGCTGAGATTTGGGTGTGGTCACAGCCAAACCATATCACCAAATATGGAGAGACTGTGGATCAACAAGATCATCTCAAACTAATACAGGAGGTGAGAGTTTAAATTAGAACAACCACTTTGGAAAGCAATTTGGATTATCTTATAAGTTTGAGCATTCTCATATGTTATGGCAAAGTAATTCCTCTACCATAGGCCCTGGAGAAACTCTTGCCCATATGTACCAGAGGTAGTAAAAAAAAAAAAACGCTCATGTAATTCCATTCATAATAGCGAATATATGGAAACAAGCCAGATTTTCATTAATAGGAGAATGGGTAAATTAATAGGATAATGGGTAAATAAATTATACCCTTAAAAACTAAATAATATATCATTTAAGGTAATCATATGTATGAAATAAACAATGTTTTTTTTTTAAAGGAAGAGAATCCTAAACATAAATTCAGGGTAGTAGTTACCCTCGGGCTGAAGGGTGAAAATCAGGAAAAAGGACAGAGGAGGAGCAGATGTTAGGGTCAGAACCCTGGTTCTTTGGTTGTGTTGTAAGTTCACAAGTGATTACCATATTATTCAAATACATTTACACAGAGGCCCAGGCACAGACAAGGATGAAATAGGAGCCAAGGTATGCTATGAGCCAAGGATTATGAGTAATCCAGTTTTGTGCACTTTAAGCCATTTGAAAAACAGAAAAGCAAAACAACAAAATAATTTTTAAGAAATTGAATATAGGGTGTTATGCTCTGAATGTGTCCCCCTAAAATTAATCACCAATGTCATAAGATTAGGAAGTAGGGCTTTAAGGTAGTGATTCAGTCATGAAGGGAGAGTGTTCACGAATGAGTTTAGGATCCTTACACAAGGACTGGATGGAGTGGGCTTCCCCTGTTTTGCCCTTCCACCTTCTGCCATGTGAGGACACAGTGCATCTCCTCCTGAAGACACAGTGCACAAGATACCATCTTGGATGCAGAGACCAGACCCTCACCAGACACCAATCCTGCTGGCACCTTGATCTTGGACTTCTAGCCTATGGAACTGTGAGAAATACATTTCTGTTCTTCAGAAATTACCCAGCCTAGTGTATTTTCTATATAGTAGTACAAACTCATTAAGGCACAATTCCTCTTGTCATTTTCTTCTACAATTTTCTTTGTTGCCTCTTTAGCACTGGGTCATTTTATATTTGATCCTTCATAATATCTCTTACTTTTGGTTTTTCACATTTCTGTTCCAAATGTATTCTTAGATACATATTTTCCACTATTAGCCTCAGGGTTTGCCTGGGAGTGTGTATTTCTGTGCCACCGCTGTAGGACTGTGTGTGTGTGTGTGTCTCCCATTCTCTCTTCTCTCTCTGTCTCTCACCCTCTGTGTGTTTCTTTCCCTCTCTCTGTCGGTCTGTGTGTGTGTGTTTGTGTGCGTATGCCCGTGTGCGTGTGTGTCTTTGGACGAATGTGCTCTGTTCGCCAAAATGCAATTTTTTGCATGTTGGCCAGTCTTTGGTGAGCCTCTTTCTGCATCTCTGCCTGGGTCCTGTGGCCGGTTGTCCATCGTTTTCACGGCGGTTCCACTTTGGGTTTGTGAAGGCCTTGATCACTTGAGGAGACGCGTCGGTCCCAGAGCAATCAAAGTCTCATCCGCATCCTGAGCGGCTTCTTTTCTAGGATCAAGAGGACCACACTCCAGCCCAGGACAAAACCCCACAGCAGCTCATTGTCCGGCAGGAGAGGAGAAGACCCACCTCCAAGAAGATGGTTGTACCCCTGCACGGCTCTTCTCTGAGCAATGAAGCCACACCACCATACAATTCTGAAGAGGAAGCCGGGAATGGGAGACGGCAACAATCCCTGTCCCTGGAATGCTGGCCTCTCTGGACAAGTCACGCGTTTCGCACCCCTCCCCTTATGCCCGTGGCAGTGGCAAGGTTCTGTAACCTGCCTGGGCTCTGGCCTCTGCTCTGTCCTCCCTCTTGCCCGGTCTCCCCTGTTTCTGAGGGGACTAGTTGCCTCTTGGTCTGGCTGAATAACTTCTACGAAGATCGCTTCCCAGTCCATCAGGGAGACACTTCCTGTAGATCCTTGTCATGACTCCTTCTCTCTCCAAACCTGTTTCTGCTGGATTGGGCAGGTCTGATGAGCCTGGAACACTTGGCTTCCACACGTGTCTCAGACAGAGAAGCTTCCTTAGTCTCCTTGTTTCACCTCATGGGTGGGTGGATTGTCTAGAATGAGTGCTAGGCGATCATGACTGGCCTTGTCTTCTAGGACAGATGGTGTCCCATTACCTCTGCACGTCCTGTCTCACAAATGAGGGATATCCTCTCCTCTGCTCGTAGGTGGACTGACTCCCTGAATCTTTTTTCTGTAACGAATGTCATGAAACCAAAGGAACAGGGCTGGGCCTGGGGATGGGGTTGCGGCTGGGTGCAGGGGAGGTTGCGTCAGGGCTACCTGGGCGGTGGAGGCTTCGGGGTGGGGTGAATGTTGCAGAGAACTCCTTGCTCCTCTGGCAGGCATTTCAAAATGTGGCTTGGACTGAGGCACAGGCCTCCTCCTTGTTCGCAGGTGTTCTTTGATTTTCCTTGGCATTCAGGGAAAAGCCACTTGATCCGCCTTTCCACCAGGCACATGCGTGGACACTAATGTTGGTTTCATCATTGCAACATATGCCTCCGGTGACATACATTCACACCATCTGCTGTGGGATACGCCAGTGCCACGCGTGATCGCATTGTCTCCACCTCGGATTCTCACCGACCCTGTTTGCACCTGTCCTGGAAAGCGGTGTCTGCTGGCAGGAGCCCCACGGCTTTTAGAAGTGGGGCACACCACTGCTCTTTCAACGGAGGAGGGAGGCAGAGGGCTCACTGATCAGTGAACATTTAGCTGACACCACGCCTTGAGGGCCATGGGATCATTCTGTGCAGCAGCGAGGCCCTGCCTGCCTCACCAGATGTGCTGAGCCCTTCCTTTCTAACCAGGAGGGGTCCAAACTAAGATCTGAAGAGGATTCCTGAGAACCCAGCAGGCGCCTTGAAGCTCCCCCTCCATCAGTGGAAGTCGGCTCAAGGAGGTCCTGAAGACTGGACTCCTGGGGGTTTGGCCCTGGGACAGGATACTCAAGGCCCCTTCTCCCACGCCGCCACAAACTGGACCCCTGAACCAGCCGCCGCCGTGGCAGCAGCAGGAGCCTCGCCGCCACCACGGAGCAGTGGCGTTATTGAAAGGGGACGCAGCCTAACTGCCAGGAGGGAAGCGCGAGTCGGCCCAGCCAATGCGCATGCGCGAGGCGCGAGCGGCTTCTCCCATTACAGTGGTTCCCACGGTTGTCTTAGAAACAAGTCCTCGAGGCTTGGCAAAGCGGGAGCCTTCCGCGGCAGAGCTTGGGTGTCCGGGCTCTGAGGCTCCGGTCTGACCTCTCCACGGGGTCGACGGGAATGTCTCCGGATGCCAGGAGTTGCAAAGGGCAGACCTAGATGAGGAAACCCCAGGCAGAGTCCTGGGGAAGCAGCACGGCATCCGAGCCTCAGGCTTGCCTGGACGGTGTTGGTTGGGGTGAGTCTCCTCAAAAGTCGTGCCGCAGCCGTGATCTCGAGGACAGGTCGGCCTGCATGCCCCTGGGCTGCTCTGTCAACCGAGGGTCGCTTTCTTTGAGAGCAGAACCACGCAGCCTCATGGGTTGCCTGGGGTTGTGTGTTTCAATGCTTCTGCTCTAGGACTCTGTGTGTGTGTGTGTGTGTGTGTGTGTGTGTGTCGGTGTGTGTCTGTGTGTGTGTCTCCCATGATCTCTTCTCTCTCTGTCTCTCAGTCTCTGTGTGTTTCTTTCCCTCTCTCTATTGGTTTGTGTGTGTGTGCCCGTCTGCTTGTGTGTCTTTGGACAAATGTGCCCTGTGCGCCACAAAGCGGTTTCTCGCATGGCGGCCTGTCTTTGGTGAGCCTCTTTCTGGGTCTCTGCCTGGGTTATGAGGCTGGTTGTAAATTGTTTTCACTGTCGCGGAACCGCTTTGGGTGTGTGAAGACCTGGCCCACGTGAGGAGATGCGACGGTCCCGGAGCAATTGAAATCTCATCCCAATCCTGAGTGGCCTCTTTTCTAGCATCAAGATGAAAACACAGCAACCGAGGACAAGAGCCTCACAGGAGCTCTTTTTCCCACAGGACAGCAGCTGACCCAGGTGAGAGAAGATGCTTGTATCTTTTCACGGCTTTTGTCTGAGAAATGAAGCCACACCACAATACAGTCTGCAAGAGGAAGCTGGGAATGGGAGATGGCAACAATCGCTGTCATTGGAACGCTGGCCTCTCTGGACAAGCCACCCTTTTGGAACCCCGCCCCTTATGCCCATTGCGGTGGCACGGTGCTGTACCCTGCCTGGGCTACAGCCTCTACTCTGTTGTCACACTCGCTGTGCCTCCCCTGTTTCTCAGAGGCCTAGATGGCTCTCGCTCTGGCCAAATTTCTTCAACAAAGATGACTTCCCAGTCCGTCAGGGAGACACTACCTGGAGATCCATGTTATGATTGTTTCTCTCTCCAAACGTGTTTCAGCTGGATTCCGCAGGTCTAATGACCCTGGAGCTCTGGGTGTCCATACATGTCTCAGGCAGGGAAGCTTCCTTCTTCTCCAGGTTTCCTCTCATGGGTGGGGCTGTGGCTGGGGCTGGGGCTGGGTGCAGCCGAAGTTGCTTCAGGGCTACCAGGGCGGTGGAGGTTTGGGGGTGGGGCGAATTTTGCAGAAACCTCTTTGCTCCTCTGCTAGGCATTTGAAAACGTGGCTTGGGTCAGGCACAGGCGCCCCCACCCCCCGGGTCCCAGGTGTTCTTAGATTTTCCTTGGCATTGATGGAAAGGTCACTCGTTCCCCACTTCCGCCGGCACATGCCTGGACACCACCATTTGTTTCGCCGTCGCCCCGTATGCCTCCGGTGACACACATTCACACCATCTGCTGTGGGATACGCCAGTGCCACGCGTGGTCACATGGTCTGCACCTGGCATTCGCCACTGTTCCTGTTTGCACGAGCCCTGTAAAGCGCGGTCGGCTTTCCGGAGCCCCAGGGCTTTTAGAAGAGGGGTAGGCCACTGCTCTTTCAAAGGAGGAGGGAGGCAGAGGGTTGAAGGATCAGTGAATTTGCAGCTGACACTAGGCCTCGAGACCTATGGGATCATTCTTTGCTGCAGCGAGGCCCTGCCTGCCTCAGCAGATGTGGCGAGCCCATCCTATCTCACTCGGTGGGGGCCAAAATGGGATCTGAAGGGGTGTCCTGAGAACACAGCAGGCGTCCTGAAGCTCCCCCTCCCTCCCTCGGTGGAAGTCAGCTCAAGGAGTTCCTGAGGACAGGACTCCTGGGGGTTTGGCCCTGGGACAGGACAAGACACCCGCGGTCCCCTCTCCCACGCTGCCCCAAACTGGAGGCCGGATCCAGCCGCCGCCGCGCCTGCAGCTGGAGCCTCGCTGCCGCCGCGCTGCGGTGGCGTTCTTTAAAGGGGACCCAGCCTGACTGCCAGGAGCAGAGTTCGAGTCGGGCCAGCCAATGCGCATGCGCGAGGCGGGAGCGGCTTCTCCCGTCACAGTGGTTCCCACGGTTGTCTTAGAAAGCAGTCCTCGAGGCATGGCAAAGTAGGAGCCCTCCATGGCAGTGCTTGAGTGTCGGGGCTCTGAGTCTCCGGCCTGACCTCTCCACGTGGTCGACGGGAACGTCCCCAGATGCCAGGATTCGCAAAGGGCTGACCAGGATGGCGAAACCTTAGGCAGAGTCCGGGGAAAGCAGCACGGCATCCCAGCCTCAGGCCTGCCCGGACGGTGTTGGTTGGGGTGAGTCTCTCCAAAAGTAGTGCCGCCGTGATCTCGAGGACATGTAGGCCTGCGTGCCCATGGGGTGGTCTCTCACCCGAGGATCGTTCTCGTCGAGAGCACAACCCCGAAGCCTCAGGTGTTGCCTGGGGGTGTGTGTTTCAATGCCTCTGCTCTAGGACTCTGTGTGTGTCTCTGTGTCTGTGTGTGTGTGTGTGTGTGAGTGTGTGTGTCTATGTGTGTGTCTCCCATTCTCTCTTCTCTATCTCTCAGTGTCTGTGTGTTTCTTTCCCTCTCTCAGTGTTTTGTGTGTGTTTGCCCGTGTGCGTGTGTGTCTTTGCCGAATGTGCCCTGTGCGCCACAAAGCGGTTTCTCGCAGGGCGGCCTGTCTTTGGTGACCCTCTTTCTGCGTCTCTGCCTGGGTCATGAGTCCGGTTGTCAATCTTTTTCGCCGCCGCGGATCCGCTTTGGGTATGTGAAGGCCTGGCCCACTTGAGGAGATGCGTTGGTCACGGAGCAAATGAAATCTCATTCCCATCCTGAGCGGCCAGTTTCCTAGGATCAAGATGAACACACTGCAGCTGAAGACAAGAGCCCCACAGGGGCTCTTTGTCCTGCAGGAGAGCAGCGGACCCACGTCAGAGAAGATGCTGGTATCTTTTCACGGCTCTTTTCTGAGAAATGAAGCCACACCACCATACGGTCTGCAAGAGGAAGCCGGGAATGGGAGATGGCAACAGTCCCTGTCACTGGAACGCTGGCCTCTCTGGACAAGCCATCCCTTTGGAACCCCTCCCCTTATGACCGTGGCGGTGGCACGGTGCTTTACCCTGCCTGGGCTCCGGCCTCTGCTCTGTCTTCCCTCTTGCTCTGCCTCCCCTGTTTCTCAGGGACCTGGATGCATCTCGCTCTGGCCAAATGTCTTCAACAAAGATGACTTCCCAGTCCGTCAGGGTGACATTTCCTGGAGATCCGTGTCCTGAATGTTTCTCTCTCCAAACGTGTTTCTCCTGGATTCCGCAGGTCTCATGACCCTGGAGCTCTTGGCTTCCATATGTGTCTCAGGCAGGGAAGCTTCCTTCTTCTCCACGTTTTCCCTCATGGGTGGGTGGATTGCCTAGAAGGAGCGCTAGGCGACAGTGACTGGCCTTGTCTTCCAGGACAGGTGGTGTCGCATTTCCTCTGCACTTCCTGTCTCATTTTTGAGGGACATCCTCTCCTCTGCTCCTGGGTGAACTGACTCCCTTGATCTTCTGGCCGAAACGAATGTCAGGGAACCAAAGGGACTGGGCTGGGGCAGGGGCTGGGGTTGGGGCTGGGGGCAGCCTAAGTTGTGTCAGGGATACCAGGGCGGTGTAGGGTTGGAGGTGGGGCGAATTTTGCAGAAACCTCTTTGCTCCTCTGGTAGGCATTTGAAAACGTGGCTTGGGTCAGGCACAGGCCCCCCCCCACCCCCCGGTTCCCAGGTGTTCTTCAATTTTCCTTGGCATTGAGGGAAAGGCCACTCGTTCCCCTCTTCCCCCGGCACATGCATGGAGAACACCGTTTGTTTCGCGTCGCCCCGTATGCCTCCGGTGACACACATTCACACCATCTTCTGTGGGATACGCCAGTGCCATGCATGGTCACATTGTCTCCACCTCGGATTCGCCCTTGTTCCTGTTTGTAGGTGTCCTGTAAAGGGCGGTTGGCTTTCCGGAGCCCCAGGGCTTTTAGAAGCGGGGCAGGCCACTGCTCTTTCAAAGGAGGAGGGAGGCAGAGGGCTGAGGGATCAGTGAATTTGCAGCTGACACTAGGTCTTGAGACCTATGGGATCATTCTGTGCTGCAGCGAGGCGCTGCCTGCCTCACCAGATGTGGTGAGCCCATCCTATCTCACTCGGCGGGGGCCAAAATCGGATCTGAAGGGGAGTCCCGAGAACCCAGCAGGTGTCCTGAAGCTCTCCCTCCCTTGGTGAGAATTGGCTCAAGGAAGTCCTGAGGACAGGACTCCTGGGGGTTTCACCCTGGGACAGGACACTGGCCACACCCTCTACCGGGCCGCTGCAAACTTTACCCCGGATCCAGTCGCTGCCGAGGCTGCAACAGGAGCCCATCTGCTACCGCACAGTAGCCATTGTTGAAAGGGGCAGCTGCCTGCCGTCCAGCACCGGAGCTTTAGTCGGCCCAGCCAGTGTGCCTCCACGTGGCTCTAGCTGATTGTCTCATCACAGTGATTTCCACTGTTGTCTTAATATCCAGTCCCTTAATTTTGGCATAGCAGGAGTTCTCCATGACTGTGCTTTGGTGAAGGGGCTTAATGCCTCCGCTGTCTTGCAGGAGTTTTAATACCCCTCCCATCCTGTGCTGTCTCCTTGCTAGGATCAAGACGACTGCAAACCAGCCAAGGACAAAGGCCTCACAGGTGCTCATTGTCCACCCACAGGCGTGTGCCCACAGACCTTCAAGAAGATGGTTCTCACTCCTCTCGCCCTTTGCCCTCATTGAGAAAGCTACCCACAGCTATACACTGGGACGGAGAAGGAAGCTGGCTACAAGATGGGGCAAGCATGTCTGTCACTCAAACGCTGGCCTTCCTCGCCAAGTCACCCATTTGGCACATTTTCCCGGATGCCCGTGATAGTGGCATTGTGCTGTGGCATTGGCCTCTGCTCTGTCCTCCCTCTTGTTCTGTCTGCCCAGTTCCTGTGAAGCCTAGAGGTTTCTTAGTCTGGCTCAATGTCTTCAACAAAGAACACTTCCCAGTCCATTAGGGAGAAATTTCGCTGGGCTCCCTTTTATGATTGCTTCCCTCCCCAAACCTGTTTCTGGATGATAGGTTGTCATGATCCTGGAGTTCTGGGCTTCCATACCTGTCTTGGACAGGAAAGCTCCCTTTGTCTGCATGTCCTAAGTGATGGCTTCGTGGTCCATCAAGGAAGAGCGGGAGGCAACCCCACTGTGGCTGACCTTTGCCTTCTAGAAAAGTTAGTGTTGCATCCCACCTGCCCTTCCTCTCTCATTCCTGAGGGCCATCCCGTTCCTCTGCTCCTGGGGAAAGTGCCTCCAAGCACTGAATCTTTTGGCTGCCACGGATGTCAGGGAGCCAAAGGGACTGGGTTTTGCTGGGTGCAGAGGAGGTGGCATCAGGGGTACCTACAGGTGGCAGGATGTCGGTGTGGTGTCGTTTGTCGAAACCTCTTGGCCCCTCTGGCAGTCATCCCTGAATGTGGCTTGGACTCAGGCACAGGCCCTGTCTCACAGGTTTTCTAGTGTGCTTGGCTTTTCCTTGGCTTTGTGTGGGAGGTCCCAGTGACCCACCTGCACACACCTGGACATCACTATCCGTCTCAGCATCGCCCCATATGGCCTCAAAGACACACACTGACTCCATCTGCTCTTGGGGAACATTAGTGCCACGTGTGGTCACATTGGCTCCATCTCGGACTCACCTCTGTCTCTCCTTGCACATGCTGCGGAAAGCAGTGTCGGGATGCCAGAGCCCCGAACCTTGGAGATGAAGTCAGGCCACTGCTCCACCTAGGAAGGAGGGAGGCAGTGGGCTCATGGGTCAGTGCATTTTCAGCTGACAGTTCGCCTTGCAGCCCTTAGGATCTTTCTGTGCCCCAGCGAGACCCTTCCCGCCTCACTGCATTGTAACCCCATTCCTGATCACCCAGTGGGATCCATAGTCAGGTCGAAGAGGATTCCAGAGAGCCCAGCCACACCCTGAAGCTCCTCCTCCACCGGCAACCAAAGCAGAAGACCGATCAAGAAGGTCCTGATGACAGGACCTCTATGGGTACAACCCTTGGGTCTCCCGCAGGACCCTCTCGTAGTCCTCTTCCCACCCGCCGCCTCGGACTGCGCTGCTGCTGCCACCGCTGCCCCAGTCCCCTCAGCCGCGCGTCGCCGCCATTTTTTAAAGGATCTGCCGCCGGACTCTCGGGAGCAAGCGGGGATTCAGTCTCGCCAGTGCGCATGCGCAAGGCCTGAGCCTCCGCTTTGGTCGTAGTGATTGCCACTGTTGCCCGTGGATGGGTCCCCGAGACTTTGCGAAGTAGGAGCCCCGTGTGATAGTGCGTCAGAGTTGGGTCTGAGAGCAGTCCTGGCCAAGGCATTAACAGGATCGTCTCCAGAGCCTGGGATTCTCGGAGGGTTGACCACCAGGAAGAAACCTCAGAAGGAAGAAACCTCAGAAGGTAGAAACCTCAGGCGGATCGCCGGGGCGGCAGCGCGAGATCCCAGCCTCAGGCCCGGATTCGGGGAGGGTCGACGAGGCCCCTTTCCCAATCTTCACTTCACCCGCCGCAGCACCAGTCCCCGCAGCCACCGCTCCGCGGTCATTTTTCTTTTCTTTCTTTCTTTTTTTTTTTTTATAGTCGGAATCTCACTCTGTCACTCAGTGGAGTGCAGTGGCGGGATCTCAGCTGACTGCAAACTCTGCCGCCCAGGTTCAAGTGATTCTCTTGCCTCCACCTCCCGAGTACCTGGTACTAGAGGGATTAGTCAGAGTCCGGGCTAAGACCAGTCCTGGCCAGGGCATCAACAGGATAGTCTCTGGAGGCCGGGATTCACGGAGGGTCGTCCAGGAGGAAGAAACTGCAGGTGGAGGGCCGGGCAAGCAGCGCAGGATCCCAGGTTCAGGCCTGCACGGACGGTGTGCCAGTGAGTCTCTTCAAAAAAGGAGAGGTTTGCTTGTGTGCCCGTGGGCTGCTCTCTCACCAGTGGGTTGTTGTCATGGAGAGCAGAACCCTGAAAATTCAGGGGCTGCCTGCGTGTAGGTGTTACCGTGCCACTGCTGTATGTCTTTGTGCGTTTGTGTGTGTGCGTATGTCTCTCTCTTGTTTCTCTCTCTCCCCTTTCTCACTCTTTTGCTCTGTGTCCCTGTGTGCATGTGTGTGTGTGTTGGGACATATGTGCCCTGTGCGCCAGAGGACGGTATCTTCTATGTCCGCCTTTCTTGTGGTCAGCCTCTCCCCGCGTCTCTGCCTGGCTTGTGTGGCCCGTTGTCAGTCATTTTTCTGGCGGTTCCAGTTTAGGTTTGTGAAGGTCCAGATGAGGTGAGGAGCTGCGTCTCTCTCATAAGAATTTAAATCACCTCCCCACCCTGAGAGGCCTCTTTTCCAGGATAAAGGCCTCCACCCCCAAGCCAAGGATAATAGCCTCACCGGAGAGGTCATTGTCTACCTGCAGGAGCAGTGCAGAGCGACCTGAAAGAAGGTGGTTCTCATTCATCTCTCTCTTTCATCTCCTTGAGAAATCTAGCCACAGGGTAACACAGGTTTTGAGAGGATGGGAACGGGACGTGGCAAGGATCTGTGAGTGTGCAGGCTGTGTTTCACATATCATTAAACATAGTCCAGTGAGGGTTCTGCAGATAACTGGCGTTTAAGTTTGTTTTATTGAATCAAGGAAAAAGAAAAAATACTGAGAAAAAAATGACGCAACTTGCCTGCCAGCCCATCTGACTGTTACAAATTTAATAGTAGTTTTTATTTATCTTCTCATGTAAAGGTCCTTGGCAGTGATACCTAATTTCCTAAGATAGCCTTGCTTTATATTGTGTGATTAAGATGTCATGCATATCAGAGTATCTGGAAATTCTTCTCAACGTCCTTTACATACGTGATTAATCACATTTCCAAAATAACATACCAAAATGAATAACAGAAAATCATTTTAAGTTGTGGTTCCTTCATGCACAAAACATTTCATGTGTGTCTGGCACTCTTCCGGCCACAGATTTCATCTTAACCTAAGTATTGAAATGCTTGTGCCCTTTGATTAATTTTTCTATGTAAATACTTTGATAATAAGCTACACTGAGGCCGGTGCAGTGGCTCACACCTCTCATCCCAGTTCTTTGGGAGGCCGAGGCCAGCGGATCACGAAGTCAGGAGATCAAGACCATCCTGGCCAACACAGTGAAACCCCGTCTCTTCAAATATACAAAGAATTAGCCAGGTGAGGCCAGGCTCTGGCTCATGCCTGTAATTCCACACTTTGGGAGGCTGAGGAGGGTGGATCACCTAAGGTCAGGAGTTCGAGACCAGTCTGCCCAACATGGTGAAACCCTGTTTCTACTAAAAATACAAAAAATTAGCAGGTTGTTGTGTCAGGCACCTGTAATCCCAGCTACTCGGGAGGTTGAGGCAGAAGAATCACTTGAACCCAGGAGGCGGAGGTTGCATTGAGCTGAGATCATGCCACTGCACCGTCCGGCCTGGGGACAAGAGTGAAACTCTGTCAAAAAAAAAAAACAAAACTGGTCTATACTAAAAATACAAAAATTAGACCCTGAAGGTCATGTCCAAATGAGAAAGACATTGTTTGGCTCAAATTGTCTGACACTAAGGAATAGTGCAGACTGGACAAATGAGGTGACTGACACCTGTAATCCCAGCACTTTGGGAGGCCGAGGCCGGTAGATCACCTGAGGTCAGGAGTTGGAGACCAGCCTGACCAACATCGTGAAACTCCATCTCTACTAAAAAAAAATACATGAAAATTAGCCGGCTATGGTGGTGCATGCCTGTGTATCCCAGCTACTCAGGAGTCTGAGGCAGGAGACTTACTTGAAACTGGGTGGCAGGGGTTGCGGTGAGTGGGGATCACACCACTGCACTACAGCCTGGGCAACAAGAGTGAAACTCTGTCTCAGAAAACAGAATAGTGCAGAGTAAGAGCAGATTTATATATGCATGTATGTATGTATGTATGTATGTATGTATTTATTTTCAGAGAAGCAGGGAATCTGGAATTTTGGGTGAAATGTCTGTTTCCAGAAGGTGAAAATGCTCTCAAATGGAAAATTCAGGTTAGCCTATATCAAGCTTCTCCTTGTTCTATGTGTGAAGACCATGGGACAGAGGGAGCAGCTTGAGCCAAGTCAGGATGGTAGGATGGGACAGGTGGCCAGGGCTGCTGCACTGGGAACCCTGGTGGAGGATTTGGCTGGAAATGCAGGTGGGACCAGACCATGAAGACTCTCAAACACAGACCTGAGGACTCTGAGCTTTATCCTGGGGGCGGCAAGAAGCCATGTTAGGTGAAGGAACAAGGCTGTTTCTCCCACAGCACTAGTGCAAGGAAAGGTCAGGGAGGCCCTCAGTGGAAGCTTGCTGCTGGATTTGTTGATGTGCCTTTTCTCCTGCCTGCACTAGGGTCAGAATGGCCTTGGGTACTGCACACTTCCTACCAGGAATAGAAGGCGCCAGAGCTATAGCACTTCTCTTCCCTTTAGTTCTTTGGAAGGATGAGCAAATTATTCACCCTCTCTGAGCCTCAGTTTCCTCATCCATAAAATGATGACAGTACACCAACCTCGCAGGTCACAAGGATGTTATGAAATCAGGTGAGCACAGCATAGCAGTTGTATTTTTGGGTCCTATTATTACATGTGAACTAAGTTGCCTTGTAGAAAAAGCACAGGCTCAGGGGACCTGTGTTTCAATCCCACTAAGCCCCTGTAATGCCCACCTCTCAGGGATGATGGAAAGATTAAGTTCAAGGAGACGATGCTTGTGCAGCATCTGATACCCAGCAGATACCTAAGAACCTAACCTACCACCCCCCTGAGCAAGCACAACAGTCCTGCTCCTCCTGCAAGTACTGGGGATGCTGCCTCCCACCCGCCTTAGAACACTGCTCCTCCTCCCTCTCTGCAGGAGGCATTTTGTAGGCCTCAGTTGCTGGGCTTGCTGTCCTCTCACCTGCCTCTCAGCATGGGGCTCAGAGCACACATTCTTCACCTTTGCAAGAAGCTTCTCTAGGCATCCCTGCCCCCAGGCTTGCTGAGTGCATTCACCTATTGTCTTATTTATAATCCAGACAGAGTTACTCCCTACTGTGTAGATGATGAAATGGGGACCTAGAAAGGGAAGGAAAGACCAACACTTTGAGCACCTGCAATGTGCCTGAGGCAATGTACGCATTAGCTCTGCTTCACAGCAGCCCAAGAGGGAGGTATTATTCTTCCCCTGTGTAAATGTGGGTGTTGAGGCTCAGAGAAGGGCAGTGACTTGTCCAAGGTCACATAGCAAGCAACCGTCAGTGGCTGAGGGCTAACCCAGGTCTTTCTGACTTCAGAGTGTGGGATTTAGAACAAACATTTGCAACGTGAGATTGACAGATCCATCCCCCAGTGCTGTTCCAAAGACCAGATGGGGTCGTAAGTGTGTGAGTACCTGATATGGTGCCCAAGGACTGGGAGTAGAAGCAGAATCCCATCCACCTCCACCTAATCATACAGAGAAAGGAGACAGGAGCCCAGGGAGGGCAGTGCTGTGCCCAAGCTGTCAGCAAGCAGTAGGCAGAGCCCAGGCCCCTGCTTTCCCATGCCCACCCCTTCCCAGTTCAGGGCAAGGCCACCTCTCCAGGCCCTTTCCCTCCCCTAGAGAGGAAACTCCCCAAGTTCCTCTGACCAGACAGGAGAGCGAATGAGAGCAGAAAATTCCACTTCGGCACACACACCTGGAGCCTGAAGCTGAAAGCTGGAATCCCAGACTTTGACACTCAAGAAGGCACCTCCACACTCTTTCAGCACCTCCACCTGGGACCTTCATGAGCACCTTGCTTCCCTCCCAGGGGAGAGGGGTGTCCCAGAGACACTGGGGCCCTTAGAAGGCACTATGAGTTGGCAGTGACTGCAGCAGCGTGGTGGGATTGCGGGTGGTGTAGGAAGCAGGGGAAGCAGATCACAGCACTCAGGATGGCCAGAGCTGAAGGCATCAGAGTCCCCTGCCCTTGCTCTGCAAAAAAAAAAACCCATGGCATATTCCCCTCCCACTCCACACCTCCCACGGTCAGCAGTAGGCCCCAGAGGAGGAGCAGCGAGGCCTCAGGAGGACAGCAGCCACTGCTGGCAAGACGTTGGTGTTCTCCTGTTGAACTGCACAGGTTGTCAGCATCAGACAAGGTCGCTCTGTGACCATGATGGGTCAAGACAAAGCAAGGTCACTTGGTAGCTATCATGGCTCAGCTCATGCAAAATATGGACAAAAATGACCTCATACCCCCTCCCCTGTGTCTATGTCTTCACCACTACCTCTTTGTCAATTGCAGCGTTAGCTTTGTTTTTGTCTTCCTTCCTTCTAGGTAAGATTGGGGAAGATGCCAGGTGATAGAATCCACCCTGCCTCTGACAGCATCCAATCTGGAGCAAAGGCTTATTTCAACCCTCCCCCAAGCTCCCAATACAAGCCCAAATTCTGGAACAGGTCCTTTCCAACACCTCCTTCAGAGAAGCTCCCTGGCTCCAGGCAGTGCTTGCTCCCCTCACTGCAGCAGGAAGCCTAACTTGCGAACTGCAGGTGTGCTCCAGGTGGTCACTGGATGCAAGGCATTGACAGATGGATCCCATCGATACCCCCACTGCAAAACCATGTAAGCATATCATCCCCCACTTGCACATGAGGAAACGGAGGCCCACAGGGTGGGGAAGGGAAGACATAATTTGTCCTTCAAATGCGATACCGGTGAGATGTGAGAGGCAGCACCCCTCATAACTCTTCGAGGCAGTGGGCACACCAGGACCCTTCCAGGCAGATCGGGTATGTGGTCATCCGCCCATTGCATAGCATGTGTGGGAGTTGGGGAGACCAGACATGGGTCTCGCCACCTCTCCACTGGCCCGACCTCCCTGCAGGCCCCCAGGACAGGGTTAGCATCTGCTTGCTGGCAGGCCTGGCCACCAGAGATTTTTTCTTATGTCTAAGGTCCCTGTAGTTGTGGTTCACAGGATGGGGGCTGCTCCTGAGATTCAGCACCACACAGGCACTGCACAGCACTGTGCCATGGTGGTGGGCACTCGCTTTCCAGATAGGGCCCATGTTGCCAGCAGGCATGATGCATCATTTACCCTACCTTGAGTGCAATATGTGGTTTTATAGAAAAAAACTTGGGCCAGGTGCGGTGGCTCACACCTGTAATCCCAGCACTTTAGGAGGCCAAGGCGGGCGGATCACAAGGTCAGGAACTCAATACCAGCCTTGCTAATATAGTGAAACCTTGTCTCTATGAAAAATACAAGAATTAGCCAGATGTGGTGGTGGGCGCCTGTAGTCCCAGCTACTCCAGAGGCTAAGGCAGGAGAATCACTTGAACCCAGGAGGCGGAAGTTGCGGTGAGCCAAGATCATGCCACTGCACTCCAGCCTAGGCGACAGAGCAAAACTCCATCTCAAAAAAAAAAAAAAAAAAGAAAGAAAAGGAAAAGTATTTGTAGATGAATGAAGGTGATTCCTTTGAATATTGAAAATGATTTTATTTTAGCCATTGGTCTGACACTCATTCCGATGGGGTGACATGTGTCCCTGCCTTAGTCAGCAGAGCACAGGAGTGTGCTACACCTCCCCTCATCTGAAGATTCAGCCCATGAGCAGGAACGCCTGTCTTTGTGTCATACCAACAGAGAGGATGTGTCTGGTTTCACCATTCACTGCAGAGGCAGAAATTACCCAGAAAGAAGAGATAGTCTGTTCCCGGGAGTGTGTCCTTTTGACCCAGCATGGGGGTCATCTCCCTTCCTTGGCCAGGACCCCCAACCTGAACACAGAGGTAGAGAACATGTGAAGGGCTCCCATTCCCAGGTGGTCCAGGGTGCAAGCTCTGAGCCTGTGGTCCTGGTCACTGCCCTTTTCTCCACAGCATGGCAGTCACCATCCTGGGCTGGGGTACAGAGGGGCTTTGCAGAGATCAGCATAACAAAAGCATCACTGAGATGCTGCAATAGGAAACCGTGATACCTTCGTGGGCTGCCAAGGCAGCCTAAGCTATTTGTTGCTGCACTCAGTGTCCCCAGACAGCTGTGTGGCTGTCACTGCCTCTGGTGTGTCCATTTTACTTCTCTTCTCCTGCCTCAGCTTCTGCTCTGAACTCTGTCTCTAACTTACAAGAAATCAAGCTCACTGGATTCTGAGCTCTTCGGGGTCAAGGACTGTGTCAGTAGTTCATGTCTCTTTCTAGAGATCACAGCTTAGTATCTGGCACAGAGCAGATACTCAGCCAATGCCAAATGATTCATTTGCCAGAAGGCTGAATTTCATCCATAATCCTAGTCAATGCAAATACATTTTGCCGGTGGGGTGTGTTTGTCCTCTGAAGGCGTTTTCCCAGGCTTTGTAAATACATACAGGCCATTTAGAAATTTGAATGTCAAAGAGTAAAGGAGCTTAGAAAGTAAGCATTGGAGAAGTGTGGGAGGGTGGTATTATTTACAAAACATTCCTGGGTCCTTGTGAGTTCTATACACCCTTGATGAGCACTGATTCTGGGCCAGGCCAGACACCCAGCTGGACCCAGGAGATACTGAGGTGAGTAAAGCCAAAATGCCTCCATTCAGCAGGAGGCGGGCAGTCACACCAAAGTGATAAAGGCACAAAATGCAGAGGCAGCAGAGGAGCAATGACTACCTTGTTCCAGGACTCTGTGACCTCAGGGAGAGCTTTCAGAGGAGGACATCTGTGCAAGGCTTGGAAGGATGAACACAAATTTGCCTAGCAGAAAAGGGAGCCAAGCAAATCCTGATGGAGAACAGCTTGGGTGAGAGTGTGAGCCACAGGATTGAGGGGCTCAGGCATGTAACTGGAGGAGCAGAAAGAATGAGGGGAGATAAAGTTGGGAGGTCAGCAGAGGTCAGTCACAGAAGGTTTTGAATCCTGGTGAGGGAGCAATGGGTGCTGCACAAGGGACATGGGCCTGGAGGAGATGCAGTTAGCTCTGAGTGAAGATGGAGCATGCCATCCACCAGGGAACCACAAGATACAATAGAAATAAGAACCCTGAGAAGCCTGCACAAAGAATGAGGGGCCCAGGGGTAGCACCAAGAAGGTCCCTGTCAGAGACCAGCTTTGAACGGAGACAGAAAAGACTCTTGAGGGCCTCAGCTGCTGCAAACCTCCTCAATAAATCATATTTTACCTTCCAATATTTGCTAAAGAATACTAACTATTGGAAGAGCAATGGCCCATTGATAATAATTATTCCCTCAATGTACATTTTTTACAATTCTCAAAATGCTCTCGGTCCAGTCTCTCATGGGAACCCCCATAAAATCCCATTTTACAAATAGGGAAATGAGGCCCTGTGATGTCACACCGAGGTTTGCAGCAGTTCCAGGATAGAAAATAGGAAGCACTTTCATCTCAGCCCTGGGTATAAGTCTCAAAATTCCTTTTCGGGGAGGGGGTCCTTGAGGCCATCCAGCAGCCCATAGTCCAAGTCTTTTTCTTCCTCCTTGGGCTTCTCCACACCTGTATCCAAAGCTTCCTTCTCCTCCTTTGTTCTCAGGTACCACTACCAGTTGTTGGGCAGGGAGACCTCCTGCTGCTGCCCATCCTATGTTGCATCCTCCAACATGGGTGCACTGTGGTTCAGCCAGCACCTATACCACCTGCAGCCCAGGGCTCCTGTGGTGGGCCTGAGGTTCCTCCCTATCAAATGGAGATATGCTGAGGTTGCTGCCTTTGCTGAAGCCCATGTCCAGGTCATCTTGGGGGTGGCCAAGGTTACAGGGTCCTGGGGACAGGCCAGAGGGCTGCAGGAGCAAAAACCAAGAGGATGAGGGGATCTCTGGGTCAGACCGCCTGGATCCACATCCCAGAGACTAGCTGCAAGGCCTGAGGAAGAATGGTTCACTTCTCTGGGTGTCAGTTTCCTCCCCTGTAAAGTGGGAGGTATAACAGATTCACTCCTACAGTTGTCTCTGAGCTTTATAGCAGGTAATGTGTGCAAAGTACTTCCCATAAGGCCTGGCACATGGTAGGTGATAATAAATAATAAACAGGGTTACTATGATATCATCATCTGAGCTAGGTCACTCATGCACCTCTCCAATGCTTCAGGGTGCCCCTCCATCCCTCACAGGGTAGCAGCAAGTGAAAGGGATCCCCCTGGCCTTGAGGAGCTCACATCTACTTATTTCCCAGGGGTCTCTGTCCAGTGCCCACACATGCCTGGCATGTAGTAGGTGCCTCATCCACATCTGGTGAAAGAGTGGAAAGCAGGTCATTATCATGTATTGTTTGGCACAGAATCTGCAGTAGGGGACAGAGAAGTGAGTGACTGTAGTTGTGCCCACCAGTTCCTGTCCCTGAACTTTCAGGGATCAAGAGGCCTTAGCAAGTCTAGTACCAGGGAGTGGGCACTGTGTGGTGGAGCAGGAGGCAGGTCTTAAGAAAGGCAGTGGGGTGAGGAGAGGAGATCTGCCTTTGAGGTCTGGGAGATCCTCTACCAGGACCTCAACAAAGGCCCCAGGAAGGTCATCCCTCCTCCCAGAATCTCTCTATACTCTTCTATATAATGGGGCTAGCCTGGAAGAGATACTTGCACAACCATGTTCAGAGCAGCATCATCCACAATAACCAAAAGGTGGAAGCAACCCAAGTGTCCGTGGATGGATGGACGGATCAACAAAATGCTGTCTATGCATACAGTGGAATAGTGTTCAGCCTTGAAAAGGCAGGAGATTCTGACACCTGCAGTGTCAAGAATGAACCTTGAGGACATTAGGCTGAGCAAAATAAGCCAGACCAAAAAGACAAATGTTGTATTATTCCACTTTTCTAAGGCACCTAGAGTCATCAAATCTATAGAGACAGACTGGACAATGGTGGCTACCAGGTCCTGGGGAGGGTGGTGATTGGGGAGTTGTTTTTAAATGAGTTACAGAATTGTAGTTTTACAAGATGAAAAGCATTCTGGAAATTGGTTGCACAACATTGCGAATGTATTTAATGCCACTGAAATGTAAATTTAAACATAGCTAGACAGTAAATTTTAGTTTATTTTACCAGAATTTTTATAATGGGGTAGTTATGCCTGTCTCCTTGTGTTGCTGTAGGATTTCATGAGATAACATATAAGGAACCACCCAGCATGTTGCCTGGCACATAGTAACTACTGTATTATACTGGGTTCATAAATAGCACTCCCCCTTTTCCCTTCCCACAGAGTGCAGTGAATAGAAGACACTTCTCTGCACCCCAAAAGCTCCATGCTGATTGTGAGAAGGAAATGCTGGATGGAGGGGTTCCTGGAACTACTGTGAGGGGTGAGCTTTCTCCAGATGTCTAGAAATGAGGCAGGGACCCTACATCTTCCACCCCCACTAAGGTTACCTTGCAGTTCCCAGCTGGCTCTATACTTCCTGGAAACTGCCACTTTTCTGCCTCCATTACCTCATAGCCCTGTCAGCACCATTATCTTCATCACCATGATCGCCATCACCATCCTTACAATCACCAACACTATCATCATCGCCATCACCATTCTTACCCTCGCCATTCTCACCATCATTATCATCATTACTATCACTATCATCGTCACTATCACCATTCTCACCATCATCCTCATCATCATCACCATTATCCTTACCATAACTATCACTATTATCATCACCACCTTTGCCATCACCATCCTTATCATCACCATCACAATCACCACCATCACCTTTCTCACCATCACCTTGTTCACCTTTACCATTCTCACCATCATCATCACCTTCATCATCCTCAACATAACTATCACTTCATTATCACCACCTCCACCTTCACCATCACCATCCTCACCATCATCATCACCACCATCACAAGGATCCTTGCTACATGAAACCATGCATTCTGGGTAGCAGGGCTCTTGGGTCAGGGCTTCTAACACATCTTGTAGGATAGAAACCCAGCCCCTCAGGGTCTCACAGTTGGTGAAGTAACTGATTCTTGTGAGGTCATATTCCTCTGGGTGATGTGGGATGTCACAAGACCAATAAATATGGGCTGAAGCCCATCGCATCACTTCTTTTCTTGTAAAATAAGCTCCATCATCAGTAGTAATTGTATGATAGCAGAGAATAAGAACTCAGCAAATGTAAATAATTTGATGCTATCAGAAGCATATGAAGTGGAGTCCATATTCTGATATGCATCTATTCCAGTGAGGGCAATTCTTTACCACTTCCATGAAGGAAGGGAAAAAATATTATTACCACATTACCAGAAATCTGTCTGGTCTAGGCAAGGCAGTTCCTCTATCCAGGGTCTCATTATTGCTCATTGTCGGCCGTCAGGGCACTCATCTGGGCAGTAGGCAGCACTGCTGCAGGGAAGTTCACGTTATTGGAAACATGTAGCATCTTCTCCTGCTACCATCGCCACATTGTCCATGAACCCACTGGGCAAATGATGAGGAATCTGGGAAAAGATCTCATAACCAGAATATAATCATCCACATCAGGATATCAGCATTCACCCAACACTACTGTCCAATCAACAGACGCTATAATCTCACCCAAATTTTCTCAGTTGTGCCCTAAATACAGTTTTTTTGAACTTTGTAATCCAGGATCCAATCCAGGATTTCCCATTGCATTAATTGTCATGTCTCCTAAGCTCTTTCAACTTCAAAGAGTTCCTCTTTTTTTCCCTATTTTTCATAACCTTAAGAGTTTTAAGAGCATAAGCATTTATGAAGGATGTGTTCACCTTTTTCCATCTGATGTGTTTCCACATCCAGACTTAGGTCATGTATCTTTCACAAGAAAATCACAGAAATAATGCTGTGGTCTTCCTAGGACATCCCAGCAGGAGGCACATGATCAAGTTTGTGCCAGATTTGTCCACCACAAAGTCATCATTCTTCCAATTGTAATTGAGAAGTATTTCATATGAAGATATTAATTACACATACACATGAATGCATATTTATATGTAACATACATACAAAATATTATTTCAATGTCTAACCAATATAAAAGTTATTAATTAGATATGTTTAATTTTATTTCCTACTAAGTCTTCAAAATCTGGTGTGTGTTTTACCCTGACAGCACATCTCAGTCCAGCCTAGCCACATTTCAAGTGTTCAATATTCACATGGCTGTGGCTACCATATTTGTTAGGGCAGCACTAAAGCACTAAAGAACTTCTTCCTTGGAGAAGTTCTAAGCTTTCAAAATGTTTGGCAAATACATTTTATAAAATTCTTCAGAATCCATAAATAGGCAATTACACATTTAGTAAGCCATAGAATCCAACATGGCATTAAAAATGAATCCCTCGACAAAAAAGAAGGTAGGCAACATTTTCTTCAGACCAAATGGACAAATCAATTATGATTACCTCACATGCCCATTATTATTTATTAACATCTTTCATTAATACCCCCAAACCCCATCAACAGGTAAATGAATAAATGCATTGAGGCCTATCTGAACAATGTCCCAATTCCTTACCATTCTTACTTCTTTTGCAAGCAGAAAAGACTCAGTATTAGCAAAGACTATTCAGATAGTTTGTTCTTATGCCAGTAGTTGTAATTTTCTGGAGGTCTATGTGATATCAATTATGTACTTCAATACCTCTCACAAGTACTTTTCCTGTTTGGCCATTTTCTGCGGTATATCCATGTTCCTATTTTCTCTATTCTTTTATTTCTATCCTAGACTTTTCTTTTATCCTATAATTCTTTATCCTAAAAATATTAATTTAAGGATAATGTCACAAAATATTATATTTCTTCAGATGATACTCCAAATTGATACTTAATATACAGAAATGACTATCATGGACATAACCCACAACATGTGAAATGTATGGCTCATTCTACTGACATTATACAGGAAAGTTAATGACAACTGAATTTCTAGTCATTTTCCACCCAACAAGTTGCTTATAAAATGTCAAGGAATTGTAGGTATGTACACAGTGGCTATTTTTGGGTGGGGTGTTCAGCAACTCTCCTCTTGAGAGCCCCCCTTTTCTTTGAGGACCATTTCAATGAGAACCAACTAAGCTTGACCCAACCTACCAGCCCCAGCCCTAGAGGTGATCATGATGCCCAGCTCTGGTGAAAGACTCTACCCTTGGATCATAGCAACTGTTTCAGTACTTTTTTTTTGGAATCATCAGGAAGGACTCTTGCTTTTTCTAGCACTGTGGTCTGTGAGGACAAAGTAAGTGTGTTATTTGTAGCACTATCTCTTGCTACAGAGAGGGAAGAGAGTCATCTTCAGAAGGAAAAAATGAGGCTAAAACAAAAGGAAAAGTGTCAAGAGAAAGAAGGAGAACATTTCTTGATGATTTTATATAAGCCCCTGGGTCCAGCTATGCATGACAGCAACTTGGGTTAAAGCTCTGTCGCTTATGGGACCATTGACTTAAATATAAAATAAAGTATTAAAAGCTATGAACTTTTAGATGAAAATACAGAAAAAAAATCTTTGTAATATTCAGTTAATCAAAAATGTCTTAGATGAAGCCCCAAAAACCAAATGCACAAGAACAATTAATAAATTGGACCCCATCAAAATTAAGAGCATCTGCTATTTGAAAGATAGTGTTATGAGAACAAAAAAGAAAACTCAAGGGGAAAATACTGGCAAGTCTCATATCTAATAAGGGATTTGAATCCAGAGTATATAAAGAAACTATTAAAATTTAATAATGAGAAAATAAGCAAAGAAAAAAACAAAAAAGAAAGAAGCAAAATAAACGTGAACATACACTTTACCAAATATATACAGATGGCATGTACGTACATAGATACTAAATATTATTAGGCATTAGGGAACCACAATAAAATACTATTGTACAAACAGGAAAATGTCTAAAATTTTAAAAGAAGGCCCATACAAAATGTTGGCAAGAGTGTGGAATTCTTATATACTGCTGATAAAAATATAAAATGGTACAACCATTTTGGCAAACATTTTGACAGTCTCTTAAAACTAAACCTAAACCTATTAATTATTACACTCCTAATGTTTACTCAAAGTTAGAAGAACTTATATACATGAATGTTCATTGCAAATGTATTTGCATAAGTCCAAAACCGGAAGCAATGCAAAAACCCATCAACAGGCAAATGTATATATAAGTTGTGACCGATCTGCACAATAGAATACTACTCAGTCATAAAATTAATGGCCTATTGATGCCTGCAATATAGCTGAATCTCAAAATAATTATGCTGTGTGAAAGATGCCAGACCCCTCCTAAAAAGGGTCCATACTACACTTCATTTGTATAAATGTCTAGACAAGGCAAACTATTTTATAGTGACAGATTGGTGATTGCCAGGGAGAGTGGTAAGGTAGGAAGATAGAAAAAGTTTGGGATTATAAAAGGGCAAGGGGAAACTTTTATGAGTGCTGGATATGTTCATTATTTTTATTTTGGTGATGGATTTGCAAGTATACATAAAAAATAACATGCAATGGAAGTAGAAACAGTAATTTTGTTTCTTTCTTAAAAAAGCACAATTTACTTACTAATGGGATGTGTGTGCCTGTTGGGCACACAGCACAACTTTTCAAATCTTAAAATCGGACTGGATCTCAACCACTGGACCTTATTCCTATTCCACACTGACTTTAGCACAATACTTGCTTTTATCGCGGTAATTAACACCACCCACCTTAAAGGTAAAGAAATGCACTTCTAACTAACTACTTTTGAAACTCTGAACTGCCTCAGGCTAGTAGTTCTTAAGGTCTCCAGCAAATGTTGCTTCGTTTCTCTCAAAAATATACAGCCTGGGCAACATGGCAAAACCCCATCTCTACTACAATTAGAAAACTTAGCCAGGCATAGTGGTGCATGCCTGTTGTCCCAGCTACTCAGGGAGGCAGAGGCTGCAGTGAGCGTAGACCTCACCACTCCACTCCAGCCTGGGGGACAGAGTGAGACCCCCATCTCGAATACACACACACACATACACAGACTCACACGCTATCCACTGGTGCCCCTGTCAGTTAAACACAGCATCTCAGGGCACCTTAGCACACAGTGTGAGAGCCGTGGTCCTAAACACTTCAATTAAAAGTGAAACATCTCTGGCTGGATTTTTAGAATATTTACTTTTTAATGTTTTATATTATATTTACTTTTATGTTTTAATTAATTTATCTGAATACATGAATCCAGACATTTGGAAGTAAAACAATGGAAAACATGCCTGCAAACACTAATCAGCACAAAGCTCATGTTGCTATGTTATTATTGCCAGTTTAGACTTAAGCCAAGAAATATTGCTAAGATAAAAAAGATTTTACGATGTCAGTCACTAGAAAAGTATGCCAATTTTAAATATGTATAAATATAAAATATCCCTTCAAGTTATTTAATACAGAAACTGATATAACTAAAAGAAAAATGGACTAATCTACAATATAGATTTTAACATACCTTTCAATTACCGATGGAACCAAGAGAAAAAAATCCATAAGAGAAAGGGAGATTGGATGAACACAATGAACAAACTTGACATAAACTGACATATACAGAACGTGACACTCAACAACTACTGAATACACATCCTTTTCCAGTGCACGTATCATATTTACCAACATAGATTATATGTCAGAATTTAAAGGGACTCATCAGAGTATTCAGTCGTGGGATTTTGCCTAAACTTGTCTGGCCTTCAACAGGGTTCAAATACAGTTAAATTCTTATTTCATCTAAAGAGTCCTATCCTTTTTTTTGGAAATTTTACCGCAACAATCTAAATTTGCATAACAACTGAACCCAGCCCTTGGAACTTGAAGTTTATTCTAGCCAAAGGCAGATTAAACTGTCTAAGTAGTAATGTCCTTCAAATTGTTGTCCCCTGCTCCAGTAACGGAGTATAGCTCCAAGAAGCTAATAGACTGTTTGTACTTCATACTATACATTCTATGTTACATCAAAACACGGTATAAAGCCTTGAAATCAGCAGCAGAGAGAAAATGAGATCAACAACCATCTAGCTGTGACCTCACTACTTAGTAATTACGCTTTTAGCTGACTCCTTTACTTGATTCCTAACTGCTTATTTCTGGCAGGGTAGCACTAATCCCTGACCAAGCTGACCTTTTAAGAAGTGAGCAGAACGAAAAGGCTCTACCACCAGTGATCAGTTTAACAAGCTGCAACACTAATCACTGGCTGCAACTCTAGTCACTGGCTGCAACTCATATTGTGGGTTTTAAGAGCTCAGAATTAACATGGAAATACTATTGACTCCAAAAGAAACTCAGAAATCTCTGGGAATCCAGCAAAGATAGAAAGGGTCCTCTCAATAGTCACCACTCACACTTTGCTTTGTTTTGGTAACTATTTTTATTACATACGGAGAATATCAAAAAAGTATGCCTTTTCCTCATTGTGAATGCTAACCCTAAAATGGTAAGGCCCTTGCAGGTTGAAACCCCCAGGCTCTCACTGGCCCTTCAACAGAAGGCAGTGAAGTCACCTGCAAGAGTGATCACCCAAAAGCTTCCAGGCTGGACGAGTTGGGACTCAGTTGCCAAATTCACAGTTCTCTTGGGACACGGTTATTTATGGAGCTCCTGAAGATGAGAAATTCCACCCAGGAAATTCTGGTTATAAAAATTATTCACGGCCGGGCGCGGTGGCTCACGCCTGTAATCCCAGCACTTTGGGAGGCCGAGGCGGGTGGATCACGAGGTCAGGAGATCGAGACCATCCTGGCTAACATGGTGAAACCCCGTCTCTACTAAAAATACAAAAAATTAGCCGGGCGCGGTGGCGGGCGCCTGTAGTCCCAGCTACTCGGGAGGCTGAGGCAGGAGAATGGCGTGAACCCGGGAGGCGGAGCTTGCAGTGAGCCGAGATCACGCCACTGCCCTCCAGCCTGGGCGACAGAGCAAGACTCCGTCTCAAAAAAAAAAAATTATTCACATCTAATTATCTCAGGAGACATCAACACAGCAATGTTGAAAATTTCCCATTAATTGTTAATCCATGGAGAAAAACTGGACAATTATTTTTTAAAATATGAAAAGCTTCATATAATACAAATTATACTCCCACATGTGATTCAATTTCTATTAATGGCAGAGAAGTTAATAATTACGAATTGCCAGTGGTTAAAAAAAATAAATCATTCGGCCGGGCGCGGTGGCTCACGCCTGTAATCCCAGCACTTTGGGAGGCCGAGGCGGGTGGATCATGAGGTCAGGAGATCGAGACCATCCTGGCTAACAAGGTGAAACCCCCTCTCTACTAAAAATACAAAAAATTAGCCGGGCGCGGTGGCGGGCGCCTGTAGTCCCAGCTACTCGGGAGGCTGAGGCAGGAGAATGGCGTGAACCCGGGAAGCGGAGCTTGCAGTGAGCCGAGATTGCGCCACTGCAGTCCGCAGTCCGGCCTGGGCGACAGAGCAAGATTCCGTCTCAAAAAAAAAAAAAATAAATAAAATAAATCATTCATCGTTGGAGACGTGCAGAAGGTTTAAAAGAGGTAAGAATTAGTTTTTGGGTTTGGGGCGTTTTACGCTTTCCAAAAGGTTTTGCTCTTTTTTTTTGCTCATGGCTTTCTCTCTCTCTCTCTCTTTCTTTCTGATTTCAGTTTCTTTTGATTTCTCCTGCTTAGAAATGGTGAGAGAACTTTGGATGTGGAACGTGGAGGAGGAGGAACACGAAGTGGGGATCTCCACTTGGGGTGGTCAGCACTGCGGGTGCCCAGCAAAGTCACTGCCTGGTCCACATCCCGGAGGGGTCTCTGCGCCTCAGTCGGCATCGCAGCTGATGGTGAAACTTTTGGTGTGGCAGAAGAGTGTCCACAAACTTCGGAAGGTATCCGCTACATCCTCCATAGCCGTGTATCCCTGCCGAGGGCGATCTTCTGGGGGAGCGGAAAGTCCTGCTCATGGGCCAGGGCTGGCTGGCTGGAGCCACTTGCGCGGCGCAGCCCTGGCGGAGGTTCAGGCGGCCCCGGTGTCGCAAGCGGCTGTGAGTGATGCCTCCTTGGGGCCGGAGTGGTCCCAGGAAGGCTGCAGACCAGGGCTGACCAGCGGGCAGCATGGTGGCCACGATGGAAGGTGATGGGGTTCGCAGCGCCAGGGGACCCAGCAGAGCCCGAGCCCGGGCATCCCGCATCTCCAGCCAGCATCGCGGGTAGGCCTGGCGCTGGTGAAGTGGCGGCCAGTGCACAAGGCCCATGACCCAGTCCCAGAGGCCAGCCCATTGTCAGCTAACTTCAGGAACCCCGGGCCAGCTGAGGCCCCGGGCCCCATGGGCAAGACAAAGGGCAGAGGGTCCGCAGGCGGGGCCGAGTGCAGGCAGTGCAGGCCTGGCTCCACCGCCGCGGAGCTCGCAGGGCGCAGCAGGCATCGGGCAGTGACCAGGGCTTCCAGAGGAGGCTGTGCACCCCTGCAAAGGCTCCTGCCCTGCGTCCAGCCTATCCGCGGAGACTCCACGTGCACCCCCTCCTCATTGTCCTTGTCTAGGGCCGCGGCAAGGTCCTCGCTCCCATGGCATGGCTCCGGGGCACAGGAGCCTGGGCTGAGCAGGTGGAGTAGGGTGAGCTCCGCCAAGAACCCAGTGAGAGTGGCGCCCCAGGGCGGCACAGGAGGCCGCATTTAACGTGTCAATCATCTCAAAGATTTTATGGCATCTTCTTTTTGACATCTTATAATATCTATAATGTTTATTATATCTTGTGATATAATTATTAACACCACTTCATTGTGATTATTATGATTATTTTTATAACAACACATCTTCAATTATTAATATTCCCAGTTGCTAGAGAAAAATGAAAACGACTAGTTTTGAAAGCCTCACCTCTGCCAATGGAAGCACATTCAAGCATGTCGCCAACGCAATCCACTTTCCACCACTTTCACAAAAAACGTTACTGCACAATTATACTATCCTACCCTCATATACTTTTTTTGTGTGTGTGTACTTGTATGTATGTATGTTACATATGAGATATATATATATATATATATATATATGTATATATATATAAAGTATGCCAGAGATGAACAAGTATTAGAAAATTAAATGCAGACAGGTCATGTCAGTGCTATGTATAATGTGGTGTACTAAGTATAGATGTTCAACAGTGTGGGATCTAGGCTGGAACAAGACTCCTAGTCTTAAGCAATTCTTTCTAGGTTCAGTCTCTGGAAATAATGCCTTGAATCAAATGTGTGAGAAAATCAATGGGTTTTAAAGACTATTCTATGTCAACTATAACATTTAATTTGGGGATTTCTGTCCCTTATAATGTCTACCTCATTTTGGATGGAATCCTTGAGGCCTGGTTTATTTTTCTTTTCCTTTCTACAGATCGCTGCTCAGAGTGAGGAATGGAGTTGTGTTTTGAATAAAATATCCACGCATCCTTTTGTGAGCAAGGAGCATGATGGTACTTAGACCTACCATTTCTCGTTATGGTGGTTGCGGTTACAGTGGGGCTGGGGTGTTTACCTGGAGCCTGGACATCCACTGGGACATGATACCCACTGGGAATTTTTTGTGTCAATCTGGTCTCTGATGTCCACCTGGGGATTGGGTATCCACCTAAGGCCTGATGTTTACCTGGAGCCAGATGTGCACCTGAGACCTGATGTCTATCTGTGGCCTTATGTTCCCCTGGGGACCGATGCACACCTGAAGGATAGGTATTCATCTGGGGCCTGATACCCACCAGTAGTATGGGTGTCAACCTTGGGGCTAGTGTTCAGCTGGCGTCCACTGTCTACTTGGGGCCTGGTGTACACATGGGGCCTGGGCATCCACCTGAGACTTGATGTTTAATATGGTCTGGAGTTCTTTTGGGGCCTGTTGTACCCTGGAGCCTGGGTGTACACCTGGAGCCTGATGTCCCAGGTGAACAACTGGGTCCCAGGTGATCTTCAGGCCCTAGGTGAAAACTCCAGGCTCTAAGTGGACAACCAGGCTCCAGGCTGATGTTTACTGGGGCCAGATGTCTACCAGGCCCCAGGTGAAATCCCCAGGCTCCAAATGGACAACATAGCCCCAGGTTCCAGGTAGACATTGGAATCCAAATCAACACCAGGCCCCAGATGGACACCCAGGCCTGTGGTGGACATCAGACTGCAGAAGGTCATCTGGCTCGAGGTGGACATCAAGCCCCAGGTGGATACCTAGTCCCCAGGTGGATATCAGGCCCCACTTTGACACCAGTCCCTGGGTAGATACCTTGGCCTCAGGTGGATATCCAGTCTCTAGCTAAGCATCAGGCTCCAGGGGGACCCAGGCCCTAGCTGACTGGGGACTAGTGTTCATATGGGGCCACATGTCCATCTGGGCCCTAGGTGTCAACTTGTAGCCTGATGTCAACCTGGAAGCTGGTGTTCACCAGAGAGGACTAAAGTCCTCCTGGTGCCTGGTGTCCAACTTGGGACTTTGTGTCCACCTGGAGACCGATGTCCACTTGGGACCAGATGTCCAGCTGGAGCAAGATGTCCACCTGCAGCCTAAAACTTCACCTAAGGCCTGATGTTCCCCAGGGCCTACAGAGCCTATGTATCTACCTAGGGACTTGTGTCCAGGTGGGGCCTGAATTCCACCTGGGGCCTGGAATTAACCTGGGACCTGATGTCCACCTGAGACGTGGGTGTTCCTCTGGAGTCTGATATCTATCTGGGGCCCGGGTGTCCTCCTGTGGTCTGATGTCCACTTGTAGGCTGGTGTCCACCTGGGGCCTGGGTGTCCACCTAGGAACCTGATGTATACCTGAAGTCCAGTGTCTACGTGGGTACTGATGTCTACCAGGAAAGTGATATAAACCTGGGGCCTGATAGCCACCTGGGCCCTGAGTGTCCACATATGTTCTGATTTCTCTTTTGGCCTTAGTGTAGGGCCTGAGTGCCACCTGCTTCCTGATGTTCACCAGGAACCTAGGTATTCACTTGGGGCTTGCTGTTCACCTGGGACCTAATGTCCATGTGAGGCCTGGTATTCAGCTAGAGCCTGGGCATCCCCCTGTGGCCTGAAGTTCAGTTGCTGACTAGGAATTCCACTAAAGCTTGATGTCCACCTGGGGCATAGGTAACCACTTGTGGCCTAGTGTTGCCCTGAAGCCTAGGTGTCAACCCAGGGCATAATGTCCCCTTGGGGCCTGCTGTCCACCTGCAGACTGGTGTCTACATAGGGCCTGGTATCCACCTGGGGTCTGGTGTCTGCCTGGGGCCTAGTGTCCACCTGAAGACTGAGTATAGACCTCAGATCTGATGTATGCCTGGGGCCTATTTATCCACCTGGGGACTAGCATTCATCTGGGGCCTCATGTCCACTTAAGCCCTGGGTGTCAACCTGGTGCCTAATGGCCACCAGGGATCTATGTACTCACTTGGGGCCTGGTGCTCCCACAGGGCCTAGGTATAAACCTGGAGAATGATGTGCAGGTGGAGGTGGATGTCTTCCTGGGTGCTGGTGTTCACCTGGGGACAAGGGTCTCCCTGGGGACCAGTGTTTATCGGGAGCCTCATATGCACCTTGAACCTGCTGTCTACCTAGGGCCCGATGTCCATGTTAAGGCTGGGTGTCCACCTGGGACCTGGTTGTCCACTTGGGGCCTAATGTCCACCTAAGACCTAGTGTTCACCTAGGGCCTGGGTGTCCACCTGGAGCCTGATGTTCAGCTGGAGATGCATCCATCCGAAACCTAGGTATCCACCCAGGTTCTGGTGTCGACCTGGGGTCTTATGTCCACCTGGGGACTAGATATCTACCTGAGGCTTGATGTCCACCTGGAGCCCGATATCCACCTCAGAGCTGGGTGTCCACCCAAGTTCTGGTATCCACCCGGAGCCTGGTGTTCATCTGGGGCCCAGTGCCCACCTGGAACCTGGGTATCACCATGGGGCCTGGGTGTCCACTTGGAACGTGATGTGCACCTGGGACCTGAGTTTCCACCTAGGGCCTGATGACCACCGGAGACCCAGGTGTCCACCTGGGGTCTGATGTCTACCTGAAGCCTAGGTAACCACCTGTGCCTTGGTGTTACCTGTGCCTTGATTTCCACCTGAGCCTGATGTACACCTGGGGCCTGGGTGTCCATCTGAGGCCTGATGTACACCTCAAGTCCAGTGTCCACTTGTGGCCTGATGTCAACTTGGAAGCTGATATCCACCTGGGGACTGATGTTCTCCTGGGGTCTGATATCCAACTGGGATCAGATGTTCACCTAAGGCCTGGAGTTAATCTGGGGCCTGATGGTCACCAGGGACCCAGGTGTCCACCTAGGGCCTAGTGACCAACTAGGGCCTGATGTCCACCTGGAGTCTAGTATCCGCCTTGGCCCTGATGCTACTTGAGGCCTGGGTGTCTTCCTAGAACCTGAGTCCCCAACTGGGCCCTGATGTCCACCTGAGGCCTGGTGTCCTTGTAGGGCCTGATATCTACCTAAGGCCTGGGTATCCTCCTGCAGCCTGATGCTCACCTGTAGGCTGGTGTCCATATGGGGCCTGGGTGTTCACCTGTGAGCCTGATGTACACCTGGAGTCCGGTGTCCCCTTGGTTACTAATACGTACCAGGAAAATGGTATATACCTGGGGCCTGATATACACCTGGAGCCTGTGTGTCCACTTGAGCCCTGATGTCCACCTGGGGCCTGGTGTTTACCTGGGGCCTCTATCCACCCACTACCGAAAGTCAAGTTAGGAAAAGGGCCCAGGATAGGTGAGGAGCACAGAACAGGGACCTCATTCATAAGAAATTCTGCTGTAGAATGTGTGCTCTAAGCTCTTAAAACAGCTCTGCCTCAGGAAAGACTGTCCAGGGCATAGGAAGCCCACACACAGGGTGGGATGACAAGTTTGCATCTGGCACGGCTGGGAGCCCTGGGGGCCTCTGCCCTTTTGGCCGCGTTGTCTCCTGGCTTTTAGGGTGGTGGGATTCTCGGCTCTGATTGCAGCAGGTGGATTCACTTAGCTCTCCTCCCCTTTTAGCATTACTGTCTTCTGTAATAAACCTCTCACTTTGATCTGCCAGGCTGTCAAATGCTTTGATTGCCCTCTCTGTTTTGTTCCAATGGTTCATCAATCCAAATATCCACAACACAAGGACAGATTTTAGTCTCTTCATACAGTGGGATATTTCACAGCTATTAAAACAAATCAAATAAATGCTTGTGTATTGATATGCAAAGTTGTCCTGCATCAATAACTTTTAAACACATTTTATGATCCCACATCTATATCTATACATAATGTTTGCCACTGCTTAAACAAAACAAAATCTAAGCTTTAGACTCCAAATGGAATTACAGGGGAATCTTGATGTCTGTGTTCTGCAGTTCTGTCATGTTTGAAATTGTCAAATAAACATGGTGCCTTTCCAGTAGCCACTCAGAATTCCTCCTCTCTGTCCACAAAGCATTGTCACCCTCCCTGTCCCATTTGCCCCAGCCCTGTGGAGCTCGCTGAGCTGGCACCATCATCTCTTGTAATAGACGAAGACATTGAGGACCAGAGAGGGGAAGCACCTTGTTGACATCCCACAGCTCTGAGTCAAAGTGGACTTGGTCTCCCTTACTAGATGTTTCCTAAAGTCCAGGGAGCCCTGGAGGCCCAGGAATGTAAGGGCTGGAGCCTGGGGCTTTCTGTCCTGAGGTAGGGGAGCTCACGGCTACAGTTCACGGCTTGAGTGCATTTCCTCTCAAGTACAATAACGGCTGCTTTGTAAGATGGAAAATATAAATGGCTGCCTGCAAATTTGTCAGGTAATGTGTTTGTCTCCCCTATGGGACTGTAAACTTGGACCTGTCTGAATCACCCTAGTGTCCCCAGCACCAGGCCAGAGCCTGACATATAAAATGACTGACTTCATTAAATACCAACACCTTCTAGGTGCCAGGTACTGCTCTAGATGCTGGAATCTGCAGTGAATAAGATACCCAGAATCCCTGCCCCTCACTGTAGTAGAGCAGAACAGATGATGAATAAGTAAGCATGCAGGGTGTGAGATGGGTGGGAGACCGCATTGTGGAACCAGGCAGTGTGCAAAGCGGACACTCAGGAAAGAACCTGAGGGTTGAGCTGTGGATATAATGTGGATATGATGTGGATATGATGGAGGAAATTCGCCCCTAACATGAGTGGAGACACTCCAGCTACAATAACAAGCGAAGGTGGAGAAGGAAGCACAGAGGCAAGCAGCTGGGGAGATGTGGGGGTGGGATCCAGGGAAGGTTCTCTCTTTATTGCATCTATTTTCAAATTGAAATAGGAAGCAAGGCAACAGGTGTAAGGAAGGCTGAGGAAGGTTTTAGAGGTTTAAGGAGGAAGGAGGAGGCAAGATACTGTTGCTTGGGGACAGGGCAGCACTTCTAGAGCTGGGTGCCTGGGCTCCAGGGCAAGTCACTTCATCTCTTCCTGTGCCAGCATCTCCTCAGCTGTGAAATAGTGATTATTATAGAACAGATTCATAGAGTTTGATGATAATTAAATCAGTTGGTATTCATAACATGCTTAGATTATATATTTTTTTATTAAGATAACAAAGAAGTCTGGCAGACTTATGGACTCAGGAAATGAGTGAGTCTGTAGAACATCATCCAGTGCCCACTGGAGGTTTGGGCTTGATGATTAAATGAGAGCAAAAGGCATGTGTGTTTCTCTCTGGCTGTGCACAGCCACCTGAGTGCAGGAGCAGAGGGAGTGGGTGCCTGGTTTTCAGCAGAGTGCAGTTTTCCCCTGGGAGTACAATTATTTGTGGGGCAAGAGAGTGGAGAGTGTTAGAGAGGGTGGATGACAGGCTGGGCCATATAGTCTCAGCTGGGAGGAGGGGAAATTTGCAAGAAAGTGAGTGAGACACAAAAGTGAAAATTTGGAGTCATTGAAGTGTGTCGGAGTTGGGAGGCAGCTGGAAAAAGGAAAATGGTGGTCAAAAAAAGGGTGTTTGAAATTGAGGGTCTGGAGTAGCTACAGTTTCTGCAGTGATAAGGACAAGAATTTACAGGTAGGAGTGGGTGACACAGGGAGGGTGGAGACAAGGTCTCTAGGGGTGGAGGGACCAAGAGCCAGAGCATGAGGAGGACTCTCTATGTGCATGTTGACATCACCTCAGCAGGAGAAAGTGCCCATGAACCGGGAGCCAAGTCCTCAATGCATAGGGATGCGGCCCTGGGTGCAATCTGAGGGCAAGAGCTTCAATATTGATTCCCTTCGTGTGTCACCGTGTCCTTGGGTAATTTTTCTTTGTGTGAACATCACAGAGTGTGCTTACACACACCTCAATATTGTACCTACTGTACACCTAGGCTCTGTGGCACAGCCTACTGCTCTCAGGCCGCACACCTGGGCACAGGTTACTGCAGTGAATACTGTTGGCAGTTGTAGCACAATGGTCAGTACTTGTGCATCTAAACGTATCATGAAAAGTACAGTAAAATCGTAGTATTGCACTATATAAAAATATAGTATGGTACCTAGACATGGTGCACTGGTCTAGGACACTTATCATGAATGGAACGTGCAGGGCTGGAAGCTTCTCTGGGTGCGTCAGTGAGTGGTGAGTGAAGTTGAAGTCCTAGGGCGTGACTGCGCACTACTGTAGATTTTATAAACACTGGACACTTAGGCTACACTACGAGATATATATTTCTTTTTCTATAGAATTATAAATCTTTTTTAATCAATATATTTTTAAAGTAACTGTGCCATAACGTTACAATTGTTATGTCACTGGGCTAGGCAGTAGGTGTCTTTCGGCCCCATTATAGTTTCATGGGTCCACCACTGCACATGCGGTCTGGGTTGATGGAAACATCATTTCGTGGTGCATGAATGGATTTTTATGGGAGAGCAGGATGATGAGCTGAAAGAGGGAGGCAATGGGAAGCAAGGAGGACCTATCCTGCTCAGGCCCAGGGAAGGGCTGCAGCAGAGGACAGCAAGGCAGCAGTGTCCTCAGGGGATCGGGCCTCTTACAGCAAGGAAGAAAAGGAAGAGTTCCCTGAGGCTGCTGAAACCCAGAGGGCTGCTGGTGCTGGAGCAGGATTTTGAGGACATGCAAAAGGGTTTCAGCAAGGGAGGGAGGGAGGAAGGAACTGGGGAGCGAGGGTCAGCCCAAGATAACCAGGTCTCTCCCAGGAATCTTCTGGCCACTCAGAAGTAGTGCTCACACCCAGTTGAGCCCACAAAGGGCACCCGTGCCCAGCGTGAGAACCTGGTCTGCCTATTGCCCAGCCCTGACACAGCCCAGCCATTGCTGGCACCTGCTGTAGCCCCTAAGATGGATCAGCCTGGTCGGGTCCTCAACAGCCCTCACTGAGGCAGGTAAAAACACAGGCACCTGTGATAAGAGGCAGGCAGAGGCAAGTCACATAGTAGTGTCAGACCAGGTGCTGCAGGAGCCCAGTCAGAAGGGCACTGAATCCAGGCAGGCTTTCTAGAGGCAGTGACTCAGGATTTGTGTTCCAGTTGTGATGGTGGCACATCCAGGAAGCAGCGCATGGTCCAGCTGGGCACATTGGGACTGGAGGCTGTTTTTTCGTTTTTGTTTTTGAGACGGAGTCTCACTCTGTCTCCAGGCTGGAGTGCAGTGGCATGATCTAAGCTCACTGGAGGAGGCTGGTTTTTAATGAGTCTTGAGGCCAAGGCAAGGGTCATGACCAGGGTCCAGCCTCAGTAATGCACTCACCCCTTCACCCTGGGGCACTGCTGCAGGCCCACCATCACCAGCCTACATTTGCTCCCCTCCTGCCCTCTCTTTCCAGGAAGCCCCTCACCTGTCACTTCATGAAGAATATGGAAGCCAAGGAGGTCTTCTTCAGGCATTCTTCTCCACCCATGCACTTCCTCCCTCCCTGCCAGCTTCAAAGGCATTGATGTCCAGAGAGACCCTCCCCAGTTGCCCCACCTTTCCGTCAGCCTCTTCCAGGAAATGTCCTCTGACATCTCTCTGTCTAGGTCTCCCTGTCACTCTAGTGCACACCAAGACTGTTCTCCCTTTTCCTGTCAGCCACTGAGTCCACTCAGATATCTTCTGCTTCCCAAAATTAAAATTACAAGTCAAAACAGAAACAGCTTCCATGTCCTTACACATTGTAGACACTTGGCTACAGCAGTGAATGACATAGACAAAGTCCCTTTCCTCATGTAGCCCTCATGCTAGTAGGGTGAAACAGATAATAAATAAACTAGTCAAATATTCAGCATGTGAGTTGGTGATGAGAGCATGGTGGTTCATGCCTGTAATCCTAGTGCTTTGGGAGGCCGAGATGTGAGGATGGTTGAGGTCAGGAATTTGAGACCAGTCTGGGTAACATAGTGAGACCCTGTATCTACAAAAAATAAAATAAAGGAAAAGTGAAGGAGGATAGAATGTATCAGTGGGAAAGGGGGATGGGAGAGCCACATTTTAGACAGGGTGGTCCAGGAAGGTATAGCTCCAACCACTATTCCTCTGGCCCATTCCACATCTATCCCCATCCCACCCCCTGCACAGTGCTTGGGTCAAAGCCTCTCAGTCCTGCTTGTATTTCTCCAAGAGTGATCCAGGGACCAACTGCATCAGAACTGTGGGGTGAGGTCATAGCCCCTGCCTGTGAGAAGTGCGGATTCCTCTGCCCGGACCAGAATCCCTGGGAACTGGACCCAGGAATTTCCCAAGATCTCTGGGGAACTCTGAGACAGCCCAAAGTATTAGAGCTGCAGGTTTCCTCCTGAAAAGGGAGCACTGTCTCAAGGGGTCCCGGTCACCCAGCTCTATCTTGTAGCCACCAGACCAGTCTCAGCCTTGGAGAATGCTGCTCTTTCCTCTTGGAATGCCCTTCCCAGTGTTCCTTGCCTGGTAGCTCTTACACATCCCTCAAGACCCAACTCAAGGGCTACCTCCTCCTGACGTCACTCCCAGAACTTTCTCCTGTGTTTCCACTCTCCTCTTCACCAAGTGATGTTGACATTTCTATGTGACCATCTCTCTCTCTCTCTAGAACAGAAACGCCTACAGTTGCGGCCCCCTGTAGTGCAATTTGTGTCAGTCTAGGGAGAGTGGATTTGGAGCCCAACCACCATTGAGGAAAATCCATCTGACGGACATGGTGGGTTTCAGCCTAGACACAGGGGTCAGCGAGGGGTGGTGTGACAGTGAGCACAGACCCTGGGTGGTGGTGACAGTGGCTGTCATGGGGAGGAAAGGAATGGAAAAGGGACCTCATGGGAGCAGAAAGACAGGCCTTAGCTGCAGATGGGCCAGGACCCCGCCAGGAATCCAGAACACACATCCTAATCCCAGCTCCACTGTAAGTCCACAGCAGAACCCGGGCAACGACTTTCCCCTTTCTGAGCCTCATTTTACTCATCAGTAAAATGATGACAATAACTCCAACTTCACCAAGGAGATGCTAGGCTCCATGAGATGATGGATCGGAAAATGCCTTATGTTTCATGGCACAAAGGAGAGGGATTCCTGACATGTGACAAGCACAGGGAGAGAGGAAGTGAGGGGTCTGTAAATGGCCAGGTGGCAGCCCCACCCCTCCACACACACAAACACCCATCGTGTCACCCACACTGGTGATTTTCCCAGGAGGGCCCCCGGCCTGGAATTAGCACTGCCAGGTGGGCAGGGAGGACGGCAGTCCCATTACAGGGGTGAGGAAACAGGCTGCGGATGGTCGCACAGGGAATAAGGAGCAGGGTCTAACTCCCCACTGCAGGCAGGGAAGATTGAAGTTGCTCCCTGGGAAGAGGAAGGGAGGCATTGACTGGCACTCCGTGATTTAGATGAGAAGCCCAGGCTCGGCCCAGTGACTTGAGCTTCCTGATGTAGAAGGTGAAGGATGCAGAGGAGGCAGAGGGCAGGAGGAAGAAGATAAGGAAGACAGCAGCAAACTGGAGTCACTACAGGACACTAGCTGCTCCAGGCTGCTCTGTCCCATTCTAAGAGAAAAGGAAAAGTGGAAGAGGGGATCACAGATCATGTCCAGATTCCTCACTGGCATACCTGCTGCTATGGAAACATCCCTGATGGTCCAGGTTTGTGGTGGGAGAGATTGCAACGCTCTGCTTCCTGGAAATCTGTGTTTACATCCAACACAGTTGCTGCCTGAGACAGCTCCACCTGAAGACCCCAGAGCTGCCCCAGCTTGCCAGGCTTCCCCTCCTCCTGTTATCACCCCATGCTGCTGAGAACCTGCCTGGCAGGCTTCCCAGCCAAGGCTGGGGCCTAATCTCAAGTGAAACTGACATGTCCCTGTGAGGACTGAGGAACATCCTCTCTCCCCACAGAGCCTCACTCAGGTTCTCATCTACTTCCTTGGGGTTTGCCCCGCCTCCCTCAGGAGTTTGGAACCACATACTGTTCTGGAGGGGACCTCTCACTGCTGCAGAACCTGTCCTCCAGGACACCCACAAGTGTTCATCTTGGTCATGGCTAATTAACTTACCATATGGTAGTGAACTACATTCTGGGGCCCCAATATTTTGTTTATTTTTTAAAAATAAAATTAGTACCATTGTTTATTTTCTGAATGTTCAGAAATATTTGTCTGATTATTATTTACATGCCCTTTGGGAAAACTTTATAAAATAAAAAAATATGAAGGAGAATCTTACCACACAGAGATAATCACTTTAATTATTTTTCTATTCATATTTGCACATACAGGTACATATGGGATCATGCTCTGTATCTGTTGGGAGTGCATTAATCTGAAAATTCAGTCACTTAAACAAAGACAGGTTCATTTTTCTTACATAGTTAGAGTACCTATGGTTCCTGGCTATGGTTCACTGGTTCAACAATGTTAGGCCCAGCATCTTTGTGAGTCTATTGGAATTTAGCTCACGGCTGTAAGACGGCTACTGCAGCTCCAACCACTACATGAGTTTACAAGGCCAGCAAAAGCAGTCACTTCTGTATTCTTATTAGAAAAGCAAGAACTTCAGAGGTGACCCCCAGAGGATTTCTCTTTAGGTCTGGAAATCAGTTTAGATTGGCCAGAACCTGATCTCATGACCATCCCTAGCAGTAGAGAATAGCATTGTCATGATTGACTTTGGATCAATCATAATTTATTGACTGAGAGTGCACATGTGGTCCCCCAAAGAAGATCAAGAAAGGAGGGAATTTGCAGTCTGTACTACAGCATGCATGCTGTTTTATAATCTGCTCTTTCTCTTAATTGCATATTTCAAACATCTTTCCATACTAAGAAATATAGATTCAGTCATTCATTTAACAACAAATTATTGAGAGTGTACTCTGTTCCAGGAACTTAACTTGGCATGGAGGACACAATAATGAACATAGTATACTCCTTGTCTCCATGGAGCTTAGCATCTAATGAGGGATACAGAAATTCATCAAAGAGGTTCACAAAGAAATGTAAAATTACGATTGTAATTTGTGCTGAAAAGGAGGGAGGTGTGTGGTGTGTGAGAGCATTGACAGGAGATTTGACTCAATCAGGAGGGTCTGTGATCTGAATGGCCATAAGCCAGCCCCTTGCCTAGCTGTAGCACAATTATTGCTGTATGTAGTCCAATCTCTTATTGCTGGACATTTACATTCTTCCCACATCTTACCTACTATCATCGATGCAACAATAAATACCCTTCGCTAAGTACCACTTGGCACACTTCTCTGATTATTTCCTCAGGATAAATTTCTAGGGTAAAGCCAGGCACCACGGTTCATGCCTGTAATCACAGCTACTCAGGAGGCCAAGGTGGAAGGATCACTCTGGCCAGTAGTTCGTGGCCAGCCTGGGCAACATAGAGAAGTCTTGACTCAAAAAACAAAAATCCTAGAAGAAATGAACAATTCTTAGATGTCGAATTGCCAAATCAAGGGGTGCACCATCACCATCCCCATATTCACCATCACCATACTCATTATCATCATCAGTCTCACCCTCACCATTCTCACCAGCATCAGCAGCAGCATCCTCACCTTAACTATCAGTATCTATCACCACCTTCACTATCACCATCCTCACCATCACCATCATCTTCATTATCACCATCACCATCCTGACCATCACCATCATTACCACCTCATCATCACCATCCTTACCATCACTATCACCACGCTCACCTTCACCTTTCTCACCATTCTCATCATCATCCTCAGCATAACTATCACTATCATTATCACCACCTTCACCATCACCTTCCTCATCATCACCATCATTATCACCTTAGCATCACCATCCTTATCATCACCATCACCATGCTCACCTTCACCATTCTCACCATCATCATCCTCAGCATAACTATCACTATCATTATCACCACCTTCACCATCACCCTCCTCATCAACACCAACATTATCACTATCACTATCCTCACCATCATCCTCAACATAACTATTACTATCATTATCACCACCTTCACCATCACCATCATTATCATCATCACAACCACAATTATGAAAATCTTGGAGGAAAAGAAGAGGAGGTAGCATATTAAAATACAGGTACTTTGATGGGAAGGAACAGGCAGAGTTGAAGCTGGGGAGGGGATATCAAACAATGGAGACCCCCAGAACAGAAAACTAAGAAGCTCAGGCTTTGCCTAGAATCAGAGGCATCCTTGGAGATTTATCAGCAGGAGAGTATGCAGTCAGATTTGTGTTTCGGCAGAACATTGAGCAATCTGACCAGGTCTACTTTCGAATTTTAATGAGATAATCTGGGTAGAAGTGCTGGTGCTCTGCCAGCAACAGCAGGTACTTCTCATATGGTAAACTGGAACTGTCTTCTCAGTTCCTACAGCCTTGGCTTCAAATTCTGCCTAATCCAGATGACCACTGTCTCTCACCTGAGCAAAGAAGCCTCCCATTGGTCTCGCTGCTCCAGACCTTCCTCTTTCCAGATATCAGCCTGATAATCTTCTCACTGCAAACCTGGTCATGTCCCTCCCTTGTCCCTTTGACTAAAGGGTAAGATCCAAATCCCTTAACATAACACCCCAGGCACTGAGGAGCTGAGACCCCTCCATTTCCACCTTGACTTTTTCCCCTCCCCCTGTAGTAGCATTGCTGACCCACTTGCCTTGTTCTTTCACCACAAGGCTTTGATCCTGTTACTCTTCTGCCTAGAGGGTCTTCCCACATCTTCTCTGCCTGGTGAATTTCTACTTAACCTACAAAGCCAAGCTCACCTTCTCTGTGAATCCTACTTCCTTCCCATTATGCCGCAAATTGTCTCTCTCACTAGACCTCCAGCCCCTAAAAATCAGGGACAGCTTAATGCATGTTGGAAATGGCTACTCCTCACTTAATTACCCTAATTAGCTAGTTATATTCCCTTATATTTGTGTTTCCCCATTTACTGAAGCTTTCCACGGGCCAGGCACTGAGATCCAGGGGAGGACCCGGAGGGTAGGACAAGCATGAGTACTGAAGGCTACAATGGCACAGGCACCAAGAGGCCATGTGGAGTGCAGGAAGCCTCATCTCTAGAGTGTCTTCCTGGTTTACCATGCGCTTTCTTCTCTTCCCTTATTGGAGTCACCTTGTGCTGGTTTTGATAGCCTGTGTCCCTGAAACATGCACTCCCCCACACACAAACAGACCCACATCTATCCACAGGTACCTTGCCCATACATAGAGAGACCTCTGTGTGTATCCCCCAGAGCTACAAATGCCAATCTTGAGAATGAAGATTTTGCAAGTGCTCTGTGCCAGGCATGATGCCAGGTCCTTGACAACACAAGACCCCTCTGGTTTCTCCCACTCAGCTGTGCAAGGTTCGGGGTTGAGGAGCTCCCCCTGCCAAGGTCACAGATGTGAAACATGAGGTAACAGCTATTTGAATGTAAGCCTGTAGGTCACCAAAACATATGCCATCTGCACCCCACCACAGTGCCTCCAAAGCACATGAAGACATGAGTCTATCAACTGTGACTCATTAGTACCCAGCAATATTTCCTCCTCCACTTCGTTTCTCACTGCCACTCCAGTATCTCTGCCCACAGTCCCAGAGCCACCTCTGCTTAACGGGGAGGTCAGGACAGATGCTCCGTTCCACCCAATGCCATCTCCCAGGGTGCAGCCTCCTCACGGGGAAGAGGACTACCATGGCTAGTGGTGACATGGGTGGCTCTGGCCCCCAGGACTCCTCCCCGGACCTCTGCTCAGGACATAGCATGGACAGAGGTGAGGGTACCATAAACTGCCTCGGAAATGACTACAAACCAGCTCAGACCATTTCAGCACCTAACACGCTGACAGCTCAGGGTGGGCCCACAGAAGGGGAAGGGCTAGGGAGTCCAGGGCTGCAAGAGTCCCCCCTCCCTGAGCCCTTGAGCACAGCCACCCAGGTGTAAAGGACAATATGGGGGTTCTGGGGATTCCCAAGCCTGGGCCCTAGAGGTGAGTTCTAGCAGGGCCCCCAGATATCCTCCCCATCCATCCCCTCATCCTGTCTCACATATTCTAAAAACAAGGAAACAGGCCTAGAGAGGGAAGGGGCTTGAGCAGTCTCTCAGGCAGTTAGAGACAGAGCCCAAGTTAGAATCCATGTTTCTCTCCCTTTTTTCCCCTAGGTCTGTCTCTGACTAGCTACGTGACCTTTGAAGAGGCACTCCACCTCTCTGGGCATTGAAGGTTTACAACTTCTGACATGTTCATTCCAGAGGGTTGTCAGGACCTGACAGCCCTTCACCTAAACAAAACACTCTACAGTCTACAAATATTCATATATCTCTTCTCTTCTCTGACCTCTGTAATACCTCTATGAGGCTGTGAAAATTGGTGCTTGTGTCCTATTATGCAGATGCAAATACTGGACTCAGAAAGACAAAGACCACACAGGAAGTTTGGGACAGGACTGGAACTAGAACCCAGGTCTCCCAAAGCAGGGTCCTTGCCATCACTAAGGCTAGGAATACATTTAGACTCCAAAATATGGAGAGTTGCTCAATGTATGCCACCCAGGTTAGAGCTGACCAACCCCAGAATGCTCAGCAGCTCTGGGACCCTGGAGTGGAGGACTCAAGGCAGAGGGTGATGCCTAAGTCACACACATCTGAGCTCCAATCCAAACTCCACTACACAGCTGTGTGACCCCACTTTACGAGGCTCAGCCTTCTCTACTGCAAAATGAAACTATAGAAGGTACCAAAAAGCTCAGGATGAGGGGAGAACTGCACCCTGAATGCAGGACTGCCAGGCAGGTGGTAAGCACTCATTAACTTTTGTTTCAAGCACACAAATCATACGTTGTTTTTCATCATGTCTCCCCATGGTGTCTGGTCTATGGCTCCAGAACCAGGAGGCTTCTGATCAATCTTTATGCTAAATGATGGACAGATAGATGGATGGGTGGTTGGACAAATAAATGGATGGATGCATGGATTGATAGATTGATGCTGAGATGAATGGATGAATAGATGGATGAATGGATAAATGAATGGATGGGTGCTCAGAAGAGAAGAAAGAATAAAACAGTGAGTCAAAATGAAAAGAACAAGAAGATGATTGAAGGATGGGGCTGAAACATGGAAGAGAGGTACAAGATCCAGCCCTTCTGGCTCCACTCAGCCCCACAGCCACATACCTTGGGGTAGCACTGGCACATGCTCCAGATTATACCCCTGGACACCATGATGCTGCCACAGAAGGTTTCATTGGACTGGGGCCCATCATGGCTCAGGAGGAATGTACTGAGAGCCAGAAGACCCATACATTGAAGCTGAAGCGGAAGGTCTTCTCATCTGCCAAGGTCTCCTCACCTGCCATGGCTGCCAGCATGTGCACCTGTGCACCCCTGTGCACCCCTGCCAGAAGGGGCCCATGCCATCCAGCATAAACATCCAGACAGGCTCACAGGAAGAGATGAAGCTCTTGGATCACTGCAAATAAAGGCTTAAAGGTAAAGGGAGGGCAAGACCCCTTCAGCTCCAGGCCTATTCCCTGGACCCACCAGTTCAGCAGGGCTGGAGGCAGCATGCTTTGGTGGACCAGTGAACCCAATCCCCACCCTCTCTCCTTCCCTTGGGGCCCAGAAGGCCTGGAGTGCATGTGTGAATCTGGGTGAGGGAGCAGGCAAGGGAGGGACAAGGGGAGGTTACAGGGGCTGGGCCCCAGGCAGGCCTGTGACAAAACCTTCTTTGCCTACTTTGGGGCTGAACTGAGTAAGCAGCTGATCCCACACCTTCTAGGCCCGGGAAGCAGGGTACAATTCTGCAGCCAAAATATGTTAGAATGCTGCCAGAGGATTTCAGGATCCCAGTGCCAGGCATTTCAGGATCCTAGATTTTAGACCCTTCAAGGATATGTGTCCATCTGGGATTCAGGCATGATAGCCCATACGTACTGGATGGTGACGATGTGCATGGCACCATTCTAAGCATGTTACAGCTATTAACTCACTTAAGGGACTCCATGAGGCAGGTATTGCTATACCCACTATGCAGAGGGCACTGAGCACAGACAAGTAACTTGCCCGAGGTCACACAGCTGGAAATGGTAGAGAAGCTGGAACATGAACCTAGAAGCTGTGCCCCTGGCCACAGGGCAATCCTGCTTAACGGCAGCACGAGGTTATGGGTGAGAGCTCTGATGGCAAGGCAGGCTGCCTGGGTTTAGATCCTGGCTCCTGTACTGCGCGGCAGCATGGTCTTGATCACATTACCTGCCTGTGTCTGTTTCCTCCTCTGTAAAATGGGGATAATAACGGTACCTCCCAGCATTAGCGCTATCTCCAGGCCTAGGTGTCCTGGATCCTTCTGCCCCCTTTACACTCTGTGCAGCATCCAGGCCTGCTTGTAATGAGCTCGTCTACTCCCCCACCAAAGCTCTGGTGAATTAATGTCCCTGTGGGGTATAAGTGACTGACAGTAACTTCCTCAATCTCCTTGCAGCCTAATCTAAGAAGATGCCTTCTAAAGAATAGCATTCTAATGTGAAATTTTAGTCCTGTGAAAGGCTAATGGGAGAAATCAGATTCCAAGATTACAGAAAAAACAGGACGATGAGTATCTCTAAAAGAAAATGTTCACTTGTAGTATCGATGGGGTTAGGTGGCCGATACAGGATGAAAGGCTTTCATTTGGCTCCCTGACTTGCTGGGTTTGGGGATTTCCCTGGTCCTGGTCATTACCTCTTTCCTCCTGCCCAGCATGTGCTCACACCAGCCCCTCTGCCTCACAGTCCTTCCCACAGGCTCTTTTTCTTACATTTTTTTAGAGAAGGTAAGCTCAGAGGGACTTTTAATATGCCAATCGATGTTAATAAAATATAAGTCAAAGACAAGTGCAAACATGCTTTCAACCAACATTAATGAGGAAACGACACAAATTCTTTTTCTTTTTATAATTTATTTTATTTTTGAGATGGAATCTCGCTCTGTCACCCAAGCTGGAGTGCAGTGGCATGATCTCCACTCACCACAAGCTCCTCCTCCTGGGTTCACTTCATTCTCCTGCCTCAGACTCCTGAGTAGCTGGGACTACAGGCACCTACAACCACGCCCGGCAAATTTTTTGTATTATAGTAGAGATGGGGTTTCACCGTGTTAGCCAGGATGGTCTCGATCTCCTGACCTCGTGATATGCCCACCTCAGCCTCCCAAAGTGCTGGGATTATAGGTTGAGCCACTGGGCCTGGCCCTGTTTGTTCTTTTACATTAACTTTACAATGTATTTGCCATGTTTTAAAAATAAATTTAATTGGAATTTTATTGAAATTTTATGAGACATGATTTAGTCAAAGATGAAGACACAACATTATTATTACTGTTTCCATCTAGCTATGGCATATTTCTTTTTTTTCTCTAGTTGTCTTTTATATCACTCAATAAAATTTGTGGCTCTGGTACATTTCATAATAATCATACATTATATTTCATTATTTCTAATTATTATAATGGATCACATGTACATTTACTATGTACCACATATTATGAGATAATGAATATATTCATTATCTCAATTCATAAAACAATCATGTGATTTAGTTGGTGTTATTACTAGATTATTACCATTGTACAAGTAAAGAAAATAAAGACAAAAAAAAAAAAAGAAAAGAGACTCAGCAAAATCAAACCAATAAAGACTTAATCAGAATTGTTGGGCATATAATAAAAATTTAATACAACTCAATGAAATGAAAAAAAACATTTTAAAAAATGACCAGGCAGATTTGAGAAGGAGCCAAACAGAAGTTCCAGAAATAAAAACATAATTGTTGAAATTGAAGACAGATTTGACAGCAGCTTACATATAATTGAAAAGGAAAATGTAAACTGGAAGACAGGCTGAAGAAATTGCTCAGAATGAAGCCCAAAGAAGTAAAAAGTAAGAAAGAAACAAGAGACATGGAAGACAAGAATGATAAGATGTTACAACTAACAGGATTTCATAAGTAGAACAATAAACTGTTAGAAAGGTTTTGTAAAAAAGATAATAGCTTGGAATTTTCCCAAAGTGATGAAAAACTCCACCCTTCATATTCAGGAAGCTCAATTTAAAAGGGAAAAAAAAATCACCTAAATGTATCATCATAAAAATAACGGAACCCTGAAGAAAAGAATATATTGAAAACAAACAGAGAGAAAATTCACATTATCCATGAAAGAATATGGATTTAGACCAAGAGCTAATGTCTTAAAAATGGAAGCAAGGAGACAATGTACTAAGAAAAAATAATCACATACGAAATTAATATATCTTTTACTAAACAGGCCAAATATAAGACAATATTTAAGTCATAAAAACTAAACAAATACTGAATTTGCTAACTAAAAGACCTTCACTAAAGGAAATTCTAAGAGATGTTCTTCATTAGAAGGGTGTTCCCCTAGATGGAAGACTTGAATTGCGAGAAGAAATGGTGAGTACGTAAGAAGACAAATATGTGAGTAAATATAAATGAACATTGACTATACAACATGTAGTTTCCAGTGGATTAAGAATAAGATGAGAAGCAAAACCATAAAACTTCTAAAGATAATATAGTAAGACTACCTTAATAGTCCCAGTGGGTTTTCATATAAAACCTAAACAAATTCTGTTCACCAAAAAAACACTATCAGGATCAAAGACCCAAATATAAGGGGTAAAACTATAAAATTTGTAGAAGAAAACATAGGTATAAATCTGTGACCGTGAATTAGTCAATGGGTCTTAGATACAACACCAAATGCAAGAGTGACAAAAGGAAAAAACAAACTGGACTTTAACAAAATTCAAAACTTTTGTACATCAAAGGATACCATCAGGAAAGTGAAAAGAACCCACAGAATGAGAGAAAATATCTATTAAGTCATACATCTGATGAGGAACTAATGTCCAGAATATATAAAGAATTCTTAGAATAACAAAAAGACAACCCAATTAAATGAGCAAACAGTCTAAATGAACATTTCTCTAAAAAGATATACAAATGGCCAATCAGCACACGAAAGGATGCTCAACATCATTAGTCATTAAGGATATGCAAGTGAAAACTACAACTAGATACAACTTCACATCTACAAGGATGGCTATATTTTTTTAAAAAACAAAAATAACAGATGTTGGCAAGGAGGTAGGAAAAAATGGAACCTCCATAAACTGCTGGTAATAATATAAAATGGTACAGAGACTTTGGAAAACAGTTTTGAAGTTTTTCAAAAATTTAAACATAGATTTACCATAGGTCCACTCCTAGATATATAAAGAAAATTGTAAAAATACGTCCAGACAAAAATGATTACATGAATCTCATCACAGTACATTATTAATCATAGTAAAAAAATGAACACAACTCAAATATCCATCAACTAATGAATGGATAAACAAAACATAGTATACTCATGCAATGGGATTCAGGCATATAAAGCAATGAAGTGCTGACACAAGATACAACATGGATGAATCAGGACAACATGCTAAATAAATGAAGCCAAACACAAAAGGTCACATATGATTCTGCTTTTTCTGATATTTGGCATATGCTAGTCCATAGAGACAGAGAATAGACTAGTGGTTGCCAGGGGCTGGGGAAAGGGGGAAATGGGGAGTAACTGCTAGTAAGTATGGAGTTTCTTTTTGAAATGATAAACATGTTCTAGAGTTAGAGAGTGGTGATAGCTGTACAACTGTATGAATACATTAAAAGCACTTAAAGCGCCTGCAGTCCCAGCTACTCGGGAGGCTGTTGCAGGAGAATCGCTTGAACCTGGGAGGCAGAGGTTGCAGTGAGCCAAGGTCACACCACTGCACTCCAGCCTGGGTGACACAGTGAGACTCCAATTCCAGAAAAAAAAATGCACTTAGTGTACACTTAAGAGTGGATACTGGGCTAAAAGTGAAGTGACAGGCCTCAAACTAGGCAAATCTTCTATACACATATCTGACAAGGGACTTCAGGAAATCTTAAAAGTTTCAATGATGAAATAGGAGACTATAGACAAAAGACTTGAACAATGCATATAAGGAACCCAAATAACCCACAAATAAATGAAAATAAGCTCAGCCTCCTTTCAAACCACAGAAGACTATTTCATATTCAACTGAAAAAAATGATATCAAGTAAAGGCAAGAATGTGCACAAACCAGTACCCACATAAGCTGCCAGTGGGAATGTAAAATGGTGTTACTTCTTAGCAAATTTGGTATCATCTATTAAATAGTTCACTGTGCATAATCTTGGGGCCAAGCACTGCCATTACTGGGCACATGCAACGGAAAATCTCTACATGTGAACCAAAAACCAGCACCATCGTTTGTATGGATTATAAAAAAAATCAAAAATAGAATGGACAAACAAATTTCACTCTCTACAATCATATAATCAGACAGTGCAGCAAGGAAAATGAATGAATGTAAGAAAACCACAATGGTAGCAAAAAACAGCAAGTCAGAATATATAAGGAATGATTCCTTTTATGTAAAGTTTCAAAATATGGAAAACTCAAAAATATCTTCTGTAGGGAGAAAAACATACATTCTTAGAATATATTAGACGAAGACTTTTACTTGTTTCTTTTTCAGTTTAAGGATCTGCTGTTCTACTTTTGCAATTTCTCGATCTACACGATCCATACACTCTATTAACTCTTCCTTTGAAAGTTTTGAAGGTGAAGCATTTTGATCATCTCCACACGGTTGCCCCAGAATTGGAGAGGATGGAGCTTCATGTTTGCCTCCAAATGCTGGATCCTTTAGAGAATAAAACCAAGAAAAACAATTCATTTCTCACTAATAGAGTCCAGATTGCCTTAAATGAAAAAGTCAGTTTTAAACCACAGCAGAGCCATGTGTACTATGTGTCTAATGAAACCTTTAGTAGTAACTTTCATATTTACATATATGCAAATTCTCACCTCACTTTTATAGTTTAGATATACCCTGTACTATTTTGAAGAGCCTAAAAGCTATACAAAGTCAGGTGAGTTAGTGTTGATCAGCCTCTAGTGTAACAATACTGAAATTATAGAGAATTTATAGGTAAATAATGCAATCATGACAAAGGAAGATACCAACTTCTCAGCCATTTCCTTGCAATGGCTCTTCAAATGGTCTGAACAACTAGCTGGGAAAGAGTATTATTCCAGGTAAAACTTGTGTGTCCACCCAACTTAACAACTGTAACATGGCCAAGTGTTCCTATCAAAAGTTTTCAGGCTTTCCAAACCAAAAGTGAGGTACACAAGTCAGAGAAGTGACCTGGGAACTTCAGCTGCTACTATCTCTGGGCCTACTTTCATAAAGCCCACACTACAGCATACGTAACATTTCCTTAGCCAAAAACATCCCATTGCACCTCCAAATCAGCAGAGCTGTAGCAGAATGAAAGCCCCTTCACCCAAAATCCACTACCCTCCAACACACATCCACACACACCCTATTAATTTCCAGTCTGCTGTAAAGATATAAGCAATATTATGAAACAGATAAATTTTAGAGTACTAATTTTATTTAGACTATGAGAAACCTACAATGAGGGTGGTTCACAGGATTACAGAACCCTAAAATGTATTAAATAATGATTAAGGAACTGTGAAAAGTCAATAGTTCTGAGCCAAGAATGCATACAGGAGATAACTGGACAGTTGCTTCAAAACACTTTAGTACAGATATTTCAGCTAGTATACATTGATGAAAAGCCTCATATTCTCTAATAGTATGCACTGAATCTAAGAGGCCTTCTGGGAAAATAAATTATGGCTATACCCTAAAACCTGAAAAATTCTGTGAGGAAAGCACCAATAAAAGCAATAACAATTCTAATAAACTTAATAGAGTTAAAGCTCCAGTATCCTTTGCATCTGGCATACAGTCAATCTTTGGCAGCTTTAAGCCCTACAGTTTATGTCCCTCTCTTAAGATGTAAATCCGTGAGGTCATTGGCTTCCAAAGTAAACCAGTACGTTTCATCTAAATAAAATATCAGTGGCCGGGCATGGTGGCTCATGCATGTAATCCCAGCACTTTGGGATGCCAAGGTGGGCAGATCACAAGGTCAGGAGTTCAAGACCAGCCTGACCAACATGGTGAAACCCCATCTCTACTAAAAAATACAAAAATTAGCTGGGTGTGGTGGTGGGCACCTGTAGTCCCAGCTACTCGGGAGGCTGAGGCAGGAGAGTGGCTTGAACCCAGGAGGGAGAGGTTGCAGTGAGCTGAGATTGCACTACTGCACTCCAGCATGGGTGACAGAGCGAGACTCCATCTCAGAAAAAAAAAGAAAAAAAAAGTCAGATTTGGCATATAACCATCTTTATCAACCTCTTTTTCTCCCCCTCCCTCCTTTATCAACGTTAAAAAACATACAAGAAAATTTGTCTTCACATTGTCTTTTCAGTGCTCGAATCTTCACTAACACTATGAAAAGCACAACAGTTCCTAAATTCACTAAGTCAGTTACTACTTGCAGTAAATGAAAACTAAATGCAGAATGTTCAAATATTTTTAAGTCTTCATGTGTTGTGAAGCCTTTTTCTTTCATTATGAGACAGCGTACTTCTGAGAACTTAGAAATGTTAATGCATAAAGAAAGATCTTTGGTGAACCACCAGGACTTTCATGATACATTAATTTCATTCTCCCACTATATGCATATGAGTAAATTTGTGTTACAGAAACATATATAATAGCAAAAGAGATTACATTTTGATTCAGCAGACTTCAAAAGTGCTCCTCAGGTGATTCTGATGCATGCCCAAAGAATTAATATTACAAATGAATATTTTCCACTGAATTCCTTTCTAAATATTAATTATTTAATAAGAAACCAAATCCTCAAGTGCCTACTTATATAACAGGAATAGGGTGGTGGATCAAAACAGACAAGATATCTGCCTTCATGAAGCTTACAATCTTGGGTTGAAACAGCCAGATACCAATCCTGAAGAAAAAGAATTAGATTCTTACCTCATATCTTACATAAAAAAAAGCCAAGTAACAGCAAACATTTATAAGAGGCTTATTAGCAAATCACAAAAAGCCTCAAGTTAAAAAAAAAAAGAATACATTATCTTGGGTTCAGGAAGGCCAAAAGCAAAAGATATAAAAGACATTAGTTTTCAAAAATGAAAAATTGATGGATAAAATAAAAAACAGTCTTCTGCTCAGCACAATGGCTCACACCTGTAATCCCAGCATTTTGGGAGGCTGAGGCAGGCAGATCACTTGAGGTGAGGAGTTCGAGACCAGCCTGGCCAACATGGTAAAACCCCATCTCTACTAAAAATACAAAAATCAGCCAGGTGTGTTGGTGTGAGCCTGTAATCTCAGCTACTTGGGAGGCTGAGGCAGGAGAATGGCTTGAACCCGGGAGGCGGAGATTGCAGTGAGCAGAGATGGCACCATTGCACTCCAACCTGGGCGACAGAGGAAGACTCCATCTCGAAAACAAAACAAAACAAAACAAAACAAAAAAACCCACACATGCAAAAACACAATCTTCTGCTTATCAAAACAGTAATAACAAATTAAAAAGGCAAATGATTAAATAGGAAAACCATTGCAAAACATGTACTCTAACAACTCAATATAAAATAAACCAACAGAAAAATGGGAAACATATATGAAAAAATAATTTACAAAACAAGAAAAATAACCAATAAACAAAAAAATGTTAAATTTTACTAACAAATAAGTATAAGTTAAAAACAATCATCAAATTAACAATCTTTTTGTTAAACAATAAGCGTGGTGTCAGCAAGGATACAGAAGGAGTGGGTACCTTTATTTATTTTTATTTTTGTTTTTTATTTTTTGAGACAAAGTCTCACTCTTGTCCCCCAGGCTGGAGTGCAATGGCGCAATCTCTGCTCACTGCAACCTCCACCTCCCGGGTTCAAGAGATTCTCTTGCCTCAGCCTCCTGAGAGTAGCTAGGATTACAGGCGCCTGCCACCATGCCCGGCTAATTTTTGTATTTTTAGTAGAGATGGGGTTTCACCATGTTGGCCAGGCTGGTCTCGAACTCCTGACCTCTGGTGATCTGCCTGCCTCGGCCTCCCAAAGTGCTGGGATTACAGGCATGAAATAAATAAATAAATAACTATATTTAAATAAAGTTATATAAATAACTTTAAACAGTGAACTTTATTTATTCATATGTGGAATTCTAAGTAGCCACTAACAATACAGTTGTAAACTTATTGGCACAAAAAGAAGCTAAGCACGTATTTAAGCAAAAGTAAAGTTAAACAGAATGTACAAAGTGAGCACATTAAAGTATTCATACGGGCTGACTCTGGACACACTGCCTAGGGGTTAGCCCTGTTCCACAAGGAGCAGCAGAAAAAAAAAAAAAAAAAACCATAAATTTAAATTAAATTCAATTTAAATTTAAATCATACACACACAAATAGGGAAGAATCAACATGAAAATGTTCATAACTTTTAAGTGGTAAAACTGTAGGTAATTTTTTTCTTTCAAGCTTATTTAACTCTTCTATAAATGATATACCTAAGCTTAACATTAAAAAAAAAATCTAACAAATGTTAGTTCTTTTTAAATCCTTACTTCTGGAGGTGGGCAGTTGGGAGAGAATGGGGAGAGGGAGATGGAAAGAGAAGTATTAGTTAGTAGTAGTAGTCATGGTTTACACTTTAGAGGAAAAAAAGCAGGACTAGAGTCAGGGGTCCTGGGTTAATTCCAACTCGGGAGGTACTATCTAGGTCACTTAATTTTTCTGAACATCCAGTTTCTCAACTATAACATGGAAATGCATCACACTACAACACAACACGTCTCATTTTAATGAATGAGTTTTTAAGACACTTTTCTGCTAAAAAACGAAATTCTATAAATTACATTTGTGGTAATGTATTCAGCCATGGAAGATGACCTTTATTCACTATATTTTTAAATTTCTTTTTTTTAATGCAGCAGAACATTTCTTATAAACCCCACAGACTACTGTATGATAAAAGATATTTCACATGATAAGGTGGGTCACAAAACACCTAGAAGCTTAGCTAATTTCTAGCTTACGGCAAAGAATTTTTCCCCATCCAACTTACTATTCCAAAAAATTTCAAATTCACTTAAAAGTTGAAGGAACAGTATAGTGGACACTCATTTATCCTTCATCTGGATTCACCAGTAGTTAACATTTTAACATATTTGCTTTCTGTGTGTGTTTGTGTATGTGTATAAAACTTCATTTTGGCTGAACTATTTGAAAATAAATTGTAGATACATTTATTATCTTTTAAATTACTCTTCATTGCCTGAAAACTCAAAGAAAATGTGGGGGTACTTATTTATTTGATATCAGGGAAGAAAGGGCAATTAGGCATAAAGGTTAATAAACATTATAGAAAAAAGATTTGATGGCAGTAAAAACATTTTAAACTTCAGTATGCTTAAAAAAAAAGAAAAATTGAAACAAAAAGACACTGGGAAAAATATTAGAATATGTTAGGCAGGCAGATCACTTGAGGCCAGGAATTCGAGACCAGCCTGGCCAACAGAGTGAAAACTTGTCCCCACTAAAAATCCAAAAAATTAGCTGGGGCCGGGCATAGTGGCTCACGCCTGTAATCCCAGCACTTTGGGAGGCTGAGGCGGATGGATCACCTGAGGTCAGGAGTTTGAGACCAGCCTGACCAACATGGAGAAACCCCGTCTCTACTAAAAATACAAAATTAGCCGGGCATGGTGGCACATGTGTGCAATCCCAGCTACTTGTGAGGCTGAGGCGGGAGATTCACTTGAACCCGAGAGGCAGAGGTTGTGGTGAGCCAAGATCGCATCACTGCACTCCAGCCTGGGCAACAAGAGTGAAACTCCGTCTTAAAAAAAAAAAAATTAGCTGGGCATGGTAGTGCATGCCTGCAGCCCCAGCTACTCAGGTGGCTGAGGCATGAGAATTGCTTGAACCCAGGAGGTGGAGGTTGCAGCGGGCCGAGATTGTATCACTGCTCTCCAGCCTGAATGACAGAGAAAGAATGCCTCAAAAAAACAAGTAGCCACAGGGGGGAAAATGTGTTTTATATATTAATGAACAAAAATTAAGAATGACCACAGGCTTCTAGTCAGAAACCATACAAGCCAGAATACAATGATATGACATCTCTTAAAATACTGAAACTGTCAACTTAGAATTCTATATCTAGTGAAAATAGTCTTCAGAAATAAAAACATTTTCAGGCAAATAAAAGCTGAGAGAATTAATTGCCAAAAGACCTAAACTGAGAGAAATGAAGTGCTTCAGGCAAAAACACAATAATATCAGAAGAAAACCTGAATACAAAAAAGAATGAAGGATGTCAGAAATGATATATACACAGGCAACTAGAGAAGGAAAAAAACAATAAAGAGTAGAAATCAGTGAATTAGAAAAATAGTGAAAATGATTGAAACCAAAGCTAGTTCTTCAAAAATCTATTAAACTGATAAACCTCTAGGCGGACTGATTAAAAAATAATAATAAAAATTATCAACATGAGGAACAACATCGCAACATATCTCAAAGGCACTGAAATTATGAGGAAATATTGTGACAAATTATTTCAATAAATCTGATACCTTAAACAACAAAATATACCCAAACTGACTCAAGAAAAAATTGAGTGTCTCAATTATAACTATTAAAGAAATTGAGTTCATATTTAAATTCTTCCCACACAAAAAAATTCTGGGCCCAACAGTTTCACTGATGAATTCTATCAAATATCTAAGGATGAAAAAATATCAATCCCAGCCACACGTGGTGGGTTCACACCTGAAATCCCAGCACTTTGGGAGGCTGAGGCTGGTAGATCACCTAAGGTCAGGAGTTCGAGACCAGCCTGGCCAACATGGCGAAACCCTGCTAAAAATACAAAAAATTAGCCAGGCATGGTGGCGGGTGCTTGTAATCCCAGCTACTTGGGAGGCTGAAGCAGGATAATTGCTTGAACCAGGAAGAGGAGGTTGCAGTGAGCTGAGATCACGGAATTGCCCACTCTAGCCTGGGTGACAGAGCAAGACTCAAAGAAAGAAAGAGGAGAAAGAGGAGAGAGAGAGAGAGAGAAAGAAAGGAAGAAAGAAAAAGAAAAACAAAGAAAGAAAGAGAAGAAAGAAAAAAAGAAGAAAGAAAGAAAGAAAAAGAAAGAAAGAAAGAAAGAAAGAAAGAAAAAGCAAGAAAGAGGCCAGGCGCAGTGGCTCATGCTTATAATCCCAACACTTTGGGAGGCTGAGGTGGGAGGATCACTTGAGTTCAGAAGTTTGAGACCAGCCTGGCCAACATGGTGAAACCCCATCTCTACCAAAAAATACAAAAATTAGCCAGGTGTGGTGGCACTCATCTGTAATCCCAACTACTCAGGAGGCTGAGGCAGTAGAATCACTTGAACCTGGGAGATGGAGGTTGCAGTGAGCCGAGATCGCACCACTGCACTCCAGCCTGGATGACAGAGCAAGACTCCATCTCAAAGAAAAGTACCAATCCTACACAAACCCCTTAAGAAAACACAGGAGTAAAGAGCACTCTCCAAGCTAACATCATTCTTAATGCAGAAAGACTGAAACTCAATGCTTACCACACCACATATAAAATTTTAATTCAAAATAGGTAATTTACCTAAATGAAAGCCCTATAATTATAAAACTTAGAGAAGAAAACATAAGTGAAAATTGGTCGGGCGCGATGGCTCACACCTGTAATCCCAGCACTTTGGGAGGCTGAGGCGGGTGGATCACGAGGTCAGGAGATTAAGACCACCCTGACTAACAGGGTGAAACCTCATCTCTACTAAAGATACAAAAAAAATTAGCTGGGCATGGTGGTGGGCCCCTGTAGTCCCAACTACTAGGTATGCTGAGGCAGAAGAATGGTGTGAACCCGGGAGGTGGAGCTTGCAGTGAGCTGAGATTGCACCACTACACTCCAGCCTGGGCAACATAGTAAGGCTTCATCTCAAAAAAAACAAAAACAAAAACAAAAACAAAACACAAGAAAAATAGAAAAAAAGAAAACGTAAGTGAAAATCTTAGTGACCTTGAATTTGGCAAAAACGTCTTAGGTTTGACGCAAAAAGCACAAAAAATGAACAATAAAAATAATACATTGGGACTGGGTGCAGTGGCTCACACCTGTAATCCCAGCACTTTGGAAGGCCGAGGAGGGCGGATCACCTGAGGTCAGGAGTTCGAGACCAGCCTGGCCAACATGGTGAAACTCCATCTCTACTAAAAATACAAAAATTACCTGGGCATGGTGGCACAAGCCTGTAATTCCAGCTACTCAGGAGGCTGAGGCAGGAGAGTTGCTTCAACCTGGGAGTCAGAGGTTGCAGTGAGCTGAGATGGTACCATAGCACTCCAGCCTGGGCAACAGAGCAAGACTCTGTCTCAAAAAAAAAGTACATCGGACTTGATAAAAATAAAAAATGTACGCTCTCCAAAGGATACTGTTAAGAAAATGAGGCAATACTTTTTTTTTTTTTGGGAAAAGTGGCTTAATTTCTTTTTTTTTAACTTATTATTATTATACTTTAAGTTTTAGGGTACATGTGCACAATGTGCAGGTTAGTTACATATGTATACATGTGTCATGCTGGTGCGCTGCATCCACTAACTCGTCATCTAGCATTAGGTATATCTCCCAGTGCTATCCCTCCCCACTCCCCACACACCACAACAGTCCCCAGAGTGTGATGTTCCCCTTCCTGTGTCCATGTGTTCTCATTGTTCAATTCCCACCTATGAGTGAGAATATGCGGTGTTTGGTTTTTTGTTCTTGGGATAGTTTACTGAGAATGATGATTTCCAATTTCATCCATGTCCCTACAAAGGACATGAACTCATCATTTTTTATGGCTGCATAGTATTCCATGGTGTATATGTGCCACATTTTCTTAATCCAGTCTATCATTGTTGGACATTTGGGTTGATTCCAACTCTTTGCTATTGTGAATAATGCCGCAATAAACATACATGTGCATGTGCCTTTATAGCAGCATGATTTATAGTCCTTTGGGTATATACCCAGTAATGGGATGGCTGGGTCAAATGGTATTTCTAGTTCTAGATCCCTGAGGAATTGCCACACTGACTTCCACAATGGTTAAACTAGTTTACAGTCCCTCCAACAGTGTAAAAGTGTCCCTATTTCTCCACATCCTCTCCAGCACCTGTTGTTTCCTGACTTTTTAATGATTGCCATTCTAACTGGTGTGAGATGGTATCTCATTGTGGTTTTGATCTGCGTTTCTCCTAATAATCTAGATACAACAAATATATAGATATATGTTTTCTAAGTAATTTTACCTATAATAATCAAAAACTGGAAAAGTTGACCGGATAAACCAATTGTGGTATACCCATACTCAACAATAAAAAGGAATGAACTGGGACATTCCAGACATGGATAGATAGCAGAAGTATTATGGGAAGCAAAAAAGGTCATAGACAAAAGAGTTCCCATGAAGCTCAGAACGTATACAATGATTTATGATAGAAAGCAGATCAGTGGTTTCCTAGGAGCTGAGGTTAGTAGGAAGTGGGGGAGGAGGACTGACATGGGTGGGTGTCAAGGAGAATGGGGTGCCAAGGAATGTGCTGGAGTGTTAGAAATGTTGTTCATCTTCATTTTGGTGATGGTTCTATGAGTTTATGAATTTGTCAAAATTTGTTACAATGTACACATATAATGAGTGCATTCTAATATAGATATATGTGTATATATATAAACTAAACTGCAAAGTTAATTTTGTTTTTTTAAGATGGGGTTTCACTCTTGTTGCCCAGGCTGGAGTACACTGGCACGACTTTGGCTCACTGCAACCTCTGCTTCCCGGGTTCAAGCGATTCTCCAGCCTCAGCCTCCCAAGTAGCTGGGATTACAGGTGTCTGCCATGATGCCTGGCTAATTTTTTTGTATTTTTAGTAGAGATGGGGTTTCACTATGTTGGACAGGCTGGTCTCAAACTCCTGACCTCAAGTGATCCACCTGCCTCAGCCTCCCAAAGTGCTGGGATTACAGGCGTGAGCCACTGCGCCCAGCCTGATTTTATGAAAAAAACAGCAGCAACAATAATCCGGAAAATTGGTAATCAGATGAGTAACACCAGGGTAGGGGGACAACACAAGCAAAAATCAACACCCAATCATGACAGAAATTCTCAAACTAGGAACAGAAAACAACCTCTTCAACCAAAAAAGGCATCAACAAAAACGTGCAACTAACATTACACGTAATGGTAAAAGACTAAATGCCTCCCTACACAGGAACAACAAGAATGTCCATTCTAACTCTGTAATCATGACTACACTTCAAAGGAGTCCTCAGTAGGACCCCGTAGTACATTTTGATGACAAATCTGCTTTCTTAGTCTCTGAGATGACCGTTTTATCCCATCCTTTCCTATTTTTCTTTAAACCTCTTACACCCATATCCTTGGTCTACTCTGAGATGATTATTTCACCTCATACTTTATTTTTCACAAGGTAAATCAATCTCTTACAAACTCTTCCTATGATAAAGTCTTCCTTCCTATCTACCATCCCTTCCTTCCTACCTACTATGCAAATCTTCCTACCATCAATCTCTCAAGAAGACAGAGGTCTATCCTGGCCATCACTCAAGACATGCCAAGTTATCTGGCCAGCTTAAAACTCAACCACAACTTGGGAGTATAAATATAGGTCTTACCCTAGAAATTCTAGAGAATTGATAAGTTTTCCATTTATCATCAACTCCTTTCATCAAAAGCAAAGACAAGTTCAACTCCTCAAATTGGCATAAAGCCACAGTAGGAAGACAGAAATAATTAATTCCCAACCTTTGGTTCCTCATCTTTGTAAATAGCTCTTGCCATTTAAAAAAAAGGTAAATTTGGTGGTTTCTACCAACATGTGTATTAAATAGGAAAAGTAAAGAAAAACACAAAAAACATGTGCAATTTGCATAGTATTTGTTCCTTACCTGCTGGTGGTGGGTGCTGGGAAACGTATACTTTACAGAGTGAGGAGGATAATGACTTTGTTCTGTGCTGAATGCTCCTTGGTTGGGAGGGTAACCTGAACTTGACATTATCAGTAAAGAAGTCCTCACCAGACTGTGAGATCAATGCCAATAAACAATCATGTTTCTAGGAAAACATCTAAACAGGATGGGAAAAAAATAGAATTAATAAGAACTAAAACACCAAGTGTACTTCTAATAAATTATAACTATAGCTACATAAATAAAACCACAATTACCAGTAAAAGCTTCCTCTCAAGTATTTACTTAATAAAAGTTACCAAGGTTTGAAAACATTAATGTGTCATTTTTTATATTTAAAATAGGTTAATATGTGACAAATAATATAATTAGCTATATAAAGTAAAAACAGTATATAAAAACAGCATAATATCTGGCACATAGTAACTGCTCAGTAAATACCTTTCTACAAATGTCTGAGGAATATAAAGACAAAAATACATGGTTTTAAATTTGGGAGTTGATAAGTCAATTGTGAAAAGAATTCAAGAGTAGTTTTAAGGTAAGCATTTGTGCAGAGGAAGTATTGTCTTTATTAAATAATTCTGAAGCAAGGATGATAAAATACTAAGTTTTGTAATCACAGATGGTAGGTAGATGGACATTTGTTATGTTACTCTTTGCATGCTTCTATGGAACTGAAATAGCAGATAAAGAAAAAGAAGGCCAGAAGCGGTGGCTCCTCCTGTAATCCCAGCACTCTAGGAGGCTGAGGCAGGCGGATCACTTGAGGTCAGGGGTTCGAGACCAGCCTGGCCAACATGGTGAAACTTCTTTTCTACTAAAAATACAAAAATTAGCCAGGCATGGTGACATGCACCTGTAATCCCAGCTACTTGGGAGGCTGAGACAGGAGAATCGCTGGAGCCTGGGAGGCGGAGTTTGCCGTGAGCTGAGATCATGCCATTGCACACCAGCCAGAGCAACAGAGTGAGACTCCATCTCAAAAAAGAAAAAGAAAACAAAGAAAAATAAAGCCATCTTCATTATAAAGTATATTCCTACTTGTCCACTATTCTAGATTAATTTGATTTGTCTGTCTTTTCTTGTGCCAATGCCACACTTTTCAAATTACTCTAGTATTACGAGGTTTCATATCCAGCAGGGCAAGTTTCACCTCACTGTGCTTTGTTGTTGCTGCTACTTTCACCACCTTCCCAGCTATTCTAGCACATTTTCTCTTACACACAAGCATCAGAGTCAGCTTGTCAGGTCCCAGAGAAATTCTGGATGAGAACACATAAATATTGAATTCACAGACTGACTAATGGGAGAACAGGTACCCTTATACGTCTGAGTACTCCAATCTTAAAACATGATTATCTATGTTTATGTTTCAGGATAACACAAATATTTATGTTATACATAATTAATATGGGAATATTTTACATACATGTGGTAGAGAATATTACACATATATAAAAATGTGTGCAATAATATATAATTTCTATCTTAATTATATATAAAACTCCCAAGACAAAAATTTTATATACACATATACACATGTGCATGTGTGCACATACACTCTTACTTTAAGACCAGAGTTCTATTATTACCTAATTGGGTGGTTTTAAAAAATAGAATTTAAATATAAGATGAAAATTATATAATTGTATACATAAAAATATAACAGATATAATTTTATTTACATAAAATCTCCACCCATTTAATACTTTATTAGTAAAGTTTTAATTTTCTTTCCATCATTTCAAGGTATTTGGGAAGAGGGCAAATTCAAAAAATAATTCAGTATGACAAATTGATCAATTTCCCAGTTTTTATCAATATATTCTTTATCCAGTTAGGTTTAGAAAACAAAATTTTCTAAGGAATTGTCTTTCAATCTAACTTTAAAACAAAACTTATAGGCTGGCCACAGTGGCTCACACCTGTAATCCCAGCACTTTGGGAAGTCAAGATCGGAGGATCCCCTAAGGCCAGGTGTTCAAGACCAGCCTGGGCAATGAAGCCAGACCTATCTCTACAAGAAAATTAAAATAATAATAATTATTATTATTTAGGTGGCCAGGTGCAGTGGCTCATGCCTGTAGTCCCAGCACTTTGGGAGGCCGAGGCGGGCGGATCACGAGGTCAGGAGATCGAGACCATCCTGGCTAACACGGTGAAACCCCGTCTCTATTAAAAATACAAAAAAGTAGCCGGGCGTCATGGTGGGTGCCTGTAGTCCCAGCTACTCGGGAGACTGAGGCAGGAGAATGGCATGAACCCGGGAGGTGGAGCTTGCAGTGAGCCGAGATCGGGCCACTGCACTCCAGCCTGGGTGACAGAGTGAGACTCTGTCTCAAAAAAAAAAAAAAAAAAAGAAAAGAAAAAAATAATTAGTCAGGCACGGCGGTACACACCCATGGTCCCAGCTACCTGGGAGGCTAAGGCAGGAGGATCACTTGAGCCCAGGAGGTCAAGACTGCAGTGAGCCGTGATTGTGCCACTGCACTCCAGCCTGGGTGATACAATGAAAGTCTGACTCAAAAAATAAAAGAAAAAATGTATAGAAAGAACTTTAAGGCCAGGCGTGGTGGCTCACGCACTTTAGGAGGCCAATGCAGGCAGATCATGAGGTCAGGAGTTCAAGGCCAGCCTGGCCAACATGGTGAAACCCAGTCTCTACTAAAGATACAAAAAATTAGCCAGGCATGATGGCACATGCCTGTAAACCCAGCTACTCGGGAGGCTGAGTCAGGAGAATCACTTGAAGCTGGGGAGTGGGGGTTGCAGTGAGCTGAGATGGTGCCACTGCACTCCAGCCTGGGTGAGGGGTCCAGACTCCATCTCAAAAAAAAAAAACAAAAAACAAAAACAAAAAAAAAAACTTTAAAAACTGCATGTGGTACCATGAAACATTTAAATATTTTATTTTTTTTCTTTTTTTATTTATTAATTATTATTATACTTTAAGTTTTAGGGTACATGTGCACAATGTGCAGGTTAGTTACATATGTATACATGGGAGACTTTAACACCCCACTGTCAACATTAGACAGATCGACGAGACAGAAAGTCAACAAGGATACCCAGGAAGTGAACTCAGCTCTGCACCAAGCAGACCTAATAGACATCTACAGAAATCTCCACCCCAAATCAACAGAATATACATTTTTTTTCTGCACCACACCAGACCTATTCCAAAATTGACCACGTAGTTGGAAGTAAAGCTCTCCTCAGCAAATGTAAAAGAATAGAAATTATAACAAACTAACTCTCAGACCACAGTGCAATCAAACTAGAACTCAGGATTAAGAATCCCACTCAAAACTGCTCAACTACATGGAAACTGAACAACCTGCTCCCGAATGACTACTGGGTACATAACGAAATGAAGGCAGAAATAAAGATGTTCTTTGAAACCAATGAGAACAAAGACACAACATACCAGAATCTCTGGGACACATTCAAAGCAGTGTGTAGAGGGAAATTTATAGCACACAAGAGAAAGCAGGAAAGATCCAAAATTGACACCCTAACATCACAGTTAAAAGAACTAGAAAAGCAAGAGCAAACACGTTCAAAAGCTAGCAGAAGGCAAGAAATAACTAAAATCAGAGCAGAACTGAAGGAAATAGAGACACAAAAACCCTTCAAAAAATTAACGAATCCAGGAGCTGGTTTTTTGAAAGGATCAACAAAATTGATAGACCGCTAGCAAGACTAATAAAGAAAAAAAGAGAGAAGAATCAAATAGACGCAATAAAAAATGATAACGGGGATATCACCACCGATCCCAAAGAAATACAAACTACCATCAGAGAATACTACAAACACCTCTACGCAAATAAACTAGAAAATCTAGAAGAAATGGATAAATTCCTCGACACATACACTCTCCCAAGACTAAACCAGGCAGAAGTTGAATCTCTGAATAGACCAATAACAGGAGCTGAAATTGTGGCAATATTCAATAGCTTACCAACCAAAAAGAGTCCAGAACCAGATGGATTCACAGCCGAATTCTACCAGAGGTACAAGGAGGAACTGGTACCATTCCTTCTGAAACTATTCCAATCAATAGAAAAAGAGGGAATCCTCCCTAACTCATTTTATGAGGCCAGCACCATCCTGATACCAAAGCTGGGCAGAGACACAACCAAAAAAGAGAATTTTAGACCAATATCCTTGATGAACATTGATGCAAAAATCCTCAATAAAATACTGGCAAACCGAATCCAGCAGCACATCAAAAAGCTTATTCACCATGATCAAGTGGGCTTCATTCCTGGGATGCAAGGCTGGTTCAATATATGCAAATCAATAAATGTAATCCAGCATATAAACAGAACCAAAGACAAAAACCACATGATTATCTCAATTGATGCAGAAAAGGCCTTTGACAAAATTCAACAACCCTTCATGCGAAAAACTCTTAATAAATCAGGTATTGATGGGACATATAAATATTTTAAATAAATATATCATCCTTTCTCCTGATGTCACGTTTCCTGCTGTTGTGAAAGCTGACCAGGAGAAGAGTCAGAAGACTCACCAGCTGTCCCTCAGTCTGTTTTCTCCCTGCTCCCTTCCAAGGCCCGAGGCATGGAGGTCAGCAAATCTTAAGGATTGGAAGGCTGAGATTACCCAACTAACACTGATTTGACAGGTGAGAAACGTGACAATCAGAGAAAGTCAATAATTCCTCCAATATCATAAAATTGTCTGTGGCAAAATGGGAAAAACTAATGTTTTCTGTAATGCTTTGCAGCTTTCTCAGCAAATAGTGAACTAGGAGGAGCTGAGATGTTCAGTGAGACCACACATTAAAACCACCTGAGGAGCTGTCTCCTCATCTATACATCTGCAACTGCTTCAGGTGGAAGGGGAAAAGCCAACATGTGGCATTGTGGGGAGGGTTGATCTTTTTGGAAATAAACATTATATGCAGGACTTAAGAGTTTTTAAAAGTACCACAGAATACAAAGTGAAAAATCTCCTCACCCTTCTCCTCCAGCTGCTACCCATTTACCCTCCCAGAAGGCAACCAAAGTTACTAGTTTCTAGAGTGTCCTTTAGAAATATCCTACACATACATACACTCACACTTTTTCCCCTATGTAAATAGTGGCATACTAGAAACACACTGTTCTGTATCTTGCTTTTATTACTTAATATATCTTGGTAGGCTGGGCGTGGTGGATCACGCCTGTAATCCCAGCACTTTGGGAGACTGAGGCAGGTGGATCACAAGATCAGGAAATCAAGATCATCCTGGCTAACATGGTGAAACCCCATCTCTACTAAAAATACAAAAAAGTTAGCTGGGCACGGTGGTGGGCGCCTGTAGTCCCAGCTACTCAGGAGGCTGAGGTGGGAAGAACCCAGGAGGCAGAGCTTGCAGTGAGCCGAGATCACATCACCAACCTCCAGCCTGGGCGACAGAGCGAGACTGCATCCCCCAAAAAAAATACATATATCTTGGCAATTATTCTCATGCATCTATGGTTCTTTCTATTGCTAAAGAGTATTTCACCCTATGAGCCAGGCGCAGTGGCTCACGCCTGTAATCCCAACACTTTGGGAGGCTGAGGCAGGTGGATCACCTGAGGTTGAGAGTTCGAGACCAGCGTGACCAACATGCTGAAACCCCGTCTCTACTGAAAATACAAAAATTAGCCAGGCATGGTGGCACATGCCTCTAATCCCAGCTACTCAAGAGGCTGAGGAAGGAGAATCACTTGAACCCAGGAGGCAGAGGTTGCAGTCAGCTGAGATCATGCCGTTGCACTCCAGCCTGGGCAACAAGAATGAAACTCTGTCCAAAAACAAAAGAGTATTTCACTATATGAACGTTCATGCATTTTATAAAAGTTGTCCAACTAATTCTGATCTGCTGTCCTAAAACATGCTTTAAGTGATCTATCTCTGCACTCTCCTCCCAACTCAGACATCCCAAATAAATAAAGCTATAAATGGAATGCAGAGTCAAAAAAAAAAAGATTTTAACCCAGGGTCATCTCATTTTTTTCTAACAGTGGCCTAAATGATTAGAAACCCATGAGGTACAATTTTTTAATGCACATTGTTTAACTTTCAGCTATGGTGAGTCCTGAGTTCAACAATTACACTCAATGTCTCTCAAAGTCACAAGTTAAGTGACTTCTCCATTTTTTCCCTCATCTCAGTAATCCTTCCTGTTGTCCTAGTTTTGTGGTATGACTTTAATGGAGTTTAACATTATTATCTCAAAAAAAAAACCAAAAAAGTCAGTTTTATTTAAAAGTACTGTTCGCCCAATACAGAAGGAAAAAAAAAGTAAAAACACTAGCAAAATCAGGAAATTAGCCCCTACTGGCATACAAATTTACAGGTCAAAGCAAGCCCTTCCTGTCCTCTCATGAACTGCAGCCTGGAGACCACTACAACCTCCTTCCTCAAAACTTATCCACGAGATACATGGCAAGAGTGCTCAGATGTTGTTTTTTAACCAGAATGTTTTCCTCAAAAGTCTTAAATGAAAGCTAAATGTACAAAAGGTACAATGGGGAAACATTCTGATCTAGTGAGAATGGGAGACCTAGGATTCATCTTTTCAGTCTCCCCCTGCCCTTCCCCATCCCTCCCTCCACCCTTCACTCCAGTCCTGGCTCACTAAGATACCTCGGCAGAATACTTTACATTTGAAACCCACTGAAATGAAAGAATCTAAAGTTCAGACTGAAGGGGAAGGGAGCACCTTAAGTGGCAGTATCAAATTATGATTTCAGTTCTTAGCACCAAAACTCATTAACTCAGGGTAGTTACATGGTTGACTCATGAACTAAAAAAATTCTATGAATTATTTAAGAAATCTGATCAAGATTTTATGAGCAACTTCCTCATCTCTTACATATCAACACATAATGTTTTAGGATGAGAATAATATAGTAATAATTATATGTCACTGTCATAAAAGACAATAGCACTTCTAACTGAATTATACAGATAAACCCAGAACTAGCCTCTTATATATTGCAAACAGGTAATACAATATTGCAAAATGAAATTGATCTATTTAAGTTCCTTTTTAAATCTTCTCATATTAAATAAACACACACATATTTACTCAACAGGAAAATCTTGCAACAACAAAATTTCAAATACTATCCTGCCAAAAAACAAGCAATTTTTCCTCTCAGCAGGAACTCCTGGCTTTTGGCCCATAACCTTTGCATAACGAAAATATGTTATGCAAAGGTGTTCAAGGTGGCCTAAACTACCTTGGAAAAAAAGCTGAAAATGGCCGGGCACAGTGGCTCATGCCTGTTATCCCAGCACTTTGGGAGGCCAAGGCCAGTGGATCACAAGGTCAGGAAATCAAGACCATCCTGGCCAACATGGTGAAACTCCATCTCTACTAAAATACAAAAAAGAAAAAATTAGCCAGACATGGTGGCACACACCTGTAGTCCCAGCTACTCAGGAGGCTGAGGCAGGGGAATCGCTTGAATCCAGGAAGCGGAGGTTGTAGTGAGCTGGCATCGTGCCACTGCACTCCAGATTGACAACAGAGTGAGACCCCATCTCAAAAAAAAAAAAAAAAAAGAAAAAAAAAGAAAAAAATGTACTTCACAGTGGCAGGACTGCAGATGCCACTTCAGATGAGCAAGAATAGATCCACCAAGCGTCACAATAGAGGTGAAGCCTACATTTCACCAAAGCAGAAAAAGGATCTTACAAAATATGCAATTTTTAACTGATAAAATAATAAAACCTCCTGATACAAAAGTATGGGATAGGGCAATGTCTCTATGACATTCAAATGCTAAAATATTAGTTATTAAACTGAAGCAAATTAGGTCACACCAGTTCCCACAAAGCTGTCCAGCTCTAGACCAATTCTAAAATTACGTTAGGCAAGACAAGGCTAAGAAAGACCACCACCCTGGGCATCCCGACACCTAAAATCCTCCAACCTAGGGATAATTTAAAGAAAGCCGACCTCCTAAACTTATTACTGAGTCCAGCATCCAGGAGAGGAAAGACTAGAAATTATCTAAGTGAATTCGGTAATTTGTACAAGACCAGAGTGGTGCTGTACTGGAATGAATTTTCTCCTGTAAAATAAACTAAAGCATTCTTCCCTTTGGGGGGAAAAAAGCTACTGCTTCTCAGCCTTTTGGTTAAGATCTAATCTGGGGGAATGCCACTGACAAGGTATTTTATTTGCAGCCTCTTTTGACATTATGACATCTTACTTAAAGACAGAGAAACAAATGGAAGCTAAAGAAAAAGCTTTTTAGTTAAACTATCCTACCTCTTATAAAGTATGATATTGAAAGAAAAATTTTAATAAGAATATAATTATTTGATAAATCTATGGGTACACATATTCAATAAGTAATTCTGGCCAGGCACAGTGGCTTATGCCTGTAATCCCAGCACTCTGGGAGGCCTAGGCAAGTGGATCACTAGAAGCCAGGAGTTTGAGACCAGCCTGGCCAAAAAGGCGAAACCCCGTCTACACTAAAAATACAAAAACTAACCGGGCATGGTGGCACATGTCTGTAATCCCAGCCACTCAGGAGGCTGAGCATGAGAATCACTTGAACTCAGGAGGTAGAAGTTGCAGTGAGACAAGATCGTGCCACTGTACTCCAGCCTGAGCAACAGAACAAGACTCTATCTCAAAAAATAATAATAAATACATAATTCTTAAATGAAAGAAAAATGATGCCCTCTACATAAAGCGCTGTCCCAAGACAGCAGTACAATGTAACAATATCCAACTGTGAACTGTGGTATGTCGGCACTACATTGAACTAATTTTCTGAACCGAACAACACTCACTCACTCAACTTCTAAGAACAAATATATTTCAAAACCAGCCAAGTGCAGTGGCTCACATCTCTAATCCCAGCACTTTGGGAAGCAGAAGAAGGTGGATCACTTGAAGTCAGGAGTTCAAGACCAGTCTCGCCAACCTGGTGGAACCTTGTCTTTACTAAAAATACGAAAATTATGGCTGGGCATGGTGGCTCACACCTGTCATCCCAGCACTTTGGGAGGCTGAGGCGGGAGGATCACGAGGTCAAGAGTTCAAGACCAGCCTGACCAACATGTGAAACCCCATCTCTACTAAAAATATAAAAATTAGCCAGGTGTAGTGGCGTGCACCTGTAATCCCAGCTACTTGGGAGGCTGGGGAAGGAGATTCACTTGGACCCAGGAGGCAGAGGTTGCAGTGAGCAGAGATCATACCACCACTGCATTCCAGCCTGGGTGACAGGGTGAGACTCCATCTCAAAAAAAAAAAAAATACAAAAAATTAGCCAGTGTGGTGGTGCACAACTGTAATCCCAGCTACTCAGGAAGCTGAGGCATGAGAATCACTTGAACCTGGGAGGCAGAGGTTGCAGTGAGCCAAAATCGCACCCCTGCACTCCAGGCTGGACGACAGAGCAAGATTTCATCTCAAAACAAACAAACAAACAAAAAAAGAACAAATATATTTCAAAAGCAAAATGGATGACTACATGCCAATTCCTTCCCTGTTTAACACAAAATAACAAAGAAATTGAGATAAGAAAAATGTTAATGTAGACATTTGGCCTGGATTAATAGATGTAACAATATCTAAGTGGATATTACTAAAAGAATTACCATTTATTGAGCTCTAGATAGTGTGCTCTAGGCAGTGTGCTAAGACTTGGTGTGTGCATGAGCTCACCTAAAAATCTGGTTCCACTATTAGTTCTAAGGCTGTAGGGAAGCTACATAACTTCCTCAAGCTATGTTTTTCTAACTCAGAGACAGATACCTTAAAGATCATCTGCTGCTGCCTCCCCTTTGACCCACTAACAGAGACTACAGGTTATTAAGCAATATAAAAAGGGGTTATTAACGACTCTGTTTTTTGCTGCACTCCCCTCAAAACCGCCGAGCTCCATAAATCTTAAAGTCAAACGCTCTTAGCCTACTTTATTTTGGTACACACCTTAGAAACAAACAGAACTAACAAACACCTGTGAAGGCAAAGATCAGCTCTGTTCTGCTCTACACGGCCTCTGCAGCAGCTAGCAGTACTTAGCTCTCAGTAGCACACACTCCAACAGCAACTTGTTTAGCTGTTCCTTACACACACACACACACACACACACTCAGACTCTGAAGCTTCCCAGGCCTCTCCATCTAACTACCACCATCCTTACCTCTTGCTGCAAAAACTAACTGGTCTTCCCACTTCAATACTTTCTCAACTCAGAAGGCCAAGTGTTCTTTTTAAACCTTAAATCAGAACATGTCACTCTCCTGCTTCAGATTCCCCAAGGATTTCCTACGCACTGCAAATAAAGTCTAAATTACTTACGATGACCCAAGGCCCTACTTGATTTGGCCTGCTTACTTTCCAGATTGCTCACTAGGACCCAGCAACATGAGTTTCCCTTCAGTTTCTTCAGGAGCCCTTCTCTGCCAGGTCCTTCCTAGCTGGGCCTTTGTCCTTCTTCACTGTCTGCCAGGAACGCTGTTCCTGGCTCATTCACGTGGCTAGCTCCTCCTCAAACTTAAGGTCTCAGTTCAAATGTCATCTCAGAAGAGTCTTTCCAACCACCCTGCATATAAGGTAAGCTCCCACTAGTTACTCTCATTGGCATCACCCTTTTGGTTCCTTTATAGGTTTATCATAATCTGAAATGGATTACGTACTTCATTTTATTTGAGTATATTCTGTCTTCTCTCACTAGAATAAAAACTACCTGTTTGATTCTCTATAATATTTGTTGAATAAAATAAACAAACTCCCATTCATGGGTCTGATGTTTTTTAAAATAAACAAGAAATATACAAGACTTATTTGTACAGGACTTATTTGAAGCAAAGTTTGAAAATCTACTGAGAGACATAAAAATCTATGAGAACACAGGACAGAAAGTGCATAACGCTGTCAATTTCCCCAAACTTCACCTACAATTTCAGTATTCACAATCAATATTCAGTATTCAATAAAAATCTCTATGATTTCTTTTTGAATGTCACAGAATGATTCTAAAGTTCATCTAGAAGAACACATAGACCAGAATTGTCAAAGTCTGAAAAAAAGAGTAATGAAGAGGTAACTAACCCCATCTGCATTAAAATTATAAAATGATAGTAATTTAAAGTGTATGGTAATACACAAGAGACAAAAATAACAAGACCAATCAGAAATAGTCCCAAACACATTTAGTAAATGACAAAAGCTGCAATTTTAATAGTGGGGCAAAAAATGGATTGTTCGCTAAATGGTGCTGACACAACTAGCTAGTTGGGGTAGAATTCACACACAATTTTATCCCCCAAAATATGTCTCACTTCTTATACCAGAAAAAAATTCCAGATGGATCAAACAATTAGAAGTTTTAAAAAGAGAAGGAAAAGGAAAAAAAGAAACCATTGAAGTATTAAATACAATCTGGGGACTTCTTTGTTTTAAAAATACAAAAAGGCATGCAGTTAAAAGTCTTCCTCTCACTCATTCTTCTTACTATGACAACCAATGTTTCCAAGTATCATATATCCTGTGATATACAAGCAAAAATGTATACATTGTTTTTCATCTTTAAAGCAAAGACACATAGAGGCATATAATGTTCCTCACTTTGTTTTTCTAGTTTAGTAGATAGGTGAATATTTTACATTTTGGAGCACGGAAAGTCTTAAGTAGAGCACAAAACACAAAAGTCACATAAATAAATTAATAACAGTCACAGCTAACATTTATTATTTACTTACTTTGTGCCAGCCACTATGCCTAATGCTATTTACATCATCTCCATTTTACAAATAAGGAAATTAAGGTGTACAGAGGTTAAATAATGTGCCCAAGTTCCCATAGCAGCACAGTGCTGGGTTTGGATTACAAAAGAATAGCTAGGGGGATATGAGCACACGTACGAAAAAGGTGAGTAAGGCCAGGCACATTGGCTCACGCCTGTAATCCCAACACTTTGGGAGGCCCAGGCAGGTGGATCACCTGAAGTCAGGAGTTTCAGACCAGCCTGACCAACATGGAGAAACCCCATGTCTCGTAAAAATACAAAATTAGCCAGGCATGGTAGTGCAGGCCTGTAATCTCAGCTACTCAGGAGGCTGAGGCAGGAGAATCACTTGAACCCAGGAGGCGGAGGTTGAGGTGAGCTGAAATCACACCATCGCACTCCAACCTGGGCAACAAGAGCACAACTCTTTCTCAAAAAAAAAAAAAAAAAAAAAAAAAAGAAAAGAAAAAGAAAGAAATAAAAAAGTGAATATGTAGAGAACTTTTAACCTGTTAAAAACCAGTAACCCCAACAGAAAATGAACAAAGAACAAAAGTAGGCAATTTATAAAAGACATATGGCCAGGCGCAGTGACGCACACCTGTAATCCCAGCACTTCGGGAGGCTGAGGTGGGCAGATCACCTGAGGTCAGGGGTACAAGACTAGCCTGACTAACATGGTGAAATCCTGTCTCTACTAAATACATAAATTAGCTGGGCATGGTGGCAGATGCCTGTAATCCTGGCTACTTGGGAGGCCGAGGCAGGAGAATCTCTTGAACATGGGAAGCAGAGGTTGCAGTGAGCTGAGATCGTGCCACTGCACTCCAGCCTGGGCAACAAGAGCGAGTCTCTGTCTAAAAAGAAAAAAAAAAAGGCCAGGTGCGGTGGCTCACGTCTGTAATCCCAGCACTTTGGGAGGCCAAGGCGGGTGGATCACCTGAGGTCGAGAGTTCAAGACCAGCCTGGCCAACATGGAGAAACCCCATCTCTACTAAAAATACAAAATTAGCCGGGAGTGGTGGTGCATGCCTATAATCCCAGCTACTAGGGAGGATGAGGCATGAGAATTGCTTGAACCCAGGGTGCAGAGGTTGCAGTGAGCTGAGATCAAGCCATTGCACTCTATGCACTCTAGCCCGGGCAACAAGAGCAACACTCCGTCTCAAAAAAAAAAAAAAAAAAAAGAAAGAAAGAAAAGAAAGAATTACAACTCTCTTCATAATAAAAAATGTTCAGCCTCAATGGTGATTGACAAAAGGCCATCAGAATCACATTTTTTCAGTTCCTAAATTGTCAAAATGTTTTAAACTGTAATATCTAGTATTGGCCAGGGCATGGGGCATACCTGAATACTATTGGTAGCTTTACAAATTGGTACAACAACCTTTTGGAAGGAAAATGTATAAATATCTATCCATATCTACATTATTCACATCTTTTGATTTCAGCAACTCCACTTCTAGGAATCTATCCTACAAAGCTGTTTGTACAAGTACACAAAATACATATACATACGTACATGTGCATAAATATTCATACACACACACACAATTGTTTACTGCTTTCTTTTTCTGGCAACAACAAAAAAAAAATCCAGTGACCGTATGTTGATTAAGCAAATTATGGTATTTTCTTTTTTTCTGTTTGAAACAGAGTCTCACTCTGTCGCCCAGGCTGGAGTCCAGTGGCATGGCTCACTGCAACCTCCACCTCCCAGTTTCAAGTGATTCTCCTGTCTCAGCCTCCCAAGTAGCTGGGATTACAGGCACATGCCACCATGCCTGGCTAATTTTTGAATTTTTAGTAGAGACAGGGTTTCACCATGTTGGCCAGGCTGGTCTTGACCTCCTGACCTCTGGTGATCCAGCCACCTCAGCCTCCCAAAATACTGGGAAAACAGGAGTGAGTCACCGTGCCTGGCAAATTATGGTATTTTCATGTACTAGAAATGGGGTATTAAGTTGCTGTTAATGATTGATAACTCTGAAATAAATAGACAAACTTGGAACAGTAGTATATAAAAGAATAGTATATTATGATCCCATAATATAGAAAATTATACAAACACAGAAAAAAAAAATGGAAGAATATGCAACAGTCTCAGTAGATTACATCCAGGAAGTGGTTCTTTCAATTTCATTATATATAAAAAATAATGTATTACTTATAATTAGTGAAAGATAAGATTTTAAAATAGCATATCCTCCTTCATGCATTAAAATGATTTTGTGTGGATATAAAGTAACGTCTTTCTCCCCCCTCAACAGAATGTATATACTCCCACATCAGGTATATTTACGTTCTGCATATTTTAGGTTATAACTCCTAGATAGCACAAGTTTTGATTTCATTCCAAATACCTCCAAATACATAAAAGTTATTGTAATTAAAAATGAATTTAAAAATCTTAAAAGTAATGCAAAGTTAAACATCTTTGAACAGAAACTCAAAGTCATGATGATGACTACTTAAACATTTTCAAAATTACATAAATCTCTATGTTATTGCCAAGGGAAATGAATTGCCTAAAACAAATTACTCTGAATGTGAACAGTATACGACAGTGATAATGGCAAGAAGAATATCTGTCAGTTCAACCAAGTATGGGGTAAAGGGGCAATCTATAAGCATAAAGGTGACTCTCATCATAAATCTGAGTCAAATTTTCCTAGAAAAATGTAACCTTCTCCAGGCGCGGTGGCTCACTCCTGTAATCCCAGCACTTTGGGAGGCTGAGGCAAACCGATCACGAGGTCAGGAGATCGAGACCATCCTGGCTAACATGGTGAAACCCTGTCTCTACTAAAAATAGAAAAAATTAGCCGGGCGTTGTGGCGGGCACCTGTAGTCCCAGCTACTCTGGAGGCTGAGGCAGAAGAATGGCGTGAACCTGGGAGGTGGAGCTTGCCGTGAACCGAGACCATGTAACTGCACTCCAGCCTGGGTGAGAGCGAGACTCCGTCTCAAAAAAAAAAAAAAAAAAAAGAAAGAAAGAAAGGAAAGAAAAATGTAACCTCAATATATTTGGTTTTGATATCAGTTTACTTGTGTATAACAAAGAATAAAAACAGCCAAACAGCCCAAATTTTGTTCCTTGAGTATGCTGTAATGGGGGAAAGAAATCCAAATAAGTTGGGAATCTTGACGTTTCCTTTACTCCTGACTAATCTACTTAAGAATTTAATTTTTTATATAAAACTAGTCGATATTATTCTTTCAAAGGGAGTCCTAAATTCTATTATAATCAACCAACTGTTCCATGTTTCTTTTCTTTTATTTATTTATTTTTTTTTGAGATGGAGTCTCGCTCTGTCACCAGGCTGGAGTGCAGTGGCACAATCTCGGTTCACTGCAACCTCTGCCTCCTGGGTTTAAGCGATTCTCCTGCCTCAGACTCCCGAGTAGCTGGGACTATAGGTGCGTGCCACCATGCACAGCTAGTTTTTTTTTTTTTTTTTTTTTTTGTATTTTTAGTAGAGACAGGGTTTCACCATGTTGGCCAGAATGGTCTCGATCTCTTGACCTCGTGATCCGCCTGCCTCAGCCTCCCAAATTGCTGGGATTACAGGCATGAGCCACGGTGCCGGCCAATCTTCCCATATTTCTAATATCCAGTTTTTTCCTAGGATTGAAACTACTCCAAAATTTCCTGAATACATAAATTAAAACATTATTGCATTCTAATATTATCTAGAACCATGAGTGCTGTCTAGGATGAACCAATCCCATATTTACTTTCTCTTCCTCCCCCAAATCCCAATAAACAGAACTTTTTTTTTCTTTTTTAAAGAAATGCTTTTAACTGGGCTCAGTGGCCTGCACCTATAATCCCAGCACTTCAGGAGGCCAAGGTGGGAGGATCACTTGAGCCCAGCAATTTGAGGTCAGCCTGGGCAACATAATGAGACCCTGTTTCTACAAAATAAAAGAAATTGACCAGGTGTGGTGGCACACACCTGTAGTCCCAGCTACTCGGGAGGACCACGTGAGCCCAGGACTTGGAGGCTGTATTGAACAATGATCACACCACTACACTCCAGCCTGGGCAACAGAGAGAGACCCTCTCTGTAAAAAAGAAAAAAAAAGAAATATTTTGATAATTTACTAAATACAGCTATGTTAGTCACTGACATTGGTGAAATTTCTACCTGTTTTTTAATTTCCAAAAACTATTCAGCATCAAACTACCATATGTGTATCAGACATCTTCTACAGCATCCACACTAACTCTAGCTGCTAAGCTCTTTTATGCATTCAACAAGTATCTACTACTCCTGGGCACAGGGTGTTATTCTGGGAGTGGGAAAAGAGGAAAAAAAATTAAAAACTCAGATACAGACATGCCTACAAAGGGCTTATGGTCTAGAGGCAAAGGATCAAGAGTTTCCAGAAAAAAAAAAAACATTTTGGAGAAGAGGGAATAGGAGAGACACTTCCTGGATGATGTAATATGTGATCAAACCCTTGAAAAATAGGATAAATTTAGATGTAGTAGAGTTTGGAAGAGTAAGGGAGGAAAGGAGTATTCCAGAAGCAAGCATCGTAACAAGAAAAAACAAACAAAAAATTCTTCTTAATGCAACACAAAATAGCCCAAGTAGAATAAAGAAATATGCCATGCTTCAATATTTATGTAAAGCTTATCAGCTTAATAAAAATATGCCTTTTCCTTTACAATAAATTTTATAGGCTGGGCATGGTGGCTCATGCCTGTAATCCCAGCACTTTGGGAGGCCATGGTAGGAGGATTACTTCAGCCCAGAATTCAAGACCAGGCTGGGCAAAACAATCAGATCCCATCTGTATTTTTAAAAAATTAAAATAAAATAAAATAAATGTTATAGCATGAATACTTACAGAAAATGAATACTACAAATGAGCTTTTTAATGTAAAAAAAATTCATAAAGAATACAGTCGGCCAAGTGCAGTGGCTCATGCCGTAATCCCAACACTATGGGAAGCCAAGGTGCAGATAACTTGAGGCCAGGAGTTCGAGATCAGCCTGGCCAACATGACGAAATTCCGTCTCTACTAAAAATACAAAAAATTATCCAGGCATGGTGGCATATGCCTGTAATCCCAGCTACTTGGGAGGCTAAGCACGAGAATCGCTTGAACCTGACAAGTGGAGGTTGCAGTGAGCTGAGATTGTGCCACTGCACTCCAGCCTGGGCAACAGAGCAAGACTCTGTCAAAAAAAAAAATTCATGATTGTGCTATTTATCTAAGCTTTTATATTAATAAAACAATTGAAATCCTTCATACTTAAAAAAAAATCCAGAAGCCTGAGAGTAGGCAAAACAAACAATAGATAATTTACAAAATAATTTAACCTATTTGTAGGCTGGGTGCGGTGGCTCACGCCTGTAATCCCAGCACTTTGGGAGGCCGAGGTGGGCGGATCACCTGAGGTCGGGAGTTCGAGACCAGCCTGACCAATACAGAGAAACCCTGTCTCTACTAAAAAATGATTTTAACACTGTCTTTATTTCCCAAAGATTACTGAAGTCATGTGAAATAAAAGGCATTAGAGATTCTATTTTTCTGACAAAATATTTAAGAGCCTTCCTTTTCTTCTAAGCCAAGTAATTAGGGCTCCTTTATATATCCATCACATACAGAACACTTCTAGACAGGAAAAGATCTAGCAGTTGTAAGTTTTTCTTTCTCATTTTATGAATCCTAACACAACTTCCACAGACCATCTATGACATGAACTTTCTGACTTTTCCTGTATTTCCCTCTTTCATAATCAGTCATTCTACTTTAGAACAAAAATTTGCCATACAAGATCCTCTCATATAACATTTCTTTCCTTCATAACTTTTCTTACCATAAATGCATCTTCATATCCACAACTTTCTTTAGATCTCTCTCCCTGACTGATTTCTGATGCCCACCAAAACCTAAAAGGTCAGATAACGCAAAGCAAAACAGAGGAGAGCCTTAGATTTTGAGAGAGACCTGTCTGCCTGATGTTCTTGGGGTTCCATGAGGACAACAGAGGTTTCTCCTAAAATGGGGTTAGTAGCACCTTCTGTTTTTCTTTAAGGAGTCCCAGCCTGTCAGAAATTACCTTACGTCCTGTCATGTGGGCACTGATTGGCAACAAGACAGACTAGGGAACAGCTGGCAACAAGACAGACAACTGAGCAGAAAAAGAAAAACTTACTACAGTCCCCACTGTAAAGATGGATAAAGTGAGGCACCATGCAGTTTAAAAATTCATGTTACATAGAGTTGGGCTCCACAGCTCACTCTCTTAACCATACTGTAATTTTGCTGAATCTATGCCCAGTGACTGATGCACCTGTATGGTACCTTATGGCCCCCTTAGTGCTTAGAACCTGGGTTTCATTCCTGCTCTACAGCTATATAATTTAACAATTTTCCTCTGAATTTGTTGGATTCTAACCCTATATTTCTAAAATTTTATTAATATTACTGAATCTTAAAGGGAGCTGTGATGTCTTTAGTCTTTAGAAATATTAAGCCTATAAACAAAGGACTATATGAAGTTAAACTGTATTCAAATTTCTACATGATTTAAAACATTGAGGCGGCCGGGCGCGGTGGCTCACGCCTGTAATCCCAGCACTTTGGGAGGCCGAGGCGGGCGGATCACGAGGTCAGGAGATCGAGACCATCCTGGCTAACAAGGTGAAACCCCGTCTCTACTAAAAATACAAAAAATTAGCCGGGCGTGGTAGCGGGCGCCTGTAGTCCCAGCTACTCGGGAGGCTGAGGCAGGAGAATGGCGTGAACCCGGGAGGCGGAGCTTGCAGTGAGCCGAGATCGCGCCACTGCACTCCAGCCTGGGCGACAGAGCGAGACTCCGTCTCAAAAAAAAAAAAAAAAAAAAAAAACGAAAAAAAACATTGAGGCAAAGTATTAAGAAACACACCTAAGAAACTGCAACCAATCTACTCTGGACAAAAATTTAGATACTATCTCTTCAAAATAAGCTACCTAGTGGTATTTATACATATTCTTCCATATATCAACAGTATCTTACATGCTCATAGTCTTAAAAATAACTAAAAAGTGTCAGAATTATAGGCCTTACACGTTTCTGTTGGCTTGAAAAATGATACGAAATGCATAAACTTCTGGAGTGACCAGTTTAAAAAAAGAGTTCATACCAAAGGTAGTAATACTAAGAATCAAAGAGGGCTAAACACTGCAGGTTCTTAAAGGAGAAAGTTAATAAAACCTTGTTTTTGGTTGTGAATCTTTGCCTTAACAACATTATACACATGATTCCCTCCCATTCTTTTTCCTCTTGCAAAGATGTGGTGATGATCCAGGTTTGCTCATGCACATGACAATACTCTTGAAAATAGGGGCAGAGAAAAATATGAAGGGAATATGGGTCACTTAATCATCTCATAAATTACAACTTATTACCCCTGTGACTCTTGCATAGCTCCAGAAAAAATATGTGAGAGAGATGAAATGGCTGTTTGCTACCAATATTTTATGTGATGCTTCATTTTTTGATTCCTTGAATAACACTTACAACGCATTAGCCTATTTATGCCAGAGGTTGCAATTTTTTGAATTTTTGCATAAGTGAAAAATCAGACCTTGTCGATGACATTTAGCAGTAGGATATAAGTAATTCCCACATGCTTAGCGTGGAACACTAGGCATAAGTGTGTTAACACAATTATGAAAGCATAGCTTTCAAGTAACTAATTATACAACTGACTTTTTTCCTCATCTCTAAAACATAGTAAGGGATCAGTTATTTAAAAAATACAACAGTGACAACTATTTTATTTTTAACTCAGTTTTGGTTTGTTAAGGCCCTTGCTTGGCATAAAAAAAAAACAGGAGGAGAAACAATAATACAAACATGAAATAGAAGCAATAGCAAAAGAAAATGAAGAGGAACAAGAAAATGAGAAGAAAATACACAATGGAAGAAAGGAAAAGGAACAGGCGTGGGAATTAGAAGGCTCAGTATGATACTTTTTATCCCCTCCTCGATTCATAAAATTTGAGTAACTGCAAGAGTATTACAAGAGAAAACAAGCAAAAGTATACACAAATAGTCACCCCCTATATTTTGTTAAGAATGAGAGAATGCTGCCACTCACGCCTAGCTCAGGCACCAGCAGGAGGGCACACTCTAGAGATTTCAGGAGAAGAGGGAGGACTCCTCTTTGCCCTAGGTGTACCACCACCACTGCCACCGAGACCTTTGTTACAGCATCCACAGGTTCCTCCCCACCCCAGAACGGGATGGGCCCTGCAGTGTTCCTACTCCCCCGTCCCGGCCCCCAGACTTCCTACTGCTACCACCACTAGCGCCAATGCCAATACAACCAGTCACCCTCAACGTACCAGCCCACCCTACCAGGCTCCTACCACCTGGCCCCCGTGGGTGCCCTCATACCACTCCAGTCGAGCTGCGGTCTCCATCTCCACCACCAACTGCATGAGGCAAGCTGCAGAGCCACGTCATCTGCTCGACCCTACCACAGGCGACTCCTCCTTCTCCTCCTTCAGCCTGGCTTGGAGCAGCTGGGCAGGCAAAGCCAGAAGATCCCAAAACAGGACTCAGGGAGTGGAACCGTTAGAGCCTCACCTTCTCATGCTGATGACTGGGTGTCAGGGATCAGTTTCATTGAAGGCACTCACACCCACCTTCCAAAGTCCAACCTCTTCTTCTGGCAAAAGCTGGCCAGGAACTGGGGCCTGGGGTGGGAGTGAGTGCCTTCACTGAAACCGGCCCCTGGCCAAGTCCAGCTGGCCAACAATTGCTGGGCCCACCAAGGCTGCCCTCCTCGCAGAGCCTGAGTAGGAGAAACTCAGACCCAGCCAGCCCTCCCCACCCAAGGGCTGGTTCCCATACCTGACACCTCCACCCACAGTGCCCTGTACCCCACTTCCCCCATCATGCCCACTACTCCCTGCCTGGTAGTCCCAGGTGGTCTTCGCAACACAGAGCATGAGCACGGGGCAGGAAACCACAGTGGGTGTGGAGGCCCTGCCGTGCAATCTAGCTCGCATGGGAGAAAATCGCCTTCTAGAGTCTGGAGTCCAAGAAGAGGAGAACCATCCCTTACTTGGAGGCTACCAGAAGAAGGAGGTCACTGCTGTCACTGCCGCTGCCACCTCCTCAGCTCGCCAACGCCGCTGGCAGTGTAGCCCCCATGGCACCCCTAATCTGCTCCCTGCCACTAGCAGTGTAGCCCATGGATAGCACATCCAACACACCCTACAGTTTCAGACAATGTAACCCCAATACCCCCCCAAAGCACTCCCCCCACACCTCAGGGAGCATACCACCCAATAGTGCCCACAATCTGACCCAGCCACGGGCAGTTCATCTCCTGATGGTGCACCCCCCAGTCACAGGCAGTGCAGCACCCAACAACGCCCCTAAACCACCCCCAACTGCCAGCATTGTAGCCCCAGATAACTCCACCCAACCCACCCCCTGCCGCAGGCAGTGCAGCAGAAGATAGCACCCCTAATCCTTCACCAGCCGCCGGCAATACACGCTAGTGTACACAATCTGCCTCCCCCCACCACCCCTGCCACCACGGGCAGTATAGCCCCAGATAGCCAGCCAACCTGCCCCACAGCCAGCAATGCAACACCAGAGAGTGCCCCCAACCAGACCACTGCCACAGGCAGGGTAGCCTCTAGCAGTGAGCCCCAATAGGACACCCAACCCTTGCCCCCAGAGGCGTACAGGGCAGGCACGGAAACTCACCTACCCCATCACATTTCTACCACTGTGGCTGAGCTGCAGTCTCCGACATCACTGACAATCACAGCGAGGCGAGCCATGATGGCACAGGTTCCAGCCTCCAGCATGTGGCAGTGCCTCTTCCTTCTAGTTCTCCAGCCCAGCAGAAGCTCCTGCTGCCCGCCGCCCTCCTACTGCTCTATCGCCACCACCAACCGTAGCGAGGTAGTGACCCAGGCTCCAGGCTCCAGGCTCCATCCATCCTCCAGCCTCCATCCATCTTCCAACCTCCAGCAGGTGGAAGGTTGCGGCCTCTTCCAGTCCTCTAAGCTGGGCACAGAGTAGCTCCTCCGCTCGACACAGAAGAGCCTGAAATGACCTGACATGACCTCAGCATAAGAGGTTATGCAAATGCAGTTCCTGGATTACATGTTCTGATTGGACAAGAAAAAAAAACCTCTAGGCCTACTCTGATTGGACTTTATTTTCATGCTGTGATTGGTTGTGTTAAGACTTGCTCTTATCCAATCAGAACATGATCATAAAGCCCAATCAGAGTAAGCCTGGAGGTTTTTTTCTCATCCAATCAAAACATGCAGTGCAGGAACCTCCATAGGCATAACCGCAGTATATAAATGATGCTGAAGCGTGATCACGTTTTTTCAGGTTCCTGTATCTTCCTGTCGAGTTGCTGGCTGCCCGATGTAGAGGACTAGGAATCAGGAGTCAGTGGCCGTATGCTGGAGGCTGGAGCCGAGGGAGCGTGGCTCCCCTCGCTGTGGTTGTTGGCAGCAACGGAGAGATAGCAGCGCGGCTGGAACGGTAGGAGAAGGAAAACAGTTTTGGGATAGATGGAGGGGATTAAAGACGGTAATTAGTGCCAAAGCAAAAAAAGGATAGCTTAGCCAGAGAAGGCAATGCAAAAAGATGGCGGCAAAAAGATGGTGGGGAAAAAAGTTTTTGGCTAGATAGAGGTGTAAAAACAGGGTGGGAAGCGGGAGGGAAGGAATATTTTGCAGAAAGACAGTGGGTAAAAAGTTTAAGGGTAGATGGAGGGGGTAAAGAGGGTGTCAAGTGGGAGGAGGAAAATGAGGGAGGTGATGGGGGAAAACAGGGCAAGCAGTAGGGAGAGAAGGTTTTGTGAAAAGACAGTGGGGCGAAAATACAGTGGGTGGGGGAAGTTTTCGGGTTGAGGAGCAAAAGAGGGTAGCAAGTGGGAGAAGGGAAAAGAGGGTAGCCAGCAGGAGGAAGACAAGGTTTTGTGAAAAGACAGTGGCAGAAAAGAAAGACGGTAGAGAAAGAAAAGACGATGGGTAAAAAGTGTTTGGATAGATGGAGGGGGGAAATAGGGTGAGAGGAGGAAGAAAGAGGGTGGCAAGAGGGAGCAGGGATGGGGGTTGGGAAAACGACGGAAAAACAGTTTGGGGTAGGTGGAGTGCAAAAAAAGAGGGTGGCAAGCAGGATAGGGGAAAGAAGAGCACGAGCGGTAAAGGGGGGAGACTTTGAAAAGGGGGAAGTTTTGGGGTGTAGATGGAGGGGGAAAGAGGGAGGTGAATAGGAGTGGGGAGAAGGCTTTGTGAAAAGACGGGGGAAATGTTTTTGGGTAGATGGAGAAGGGAAAGAGAATGGCAAGGAGGAACGGGGGAAAGACTATGAAGAAAACAGTTTTTGGGTGGATGAAGGGGGAAAAGAGTGTAGTGAGCAGCAGGAGTGGAGAGAAGGTTTTGGGAAAAGATGGGGGAAAATGTTTTTGCTTAGATAAAGGAGCAAAAGAAGGTGATGAGAGCGGGAGGGGGAAAAGAGGGAGGCCAGGGATAAGGGGAAAAGACGGTGGGAAGAAACTGGGGAAAGGGTTTGGGTAGATGGATGGGGAAAAGGGTGTTGAGCAGGAGAGTAGAGAAGGCTTTGAGAAATCAGGGTGGGCAAAAAATGATGAAGTTTGGGGGGCAGATGGTGGAAGAAAAAGGGTGGTGAGAGGGAGGGGGCCAAAGGCGGTCGGGAAAAGAAGGTAGGGAAATAATGGTGGGGGACAAAGGTTTCGGGTAGATTTTTTTAAATAAGATCATTTGTATTTTTGCTTTTGAGCAGTTTGAGTTCTTTATATATTTTGTGTATGAACCCCTTGCCTGATGCATAGTTTGCAAATACTTGTTTCCATTCTCTGGGTTGTTTCTTCATTTTTTAAAAATTTTAATTTAATTTAATTTTTTTTAGACGGAGTCTCTCTCTGTCACCCAGGTTGGAGTACAGTGGCACGATCTCTGCTCACTGCAAGCTCTGCCTCCTGGGTTCACGCCATTTTCCTGCCTTGGCCTCCTGAGTAGCTGAGACTACAGGCGCCTGCCACCACGCCTGGACATTTGTCTTTTTAATAGAGATGGGGTTTCACTGTGTTAGCCAGGATGCTCTCGAACTCCTGGCCTCGTGATTGGCGCGCCTCAGCTTCCCAAAGTGCTGGGTGTACAGGCGTGAGCCACCACTCCTGGCCTGTTTCTTCATTCTACTGACTGCTTCCTCTGTTTTGCAGAAGCTTTTTTTTTTTTTTTTTTTTTTTTTTTTTTTTTTTGAGATGGAGTCTCGCTCTGTTGCCCAGGCTGGAATGCAGTGGCATGGTCTCAGCTTACTGCAAGCTCCGACTCCCGGGTTCACGCCATTCTCCAGCCTCAGCCTCCCGAGTAGCTGGGACTGCAGGCACAGGTTACCAAGCCCAGCAAATTTTTTGTAATTTTAATAGAGTCAGGGTTTCACCGTGTTAGCCAGGATGGTCTCAATCTCCTGATCTCGTGATCCGCCCGCCTCGGCCTCCCAAAGTGCTGGGATTACAGGTGTGGCCACTGCTCCCGGCCTGGAAACAACTTTATTTTCTAGTGTTGTATTTGTATATATACTTAAATAGCCTTTAGTTTTAATAAAGTTGCTTTTAAAATATGTATCTTATTTTTCAGAAATATACCCTAAGGCATGTGATTAGTTGGGTGGCATGTTCTTTAGTTTTTACAATTGAAGGATTGTCATTCCTTTATACAAAAAAAAAAAAAAAATTAAAGGTGAATTTTTATTATATACTAGAGGAAAGAAGGCAGATACTAAATAATAAATACTGTATGCTTCCATGTAAATAAAATTTGAAATTCCCAAGACAATGCATTAAACCCTTCTGTGGTTGAAGTTGGGAATTTCATTGGCAAAGGTCATGCAATAAATGTGTAGGTGAAGGGAATATTCTATATTCGATTGTGTAGGTGATTATCTAGCTTTATAAATTTGTAAAACTGAACTGGACTAAAATGTGTGCCTTATACGCAAATTATTCTATAAAATTGATTAAAACTAGTTAGGAGAGAATCAGTCAAGGGGAAAAGAAAGAAAAAACACGTGAAAAAATAATGCCAATGCACTAGAATTGTCTTTGATGACATGAAATATAGCCTGGCCTTCTCTTAATTCTTTTTAAAATTTATGTAGATTTCTCAATCCTTTGATACTTTTTTCTCAACACACCTTATATTCTCGTATATGTTGATGTATGGTTACATAAGAGAGGACTCTTTTACAGTTGGACTGGAACAGCTTGATATTTATATCTAGAGATGCATTGGAAGCATAACACTGACCATGAGCAAGATGTAAATGGCATATGCTAGTTAGTGATTCATAATCTGTTGCTTTAAGTTTCGTGCCAACTGGTCTACGTCGTTGAGAATGTTTAGTTTGATGGTTTACACAACGTGGCTTAAGAAGTATATGACCAACAATGTATGAGGGAGCCTGCTATAAAGACTTTTCTACACTTCCCTTAAATTATTATAGTAAGCTCAAATCTTGAAGGTTCATAATATACAGATAAAATGTGTCCGTGAGACTGAGAAAGGATCCTGAAAGACAGACTTTCAATGATTTCCTGCATTTTATTTCTGTTGTACTTTATCTTTACCTTTATTAAACACTAATAAGGTTCTTCTTATAGGGCCTCACAGGCCTTTTTAGTTTTCCAACCTATTCATACTTGGTGCAAACCTAGTAATTTTTTGCATGATAGTATTGGGATTTTACTCTGAGGCTAGGTTTCAAAACTGTAAGAACAGCTTTCTGGAATTGTATCATTTTCAGTCTTTCCATGTGTTCCATTGTCCCAGCCACACACACACCAGATAACAAAACGAAAAGCAACCTCAAAAGGTAACACACCTATAGTAGATGTTTTTACCTCTTGTAAAATCTAAGGAAAATATACTAAAAATGAAGGCATCAGTAAAATAGTATCACTTTAGGTTGACCTCGAGTATTTCAACATCAGTCTAGCTTCAGAACAATACATTTGCAAGGGGAAATGGGGTACTTTTGTGGTTCTTTACACGTGTTATTTCAATTGAAATAGAAAAAAAGAACTAAGTTGAACTAACTATAACCATAAAAAGAAGGTTTTATCAGTATTGAAATAAAATAACAGAAAATGCATTTGTGGGTCTGACCTCAGGACGGATTTTAAATAGTCAATGCTACCTCTCTCATTCCCTCTTCTCTGAGCATCAGCTTTATTCTTATTCCATCTTACTTAATTTGGCATGACAGATACAGACTCATTCTTACAACAGACACCATCAGAAGTGAAACCTTTGCTCCAACTCTTGAAAAATCTGAGATGCATTTTGACTATTCTCAGATCATGGATCTATTACTTGGATCAAAAAGTACTGCACAGGGAAGTAGATACTATAATCTCTGACATTACAGTTTCAAGGTTGGAGTGACAAAGGGATAGCTCCCATAACGAGGGAGTATCATAGAAATGATATTTTCATGGTCATACTTTTGTGAACTAGGCAGACATCCCTTCATGTCAACTACATCTCTACTTTGAACAGATAAATATCCATGCATATACAAAATTATACAGTAATATAAGCATGCTTTTCATTAAAATTTTAACCCAAACAGTCTATTTAGGAGAATAAATACCGATACAGGAGATAATTCTGCTTGAATGATCTTTACCCTTGGGGAGACATAAATAAAATAATGTCATACTTTATTATGAAATGACTATGCAGCATATTTATGAATAAACTTTCATAATAAATTTCTTTATTGTCTAAAATAAGCACAAAAGCCCTTTTAGTTAATTAATATCCCTTTTTAATATACAGAATAAATATAAGAAAAGAGCACAAATGGTATTATGCCAGCACACAGAAACAATTTCAGTTAAAAGTCAATCCTGTATTTTGAGAACCTGACAAAATCATAATTGAAAATAGTGTATTATCTTACATGCAGATGTTGTGTAATCAGGGACATCCAAATCAACTTACATCCAAATATTTCACAATTAATCTTTGACATATTCTGTGAAGTATTGTAAAACCATGCCCTCAGGAATATAAAAGCACAAAGGGAGGCAGGACTCCATATAGCCATTTATTCATTTCCTAAGGTTAGATACAATGAGGACTGCATCTTCAACATTATCAGGGCCATACAGATATTGGAGCTTAAGGATAATATCCAATTTCATAGCAATCTGTTAAAGTATAAGCCAGTCTTATGACCCAAATGTGCACCATAATAATTTCCATCTTGAGTGATGATGCTACAAATACAAAGGAATACTGCATCTCTAAAATAAACTACGTTTATATGACATGAGAACAATTTGATGAAAAGAAGGCAAACTATGAATAGTAACTTTGTTTTTTTAATTGTTTTCATTGTGTGTATTCATATCTGAAAATATAATACCATGTAATTAGAAAAGTTATAATAAAATAAGACTGGAAGTCTTAACTTTTTATATCAAATGTTCTGCACACAATTATAGCCTTTTACTGATGATCTATGGCTCCAAAATATTGGTAGCTATAATTATGCTTTGTAAAACAGAAGCTATGAATGCCTTACTACAGAAAGACACAAAGAATCATTTCCTTACTCACTCACTGCTAGTAGACCCTGAGGCACAGCATTTCCTGCCCAGATACCTGATTATTAATCCCGTTTTTGTTAGGGGTATACTAACATTAACTAACGGAGATCGGTGCTTAAACCAGTTAACGTAAAGAAATGCTGTAGGAACTGAAATATTCCTTTTAAATTAACAAAAGTGTTCTTCTAGACAGACAAAGTTACATGAGGACCCAAATGTATACCAGAAAATCATTTGATGAACATGGAATTAATAAAAGAATGTTTTGTTATATGGTTTTAGTACTTCGTTGGTGCCAGGTTACAGACATGTGGCCCTAGATAGGGTAACTCTACAGAAGAGAATTTAATTTGTTTACCTGCTTCACTAGAAATCCAACAATTAAGTCAGTGACTCTATTTTCCAATATTCATTTCCTCCATTTTTTCATCTCTTTTTGATTGATGGTATCATTTCATTATTTCATTTTCATTGACATGGAATTCATTTTGGCTAAAATGACTTTTTGACTATTTGTATATACATATATGATTTTAAAATCAATGAACAATATTGTTTCTCTATTTCCAAGATTATCCCTCTATATTCTCTAAAGTCGATACTGTGAAACAGTCCAGATATGAGTCTAGGAATGGCAGTATGAAATACTGTAAAACTGGAAGCAACTTAGTAGGTAATCAATAGGGAAAAATGAAACTCAATATAATTGACTCTAGTTAATGTAATGATGCATTTATTTTACATTTTTCTTGCATTCCTGAGATAAGTCCTGCCTGGTTATAGTATATTATGTATTTTATGTATTGCTGGATTTTGATCATTAGCATTTTGCTGAAGATTTTTTCCATCTACTTTTGTTAAAGATATTGTTCTGTGTTTTTGTTTTTGTTTTTGTTTTTGTTTTGATGCTATTGTCTGGTTTTGTTATTAGGGTAATACTAGCTTCATAGAATAAACTGGGAAGTGTATTCTCTTTTTTTTCTTTTGCAAGAGTTTGTAAATAATTGTATTAATTCAACTTTGAATGTTTGGTAGAGGCATTCTTGGCTAGAAGATTTTGTTGCTGTTGTCATTGTTTCCTGAGGTGGTAGTTTTGATTACTAACTTAATCTCTTTACTTGATAAGATTTTATATATCTCCTTGACTCATTTTTGCTAATTTGAACCTTTCTTAGAATTTGTCCAGTTCTTAAAAAGTATCTAAATTTTAGATGTAATTTTTCATAGGTACTTTTATAATAATTTTTTATTTCTTTAAGTTTAGTGTCCTTTTAAAAATTTCATTAATACTTGAATAGCTTCTCTTTCTTGTTGGTCGGTCTATCTAAATTGTGGCCACTGTTGATGTGTTCAAAGAAACAATTTTTGGCTTTGTTGAGGTTCTCAATTGTTTTTCTATTTTGTATTTCACTAATTTGTATATCTCTAATACTTTCTTGTGGTTGCTGTAGTTTTAATTTGCTCTTCTTTTTTCAGTGCCTTATGGTGGCAGGTTAGAGAATGTTATTTTTGAGTATGAGAACTACTTTTATTGCATCACAGAGATACTATGCATTCTTAAAGTATTTTAACTTTTTTAAAGTATTTTCTAATTTATCTTATTATTTCTTCTTGAACCCATTGGTTATTTAATAGCATGTTGTTTAATTTCCACATAATTCTGAGTTTCCCAAATTTTCCTATTGCTGATTTATTATTTTACTCAATTATTGTCTGAAAATATACTTCGTATTATTCCAATGTTTAAATTCATTGAGGTCTATTTTATGGCCTGGGGTATGGTATTCCTGGGTAATGTTGCATGTGCACTTGAGAATCTACTGTTGTTACGGTGTTCCTTAAATATTTAATCAGTCTAGTTATTTTATAGTATTGTTCAAGTGTTCTATTTCTTTGTTGATCTTCTGCCTAGTCATTTGATCCACTTGTGAAAGTGAGTATTAAAGGCTGCAAGAAGTATGTTAAATTGTCTAATTAATCTTCATTTTTGGAGGTTTCTACGTCAATGGATTTTGAAGTCTTTTCATTACACATATATATGCTTATAATTGCTATTTATTTTTGAGATATTGGATCTTTATTTCTATGAAATATCTCTCTTTACCTCTGTAGTTACCCTTTTGTTTTAAAGTCTACTTTTTTCTGATATTAATGTAACAATTCCAGCTTTCTTGTGGTTACTGCCTGCATCATATAACTTTTCCATCCTTTTTTTTCTATGAATTTTCATTTTTGGATCTGAAGTGTGTCTTCTGCAGACAATATGTAGATGGATCTTGTTTATTTAATTTGTTTTTCCTCCAGTCTGACAATCTGTCTTTTATTTGAATATTTAAATTCATTTTTACTTGAGGTTACTAGTATAGTTAGATTTACATCCATCATTTTACTTCAGTTTTCTGTATACCTTATGTCTTTTCATTCCTCTATTCCTCCTTTACTGCTTTCTTTTGAATTAGATATTTTTTATAAAACATTTAATTTAAATTTAATAATATTTTATCTATATATTTTCAATGTTTCCCTGAATTGCTACTTTAGGGTTTACTGTAGACATCTTATCACAATCAATTTTAGATACACAACAATTCTAGTGACATAAGTATATATAAATGTTACTTTTGTTCACTTTTGTATACTTTGGCTGTCCTTTTTGTGCTATTATGGCTGTACACATTACACCTGTATATGATATATACCCAATAATTTAGTGTTATAACTGTTACTTGATGATATGGTTTGTTGCTTTGTCCTCTCCAAAGTTCATGTTGAAACTTAATTTCAATGTGACAGCATTAAGAGCTGGAACCTTGAGGATATGATTAGGCTATTAGGGCTCTGTCCTCATGGATGGTATGAGTGTGTTATAGAAGGGCTGGAGGGAATTAGGACCCTTTGCCTTTGCATCCTTTTCACTGTATGAAAATACAGCATTCACCCCCTCTGGAGGATGCAGTATTCAAGGCACCTCAGCAGACACCAAACCTGCCAGCAAATTGATCTTAAAATTCCAGCCTGCAGAACTATGATAAATAAATTTCTTTACAAATTTCTCAGTCTCTGGTATATATATGTATGAGCATGAACAGACTAACACACTTGACATAATTTTATGTCTTAAAAAGATAAAAAGAAACGTACTATGTATTTACGGCTTTTGTTATATTAACAGTCTTATTTATTATTTCAGGTCTTTTCATTTGTTCAGCATTTGAAACTTCTTCCTGACAGCAGAAGGGCTCTTCTTAGCTGTCTTTTTCCTGGGTTATTCCTGGTAAACTAGCTGACTTTTGTTTCAAAGCATATGTCTCTAATAAAGTGCCAGTCTCTCTTATTTGCTTTTTACCATCACTTCATTGTTTTTCGAAGTACCCTTACGGTTGAATTTCCCCAAACTTTTCTTTTGGGAAAAGCTTTAGTTTCTCTGCTGTATGTTGTGCCCCTTCCTTTGGGCAAAACTTCTGAGCTTTGGCTCTGGTGATTGCAGCAAAGAGAGCAGCATTCTCCTCTCAGAGTGACGGCCCTACTTTGAGACAGGGTCACTGGGATGAGAAGTAGCCGTTGGTAATCTCAGCTTGCCACTCCTGGAATCAGAACTTTGCCTTACAGCCAAACCAGAAAGAAGGCAATCAGGGCTCAGTGTTCTCAGTGCGTTGCACCCAAACAATCCTCATTCCATGAGTTAGAGCTGGTAGGAAGAAGTGACATTCTACTTCTTGGCCACATTCAACAAAAGCTTAACCTCAAGAACAGGTAGTGGCAGCAGGTGGGGGTTCAAATGAAAAATTCTGATGTACTGTTACTCCCAGAAAATTCTGATGTACTGTTACTCCCAGAAAGATACTATAGCCCCCCAATGGGGTCTAGTAAAAGTCCTGTGTTCTTGGCTACATTGCCTTGAGTAGAGTTTATATCAAGATAGGCTGTGAGAAAGAGAGGTAAGAATGGGTTGTGGATGAAATGCAAAAAAACTCTCACTGTTCTTAGTGAGTTTCAGTAGATTTTCTTGAATAAATACTTCATCATTTTCTGTGTACCATTATGACTTTTCAAGTGACATAGGTGATGGTTGTTTTATAATTTTCAACAATTTTATAAAAGATCCATGGAGCTCTTCACATTGCCATTCTAGAGGTGGAACTTCTGCATTTATTTCTTATGCAAGGAAATTAAGGTTTTCTTTAAGTTACTTTCTCTTCTTTCTTCTAAAATATGCTTTGGAATCTCACTCTTACAGCAAATTGGGTGTCAGTGTATTTCTTTCTCCAAGAGAAGTCTGCTAGATACTCAAATAATTTTTGTTTGAGATTGTTATGTTTGAAAGGTTGTTTTGTTGTTAAACAAAAGACAATAGGAAGATCAACATGAAACCCTCACATTCATTGTATGTATAATATCTTTTCATTCAGAATGAGTTACAGTATATTTGAGTGCTCATAAAGCTTTAAAAAGAAGTGGATTAAGTAATCAATCTCCCTAGACAGATAAAAAAGCACATGATATTTTGGTATTTCCCAACTTTCATTATTTGACTTTCATGTTCTAGCAAATAACTTTCAACAATTTGTCAACGTATTTGCAGTCATTTATATTTTACATTATTAATTCCATTATTTATGCATGTGTTGAATAGACTTTATAGAGTAGATGTTGACACACTCGATTTTGTAACAAAGTGAAAAATTACTTTGATACGTATTTCTTTTTTTCTGACAAAATTCTGAAGTGCTTTTCCATCTCTTCCAAAACAACATATAGAAAACGTGTTTTTTTCTCATTATTAAATATATGACTCGGAATACAGCAAAACTAATTGGCTATAAAGCAAACCTTTAAAAGAGAAGAGTTTGATGAAAAATATAAGCATTCTTAGTTATACATAAGATCCCACAGAGCCAACTTTTTTCCAGATTTATGTCCCAATTTTAAACTTTAATTCCTACTGTCTAAGCATTGTGGCTAAAAGTATGAGATAATTAATTACTCCTGACATCCAACTTTTGTGATCATAGTAGGTGACATTCCTTTGAAAAAAATAACTTAAAAATTTTCTGGTAAATGTTACGTTTGTGTGTGGGTGCAGAGTTTAATTTTCATACCAAGCTCACATATCAAAGTTAAGTGTTTTAATTATCTTTTAAGACTATGTCCTTGGATGCTATGCTATATGCCAATATTTATATATGTTGAATATACTTAACTTTCATTTAACTTACATAGCCATAATGCTTAACTTTAATCAGAGATTCCTTACTAATTCTGATGAATGTTGGTAGAAAATATGCTGAAAATAAAATATGTTAGAATAATTTTTAATAAAAGGATAAAAGGAAAGAAACTAGCAGAAGAGCCGGCACCACAGAAAGCAAAGTCACATTCTGGATCCAAGCAAAGTTTTCATGAGCAAAGAACCAACAAATTGAATTCACGAGACAGGGAGCAGAAGCAAGAGAGAGAAGAGGAAGTAGACTTCTTTTTGTTTTTGTTTTTTATTTGTTTTCTCATGAGAAGAGTGTACTAGTAGTAGAAGTAAGTTCTATGAATGAGATCAGAAAGACATAGGTAGAATATCTGGACCCTCTGTATAGGATAGGTAGTTATTATATTGTGTGTTCTGGAGGTAAGATTTATATAAATTCAAGCCTACAATAGTATCAAGGCCTATTAAGCAAACATCCATTAGACAGCAAGAAAGACTAAGAGGCTTTCAAACTACAAGTGTTAATAGTTAAATGTGAAGCAAATATATAGACATTTGATACTATGACAAAAATAATATGAGGTTTATCATAATTTAATATTTTCTTGTTTAGTAATTATATATAGCTACACACTAGTTTTTCAAAACTTAACTAATCCTCTTTAAATATATTTCTATGAAATTTCCTGCTATACTTGGGATACAGTTGAGTGTAACCTCATTCTGTAGGATTTTTTTTAAAAAATCATGAAACAACATAGTGATAAATTTAAATAGTTTTGCCAGTTGAATCATGTATGTGATAAAAAGGCTTTATATTTCTGATTCCTAAATCAGGGCATGGCAGTACAAATCATAAATCAAGTATTCTTATGTCCGTTGAATAATTATAGAAGAATAATGCCCAAACCTTTTTTGAATGAGGGTATGTCATGAGCATCAAAAGGGAAAAAAAGTATGAAAATCCCTAAGAGTTTTACTCCAGAGAGTCATATAGATTGTGCGTTCTTTAGCTAACATTTTAAAACAAATATCTGAAATCACTTGCTTAACCCCTTTGAATAATATACTATTGTCCTTAAGAGAAATTCAGTAATTTACTAAAGGTTCTTTTCACATAGCCCTGACTTCTCTCTCCAGTCACGTGCCCTTACTGGTGTCTATGACCCAAACACACTAGTTGTCTCTCGATTTCACTAAGATGTTCTGCATTCTTTCTTCTCACAGCTTTTATGTCTATTGCTGCTTCTTCAAGGCATACTTCTCTAATATTTACTAGCTACTGTCTATTATTTTGAATCAGTTTAATGGTTTATTTTTGAGGAGACAAGGGCAAATTTTGCTGCTCTATATTCCCATAGTATTGTAGTCTTCTCTTTATTAAAAACTCATCGGGCTAAAAATTGTTTGTGATTCCCATTTATTTACCTGCTAGATTCTAAATTCCATGAAGACTGGAAATGCAACCCTTTTATTTACCTGTGTATCTCAAACTTTGTATTCTTCCTGTGAGACAGTCTTGTATTTATAAAAATGAATGAAATTTTTGTGTTTATATACTGCATTACCAATACATCTTGCACTATGAAATTTTCCTTAATTTCAAAAAAGCCAAACATTACTTTTTTCTCATTTATATAGTTTGAAATTCTTCTCTGGCAATAATGTTTCACCTATAAAAAGACCTTTTTCAAAAAAGAAATACAGAATTTTTCAAAAAGAACTAAGATAATTGTCCACTAATCTCCCATTAAATCTCTTAGTTCTACTTCCACGAAAGATATTACCATCTATGATTAATTTGGATTTCAGAGGAAGAAAATGTAGTTTGAGGAAAATGGATTGTGGAGCAATCTCAATGCTAACTACTATAAAATAGCTTATTACTTGAAAAATGAGGCTATTGTATGAATTTTCACTAGTCAATTGGTAGCAAAAACAAAATTTAAGTGATTGTAAACATGTCATATTTTAAACTATCTTGTAAAGATGTAATGTACAGAGATATATATGTTACTAGCATCTGGATTCAGAAAAATATCTAACTGGAACCAGGTTTAAGTTGGGTAATTGTAGTGTGTCTAATAATTTTAATACAAGGTAAAAACATTTTCTGTTGAAAATCAGTTTTAATATTGAGTTAGGTTTTATTTATATTTTGAAAATTTAAGGACTCTTGAATATCCTTAAGTAAATTGCAATTTAATGCAATTGTAGTTATACTCAGCAGTATAGTGACACTTGATTAAAGCCATTATAAAGGAAACATAATCCCATACTGATGATCTTCACATTTCTTTGGGTTAGAGATCAGTTTATTTCATTAAGATTACAGTTCAGGAGAAAGGTTATTGACTACATGTATCTATAGTGTTGTCTAAGCAACAGTTAGGAGTTTAGTTTGCATGTTTATTATTTTTGAGAGCACATCAATGTAATGAAATGTATTTAAAATTGTACCCATATATACATAATTATATATATTTATATATATATTTTTTACAACAGTGTTTTTCCTTGGAGATGGTTCAATCAAATTGCAGAAGAGACACTTCTAATTAGTTATTAGGAAGGACAAGCTAGGATTGTTTTCCTGAACTTTTGTGACTAGCAATGATGTCTTACAGACGTGGGGGTCTGGACACTTGGATCTTCAATTGGAAATGGTTAAAACATTGTTATCCAAAGAATGACAATGGTTTGTTTGCCAAGTCTTTTTGTTTTGTTTTGTTTTGTTCTTTTGAGATGGAATCTTGCTCTGTCACCCAGACTTGAGTGCAGTGGTGTGATCTCGGCTAACCGTAACCTCCGCCTCCCAGGTTCAAGCAATTATCCCACCTCAGCTTCCTGAGTAGCTGGGATTACAGGCAACCGCCATCATGCCCAGCTAATTTTGTATTTTTAGTAGAGATGGTGTTTCACTATGTTGGTCAGGCTGGTCTTGAACTCCTGACCTCAATGAATCCATCTGCCTCAGCCTCCCAAAGTGCTGGGATTACAGGCATGTGCCACTGCGTCCAGCTGCCAAGTCTTTTTGTGTTAATATTGCTGTTGAATATATCTGGTGTTTTCATTCAAGAAAACACTTAAAAGCCATTTTAGGGGCCGGGCGCGGTGGCTCACGCCTGTAATCCCAGCACTTTGGAGGCCGAGGCGGGCGGATCACGAGGTCAGGAGATCAAGACCATCCTGGCTAACACGGTGAAACTGCGTCTCTACTAAAAATATAAAAAATTTAGCCTGGCATAGTGGCGGGAGCCTGTTGTCCCAGCTACTCGGGAGGCTGAGTCAGGAGAATGGTGTGAAACCGGGAGGCAGAGCTTGCAGTCCAGCAGGGCGACAGAGCCAGACTCCATCTCAAAAAAATAAACAAAAACAAACAAGCCATTTTAGGATAAAAGAACGTTTCTCAGAACTATCACTGTACACATCTTCCTGTTTCACTGATTCCTCTTCTCTCCTTTAGTTTTAACCTTTTGTGATAGCTCTTTATGCATCTTCTTCTGGGGTCATTGAAGATGTGTTCTGTCTTACTGGTTTCTGTTACCACTAAGTACGTCTTATCTCTAAACAGGTGGTTTGATTTTATGACCACTCAGACAACTCTAAGTAAGATGCAAACATGTGCTACTTTTTCCTACTCTACACACATAAACTTCAAACAATTCCCTCTTCTGTCTGCATCTTTCAATAAGGATATAGACTTAGAACGTTTAAAATCGATGGATAACCACTCTTTACTGCAAGAGTGGAATACTATATTGGACCATGATTATGGGCAAGATCACCTAAACAGAATGGATAACTTTACACTGTGTGTAAGTACTCACTAGGCACTCTCCTAGTAGTGTCTCTACTTGATAGAGAAAAGTATTAGAAGAAAAATGAGCAACTTCATTCTCATGATTTCTAATATGTCATCATAAATATGAGGTCCTTCATTTCTGTTAAGTAGAAAACCAATGATGATACTGCTTACAGAAAACCATCTGTCCGTGTTCATCTATATCAACAAACTTCCAGGCAATTTGCATCGGCACAAGCTGTTATTTGTCTTTGCTAATGTTTAACAATGTCAGGTGGTTCTACTTCTTCCCAGGCAGCATATTCTATAAAATTCTCAATGACAGTTGATACTCTGGAAAGATAGTATTTTTATTCTTCACAGGGTAGAATATGCATTACAAATTCTGTAATCAGTAAAATACGTGCAATGAAATGGTTTCAATTTCATGTATGAATAATTTTTATGATGGTTATCTAATAATCTAAAATATTTATATTTCAATTAGTGTTTTACTAATACCTTATTACTTCCTTTTAATCAATCAAAAAGGAGATATTACCTGTCCAAAGGAAGCTTAGCTATGTATTATGCATTGGAGACTACATTAAGGAATTCACTAGGCAATGAGTTCTAGGTGTTAAAAGGGGTATTAATTTAAAAAAGAATATTAAAGATGCGAAATTTTAAACCCTCAAAGACATGTGAATAAAAGATTTAAAGAAGAAAATACTGTGTTGACTGAACAATATTTATTTTTTCCCAAATGTCTAAGCTTTCAAATCAGGGACTAATCATGAAAAACCACATGACTTATTTTTAAATTAAAAACCATATTGAAATGTATTTTTCTGGTTGAAGAGAGTTTTATTCTAAAAAGAAAAAATGTCTCTGAAGCAAAAAAAAAAGAGAAAACATATGCTCTTATGTTTGCTCAAGCAGAATTTACCTCTGCAACTCATATAATTGGTGCTATAATTATGTACAGATATATTTTGATACTTCAAAGAATCTATAAAATTCCCTAAATGAAAATTATTTTAGATTAAACATGATATTAATGATCAAGACAGCTTTTTTTGTTTATAAGCAAGTTAGATTATATTGCTTATGAAAGTTTTTTTGTATTTTTATTCCATGGATCATGCAAAAAATCATACTAGACAATGAAAGGATATCGTGTTTTCTCCTTTTTGCCTTATTACCATTTTTTTTCTGCGCTTAGTTCTGCCTTTGCTATATAGTGTGGAAATATAAAGAATTACAAGAAATGCTCAGATGTCTTTTTCAAACCTCCAGGTTGCCAATATATTCACTTCATCACTCTCATCTGATTCCCACACATTCCTCTATGATCCTACAGAGCAGTATGTTTGTTGTAAAATCTAACAGACCACCCAACTATGGTTTGCAACATCAAACCGTCATGTTTCTTGTACACAATATATTAGAAAATTGGGTTTTTACGTATCAGAGTAGAAATATATTTCATACATATTTGAGGCATACTGTTATATTCTTAAGGAAATAATATTTAATTGAACCCACATGATTTTTACTATGATGTAATTACTCACTGACCACCAAGTCTACAGCCAGCCTCTACCAGAATCAAGATACACATAGGTAAATTATTTTGAATATCTTTTGAAATCTGGGGTGCTCAATTTGATCCATGCATATTACCTTAATTAGTATACATCTATTGGTCATTGCCATACTTTTTAAAATGAGATATAAAATTATACAATTATCTGTAAGTTCTCTACAACATCTTTTCCTAGCAGCATTTTACAGCAGACAGAGGAGGCTGCCAGTAGGTAGACAAAACAAAAAATAGAAACACTTCTTCCTAAGCATACTTTTTTTCACATGTCATAACGTGAATCTACTATCATTTTTTAGTTTTACTTTTGTATTCTGAAAAAATGTTAAAATTGGTTATTACCACTGTCTCTCTGTTCTTTCCTAATAATGTCTTTTTCCTCTATTGTCAGCATTTTAAAAAACATTCTTGATCTCTAACACCTTTCTAGAAAATTCTGCTGACAAATTAAGTGGCAGCTTAGAACAAGAGGAGATTTAAAGAATTATTGTTGATAATGAAAACAATGAAATACGTATTTGGCATGGGCTTGTTGCACGTTGACAATATATCATTGCATAAATGTTTGAAATATTTTTCCTTTATGAAATAATTGTCATCAAGATCGAAGCTATTGAATATATTTGCTGTATAGCATTTTGTATAAAATAGATTTATATTGCTTTGAGCTGAACAGATATTTTCAATGAAATTGTCCTTGGCCAGCGATGTTATGTCCATCTAATACCTTATCTCTTTCCTCTTCTCTTTCCCCAACTCACATGCAACTGAAAGATGCTAGAAGTTAACAGTTCTGGTAAAGTAGTCTTCTAAAATCCTTTTTCATTTATGTCTAGAGAAAAAAAGGTACCAAAATTCAGGACAGATTTTTCTTCAAGGTATCAAGAGTAGACCATATATATTTTTTCAATAAATTTATAAAGCTATATTTTAGAAATCAAAAAAGAAATATTTGCATTAAAACCATTATTCCCTTAAATTTTTAGAGGATTCTGTTTGACTTTGGCGTGAATAAAGTCCATTCTCTTATTTGCAGTGCTATTAGATATGAGGAGTTTTAGCAGAGATCCTGGAACAACTGCTGCCTATCAGGGTGTGAAATCAATGAGATGGATTCCAGTAGAAACTATTTACTTTGCTATATCTCCTCAATATATGTATATACAAACAAGATCTTTGACACTGGCTTGAAATCCACAGCAAGAGGTACACCAGGAAGCATCAAAAACTATTAAGTATATACAAAAATAGTTGAATGCATACCTCAGTTAGCAATGTTAACAGGGTTTGTGTCCCACAACCATTAGATTTTGCTACCCACAATTATCAGACCAAATTAAAGTAATATGAGCACAACATCTCCACTCAAGGACAGTATCATTGCAAATTTCTGCTCATTTCAAAGCAATATAAATATGTTTTATACAAAATGGCACATAGTAAATGTATTTGATAGCTTAAATCTTGATGCCAATTACTTCATAAAGGAGCAAATATTGTCAAATATTTATGTAATGATGTATCATTAGCATGCAGTTTGTGTTCCTTTAACATAGTAAATGCTTTCTTCTGAGAGAAAAGGGGCCTCGATTCTTCTATTTACTCATTCTTGCTGGAAAATTTTGCAAATATAGGAAGAAGAATGAATCTAGTAATTTTTTTTTTTTTTTTTTTGGCGGAGTTTTGCTCTTCTTGCCCAGCCTGGAGTGCAATGGCACGATATTGGCTCACTGCAACCTCTGCCTCCTGGATTCAAGCGATTCTCCTGCCTCAGCCTCCCGAGTAGCTGGGATTATAGGTACGCGCCACCACTCCCGACCAATTTTGTATTTTTAGTAGAGACGGGGTTTCTCCGTGTTGGTCAGGCTAGTCTCAAGCTCCGGACCTCCGGTGATCCGCCAGCCTCGGCCTCCCAAAATGCTGGGATTACAGGTGGGAGCCACCGCGCCCGGCCAAACCTAATAATTCTTTAGAACCTCTTTTGTGCAAGCCAGACATTGTCCTAAGCATTTTAGAGACACAATCTCATGTATGTGTTTGAAAAATTATCCCTATGAAACTAATGTTTCTAAACTGTGAAAGATACCTCATTTGCTCCTTTAAATTCATGTGCCACTTTTTCCCATTACCTTTTTTAACATACATTACGTCTTCTGGGTCCTTTGACTTATAAATGGCCTCAGCTCATGGTGAACCCTTAACAGGAGCTGCGAAGGATGAAGAGTTAGACCAGCATGCTAATTCATCTTGCTTCTTCCCTGTAAGTAGCTACATCTTTAACCACTGATTCGAACAAAGCACAGACTGTACAGGATGTTTTACTCCTGATTTTGAGTAATGCACCTTCTCCTTCAGATGTCCTTGTGGTAAGGAAATGGCTGCTAGGAAGTGACAGATTACTTCGCTATCCTTTCTGGTATCTCTACCCCAACCCTAATCCATCCACTTGTAAATTAACCCTTCAGGAATTATACTAGTCTCCGTGTTCTATGTGCACTGCTTATGAACTGACATCTGTATAAACTATTGAGAATTCGAGAAGCTTAACTCAAACATTGTTTGAACATCTTATGGAAATAGAGGGTGTGTCTCCACATTTCTCCACATGAATATTAAGAGTGTTGATTTTTACTATGTTGATTTTTAGCTTCTGTAAAGGTAATTTTTATTTTTATACTTATTTTTATTTATCATATGACTATTAATTGCTCCCAGGTAATGTGGACTAAAAGGGCTTTCTTAGTTTACACACACTCATGCACACACATACACAGATATGTATGCACACACGTGAGACATTTGCAATTGTAAAACCTACTACGGAGTAAAAAGGAAAGGGCATAGGCAAAATGCCATGGCTTGCCTACAACTACAATTTGGATATTAGATATTTATCTTTTGTTCTTTCTTCATAGAACTGCTTTGACTGCTCAGGCTTTTAGGGGCTCCAAATGAATTTTAGAATAGTTTTTTTTTTTCTAATTCTGTGGAAAATGGTATGCATAGTTTCGTAGGGATAGCATTGCATGTGTAGATTGCTTTGGACAGTATGGTCATTTTAACAATATTGATTCTTCCAATTCATGAGCATGGAATAATTTTGCATTTGTGTCATCTATGAGTTCCTTTACCAGTGTTTTATAGTTTTCTTCTTAGAGATCTTTTGCCTCCTTGGTTAGATGTATTTCTAGGTATTTTAATTTTTGTAACTATTTTAAATGAGATTATGTTATTGTTTTCAATCTTAGCTTGAACGTTATTGGGGTACACAAATGTGACTGATTTTTGTACATTGGATTTGTATCCTGAAGCTTTCCTGAAATAATTTATCAGTTCCGGGAGCCTTTCGTAGGAGTCTTTAGGTGTGGGATAATATCAGGTGAAGAGAGATAGTTTGACTTCTTTTTCTATTTGGATGTCCTTTTTTTTTTTCTCTTGCTGATTCCTCTGGCTAGCACTTTCCAATCTATGTTGAATAGGAGCAGTGAGAGTGGCCATCCATATTTTGTTCCAGCTCTTAAGGGAATGCTTCCAGTTTTTGCCTGTTCAGTATGATGTCAGTCATGGGTTTGTCATAGATGGCTGTTATTAGGGAGCATGTTCCTTTAATATCTAGTGTCTTGAGAATTTTTATCATGAACAGATGTTGGATTTTGTTGAAATATTTTCTGCATCTCTTGAGATGGTCATATGTTTTTTTGTTTTAAATTCTGTTTATGTGGTAAATCACATTTATTAAATCCCACATGTTGAACCAACCTTGCATCCCAGGAATGAAGCCTACTTGATCTTGGTGAATTAACTGATGTGCTATTGAATTTGGTTTCCTAGTAATTTGTTGAAGATTTTTGCATCTCTATTAATCAGAGATATTGGCCTGTAGTTTTCTTCATTGTTGTGTCTTTGCCAGGCATTGGTATTAGAGTGATGCTGGCTTTGTAAAATGACTTGTGGGGGAGTCCTTTCTTCTTAATTTTTTGAAATAATTTCAGTAGAATTTGTAACAACTCTTCTACATACGTCTGGTAGAATTTGGCTGTGAATCCAGTTGGTCCAGAGTTGTTTTGATTAGTAGTTTTTTTTTTTTTTAATCACTGATTCAATTTCAGAACTCAATATTGGTCTGTTCAGTGTTTCAATATCTTTCCCATTCAATCCTGGAAGATTGCATGTTCTCAGGAATTTATTTCTTCTAGATTTTCTAGTTTGTGTGCATAGAGGTGCTTATAATAGTTTCTGAGGATCTTGTATTTCTGTGTGATTGGTTGTAATGTCACCTCTCATTTCTGTTTGTGCATAATTAGACCTTCCCTCTGTTCTGTTCATCTAGCTAGTGGTCTAACAATCCTGCTTATATTTTCAAAAAATAAACTTTTGGTTTTGTTAATTTTTTGTATGGGTTTTGGGGTCTCAATTTCATTCAACTCCACAATGATTTTAGTTACTACTTCTCTTCTGCTAGCTTTGGAGTTAGCTTGTTATTCTTTTTCTAGTTCCTCTAGATGTGATGTTAGATCATTAGTTTGCAATCTTCCTAAATTTTTGAGGTAGGTGTTTAGCTATAAACTTTCCTCTTCACACTGCTTTCATCATATCCCAGAAATTTTAATATGTTTTGTCTCTCTTCACTTATTTCAAAGAATGTTTTTCACTTCTGCCTATATTTTGTTGTTTGCCTGAAAGTTATTCAGGGGCAAGTTGTTTAATTTCCTTGCAACTTTGTGATTTTAAGGTATCTTCTTGGCATTGATTTATATTTTTTCCTCTGTGTTCTGAGAATGTGGTTGGTATGATTTCTATTTTTTTTTTGGTTTATTGAGACTTGCTTTATGGCTGAGCATGTGGTCCATCTTGAAATATGTTCTATATACAGATGAGAAAAATGTGTACTTTGTCGTTGATGAATGGAAAATTCTTTAGATGTCTGTTAGGTCCAGCTACCAAATGTCAAGCTTAAGTCCAGAATTTCTTTGTTAATTTTCTGCCTTGATGATTTGTCTAATACTGTTGGTGAGTTGTTGAAGTTCCCCACAATTACTGTGTGGGCTGTCTAGGGCTCCTTGTAGATCTAGAAGTATGTGTTTTATGAATATGGGTGCTCCAATATTGGGTGCAAATATAATTAAGACAGCTTAGTCTTCTTGTTGAATTGAACCCTTTATCATTATGTAATGCCTTTCTTTGCTCTTTTTTACTGTTATTGTTTGAAGTCTGTTTTTTCTGATGTAGGATTAGTGACTCCTGCACTTTTATATTTTCCATGTGTGTGGTAGATTTTTCTCCAACCCTTTACTTAGAGCTTATGGATGCCATTACATGTGAGATGGGTCTCTTGAAGACATCAGATAGATGGGTCTTGGTTTTTATTTTTTTAATGTTGATCATATTTTAGAAAGGTATTGAGAAAAGTTGTCTTTCTGATAAATGTCATACTTTAGTAAGTAACAACTTGAGATTCACATCACAGAATTTGCCTTAGAGGTTGAGCAATAATAGCTTTTTGTTGACTAGGCTTGTAGCTTCTCTAAAATTTCAGAATCTGGCCGGGCGTGATGACTCATGCCTGTAATCCCAGCATTTTGGGAGGGCGAGGCAGGTGGATCACGAGGTCAGGAGATCGAGACCATGCTGGCTAACTCGGTGAAACCCTGTCTCTACTAAAAACACACAAAAAAATTAGCCGGGCATGGTGGCGGGCACCTGCAGTCCCAGCTACTCAGGAGGCTGGGGCAGGAGAATGGCGTGAACCTGGGAGGCGGAGCTTGCAGTGAGCTGAGACTGCACCACTGCACTCCAGCCTGGGCGACAGAGCGAGACTCCATCTCAGAAAAAAAAAAAAAAATTATCTCTCAAAAAAGTTGTATATGAAACTTTTTTTTATGTTTTACTAATATGAAGATGCATAGCATATAACGGACAAGTAATAAAATATTAGTTCCCTTTTCAGGGGGAGTTTTTGTTAATTTTTGCCAAACTCTTAAATCCATAGATAACTGACTGCAATTAGCAAATAAATAGAGTTTCAATATGAATATTGGTTACTATTTTTATATACGTTAGTGGTTAAAGTGAAATTAAAACCTTTACTTGTTCACCAATGATACACTCTTCTGAGAATCATAATTTTTTAATACAAGGATAATATGTCTGTGTATGTTGGGGCAGTTCATAATGTAATGGTTACAGACATAATTTAAAAAAAATTTGCATTATTAACATACTTTTATTCATTCTTTATTTTTACTTTTATTAATTATTTTTATTCTACACAATTAACAAAATACTAAATCGAACCCTGATACGCGGTGTTAATTTTCATGCTGTAAATACTCTCTTCATGACTGAATTACAAGCTACAACCTGAGGCCATTAATAGGAAGTTGGAGAGATGCACATTAGCTTGCCATTATATAGTGTTGCCACGATACAAACATCATCTATGTAAATATTTTTGGTAGCATAAATCACAGCAAAATATAGCGAAATACTTAGGAAATGATGAATTTAAGTAATTTGTTTTCCTTATTTTTAATATAATTTAATTATAAATTAAAAAGTTTATTTTTAATAATTTCTGTGTCTAAAAAGGACCTCAGAATATTTCTAAAAATTTAATAGTTGGATCTCATGAGTTGATATGAGATAGCTCTCAAACACAATTGTGTATAACTAAAAAGTCTAGAATTATAGCTAGTTTTAGAGTCAGGAAATAAAATGAAGTGGTCAGAATTTTAATTCTCTCATCTAGGGAATAGCTAGGATTTAATTTTACATCTAGATTGGGTCACATGTTCATATCTGGACAAATTAATTACAACCATCCAGTTAGAATACACTAGTCAGAACTGGGTCATGGACAACTTCTAGAATTTGCAGATTTATCAGGTTCACCTAAACCACATTGATTCAAACTTAAAAACATTATTCCATCAAAGAAAATTGGCAAAAAGAACTGCTAAACATTTATTGCATACTCTTTCCAAAAATATACACCTACAGTATAAAATACTAACTAGTAATGAGAATATGTTTATTGAAAATTTACTATATTTCAAACACTGTGCTAAAAACTTTTACATATTATCTCATTAGATAAAATAAGACTATCATTAATATTATTTATCTTCATTTTAAATATGAGTAAGTCTCTAGTTATATTTTTCTATTTAAGATCATATATGGAAAGTATTAGGATGGTGCAAAAGCAATTGTGGTTTTGCCACTAAAAGCAATGGCAAATTACTTTTAGTTTGTCATAGTAGATTGTAATATGTGTTAAAATCTGTATTCCAATCTTGACTCCAAAACTTACATTTTTACATATAGAATGCAACACACTTAGTGAACCCCACATTCTCATCATTAAGAGTCCATTCACTTTTGTTCATGGCACTCTTGATCATAGTGTCATAGAATATTTTAGCTGCAGAAGAAAGCTACCCATTGCCTAGAACATGAAAATAAGTGAGAGGTACTATGAATCTAGGATAAAAACAGTAGAACATGGTTCTAATGTATGAAGAATGTCTTCTTTAGGAGATCAATAAATAGTAAGTTGATTAGACAAAAACATGTGATTGACTAAGTTTGAATAATGAAAAAAAGAGAAGACTAGAGTGGCAAGTAATAAGCCGAAGCTGGGGACACATGAAAAATTAGTAGAAAAAAACTTATCGAAAGAAAAAGTTGCAAATGCCTTTATTTTTGTTTATTTTAGGTCTATATGGCTTGATTAAGCTTTTCTTCCCAAATCCATATATTCCAGGTAGATACAGTGAACTTCATTAGATTTGCTTCCAATAGTTTGTAGTCATTGTTTAATTGGGGAATTTACTGCTACTCCAAATATCATATGGAATCCCAGTCATCTCTTAATGTCTTTTTTAAAAATGAATTTGCCAATATTTTATAGGTAATACAAGGCCAGAATAGTAAAATGATCCAATAAAGGCAAGCTAACTAATCAATTAATCTGAAAATAAAATTGTCACCTGAAATTCTACTATGTAGGGGTCATTGCTGTTAAAACATTAGGGCCCTCCACTATTGTGGGGCCAATTTAGTTCTATACACTTTCTGATATTCTCAACTGTGTCACTATAACTTGTATCCCTTGTCCCGAACACCAAGTCTTTTTCTTATTCTTCTACTCTCTCTAATTCTTAAAATTAGACCCAACATTGTCTGAAGGAAGAACTTGGGGCTGGGAATTAGGATCTTATCAATGAAAATGAAGTAATCTAAAGGTCACTGGATATCTTTAGATATTTATTTACATAGATGAAATATGGCTAGCAACATAGTTAGAAGCATAAGATATTGTGAACAGAAAATAAGAAGATGAAATTATCTCAAATAGGAAGTATAAAAAAAATCAAGGACATCGGAAGTGAGCCTGGGGGAGCAAAGTTTACTCTATCTTTTAAATAATAATTTTCTTTATTTCTTTTAATAATACATTCTTTAGAAATCATAAGGCTAGGTATTAAAACTTGTGATACCAGTGTGCTCAAATTATGTCTACCATTGGAGATTCTCACTTTTATTTTTTGAATTTATATTTTAGAAAAAATTACCTGTCCCTGTTTAAATGTATATTCATCCCAATATAAAATACATAAATAAAATGATATAGACTCAATACTTTAAAAAAAACTTAAATTCTAACATTCTGTAGTTCTTCCACATCTCATTTGTAAAACAAGTAACTGATTTTTAAATTAATGCCCTATAAATAGGTTAAATTTATTTTTAAATTTGCCCTCCAGAGAAAAGGGTTGTAGCATTTTATTTTTAACACACAAAATCTATCTAGATATTGAAAAAACCTTGTCATTGGCAGATATTCTAACAGATGATCTAACCACTGATTTTTGCCTATGATTTATGGCAATTTTTTATTTGAATCTGTAGGATGTAAATACTTTTTACGCTGAACAAGTCACCAAACAGTACAAGACTTTAAGCTAAAAGTAGCTAGGAAATACATAGGGAATCTTAAGGTGTTTGAAACAAAGATTTTACGACGCTTATCGTCTGCTGAAAGAAAAAAAATCGTTTCTTCATTTCTGATAATGTCAGAATAGATAGGCCATTGTTGCACACATAACTGAGTCTGACTGTAAGAATGAATTATCCCAAGTGAAATCCTCTAAATGCTTACTTAACGCTATAGGATGAAAAATTGCAAGCAAGAAAAGTTGAAAAGCAAGCCTTGGGGGAAGGAAGAGAGTATCAACATCACAATGAAATCTGCATTTGGCATTTTAAGTAGGATCCTGTAGCAGGATGTAGAGGAGCCTGCTGTGTTTAAAAATGATCTTTTGCCCTTGTGTGTATATGTTTCAGCATTGAAATAATCAGTCCTCTTTCAAATATAATTTGATAGCATAATTAAAGTACCCCACTAGCACAACTTTTGAAGCTAAACTTTTCCTTTTTCTTGTGCACTTAGAAATTTTTTCACTTGTATTTGATAGCCCAGACCAATTGACTTAGAATTCCCTGCTTGATATTGTAAAGAATTTACTTCTATTTATGTCTTCTAACACATAAAATGTTCTAAACTGTCACCTCTAGTTATGGTAGCATGTAGGCAATGAAGCCTAACAGGACATCTGACTAAACTAGATGTGACATGTTAGTATCACAATACATCAAATTTGATATAATGCCCTTTTTTCACTTTACATTATAAAATATGATTTTGCTTTTTCGTACTTTTTGCTTTTCTTTTTAGATTCAGTAATATATAAAAATATCAAGTCTTAAAATTTAGTGAACCCAAGACCTAACGCCTTGAAGTAATTAACAAATAAGACACCATGTCTTTGCCTGTGCATATGCATTTAAACATATTTATTAATACAGTCATGTTGGAGGGCGTGATTTACACAGCATCTTTTAGATATTCAGAGGTTACTTTGGAGCAGCCTATACTTTTGACCTTTAGCAATGTTCTTGCAAACCAGTCATTCAATTCTACTGGAATGAGATTAAAACAATCCAAGTATGGCTGGTATTCATATGCTTCTCCTTGTTTCCCTCTCCCCTCCCACCACTCCAAGGCTCTGGTAAAGACATTTTTGTTTTTGTTCTCCAGTCTCCTTATATAGGTCTAATCTATTACTCTTTATTCAACAATGTGTGTATATTGTAGTGACTAATTTCTTATTAATTCCTCTACCGAGACTCTTCTGCAAAATTCTTGAGAAAATGAATTCATTAATTCTTCTTAAATTCTGGTTGCCGTTTATGGTTGGCCCTTAGATTTTGGGATTCAAGTCTACCATTCACAGCCTAGAGAGACAAACATGATAGCAGTTGTTTTCTTTTGGATAAAGGAGTTAAGATTTCTTCCATATAAACAGTTGGGGAAAAAGCAGACATATTTATTAGGCCCTATTTAAGAGTTTATTCACTCTGTTTAAAAAAATCATTAAAAACTTCAAAAGAAAAAGCAAAGACAGTGTGGAAGTAACTTTCAATGCTGAACATTGAACATTGAAACTTGAACATTAAAGCTTGAACATTGGCTTACAAACACACCAACAGAACAATTATTATATGTATGTAACTTTGACTGTATGAATTTACATGCCAACTTGTAGATTTCTTTGTAGAAAAGAAAACATGAAAGATTAACGTATGGTTTTATAGACCGTTAACAAGAGCTGTATTTTATCTACCAGTCTTATTTTAACATTTCTCCCCACATCATCTTTGTATGCCAGTTCCACAAAATGTATTTTAAACCAGTTTTACCTTCTTTTTGGTTCCCTCATTAATGAGTTGTATATAATCTTAAAATATGTTTATCCTAGGTTTGTGTGAGAATTATCTTTTTAGTATTAAACTTCTAACTTTTGGTTATGCCCCAGATAACAGAGGAAAAGAAATGATTATACTTGAAGCATTTTTTTATTCCAATTAATCTCCGTAGTAAATCTATTAAATTTAGCTCAAGTTACATTTGTGGAATGACTACTTATACAGGTAATGTGATAGCACCTGAAAGGGGAAAGGTTTCCTTGTCCCTCTTGCAGGGCATGTGACAGGGGAAGTGGCTTGCTTCTTCAGTGCCCTGCTGCTCAAACCTCTCGAGGAGGATACAGATGGGCAGGCTGCAGGGCTCCGACCCCACAGCAGTGTCCAGGGGTGAATGTTTACAGCTCCTGAAGCCCCAGTGGGTGAGTGTTTATAGGGTGCTCTTTTAGTTTTGCCATCTATAGGGTTGTGTTAACCAACTCAATTACACGCCCTACCTTGCTGCAAGGACAGAGGGCTTTCTGTACCCCAGGTTCTTGCCTTGATGTACTGGAAGAATTGGCTCACACCTGGGCTTGGAGAATGAGTGCAAGGTTTTATTTAGTGGCAGTGTCTCTCAGCAGATGGGGGAGCCAGAAGGGAGATGGTTTTTCCCTGATGTGGGGCCGTGGAGCTTCTCCAACTGCTCTGGCCAAATTCTGCATCATTCTACTGGCCGATGGCCTGCTGGCCTGCCGGTATCTTCCACCTGCGTGCTCCTGTTGACATCCTCTGGATGTCTATCCGCTTGTGTGTCTGCCTGCTAGGGTCTCAGAGATTTTTATACATACAGGATGGGGGCATAGCATTCAAGGGTGGTCTTAGGAAATGCAACATTTGGGCAGAAGGCAGGTGAAGCCCTAGCCAGGGACCATGCCCTCCTTTACCCAGCACTTCCCTTCCCCACTTCCGTATCATTTAAAGGGATCATGCCCTTCCCTTCCCAGCACTCCCATATCACAGCTACTCATAAAAAGTGTCTACCATCTGGTCGCTTCACTCCAAGAGATCCACGTAAGAAAATTTAAAAGAAGATATACAAGATAATAAGTGATAAACATTTATAGATAGTTATAATAAAATGGATCATAAGAAAGGTGAAAGGCTGTAGAAACTGATTAAATAAAAATAACGTTATCTACAAATTCAGAGAATATACCATTCATACTAAAAATTAAGTGCATATTCAACTTATGTTAAAAATGACACTGTAACCACTCTTCTACTCTCGATGAAGTCAACTTTTCTGTCAAATTTAAAGGATGATACTGTACAGCATTTCTCACTAACCATATTTTTTCAGCCTTTTTCTTTCTACTCTAACAGCCCTTTAATGTTCTCAAAATTCTTGGCTGATGCCTCTTACTTAATGCACCAAGCATTCAACAGTCAGCTACTTGGAATGTGACGGGTATGGTGGATATGGATGTTTCTTCAGCCATTAAGGACATCAATTGTAACTGAACAGTAACCACAGACAAAAAGGCTTATGAGATAATAACTAGTTCTCCACAATTTAACACTCTCAGTGAAAACCACCCATGACTTAATAATGTAACATTCTTTATTTTGGTAGAAATATGAAAAAAATCAGATTCATAATACATTTGTCTTGAATTTTTTTTACTCATAAAGAAGAATTTTATCAGGAACGCTCATGACTTCTACTGCCTCAGCTTTCTCTTAGGCATGATTTTAGATGAAAAATGTTTCTTAAACGAGGTTTTATATTGATCTCCCATTATACTCAAGTAGTCCCTAACATAAAAAACTCACAAGTACATAGTAAGTTTGAAGATAACAGATTTGTAAGTTTGATTTTCAATAGAAAGTACTTTATCCTAATTTACTTAGAAGAGAATAGCATATTTAGAAATGAAAAATAGTTTTCACTTTTTAATGCAACTAGTTAAAAATAGTTAACTGATTCTCATAAGGGGAAGGTATTTTGTAGTACTTAAGACAAAAATGATATACTTGTAAATATTACAGATACATTTTAAAGTTGACAGAGTATTCTCAGCCATTTTAAGTTATAATCTGTCAAAGACAAAATTATGCCACTACAGAGGATCCAAGATTATAGGTCTGATCTGTCAGTCATGAAGGTTTATAACAAATAGTATAGATTGAAGCAGATCAAGCATGAAGTCCAAGAAAATCGTCTAATGCTCTGTTGTATTGGCAAATTCCAAAGGTGTGGAGACTATAAAATTAGAAAGTGGCAAGTGAATAGTTTGAGAGACTGTGGGCTCATCAATGGAGACATGACATAAACAACAGAATTACTTTACAAAAGGAAAATGGACATTTTCCAGAGACTATCATCCCACCTCTAATTGCTTTAACTAGTACACAAATGACTTCCTAAGATGACAAGTATCAATCTTTCATCAACCTTTCTCTGCAGTGATGCATAAAACAGATGATGTTAAGATATCCAATGGAAGTGTCAGGGTCAATAACATAGGACATAATAATATAAAATCACTGCAGTACTTATTCCACTGTTAGAAAAAAAGATAACAAAAAATAACATACCAGATTACTGGCGTTGAGGTTGAGCATGACTTTGCAGGAATGACCAGGGCCTAAAATATGCCTCTCATTTATTTCAATGAGTATTTATGAAGCCAAAACTCTCTTCATATATTAGACAAGGTGTTGGAGAAAAAAGAAAGAAAAGAGACGTGTGGTCCCTCCCTGCTGTCACAAAGTTTACTCAAGTAACGTGTACTCAAGCAAGGAAGCAGCATAGCATATTGCAATAGTGTTTCAAAAGGAAAATACAGGTTAACTGCAGCAGCACATTTAGGAGAAAACAATTTTCCAGGAAGGACTTTTGGAGACATAGTCATTACAGGAGTAATTACTCATCATACTTAATACATACATACATTTATAATAGGTTGTACTTTTGCATACTACAATTCAAATGTGCCAATTTATTTAGCCTATAAGAGTTTATTTTCTTTAGTCTATATGACTTTATCTTGCCCCATTACTCCTATTATTTAAAAAAAGAGAAGAAAAATACATACATACATATGCATATACACATCTATATGTATATGATAACTCAGTCTCTACTGATTTAAAAATAGTTAATACTAATCAATTCAAATATTCTCTCAAAGTCAACCAAAATTAATAGCCTCTGCTCAGAAATCATACATAAATCTAAAGTCTTCACACTTATGCTGTACCTTCATGAATTTTTGTTTATGTAAATCAATATTTTATGCCAAAAATAGAATGCTTCTTAGAAAATAATTGAAAGAAGGAAATTCATTGTATAACAGAAGAGTAGCAGTTGATTGAGACAAAGAGATTGTTATATGCATGAGTTAAAATGCTTAATTGTGTTGGATCCTATATCAGAACTAATTTACTCTCTTTTTAGGTTAGCATTGAGGTGAATCCCTTGATGATAAAGCCATGTCATCACCTGTTTTACTCTAAACAAAGACATTTATAAAAATGGTAAACCTGATTATATTTCATAGTATTCAGAAAGATTCTTGTGTAAGATTATTAATTTTTACAATGCTCCTATTGTCAGCTGAGGTAAAATTAATTAGAACAACCGTATCCTAGGAAAATAGAGTCAATGAGCAAAGATTATCACATATTTAAAGGAAATAAGAGCAGATGAAAGCTGTTCCTGAGGAATGAAGTAAAGAGAGTTTGAGACGGTGGAAGATGGAACAGGAAGAAAAAAATAAGATAAAATGGTGACATCTCTTAAAATTGTTTTGGAAGGGTCATTTACACACTATGGATGAATAGCAACTTATTCCTAGAAAATGCTTGTTGCCTAGGTTGTGCAAATTCTCAGTTATGGATAGATTTAGTTATTGATCAATCATACTGCTTTCGAGAATTTTAATCTGTTTAGATTTCTTAAAAAGTTCCCATGTATATAAACAAAGTCCATTTACTTGATGGCATTATATTAGCCTTAGGATATTTGGAGGACTTGCATACTTGGAGACAAGGGCATTCCAGATGTCAGATGTTTTCAGGACAACCCTCTCACCCAGTGAGACAGATTGTATGTTTTTTCCACTGTGACTTGCTCCGATTTATATTTCCTTCAGCCCAGAAAGGATTATTGTAATATATCAAGTTCATCAGCATTTTTTAAATTCTTACATTAATCTATTTAAGTTGAGGTTCTATTTTACCTCAAAGATATCTATTACCTGTATTTATCTATCCAATCGAGTTCTTGCCACATATATATACTTTTTTAATTCTGCAATTCCTCTGAAGTTTTTAAGAGATCTTTGCTTGCTGGTTAGAATAATCCTCAAGTTTTTCTAATCATAGCACTTTTATTTTCTCATTCTTCTGATTAAAATTCTATCCTCTTCATTTGCAAAGGTGAATATATTTGGAACTGTCATCTCCAATGAATGAAAAGCAATTAGAAACCCTAGAAAAGATATTTGAAATAATTATTACAAACCATTTTATAATTTGTTAATTTTTCCAGATTTCTATAAAAAGCAAATGCAAATAGGAAAGAAACAAGAACTGGGCTTTCATATATTTTCCAATCTGAGCTGACTTCAAGACATGAAGATTAACTAGTGGTAAACAAGAGAAAATAAATTTAAAATAAGGAGGACAAATGTAGAAGTTATCAAAGATTACAATTTTTTAAAATCTCAAAGCTTTTGTTGAAAGAGGTTCCCATCAAAGGAATTTGTATCAAAAAGAAAATGAATAAAGCTGAAATGTAATTAGAATCAATGAGAAAATATCAGAGCTGGAAGGACATTAATAAATCCTTAGTAAAAATAGCATTATACAGATGAAAAAAAGTCAGGGGTCAAGAAACTTAATTGATTTGTCTAAGGTCATGTTATTTGTCAATTTATTTCCAAGACCAGTGTTTCTCCAAATAGAGATTAATGAAAAGAAGAAAGAAAAAAGAAGAAAAAGCAGTTCTCCACATTTTTTTTTTTTTTCTGCCTGGAGGTCGTGATTCATTTGGTGTGGAATGGAGCATTCACATTTCCTGTTTCCTTGGCTAACAGCAGAAAACTATTAAATGGAAGAAAATAAGATGTGAACTGAAGTGGCAGAAAAAAGTAAATGAAAAAAAAAACAGAACAGGAGACTTTGTTTTTGGCAGTTTTTTAATTATACATATATCTCCCTCAGCAGCCACATGAGGAGGGCCGGCTGGGTCTTTCTCCATTCTTTGGGCGAGTATATTTCAAAATATGTTTAAGAGACTATCACATCCAAATCACCAGAGGGGAGATCGTAGCTAGTCCCAGGCTTTTTTCCACGTAACTTAGTAAAAATCTCTGTGAATAGTTCCCCAAATTCTGCATTTTTAACAAGCTCCCCGCTTATGGAGCTGTCTCCTTGAGTGCAGGAAGGACAGGCTGTTTTACTTTATAACTGGGACAGCAAGTACAGATCCTGGTTCGTAGGAGGTGCCTAGAAAATACATGATAGGTAATTAGTTAAATTGAATTAATAACTATAATAAGTAGTAAAACTTAATAAATGCTAGTATTTTTTTAATTGTATATATCTACTACTAGATACAAACTTTGAGTGGTGGTGTTCATTTACCAAAGTTTTGGTTTTTACACTTTTCCAAAAAATGTCAATTGCTATTCTGTACTCTATACAATCAGAAGGAAGTCAGTTTGAGCACATAAAAATGACATAATAGGCCGGGCGCGGTGGCTCACGCCTGTAATCCCAGCACTCTGGGAGGCCGAGGCGGGCGGATCACGAGGTCAGGAGATCGAGACCATCCTGGCTAACACGGTGAAACCCCGTCTCTACTAAAAATACAAAAAATTAGCCGGGCGTGGTAGCGGGCGCCTGTAGTCCCAGCTACTCGGGAGGCTGAGGCAGGAGAATGGCGTGAACCCGGGAGGCGGAGCTTGCAGTGAGCCGAGATCGCGCCACTGCACTCCAGCCTGGGCGACAGAGCGAGACTCCGTCTCAAAAAAAAAAAAAAAAATGACATAATATTCTGCAGTATCAAGAATACACAGCTTGATACTTCAGATTTATTTTTATCTTTGAAAGATATTAATAAAATAAGTAATTTATAAAAACAAAGAGATTTTAATAACTGAAACAAAAATACTAATTATGATAAGACTAAACATGTAATGTAGCTGTAGGTTGAAATAAACTTGAAACACTCTAGTGTCTGCATACCTTTTGCTTTCCCCAAGAACTATTTCTGCAAAATATTCACTAGCCTGCAGAGATAACCCACATAGACTATGTTATTAATATGCAATCTTCCTTCCTGAAACAGTTTACATATGCAGTATATAGCATCTAGACCTTGTAATTGAATTTTCAAAGTTTGCTGTGGTTTGGGAGCTGCATATGGGTCAGTAATCATTATCCAGACACCATCATTTATAGTACACATACAATTAATCAACTCATTAATTATGGAAAGAGTCTCAGGGAAGGCTAGTACACCTATTTCTTAAACAAATATGTTACCCTTGAGCTGTAAAAGTAGCATTTCCATCAGCCATTGCCTTAGATTATTGTTAGATATTTGTTCTGGGATCTTTTAAAACAAGGCCCATAAGAAGAGTCAATATAAAAATCTTTCAGACATAAGGCCTGTCGTATATGTTCACTGAATTTAATCACTTTCTGGTTAACTCACTGTTCAAGTCAGCTTTGGATCTTTATCTTCTGAAGCTAATGTCAATAACACCTTATTTTTAATTTAACTAAATTCAGCCAAACGTAGGAGAAACAAATCATGCTTCTTTTCATTACTAGTTTTAGTAGATTTTTTGCCAGGGCAAAATTGGTAATTAGGGACAGTAAAGTATTCTTCAAATATTTTTTTCTTGTTATACATTTGTAAGCCCAGGAGGTTGTTAAATGGAGACACTTTATGGATGCAGAAAGGAAAAAAAAATCAGTAAATATATCTTTTCACATTCTTGGCTCATTAGCTAACCAGATGAATTTCCTTTCCTCTTCGTCAATCCCACTCTTTTGCTATTTTTTCCCTACTCCGAGCAATTTATCTTCATGTTGCACTGACTCACATTATGACCTACAAAACTCCTTGTAAAAAGACACACAACAGAAAAAGAGGCTAATTGTGTAAGATAAATGCCAACCTAAAATAATGATAAAATATAATTTGATTTCAGCTTAAGGAAGAGAGAGGAAGGGCTAGTTATTTAATAGAGTTTTTGTTAAATATACGGTGAGCTTAAGGAAGAGGAACAGCTGTTTGCCATCTTCATTGAAGTCAGATGTAGCTTAGACTTAATATGAGAGACATGAAGAAGAGATTTTTGTCTATAGATTTCTAATGGGAATTTTAGTCAGAGGACCATGCAACCATAGAATTTTATTTCTTGTAAGATGTAGAGACATACGAGATAATTTATGACCCATTCAACTTAAAGGTAGGAGGAAAGATCAGTTGGTATTTTAAGGGTTCCTCTTTTCCGATACCACATTGTCCTGACTTCTTTGAGCCTCAGTTTTCCATCTCTGAGCTCCTTTGATTTGAAGTTATAAAATACCACAGAGTTCAAGGCTTACACTTTTAGCTCTTTGGGACAATGTCTAGGAGAGCATGAGGAATGACCAAGAGTAAGCTGAGATCCTGAAGTTTTAGAGTAGTCTCTTTTGTCTCAAAATTTAACCCTTTCAAGTGCTTTTAGTGGAGGATTGTGCATGAAAGAGACACCTGCTTCTTATTACCTAGACCTTGTCTCTATCTATTAGATACATTTCTATCTCACCGAGTTACACTCCCAAATACTAAATTTGCCCCAGTTCTCCCTGTGCCATTGTTTCATGGCCAGTTGTGAAATTTTGTTCTCCATACTGCTAAGAAAATAAATGTACAGTGTGATAAGTGGTGTTATGTAAAATGTGGGAGTGGTAGACTGAAGAAAGCCTCTGGGCAAGGAAAACATAAAAAAGTCAACAAAATGCTTCAAGATTGTTTGTTTTAAATTGTTATAAAGAGGAAACAGAACATAAAAATATGGTATGTGAAAGTAAAGAATTTCATGGAGGTTTCCAACTACACTTTAGTTATGGATATCTTTTTTTTTTTTAGAAAGAAAGCTTTTGAGCTACTTTAACATGGACCTTAGATAAGAACTGAAGTTCAATTGGCAAAACAGTAGGAAATTTGAAGCTTCGACTATACCTCAGGGAATGTGGAAATAGTTTCAGGGACCATGCATTTCTGCTCACATAACCAGTTTTAAAACCATAGCCCTCAATGTTACAGTCAAGATTTGATGTAGCAAAAGGGCATAATTATATTTACATTGATACCTTTAATATATAGCAATATATTATTTCTTCAAACAACATAAATGTAGACCATTAGTATTCCCTTTATGTCTTTTGCCTTAAACCAGCTATCATCAAAACACAATGTAATGCCAGTAAGGCCATGAGAAAAGAAGGGAAGTGGTATTCTGGCTGCCTAATTCGGAGCAGGAGGGAGGGAACTACCACCTATCACTCCATGTATATGCAGGGCTGATTAAACCATGCAAGAATTTCTAAAATGAATAAGTAGCTAACAACATCCTGTTTCTTCTACTTAAATTAATGAAAAAAAGTTTTGAGATTTATTTTAGGGTTTATTACCCTTTTCTTCTTAAAATATCCATTTCTACCATCTCTGGAGATATACTGTCTTACTTATCCCTTAAGTCTCTGCTTTTATTAGTCAATGTTCATAATTGGAAATATCTTTCCACCTCCATCCCTCCTTCAAGATTAAACATTCTATGAAGAACAGGGCTCATGATTGGTAAATATTCATATATCTATGTTAACTTATATGGGACAACGTATTAGTTGTTAAAATATGAATGTATCATAAAAGACTTCCTGATATTGGAGGCTTCACCCATGAGTCCAGACAAAGACACACCTATTATACAACTTACAGTTTCACAACTAATGGCCCATGTCTAAAAATGTAAACTTGAAGTATATCTTTAATAATTTTGTTTTTGAATAATTAGTTATATTTTCAGGTGTTTTTGGAGTCTGTTTTGTTTTCATCTTTTTTATTCCATCAAAAAGCTCACAGATTTTAGGAATTTGGATGTGTGCTATACCAGTCTAGATAATAAATGCTGATTACAATGAAAATACTAGGTCAAGTGAAAACTGGAATCAAGTTTAAAATTATTTTTATATCTCTTCATACTTAGCCAGCAAAATACCCATGCTAGATGAGATTATTGTTCAAAATTATTGCTGTCTTCATCAAAGCAGCTCATATATTCCTTGCTAATATCATGTAACACCCACTGCTTCTCTGTGGGAGGAAAATACTTCACACCACTACTGTCAGGGTTGAGGATGTGACTTTGTTGGTGCCTTTGTCAGCTAGTGCTGTAATAAGAAACTACTGTAGACTAGGAGGCTAAAACAACATTGATTTCTCACAGTTCTGGAGGTTGGAAGCCTGGGATCAAAGTGCCTGTAGGGTTGTTTTCTCCCAAGGCCTATCTCCTTGGCTTGCAGATGGTTACCTTCTTTTTGTGTCCTTGCATGGCCTTTTTTCTGGGTGCACACATCCCTGGTGTCTCTTGCTTTCTTCTTAGAAGGACACTAGCCCTGGCCAGGTGCAGTGGTTGATGCCTGTAATCCCAGCACTTTGGGAGGCCGAGGCGGGTGGATCATGAGGTCAGGAGATCAAGACCAGGGAGAAACCGCATCTCTACTAAAAATACAAAAAATTTGCCGGGCGTGGTGGCAGGTGTCTGTAGTCCCAGCTGCTCAGGAGGCTGAGGCAGGAGAATGGCTTGAACCTGGGAGGTGGATCTTGCAGTGAGCTGAGATTGCGACATTGCACTCCAGCCTGGGGTGACAGAGTCAGACTCTGTCTCAAATATGAAAAAAAACAAAAAAAAAAACAAAGAACACTAGTACTATTGGATTAGGGCCCCACCTTTATGACCACATTTAACCTAAATTGCCTCCTTAAAGGGCTGTATCTTTTAATACACTCAAATGGGCTGTTGTATGCTTCAGCATGTGAATTTTGGGGGGACAAAATTTAGTCCATAACACCTGGGCTAATGGAACGTGATTTAAAGTTTTTGCAAATTCTGAGTAAAAGATGAAAGATCCATTTAATGGTTGCTACAGTTCTCTTCCCTCTGCCATGAGGCCACCAGGTACTCAAACAACGCTACCTCTTTACCCTGGGCTCTGGATTAAACAGGACATTGAACAGAGCGGTAGTCTACTTGTTAGTACCATGTAAGAAGAAAATCAAGTAAATCTTTTTGTTTTCACCATTATGATTTTGAGACTTTCATGACTCTTGATACCACAACTTAGCCCAGCAAGAGCTAAGTAATAAAGTAATCATTACTTATAAATAGAAAGCTTTTATTAAATTATGTGGCTTTGGTTTTGGAGTCAGGCCTCAGGCAGCAAGGGATTTATTATTAAAGGTTGAATAAAATGCAGTAACAAACCATTTGGTAAAACTATTAGCTGCAAGTACCTAAAAGGCAATTGATTAAGCAAACAGGCTCCTGGTGATGTTACTAGCATATCACTCTCTCCCCCAACCACTAGTTAGCTACATTTACTAGAGCTACAAAAAGTGCTTGCTACAAGAAAAAGATGAGCTCAGAAAAACACTGGCCAGTTTAGAAGAATTAAAAGAAAGAAAGACAGAAATTATCGGACTTGCAGGATTAAGAGTAAGTATTTTTCATATCCAACTTGTAAAAGATAAATTAAGAAATGTTTTGAGTGACAAGTCCCATTAGGACTCAGTCTTTGATTTAGACAAAATCCAGAGAATAGCTTTCATATCCTCGTTGAAACCAACTAATTAAGCAACATGCCATAATTCCTTTCAGTTGGACAAAAGGGCTCCATGAAAAGAGACTAAGGATGGACTTTTACATGAAAGTCTGAAAATTTAATAAAACTCTATCTTAATTTAGAGATAGGCTTGCATATGCAAAATATCATGGATGTAACTACAGGTATGCTAAGATGACTATAAGACAAACAATTTTAAAAATTCCATTGCAGTTTTAGAGAATGGTTCTGCCAACAGGGCCACAGTACTAGATTCAAATGGACTATGGCAATTTAAGATTTAAAATGACTTTGGAACATCTAATATTCTACAGACAGAATAAAGGTTAGAAAATGTATTCCAATCTCCCTTGCTCCCCCAGAAGGAGGACATATTTTCTAGAGTCCTCTTCAGATTTTTTAATAGAAGATAAAGGAAAAGGAATAATTTCTCAAATGTTATAGTCAAGAGTTTTGGAGAATAAGAGATAGGGGAACTACTGCTGGGGAGCATAGTTAGGGACTTTGATGAAACATTAAGACTTCTTCAGGTAAGATTTCAGAATGGCCTGGTCTTCTCTGAGCATTCTAGTCTACCTTTTGAGAATGAAAGCTTGTGAGTATGTGTGTATAATTGTATGTGTGTATGTATATGTGAATGCATGAGAGAAAGAGAGACTCAGAATAGTTATTATAAAACACTCATATTTTTTCAAAATTTCACAATATATATATACTATTACAGTTTTTGCATTATTTGAATTTTACCTGTGTCAGTGTAGACTTTGTTAAAATTATTCTTGAATTTTTCTCTTATTTCACTCTCTTTCAATTCATCTCTCTCTTTCTCTCTGTCATATAACACACACACACACACACACAGATGGCTTTTTGTAATAAAGAAGGAAACACAACTTTGAGCTAAGCAGCTAAATTAATAGGTTGGCTGAGTTGACAATGACCTTCATAGAGAAATCTAAAGGAGAGGGAAGGTAGCATTCTCTGTCGAAAGAGTGAAACCTTTGTCAGTTATTTTATGGTATGTCATTTTTTTCCTTCTTTTTTTTTTTTTGAATGTTTGATATCTATTTGACCGTCAGTTGTACCAACTGATATTCACATGGCCTTGTAAAAAAATAAGATTTTTATTATAACTTTAAATCTGTTAGGTCCTGAGTTCAAGACTCTTCAGGAACGGAATGGAGGATAGTATGTGAGTGTAGAGTCTAATATTCTCAAAGAAAAACGGAAGACGAGACAGAATGGGGCATGTTGGTAGACATCTTCAAGCTCATATTTTTGTGTTTGGAGGTATTTATAAATGGAAGTTTCTAAATCCTCTTGTTCTTGAAATTGTGTATATTTGGAACCTACTTTTCAGTTTCTCATCCTCAAAAATTACTTTAAATTTAAGAGGACACATTTATAATTACCTTATAAATCAAAATCTAAAATTTTCTTTTTATATGTTAAATATTTATTTGTTGTTTACTTATTTATGTTGACACCATAGTGATGTTTAATTTATTATGCTTCTGAAGTAGCTTCTTAGTACATGATGGGATATATTTAATACTGCAGAACATTTCTGTACTAGACATCACACTGCCTAAGTTCTGCTTATGGGCAATATCAAACAGTCTACTCCTCTACAATGAGGAGACTAATGGGAATTCAAAGAGTAAAAAAGACATTACATCCCAGTTCCTTCTTACACTAAGCTCATCTGAGAATCATTCTTCAGCTACCTATTGAGCAAGTTGTTTATTGTTAGGGGCCTCTGTGGAAGAGGAAAGGAGTCACTGTAATTGAAGGTGTTTATCTGGGAAGGTTCTGGGAATTTGAGAAAGACGAGATCCAAGCACTGAGCCAGTGGGAATGGAATTCAGTGATTGGAAGGCAGCATAATGGGAAATAAGATATAATGAAGGAGACAAAGCCAACAGAAGTAGGAACATGGAACAAGCTTTAAACAATTGCTAGGAGAAAGCAAACTAGGCCATTGTATCAATGTGCCTATGCAATATTATTGTAGCTTGCAAAATTACAAAAAGTAAGAACCTCCTTCAGAGAGCTAGCACAGGGACATTAAGTTTTAAGTAGCAGAATCAAATTCAATAAGACAAAAATAGAAACTGCATTTTATCTTACAATTAATTTCAAAATTAAATCAGGCATCTATGCTATCGGGTTGACTATATATCACATACTTAAACTCAAATTAATAAATATTTTTTGATAGCTTGCTATATACATGTAATAAATTATAGTAAATAAATGAGAGTAAGACTCAGATTTTCAGAAAATTACACTTCAACTTACGGGGACATAAATCAATGTTTGGATAACTGAAAAAACAAGGTATGCCAAGTTCCATATTAGGCATACAAAGAGATAATTAAAGGGATGCAGTGGAGGAAAACAACTTATCTAGTAGGAACACAAAAGTTTTTTTAAAATATGATATTTGCTTGGAAATAAAAAAAGAAAAACCTATATAGTAAAAAGAAAAATGGTGGATATACATTCTATGCAGGAAAAAATACGTAAAAAAGTTCAAGAATTAAAATAGTGAATATATTCTAATTTGTCAAAATAATTATACATATATGCATATATAATTATATATTTTCCGTATATATACATATACACACTATATATACAGTATATAGATACACTATATATACAGTTTATATAGATACACTATTTATACAGTATAGATACACTATGTATACAGATATATATACACTATATATATGCACACTATATATATACACATATATATACACACACACACACACACACACACATATATATATACTCATGTAGTTGGGACTCCTCCAACTCATATAGTTGGGACTATATATGTATAAATATAGTGTGTGTGTGTGTGTGTGTGTGTGTGTGTATAAATGGCAAAGGACTGATAAAATGATTGAGATTTATAGCATTTTTCCCCTCATTACCCAATTCTAAACTAATAATAAAGTCTACTCTCATAAACCCATAAAATAATTTGGGAAAATAAAAATTCACTCTTCTCATTGCAGTGATTACATATTTATTCTTTTATTTCTTTAACCATGAAAAAAACATTTTGTACTTTTCACGTAACAGAAAATGTATATAAACTACTGGCATAAACAAAGTAAAGTTCCCATTTTTACAAAGTTCATATTGTAATGAGAAAATAGAGTAACTGATGAAGAGAATACACCTACTTGACAAATGATAAAGTCTTTCCAAGGAAATAACATTTAAATGGAAAACTTAATGTAATGAATCAAGTACAGGAAGAGCCAACAAAAGAATTTTTCAGAATTTGGGAAGAAATACAGAGTTGTTAGTGTGAGAAAATACGCTATGGCAAGTCACAAGAAACAATAACTATGATATTCCAACTCTTCACATCAAGTGGTGGAGTCAGTTTCCCCTCTACTTGAACATGGACTGACTTTGTGACTTTCGTTAGCAAAAAGAATATGGTGGAAGTGACCTATGTGCCAGTTATAAGATGAGGCCTTGACATTGCAACTCTTGTAGTTGGGACTCCTGCTATTTCCATCAGAACAAGTCCAAGCTAGCCTGTTGGAAGATAAAACATTATACAGAACTTAGTTTATTTATCTCATTTGTCCAAGCCATGGACCCAAAACTTATATGAGAAAGCCCAGCCAAGAAGAGCCAAAGTGAAATGCATCTGATCTGTTAGATGACCACGGTTGCATGATCAAGTCCAGCCAAGATCAATCTAGCTTGATCAAGATCAAAAGAACTGCAGACCCAACATATAGAATCTTGTAGCAACAAGGAATTATTATTTTAAGTGACTAAATTTTAAGGAGGGTTGTTAATCAGCAATAGATAATTGATACAATCTTAAGCAATAATAGATTTTTTACTTTACATTATAAGAAATTTCAAATTGGCTCACCCTGCATACCAGTATCACCAAGGACCCAGATGTTCTGTCAGCTTCAGCATATTTTTGCTTGTTTTTTCATTTGTTTTTATTTTTTCTCTTTACACTGACAGTGTTTCTTACAAGATGACTGATACATTTCAAAGCACCATTTCTTGTTATAACGGCACTCAAGGTAGGAAGAAAAGATACTTCGATTTCTCATTTCTCTTTTTTTCTTCAGGAAAACAAAATCTTACCCAGAAGTCGCTCAGCACACTTCTGGCTAAAATTGAATCATTTACCCACTGAAACCCATCATATATAAAATAAATTGATATGAAATTGACCAAGTTTTAATGTTATGATTTACTCCATAGGCATGCTGTCACTCAAACAAATTAATCACCTAAACATTAAAGAAGATGGTAAAATTGATAGAAAAACAAAACACTAACACATTAAAAATATTTAAATGCTAATTACTCTGAAGTCTGCATACAAGTTAAGATGCACGTTGGAGAAGAGGGCAGGATCCATTCATACAAAGAACCGTAATAAAGATATTGGAAATATCTTTCTTATTTAAATATATTTAAATAAGTGAGGAAAAATTATAGCAGCAATTAAGGAGAGTGATGAATGGATTATAAGTGAGAAAAAGAAGAGGAGAATCAGAGAAAGAAAGGAAACTAATTAGGAGACTACGTTCCTAAGTCCAAGTGAGAGAATATGACTAGTGTGACATAGATTAAGAAAGCTATAAATAGCTAAAAGTGTATGGATTTGTAATGAGTTTTAGAAGCAGGCTTGCTAATGAAGCACTTTCTGTCAGGGAAACATACCACTCAGGATTTATTCCACTGTTTGTGTCACTGGAGTTCTTGGTTTTGCCATTTCCTAAAACTGACTGTTACTGGGGCAAGGTTTGAGAGAGGGAAGGAGTGTACTGAGAACGTTAAATGTAAAACACCCATTAGACATTTAAGTGGAGCTGTTCAGAAAGCAACTTGATACATGAACCTATATCAACTGAGGATTTAGTACTGGAAATACTGATTGAGGGTTCAGTATATTGACAGTATTTGAAGTAATGGGTAAGAATCAAGTTACATAGGAGAAAGTAGACAAAGATTGCATCTACTAGCATTACTTCTCCAAACTCATCTCTCATTCCCTAAAATTGTACAGTTGTACAATATACAGCCTCAAATTTCATATGTTAAATAGAATCCTAAAGTAAAACACGTGTTCAAAGGTTAACATGCTGCCCACTTTCAAATTTTATTGATTTACTGCTATTTTATAAAATGCCTTAGAGGGTGTAAGAGTTACTACAGCTTTTGTTTTTTTTGAGGCAGAGTCTTGTTCTGTTGTCCATGCTGGAGTGCAGTGGTGCAATCTCAGCTTACTGCAACCTCCACCTCCTGGGTTCAAGCGATTCTCTTGCCTCAGCCTCCCGAGTAGCTGGGACTACAGGTGCCTGCAACCATGCCCGGAAAATTTTTGTATTTTTAGTAGACACCATATTGGCCAGGCTGGTCTTGGACTTCTGACCTTATAATCCACCCTCTTCCACCTCCCAAAGTGCCGAGATTACAAGTGTGAGCCACTGTGCCTGGCCCCTAAAACTTTTAAATAACTGCTGTGATTTGCTTCTTGGGAGCATTTAGCTCAGTAAGTACCAGATCAACCCACCAACTTGTGATATTGTTTAATACATGTGAATATCACCATTCCGGGGAAATCTTACAGTATCAGGCTTTGCAAGGGAATAATTAGATGTGTCTTAGGAGCTTTTATTTTACTTTATTTCATATATATGGTGACTTAAAGCAGGGTAACAATATGCTGTGATAGCACACTGGTATCAAAATTTTAAAAAACAATCTATGTTTGCAGAACTAAGACCAGTTCAATTTTGCAAGCATCTGGGGTAAGTCCACTCTATTTCTATGAAACCCAAATTTCATAGAAATGTTCACAGAAATTGGGTTCCTATGAAACCCAAATTTAAACTTTGTTTACTTACAACTCTGTGAATACATAATTCCTCCCATCTTCATTGCTCTCAGATTTATAACTGCTTCATGTAATTTTCCTTAGATTAATTTATGTAGAATTATTTAAAAACTAAAAACACAATTTATAATGAAAGTGCGTATTAGTTGAAGTTATATTCATTATTTTTGATACAAAGTCACTTAAAAATTAATAGCACACATATGATCCCACAATTCCACTTCCAAATATATATTTAAAAAAATTAAAAGCATGGACTCAAATGGAAATTTTTACACCAATGTTCATAGCAGTATTATTCAAAACAGCCAAAAGGTGGAAGCTATCCAAATGTCCGTCAACAGATAAATGGATAAAATAAATAGTTTGCACATTTCTGATTTACTTTTCTTAGATTATAATAACTTAATTTTAAATATCTGCAGAGCAAAAAGGCACAGAGATTGAAAAATACATTTTGGAAATATTGCCTTTAAAGGAATTTCTACTATTCAAATTAAATATAATGCCAAAATAATATTTGTTAAAGCTTAACCAGGGACTAATTTACAACATAAGCTTAGCTTGGAAAACAAACAAAAACAGACCTTGTTCTAAAATGAAAACCGACTATTTGACTTAAAATTTGGAATTTTGAGCAAATAACTTTGTTTTAGAATTACATTTAGCTATTATTTACCATTGGGCAAATTCATGACTATTCATGAAGTAAATTAGTTTCCCTGCACCATTCACAGGGCCTGCAACACAGTAAGGATTCAATAATTGTTTCTTGTTTAAATGAAAAAAAAAATAATGAGTTTATAATATCTAGTTACTTTTTATTTTTAAATTAACAAACTTAGTTTTTTGAACTGCTGCAGGCTTATAGAAGAATTGAGTGCAAAGTTCAGAAAATTCCCATATATCTACCCCACTAACATATGGTATATTTGTTCAAATTGATGAGAAAATATTGAAATATTAACTAAAATCCTTGGTATATATTTGGTTTCCCCTTTCTGGTTGTATATTTTGTGGGTTTTGAAAAATGTATAATGGCATGTATTTACTATATTTATCTATATACATGCCATTATACATTTGCACAGAATAGTTTGACTGCCAATCAGTGGTTACCAAGGACATAGGAGGGGAGGAAGAGGGATCAATAGGTGGAATACAGGGATTCACGGTATTCACTATCTTCTAGTTTGGCCTTTTCCAGAATATCATGGAGTTGGAATCACAGAGTATGTAACCTTTGTCAGATTGGCTTCTTAACTTAGCAAGATGCATTTTTTGGACAAATCAGGTTGTCATAACAAAAATGGCATAAACTGGATAGCTTAAACCATAGAAATGTGTTTCACACAGTTCTGGAGGCTGAGAAGTTTAAGATCAAAGGCTGACAAGGTAAAATGGCCCCTTCTCTTTGCTTCTCAGTAGCCGTTATCTTGCTGGTGTGCTCAAATGACCTCTTACTTGTGCATGCATGGGAAAAGAGAGCTTCTGTGATATCTCTTCTAATAAGGACACCAATTCTTTTGAATTAGGGCTCTACACTTATGACCTATTTAACTTTAATTGCCTCCTAAGGACTTTATTTCCAAATGCAGTCAAATTGAGTATTAGAGATTCAATCTATGAATTGTGGAGACAAACCAGTATATGATATTTAACTCTTGGTCTCCCAAAATTCATATTCTTTTCACATGCAAAGCATATTCACCTTTTCCAACAGTCTTCCACATCCTAATTCATTCTAGCATCAGCTCTAAAGTGTAAAGTCTCATCTAAATATCATCTAAATCAGGTATGAGTGGGACCTTAGGTATGATTCATCATGAAACAACATTTCTCTAAAGCTGCTGACCTGTGAAACTAGAAAAGTTATGTGGTTCCAAAATACCACCTAACTTTCATAGTATGATGGGACAGGCATAGGATAAACATTCTCATTCCAAAAAGGAGAAATATGAAAGGAGTAGCAGCTCCCAAGCAAGTCCAAAAACAGGCAAAGCAAATTTCATTAGATCTTAAGGTTCAATAATAATTCCCTCTGGCTCAATGACTCATCTTCTGGACTGATTGGGGTGGTGACTCTGCCCCCAAGGCCCTAAATGGGGTTGTTGCCAGGCTCAGGTCTTCCTCCCAAGGCCCTGCTGGCAGAGGCCATCTGGCCAGTTGAAACTAAGCCGGTGACCCTGATAATTCTGAATTGCCTACAGTGTTATTTTTCCCTTGTCTTGAAAAACAGTGTATGTTTGCAGCCAAATAACTCTGTTGTCCTGTCCTGTAGAATCCGAGAAGACCCTCAGGCTTCCTTCACTTTATCTTATCTCCATCCCCGTCAGTTCAAACTGGCAGTGTTTCTGCCTGTATTATTCCATAATCTCTTTATCAAGTGACAGTCTGGCTATACCTTTGGTATTCTCTTAGAACATGCTCTTCTCATTTTTTTGCAACACACTCAGGTTGAGAATTCTCTACATCTTTCTACATTTGATTGTTTTTCCCTTAACAATACCTTCCTCAATTAATCTCTCTTCTAACATTTAACTATAAGCAGTTAGGAGTATTCAGGCCACACCATCACATTTTGCTTTGAAATCTCCTCAACTACCTATCTAATTTCATTGTTCACAATTTTGATTTTTTGCAAAACACTAGAACACATTTTAGTCAAGTTCTTTGCCACTTTATAACAAGGATTACCTTTTCTCCAATTTTCAATAATCTGTTCCTATTTTTGTCTGAGACATCACCAGAATAACCTTTAATATCATGTTTATACCAAAATTATATTCATGATTGTATATGCTTTCATTAAGAAGTTGGAGGCTTTCTCTCTATCTCCTTTTCTTTCTGAGCCCTCATCAGAGTCACCATTCATAGCCAATGTCCATCAACAGTCCCTCCTTGGCAATGTGGATTTTTTTCTAGCATGCACCTCAAAACTCTTACTGCCCTCTCTTATTACCCAGTGCCAAAACTGCTTCCACATTTTAAGTGCCTCTTACAGCAGCATTCCCTTCTCTGTACCAAGATCCATTTTGTTGAACTCAGTCATGTTGGGAGTTAGGACGTCAACATATGAATTGGGGAATGTGGGCATGATTCAGTCCATAGTACATTTCAAATGCCAGATTAATAGAAAGCATGAGGAAGTTGTAATTTGTTATTCCAGAGTCTGCACAAACAGCTGTCACCATGCTTGGAGGCCATTTGTTAGATTGGTAGCGTATGGGCCGCCATTGTTCCTTGCGGCAGGCAGAGTGAGTTGATGGTGGTGTGCTCTCCTTTGGATCTCCAATTGGTTGTCATAGCCATCCTTCACAACCACTCCCAAATTAGTAAAGATGAACCTGGAGGAGCATTTGCTATCCCTGGTGTACAGAAGCAGAAAAGAACGAATGTACCAGCAGTTTTATCAGTAGTCACCATAGAGTATCACCCTAAAATGAGATACGAGAATGTTGAAAATGACACTCCTCTGACATATGGAACGATGATATAGTTATAGAGCTGCCATAGTGACCTATACTTGAGAAAAGCCTGACTTCCAAACTCTATATTTAGTAATTCCTTAAGAAGACAGGCTCAGGTATTTTTTCAAGTGAAGCAGAATCCCACATCTACTCCAGGGAATCCAACATCCTAACCAGAGCTGGAATGATGTCAAAATATAACTTTCTCCTTTCATGAGCAAAACTCTTTATGTGTATTTTAATTAATATTATATTTTCTGCAAATTCTTACTTCATGGCACAAGAAAGTCAAATCAGATAAACTGAACATAATTTTACAGCTGTGGCAGAATTGTTTTGCCATTTCTGTGAGATGTATTCCTTCTAAGCATAGTATATAGACGTATAATTCTGATTATATTATTACTTTGTATCTTTCCCTAGCAAAAATTAATTAATTTCTAATAGATTGGGGTATGGCTTTCACCTAGTATAAGAAATTCAAATAATAACCAAACAGGGAATAGTTTCCAAATGAGTATATGAAAATTTAATAATATGTGAATTTAAATATTCTTTTATATATATAGATTAAGTATTGTTTCAATAATTTATCAGTCATTTAAGTAGATGCTACTGTAAAGCAGGCCATTTCAAATCGTATAATATTTAAAATCCATAATAAGCATACCAAGCACATGTTATATTAATTTTATAGACAGTAAAACTAATAATCAGGCATATTATGTCTTTACAAAAGGTTTTACAGACTTCAAAAATAATTATACCAGGATCTGAATCTAGAACTTTTTGGTTATTGGTGTGTCTGTATTTCTTTTCTTATGCCTCTAAAAATGTATAGTGTCAGGTAAAAATTAATAATACAAAAATAGTTATTTTTGGTATTTAGCAAAATTTTTATAAATTACTTCCTTGAGAAAGGGAATAAAGAGTAATTGTAACACAATTTTACAAAATCTCTAATTGCCACATAGCAGTTACTTACATTTTATGATGCTGAATAAGCAAAAATTTATTTTTTGAGATCCACAAGATTGTCTTCCTATAATTTCTAATCATGTGGACTTAGGTGAAAATCTCTGTGGTATAAGGCTCCAGTGTGGCTCCTGTAATCCCTACCTTCTCGCGATAACACCTTTGTGCTCTTAAGTGTGGGCAGGAACTGAGTTACCTCTAACAGTAGCAAATGGCAAATATGAGACCATGTGATTATGTGAACATGATTACATTACATGAGATTGTAACTGGTCTTGCTGGGAGACTCTCTGTCATTGGCTTTGAAGAAATAAATTGTCGTGTTGTGCTGTTACATGGAGAGGATCACAGCTTACAGAGCTGAGTGTGGCCATCAGCTAACAGCTAGCAGGAAGCTGAGGCCCTCAGGGTAATAGCCTTCCAGGTACTTGATGAATACTGTAAGGAACCATATGGATGTGGAAGAGGATTCTTCCCCAGCTGAGATTCAGGTAAGACCATAGTCTTGGCTGCTACCTTGATTGCAGCCTTGTAAGACTCTGAAGCAGAAGAGTCAGCTAAATCCCATTCCAAATTCCTAACCAACACAAACCATAAAATAATTCACTTGCTTTGTTTAATCTGCACATTTCATAGTAATAATGCTGTGTGTCAGTAGAGACACAATATTATTTCTTACATTTATACCTTATCATGCTTTATCACTGGCTATTTATACTATCACTTCCAGAAATTTTAATAAGAAATAATTTACATATACACATACACAATCATATATATGTCTTCACATGCCCAAACACACAGCGTATGTGCATATACAGTTGTTTGACTCAGAGAGAGGTGTATCTGACACTTAAAATATTTATTTCTAAAATATGCATTTCAAAATATATGGCTGGGCTAATTTTGTCTTTAAGTATCTGCCCTTGGAAAATGAACTGAATTTTCATAAGTAATGAGAAACCTGGGTGAAGCTCTCCTAGAAGATTGGCCAAAAAGTGTAAGGCCTGAGGCATTGCCAATTACTAGCTTCCAGAAAATACCAGATGTAGAGGTCACCATTTTTATTACAAACTATGAAAATAAAACATGTTTTAAAATTTTTTTTGTGCGATGAAAGGCCAAAAGCTGAAGTATGTGTTTGCCATGGAAATAGTGTTTTGTTTACAGGACTTGTCTTTTCTAGAACTCATCCATTAAATGGTAGGAGAGAACCACTTCAATCTTGACATTGTATTGCATTCGGAGCTTTCATTACTAGAATAATATTTGTTCATTTTTCAATAAGAAGCATAAAATGTTCCATTGCTCATTTTGTCCGTTTGTTTAATGACATTGGTAGGCTTGTTACTTAAATTAAATCCATCTAAAGAAAATGAATATGTACTGGTTAATCCAACTGAACCCATGTAAATACACTACTGTGGCTCTAAACATTGGCAAATATAACAAACCCTCACTACCATACAGGATGGAATGTTACAGATAATGTTCTGCTTCACAACCAATGACGATGGTGCCAGAATGCTCATGTTCTTGTTTTTCCTACTTTCTGATAATTTGTACTAATTAAGATAGGACTGGCATTGCAGATGTAGCAACCAAACATTTTATTTCTTCCTTTCACAAAATCACTCTAGTCCGGGTGAGTTTTGGGGGATTTGGCTGCTACACAGGAATTCATTGAGTTTGCTTTTGTCTTCCGGTTCCACAGTCTCAACACAAAGTCTCCTCATTGCCCTGGCAGAGGAACAGAATACTGGAGGGTTTTCTACTGACCCAAAGGGACACACATGATTTCTACTCACAGCTGTTTGGCTACAGCTTGTTTCTTGGTCCTGGTTAATTGGAGGAGGGCTAGGAGAATAGGAAAGTGCAGGTTGCATTTGTCAAGTGTTGTTAATCCTCTCACATCTATCATCCAGGTAAAATTTTTCACTGATCTGTACCCACAAACCAGGGGGAGTTTTTTTTTAACCACCGACAAGCCTGTTCCTTTGGTCTGTTGCACTTTTGAATCTTTTGGTTCTCTTTTCTTTTTTTTTTTGTATTCCCTGACATGAAATAAAATTATACATTTTATCCTTGCGATAGTTTGCTGAGAATGATGGCTTCCAGCTTCATCCATGTCCCTACAAAGGACATGAACTCATCGTTTTTTATGGCTGCATGGTATGGGGGGAGGGGTAGGGATAGCATTAGGAGATATACCTAATGCTGAATGATGAGTTAATGGGTGCAGCACACCAACATGACACATGTATACATTTGTAACAAACCTGCACGTTGTGCACATGTACCCTAAAACTTAAAGTATAATAATACAATTAAAAAAATTATACATTTTATAACTTTGTCAAATTCTACATGCTATTTCCTTGCTTGAGCTTAGATTTCTCTTTTTTGACCTAACAAGCCCGTACCATTTTAAAATTCAGTGTTTCAGTGCTACTTAAAAATAGAAATGCTCCTTTTATCCGCCAGTCCCTTGCTGTCATAATACTATATGTTAAGTGAAGATTTATTATATAATTTATCAGATTGAATATTTCTCATGTACATTCCATATCTGTGTGTGTGTGTGTGTGTGTGTGTGTGTGTGTGTCTGTCTGCCTCATTCTTTAACCTTGCCCTACTATAAAGAATAAGGAATGTGAGTACCCATGTTACAACTACCTGTGCTTCAAAAAGAATGTAGGTTACAGTATTTACACAGTTAATTGTTGAAATAGCTAAAGAGGTTAGCATCATGCTTATGCATATTTAAGTGCTCAATACATAGTACCTTTCATGACCATACAAAATAATATTTGGAATATATGATTACTTACAGTGTACAGACTTGGTATATTACTTCTGTAACTTTTTACTTATTCATAGGGACTGTTAAATCATATAATTCATTTGATTAGATAGCATTCACAACATTAGAAAATTAAACATAACCACTACAATATTCTACACTTTTGATTACTTGTTTTTGATTCTTTGTCTCCTAGGCAAGAGAAATAGTATCAACAGAGGAATGGAATTATAACTAGAAATTTTATTTTGGTGAATAAGCTGAGGACTTCCTAGAGAAGCTGTATGATGTGAAATAGTTGCAAATAATGACAAAGTAACTCGTAGATAAGTTACTTTAAGGCTTTATTTGTTAAGTTACTGCATAGAGTTGCAAAAGCATCGACAACATATTTCCTCAAAATGTAGAGTTTACAAGTTTTCTGAGCTCCCTGAAGTTTGCAATCTATTCCAGTCTCAGTGTCCTCTAATTTTACATCAATCTTCTAATGATCTAGATTGCCCATTGCATGCAGCTATCTTTTCATGTTTGATTTGGTTAAAGGAAAATCAGCTTTACATTGTGAAAATGCATATTGTTAGCGAATTGTGAAATTGTGAGGAATTGGGCTGTAATTACTGAATATTGGCTCTCCATGAACATGTTGCTAAAATGTGGGAAGATGTGCCAGAGAAATTGTCTCTCTCCTCAGTAGTCCATCGTTACAGCAACAATTGTGGAAATCAGATGAGATGTGGAACCATTTTTGATTGCCTTAAATGGCGCATTTGTATATGCCAGCAAGAATCTATGCTTCTATGTAAATTGAAAAAGGGAAATGAAACAGTCTGTGGATGTGGACTCTCTCAGGTTGAACGTAGGTGGATCAGCTTGTACTCAACATCTGTTCAGGCTGGAAATGCAGAGGAAGTTTAATATGTTTACTCAATCATACTGGTTTCCTGGGTGCCAAGGCAGAAAATCTAAAACATATGACTTCTGTTCACACTATGTGGGAGCTATTTAGAACAAAGGTGATGATCCTGGAAGAAAATGTGGAGACGCTATCTCGGGTACCAGCACAGTTGGACTTCTTTGCTGCCAGCAATCAACAGCCCTTAAACATCAACATTTCAAGGTTTTGTCGACCAGTGTACCAAGTAACCTCTAAAAACATTTGAGAAGAAATAGAAAATAACACTAGATTATTTCTTAACATATCAAAAGATTATCAACATATGGCCTTGGATGCTTTTCATTCCCCATCCTTATATGTCCATACAAAATTATAATACATTTAATGTAGCATTCCAATCCAGATAGTAGTTTGTGGAGTTAAATTTCAAACTCCCTTTTTGAAAATTTCCTTGCATTCATAAACACGTTAGCTATCCAGGACAGCGTGTTGCTCTAGGAACAAAAGTGGGGACTTACAAAGAAGGCAAATTATAAGAAATATATTTCTGTCAAAATTTTATGAAACAAGGAAAATCATAAAATAAAAATTAATATTAGAAGAAAGTCTTATCAAATTCTATATAATGATTTTTCATCAATATACTTGGCCTCTAATTAGTTAAAAGGAAGATCATGCAAAGCCCAGAGTTTTTATCTTGTGGTTACTATTCAATTTAAATTCTCATATTCCCCAAAATGTCCTTGTTTTAGTTGGTAAGACAGCAAGACAGTAGCTACAATTCAGTGGAATTAAGTACTTTGCCATATTCCATGAAATACACAAGGAGAGGTCAGAAGAAACACAATTATTTTTGTCTGGCAGAATACAAAAAGGTGTCACAGAGTTGGCATTTGAATTGGATTTTGGAAGATGAATGGAAATGCACTAGCTGGAGATGAAAAGAACATAATGGACTGAGGAAAGTTCCTTTCCAAAAATCAAGAAAGCTGTAAAAGGCACGGGGATTTTAATAATTATCTTCAGTTGGAATTACATGTATGTTGAGTGCAGGGACAAAATTGAAAAAATAGTTATGCCTGAAAAGTTATATGGGAAATTATTATCAAAGGCTATTGATGTCAAGCTAAGAAGATTACATTTTACCTAAAACACCTAGGATCTTTAAAGTGGATGTAAGACTAGTTCCTCTTCCCCATTCTTATGTTTTCCATATTGTCCTCCTCCTTGTGAAAAATTCCACCACCGTTGTCAACACTTCACTTTATATACCATACTAATATAATACTTTCACCCATGAGCAGAATGGATGAGAACATTCTCAGAAATAAATTAAAATTACTACATATATTGTGTTTGAAATGGAAAACCATGAATAGATACCTTTATAGTAATAAATTAAATCTTAACAGGTGACTTGCAGAGAACATGGTAGGTGGTACAAAAGTAGCAAAGTGGGGTGGGGAAGTTTGTAATTTCTAAGCAATTCTCTAAATATATTTATTTAGTAATCATCTAGTTCTGGTAGAGTGACTTAACTGAGCGATGCATTTCAGAAACATGGCTTACAGAAATCAGATATTTAGGATAGTTATAAATAAAATACAACACAAAGATAAGGCATCATTATATATACACACAGGAGCTTCATAATTACAATTATATTTGTAAAAGTATAATGTTTAATTATTTAATTGACTAATAAAATTACAATAAACAAAAATGACTGACTTTAAAGATATGACTTGTATAAGCAGGCTTGTAGTTACCTACTTAATATTACATAAATTTATTTAACAAGTAAATAGACAAAAGTTACAATATGAATTTTAATATATATATTATATATGTCTATCCACTTTGAAAGTATGTGAATATGTTTAACTTAAATAAATAAGAGGATAAAGAAAAATCGGTCTATCAGATAAAAAAATTAATGATAGAAAAATAAGAAATCCATAAATGATATTAAAGCTTCCCTTCTCTGTTGTTGCATGTTATGAATGGTTCTCATATTTACTGAAGAACTAAGGTAAAGTACTGGTTTTGTAAGGGTGGGACATACTGACCATAAAGCTTAAGATTAAAATCAAGTGTCATCCTGCACAAGGATGACACACAAATCTGTGAAGTGTTGCATATTTCTTGCAGTCCCCAAAAGGACATTTGACTAATTAGCTCCAAGGAAATGGTGTGAGTCAAAGCAAAATGGGTGACACCCAGTATTGCACTTGTGATTTTCATACACAAAATATTTATGTAAGGTGATCTATGAAAAGAGGTGTGGTAACACATAGGATCTTGTGTGCAATATGTTGTTAGTAGGCCTCTCAGAAATGAGAACATACCAACTTGCATCTTGTTTGTGGAACTTACAAAAAATAAAGGTAGAGTTTTGTCTTCCACAGCAGCTGGAAATGAACATCGTGACTTAAGCATCATTCTAACAAAGATTTGTTGATTCAGGTTTAAGGAGGTAGATAAAGAGTAGTAGTAGTCCACGCCAGATGCTGAGATCTGTTAGTTTTGTGCCCTTGGTGTGATTGATGAGGTCAGTAATAGAGGATGATCAGGTTATGCAATGTAATGAATTAATATATTTATAAATAAATTTCATTACAAATTATAAAATAGCTTAGATGTCTTGAATTACAAGCCACAAAGAATAGAACATCTAATAACCAAAAGTAGGAATTAATAACAGAAAACTGCAACATTTCAACATTACAACCTATGAAGAAACACTTTTAAGAAAAAATAAATTTATTTTTTGTAGAGACAGGGTCTCCCTGTGTTGCCCAGGCTGGTCTTGAACTTCTGGGCTCAAGCGATCACCCTGTCTCAGCATCCTAAAGTGCTTGCATCACAGGCATGAGCCACTGCACCAGGCCAACACGTTGGGTTTTATTGGGAATTTTAAAATAGTTTCAGCAATAAGATTCAAGAATAAATTATTTCATTGCTTCACCATTTCTTTGAGCATTTTAAAAATGTTATCTTGTTAAATCTTTGTAATAACCTAGTGAAATAAGTCTCTAAAATCCTCATTTTTAGAAGACATTGAACCTAAGAGAAGCAACTTGTTCAAGAAAAAATACCTGTTGGTAACTGCGCTAGGACTTTTTATGAGTTAGGGACATTTTCCATTAAGCCAAGCTAACTCTAGTTAATTTACTGAGTGATACTGCCCTCAATTCATGAGTATTTCATCTTACTTTATTTATTATTTAATTAGAAGCTTAATAAGTTCATAGAGCTTACAAACTTAAAGTCTATGAAATAAGTAATGTTCTGATGTTAGCTCTGATATTGTCTGAAATACTCTAAGAACTTAATAAATTTGGTAAATGTTTTCTATATCCGTGTTAAAATAGTAATTTTATTTATTACATTTTTATACATAGCATTCATCAACAACTTTTGAAACATATACGAAAATTATCTAAAAATCCTCAAAATACCAATTCAGGTAAGACTTCAGATAGCAAACTACTCTTGATCGTGCTACCATAAGATTATGGAAGCGCTGATCACAAAAAAGCAATTCAAAAAGCAATGTGTAAATAGCATGTGTTTCCATATATACGTATGTGGGTGTGTGTATATATATGTATATATAGCTTTAATTTTTTTAGTTTATTATTCAGAATTAGTTAAGAATTTAGTTGTAGGTAGTTTATAATCTCAAAAAAATTATCTGAAAAAATATTTAATTATGGTCCCTAAAATCCTATATAATACCTTTGTGTATATAAGTAACACAATTTTTAAGTTTGTATATTGTATGATTCCTCAAGTGTCATAACAACTGAGACTTGTTATAAAATGTATAAACCTTGGTGTGATTGATGAGCTCAGTAATGTGGGATGATGAGGTTATCCAATTTAATGAATTAATATATTTATAAATAGATTTGATTACAAATTAAAATTAGTTTACATGCCCTGAATTACAAGCCACAAAGAATTGAACATCTAATAACAAAAAGTAGGAATTAATAACAGAAAACTGTAACATTTGAATATTATAACCTGCGGGGGTCTATCCTGCAGACCCCGGCTGCATGACGGATGAGACACATACCCAGACAGCGATATTCAGTGAAAGAGCAGCAAGGGTTCCGAGCCGATTACAGACACCAAGGTTCTTACAATAAAGTGAGCTGGAGGAAAGAACCTGTTATAAGGAGGAAAAAATATACTCACTATTTATTAAGTGGAAGTCAATTATTATACATAGAGGTCTTCATTCTTATTGCCTTCATGTTGAGTAGTCTGATAAGGAGAAGGCAGAGGAGAGATTTGTCTTGCTATCTTGCAGTGGCAAAGGAAAAGAAAAATCTATTAGTGGGCTCCTAGAGTGAAAACCCTTATTCAAGGATCAACTGTGTCACATAGTGACTTGTGTCACTAAAAAAGTAACTATCTTTAGAATTTGGAATTTAATAATACTTTTCTGGCACCATAAACAAATGTCAGCAAGAATTACAAAACTTAGCCAGGGTGCATCAGTACCAATAGGAGAATATCTTTCAAAGATACCTACTGAGTGCAGAAGTCAGAAAAGCAATTCTTTGTTGAGAAGCGCAGGTTATGTTACATAGTCTTGTACCAACAAGGTCTCACTATTATCAACTTCATTCCGTCTAAGTTGAAACCAAATAAGATATGTTTACTCCATTAGAGCAAGGTATGTTGTTCTATCTACTGGATAATTAGTGTGTTAATAGTAATTTTGTTACAGCAAGATACTCTGTTTCTAATAGCCAAAATATTATCATTATAAATATTCAGATAGCTTAACTCTAAACTCAAAAAAATTATAAAAATATTACAAAAACTTTTCACAACAATGAAAATGCTACTGATACCTAAATGTGACACATTGTACAATATGAACTGTATGAGCACATCTTTATTATATATTTAACAAAGGACCTCTATAAGTTAGGTTTGGCAAGTTGCAGGAGACAAAGATGGAATACACAGTTTGGGTCTTTAAGGTGCTCATAATACAGAAGAGCTGTGCCTATTGAATTTCTGCATTTTTCCAACAGAATTTCCTTAAAAAGTTTGTTATTCATTTATCCACTTGTCCACTTAACAAATAACTGTCAGGTATCTTTAAGGTACTAAGCATCTTCCTTGTTATTATCATTGTCATTTTTATTTGCTTCTTTATTAAGATACTAAACATTTTTCTTGTTATTATTATCTTTTTTATTATTTATTATTTATTTAGTGTTTACTCTGTGCCGGAACCCCTTTTGGAGCTTATAATTATTACTTATTATGTCATGTTGTTACCATATTCAGCATGTGTCAGAAATTTTATATCCAAGGTGAAGAATTAAAGCTTTAAAATGTTTGGTAGTGTCCAGGCACAGTGGCTCACTCCTGTAATCCTAGCAGTTTGGGAGGCCAAGGCAGATGGATTGCTTGAGCTCAGGAGTTTGAGACTAGCCTGACTAACATGGTGAAACTCGTCTCTACTAAATACGAAAAATCAGCCGGTTGATGTGGCCCGTGCCTGTAATCACAGCTACTTGGGAGGCTGAGGTAGGAGAGTTGCTTGAGGTAGGAGAATCGCTTGAATTGCATTGAGCTGAGATCGCGCCACTGCACTCTAGCCTGGGTAACAAAGCAAGACTCCATCAAAAAAAGAAAAAGAGAAAAGAGAAAAGAAAAGTTTGGTAATATTTAAGGAAAGCATACAGAATAAGTAGAAGTTTGCCAGGTGAAGAATCAGGAGGATGATATTTAAGCAGAAAGAAAATTTAACCAGATTGTGTGTTTGGCAGAAGGAACATCTACAGGAACACCTGACGAGGCTGCACCCTTGGCAGGAAGAACACCTGACACGGCTGAAAGCTTGGTGGAAAAAACACCTGATGAGGCTGCACCCTTAGTGGAGGGAACATCTGACAAAATTCAATGTCTGGGGAAAGCAACATCTGGAAAGTTTGAACAGTCAGCAGAAGAATATGTTAGGCCATGTGTCTCTATAACAGCTATTGAACTCTGCATTGTACAGTGAAAGCAGTCATAGATAATGTGTGAGCAAATAGGCATGATTGCACTCCAATAAAACTTTGTATAAAAAACCATTTGGTAAGCTGAATTTGGCCTGTGATATATAGTTTCCTGGCCCTTCACACAGAAGATAGATGGAGTGTAATTACATAAAAAGTTTTAAAGACAAAGTAAGCTTTTGTAGTAGTTCATGCTGTAGTCTTTTTTTTTTTTGTCACCAATCTGTGGCCTAGTATCAATCTATTATGAAAATCTGACCCATCCAGGGTAAAATGAATCAAGTTCAGAAGCTCAATTTACAGATTTAAACCTGTAGGTCTTTCTTTGCCATTATTTTATTTTGATTTGTTTAACTGAATTTTTTTTAACTTAAAAAATAACAATAGTATTTGGTAGGGTTTCTTTTTCATGGTGAAAGCCATCAGTTAAGGGGCCATGTCTAAGTAGGAAATATAAATATAACATAATAATAATAATAAAATAATAATAAAAATGGCCTTCAGTTTCATATATTATTGGATATATTTTCCTCCAGAATTGGCATTTCAGCTGAAGATAATGTGTGCTTCAAACTTGGAAATAAATAATGCATTTAATTATTTGATTAAAGATTGCACAGTGAATTTAATGAAGACATTATAGTCTTGTAATGTAATATAAACTCAATCTTCTACTCACAAACAACTTTAAGACAGAATTTAGGAGGAATGTCCTTTGGAAAATTATCTTTCCTTCCCCCACAGATGAATCAAATAACCAAACGTACTGTTTGGAACATTTCATTTTATCTGGAATTAACCCTCTGTTGGCATGTCTTCTTCATCACTGAAAATGTAAGAAAGCACAGCCTCATCATGAAAATGCTGGGTATCCACGTCTCACACAACTTAAAAATCATAATGAGTTGCAGGTTTTATTGTCAAGAATTACCCTGTGCTTCAAAAATGTGCTTGCTCCTTATGAAGCAATATAAACCTTGTTTTTAATCTTGCAAACTGTATATTCTATTGGATATGTCTATTAAAGATAGAGTTATGAGTGAACAATAAATGTCTTTCCTGAGAAAGGTGTATTTTCTGTTGCACTTAGACCTGAAGGTGGTGTAGAAGATACTTGGCCAAAACTGGGGCAAAGAGGGGTTCCTGTGAAGAAGCAACAGTGAGAGTCTGGTTATCTACATATAAAAGAATAAAACTGGACCCTTAGACTGTACACAAAAACAACTCAAGGTGGATTAAAGGCCTACGTGTAAGACCTGAAACTATAAAACTCCCAGAAGAAAACACAGAGAAAACAACTCCTTGATATGGGCCTTGACAATGGTTTTTTGGCTATTGGCTATCACACCAAAAGCTCAGGCAACAAAAGCAAACAAGTGAGACTGCATCAAACTAAAAAGCTTCTGCACAGCAAACACTCAACAAAATGAAAAGGCAGCCTGCAGAATGGGAGAGAATATTTACAAACCATATATCAGATAGGGGTTGATATGTGAAATGAAAATCTCACACAACTCAGTCAAAAAACAATCCGACTGATAAATGGCCAAAGTATCTGAATAGACATTATTTAAAAAAGACATACGAAGGGCAACAAGTATATGAAAAGGTGTTCAACATCATTAATCAGAAAAATGTTAATCAAAACAACTATATCACTTCGCAACTGTTAGGATGGTTATTATATAAAAAAGAGATAAGTGTGATGAGGGTGTGGAAAAAGGAAACTCATGTTCACTGTTGGTGGGAAAGTAAACTGATACAGCCATTTTGGGAAATGGTATGAAGGTTCCTCAAAAATTTAAAATGGAGCTACTGTATGACTCCACAATCCTCCTGCTGGGTATATACCCAAAGGAACTGAAATCAGTATATGAAAGCTATATCTGTATTCCCATGTTTATTGCGGTATAAATAACCAATAGCCAAGCTATGAAAACAATTGGATAAAGAAATTATGATATATAGTTATAACATATTATATATCATATTATAATCTTATATACTCTGTAATAATATAAATATTATGAATATAGTATTCAATCTTAGAAAAATTAAAATTGCCATTTTTGATGATATGGATGAACCTGGATGGCATTATGCTAAGTGAAATAAACCAGACATGGAAAGAAAAATACTTCATGATCTCACTTATATGTGCTATCTAAAAACAAGCCAAGTATATAGAAACAGTAGAATGGTGGCCATCAGGGATAAGGATTAAGAGGAAATGAAAAAAAGCAGATCAAAGGGTACAAACTGGCAGTCATGTAGGATGAGTAAGTTGTACCTAACGTATAGTATGATACCAATAGTTAATAATAATGTATTCTATACTGAAAATTTTCTAAAAGCATATTTTCAGGTGCTCTTGCCAATCACATAAAAATATAACTATGAAAGGTGATGGATATGTTAATTGGCTTGATTATAGTAATAATTTCATGGCATATATGTATGCCTTAAATATGTACAATAAATAAGTAAATAAACTAAAATGTAGGTTATCAAAACTTAACAATTTAAACATTAAAACTTTCAAAACTTGAAAAAATCCAATGGGAGAGATTTACAATTCCTTCAACACTATCAGAGCAGCAATGATGGAAGATATGTAGAGGAAGGAGACAACCTGATAAATGTAGACTCATCAGCAAAGCCTGAGGGGACAGTAATTATATCCATAGTGTTGACAGCCAAACCATCAAAAACTTTGGTGTAAATATATTATTTTTGCAACATATGAAACACAAACAGAACAGCAAATCTTGATTCAGGCATCTATCGTCCTAATTAACTGCCTCTCTGATCATGTGTGCTCTCTGATCATGTGTGCATGTGTCACCTTGATCGAAACCATTTTCAAAAATAACGCAACAAAAATAAACTATTGTAAATTTTAAAAATGAATTATCACGTGAAGTTTATATTTGAAGTTATTTTTCAAGATTATACTTATCCTGTGGCCTTTAAATTTTTTAAAAATTTTTCACTCTCTAGTTGAATATTTGCTGTATGCCAGGAAAACTTCTGGACACTGAAGATACTTACAGTCAACATTACTTCAAGGCAGTTATGGCATCCTAATTACTGTTTTTAGTAATATAATATCTGCTTCCAAATACTCTTAGAAATGGGCAACTTGATAAGGTGATTCCTGAAAGTCTCTGCCATCTTGATTGTGTTAACTGTGTTTATTTAAAGAGGCTAAAAATGAGGGTGGTTTTTAATGCATGGTAACTATTCATTAAAAATGAAATTATATATGAAAAATGAAATTATATATGAAATTATAATGAAAAATTCAAGATTACTCCATGCCTTCTAACAGTATTATTTCTACTTGGGTACTGTTGACATCAGAACAAATTATTGGGATAAATAAATGTGTAAGGGCCATACATACCTACTAAATCTGAGTGCCATGAATTTGTAATTTTATGTTATTTTAATTATTGTAGTTATTACAGTATGTGTTTATAACCCTTTTTGTGTTAATATACAGTAATCCTAGAGACACCTAGAATTATTTTAAAAGGTGAGTCAGTTGTCTTCAGTTATAGAAAATTGACTTATACACTTTTAGTAGCGAAGTCAAAATATCTGAACTAAGTTCACTTCTGCACAAAGGAAAACTCTGCGAGTAACTGAAATTTTCTCAAGATTGGCATATAGACAATCCTAAAAAATGTCCTGGGATATGAACTATCTCAAATTGGCAGCATATACTGGCATGTGCCTCATCCTGCTGACAGTCATTTCAGTTTGATACACTTACAAAAAAGAGAAAAAAGATAGCTTAATAATTCCAAGTTTAAATAGTTATATTGGTATACTCCTTAAAAGAAAAATCAGCACATTATCTTGGAGTAAAATTTTACTTATGATTTCTTCACTTTTCTCCCATCAACTCAACAGGCAGAAAATAAAACATATTAATAAATACACATGCACACACACACACATTGTGGAAATCAAAGACCTGAGTCTATGTGTAGCAGTGTGTTGATAAACTATCTGTAGAGACTGGAGGTCAAATTAATTGTATATATGAAAATTATATAACTCTAGAGACTCAAGAAGACAGATAAAAGTTACTACATAAGAAAATAGAGATTTCTCTATTTTTCCACAACAGAAATTAAAGAGTGGAATAGTGATTTTAAATACAGCTTCTGTTATCATTTGAGGGAATAGAAAAGTGAGGGCAACAGAGATCGGAATATAGGCACTAATACTTGAATGCCTGTTATGTGTAGCTATTGTGCTTTGACAATTTTACATAATTGTCTTATTTAACCAACACAAAACTTTATGAAATTGATGTTTCTAAGACTATTTTTCTGTATGAGAAAACCCAGGTTCTGACTTGATGTCACTCATGCCATATTGGGTGGCTGAGGCAGGATTCAAATGTAAACACGGCAGCACCACAGTCTATATTTTATTAATCATACAACCACTATATCCACCTAATTATAAAGTCTGTATGAAAGCCCAGAAAAATAGGCCAGCATTAAATTGAAAAAAGCATTAAAGAGAAAACTGTTGATCTAAAAACATTTAGTTTTACAACTTTTAATTTACCAAAATTGTGGTTGCTACTGTGACTGTTGTATAGGGAAACCATGCACAAATTAATTCATGACACATTCATGTTCTTTTTGCATACGTCTCTTTTAAAAAAAAAGTTATTTAGGTAAAGTGCTAAAGAGAAGTTATTTCACCTTGCTGACATTGTGTCTTACAGTTTTACCCAACCAATTTTAGTCATTACTTCTTTATCTTAACAGGATTACTTAATTGCCTAGTCATGGAATGAATGATTTGGCTACTTCTATAGATGCATTAATAAAGCCTTATTTGTATAATAGTCAAGTTAAGATGAACATGCTTGTGACCTCTCGCAGAAATAATGAAGATTCTGCAATTTAAAGAGCAATAAAATGTAAAGATGTAATTACCAACTCTTCATTATCTTACGGAATTTCAAGATAAAATCACTTTATTTCAATGTCAAAAGACAGAGCATTAAAGTCTTTTTCAAATACCATTTAATTGGATAGATTAAGATACTTTAATATATTAATTTCTTTCCTTGTTACTGTATATTTCACGATAAGAATGCAGGGATATATATTAGACTTCTGGGAAATTGAAACTGGTGTAACTTACCAGTTAATTCTAAAATCTATTAATCATGTGCTTTGCTTATCTTTCTTCCTTGGTAAAATATGAATGTTCAAAGATATTTTCATGTTGTCTAAAGCATCCGCATTTCATATACAAATATATGAAATATATAAAATATTAACAGAATTATACCAAATATATACAAAATAAAAATATACAAAATATTAATTTAGCAGAAAAAAAAACTGTTGCATGAAGATAAGGTACAGGATGGTACTTTATCTTATGGTTTTTTGTGAACCATAGTCAGAAAAATCGGGATCAAAAATAATAAAACAAAATATACCCATTGCCTTAAGGAAATAGGTAAATGAGATAATTATATTTTTAAAGGAACTATATAAAAGCTTTATGCAAAAATCACAACCATATTTCTTGTTCCTGCACATCCCAATCAATTCATTAGATTGTTTTACACATTCTGCAAAAATATTCTAATGCAGGCAGAGAATTTGAAATGTAAAACATTATCATACTGTCTCCTATATTTAGAGCTCAGCTATGTCTCTTATATGTTAAAATGCTACTTCTGTTTGACACACACTCTTACACCTACTGAGGAAAAAAATTGCTTCATATTAACAAAGTGAATTATCTCTTTTGAGTAACATGAGTAACCTGGTCAATAGTTACTTACCGTGTGTTAGTTATGGGCTGAACTGTGCTCCTCTCTCCCAAAATTCATATGGTGAAATTCTAAAGCCTAGTATTTCTGAAAGTAACCATATTGGGATGTTTTAAATAAGAATTCATTTAAAATGAGGCCCTCGGGGTGGGTCCTAATCCAAAAAAATGGTGTCCATATAAAATAAAATTTAGAAAGGGGTAAAAATCAGCTACATGTATGCACAGAAGTACAACTGTGTGAAGATAGAGCTGTGAGAAGGCAACCATCTATAAGCCAAGAAGAGAGGCCTAGAACAGATCCTTCCATCATGGTCCTCAGAGGAGCACTTTGACCTTGGATTTACAGCCTCTAGAACTGTGGGAAAATAAATATCGGTTGTTTAAGCCACCCAGTCTGTGTGTGTGTGCATGTGTTTAAGTGCCACCTTAGAAAACTAATATAATTGACAAAAGACATAATGGACTTTTTAAAGCCAGCACCCAACTACGTTAGCATCATTTTCAGATGTTTGTTTTAGTTTGTTTATTTTATTTTATCAAGTATTATAATGATAATTAAAAAAAAAAAGTTACATGAGGTGGTTCACACTTTTAATCCCAGCACTTTGGGAGGCAAAGGTGGGAGGATCACTTGAGGCTGGAAGTTCAAGACCAGCCAGAGCAACATAATGAAAGCCAATGTCTACAAATTTTTTTCTTTAATAAAAAATAAAGCTGGGTGTTTTTATAATAATGTGTTTTATTATAAAGCACACACCTGTAGTTCTAGCTACTTGGGAGCTGAGTTGGGAGGACTGCTTGAGCCCAGGAGATCAAGACTACAGTGAGCCATAATTGCACCACTGCACTCCACCCTGGGTGACAGAGTGAGACCCTGTCTGTAAAAAATAAATAAATAAATAAAAATAGATAAAAACAATTTCAAAACTTAAGACTAAAGAAACTCAGAAAACTGTCAATTACATTTTGCTCTGATTTTTCTCTTGTATATAGTATAATGAAATGTTACATCAACTTGCCATTTTTAAAAGTAAAAATCAGATGGATTTAGCTGGGCACAATACCAGTTGTATTGAGAATTTCTAATGTCACTCAGATGAAAGACTTGAAGGAAAGGAGATAGATTTAGAAGGAAAAGGAGACAGACTTAGCAGGAGAGATGGTTAATGAGATCAGTCATTCAAATAATCTACCTACTAGTAAAGTTAGACAAACAAACAAACGGCAACAACAACAACAAAACCCTACCCATCATCTTTAGAGAAAAATCATAGTCTCCCACTTGAAATAACACATTCGTCTGGAAGCTTAAATAAAAGAACACATATTTTCACACAGCACAAAAGAATTATTTTTATATTTGGAACACGATTGCTACAGAATTATGAAAAGAAAAAAATACAGACTGTAGAGAACAAAATAAGACAAGCTTCCATCAAGAAGGAAACATAAAATATACTAACTTGAAATAACAGATATACACAATATATGGAGTTCAAGTTTTTAGTGTTGACTCCAGCCGAGATATATCGGAGGCAAAGAAAGATTTGCAAAGGATTCATGAATTATCCAAAGTTAAACATGTTATATCTAACCAAGCCAGACCTAGAACACATTATTGGTCATATTCTTTCCATTGACTATGTCTAATTCCTCTTAAAGTTTTTTCCCTTTACATATAAATCCTACACACATTACCACTTTGGTAAGATAAACAGAACAAAACACTTATTTTTTCTTTCAGCACTTTGGATGTGCTATCCCATTGTGTTCTGACTACCATTGTTTCTGATGAAAAGTCAGGTGTTAATCATAAAGTCATTTCCTTGTATGGATGAGTTATTTTTCTTTTGCTTTCAAGATTAACTCCCTTCACATTTTGTTTAATCCAGAATTATTAGAAACTCTAAATTTGAGACTCAAAGTCACTCATCAGATCACCACAAAATTTCAAAACATACATACTTAGAATGTATATTCTTGTATATATCAATATATAAGAATATCAATATACTACTTTAATGTCTTCTTTTATTAATACAAAATCATTGGAATATTTGGGAAGGGAATATAAGTCAGAGCAAGAGCATCCTAGATTAGTGATTGCTACATATTAATCATTCAATCATTGTTTTTGTGTCAATGAAAGAATAAATTACTTCCAGTATTTTTGCTGACATATTTCTTTCCCTAGTTTCAAGATTCACAGAGAAATATACCTTAAATAATATACTTTGATTCTCTTGAAAACAATTTTCTATCTTTCTCCCCAATCTTTCTCAATATTTTTAATACAATATTTTTTGTTTCTATATCCATCAAAAAGTTTCAGTGTGATGAGATAGCATAAAAATCTATTTAGAGGATCAGTTTGGAAGTCAAGATGTGCAAAATGTTTCTTATCTGCTCTGTTCTCTTTTCATTATCTTCTCCCTGACCCAACCCCAAACATTGTAAAGAATGCTAAACCCTTTATAAAGAATTTTACCAGAATCGATATTAAAATTGAGTGTGCTATTTATTACTTAGAAGTAATTATCAAACTTTAACCTGTAATCTCATTTATTTACAGTGGAGCATAGTAGTTAGAAGAAACGTGACTCAATTAGAGGTCAATTACTCCTTAGCAATGTATCAGAGTTGGGCAAGTTACTCAACCTCTGCTAATAACAATCTCTTAATCTGTAAAAATAAATATATCCATGAAGTATTCCTAAGGTTAAATGAAATAACTTATATTAAAGTAAATCACTTGGTGTAATTTTGAATATACAATATGTTCTAGCTTGAATTACTACTACTAATGAAAAACTGAAGCTCAGATCAACAAAAAAATAGTGCCATTCTCCAACTTTTTCTAGGTAGTTTGCTAGAAATAAGAGAGCAAAATAGATTAGGGCCCAGTTTCTGGATTTAAGGATCAGAAATCATCTGCTGTGTTTATTATGAACCTTTTGTATCCCTTCAGTTCTTCCTGTAAATTTTTACAAAGAACTTACTGAATAAACAGTTAAAACACCTCAAATTAACAAAATCTTCTCTACTATATCTCCATTATTTCAAAAAAGAAAAGAGAATCCTTTCCCCGTTCCTTCTTTTTGTCAGGTTTGTCAAATATCAGATAGTTGTAGATATGCAGCATTATTTTTGAGGGCTCTGTTCTGTTCCATTGGTCTATATCTCTGTTGTGGTACCAGTACCATGCTGTTTTGGTTACTGTAGCCTTGTAGTATAGTTTGAAGTCAGGTAGCATGATGCCTCCAGCTTTGTTCATTTGGCTTAGGATTGACTTGGCAATGTGGGCTCTTTTTTGGTTCCATATGAACTTTAAAGTAGTTTTTTCCAATTCTGTGAAGAGAGTCATTGGTAGCTTGATGGGGATGGCATTGAATCTATAAATTACCTTGGGCAGTATGGCCATTTTCACCATATTGATTCTTCCTACCCATGAGCATGGAATGTTCTTTAATTTGCTTGTATCCTCTTTTATTTCATTGAGCAGTGGTTTGTAGTTCTCCTTGAAGAGGTTCTTCACATCCCTTGTAAGTTGGATTCCTAGGTATTTTATTCTCTTTGAAGCAATTGTGAATGGGAGTTCACTCATGATTTGGCACTCTGTTTGTCTGTTATTGGTATATAAGAGTGCTTGTGATTTTTGCACATTGATTTTGTATCCTGAGACTTTGCTGAAGTTCCTTATCAGCTTAAGGAGATTTAGGGCTGAGATGATGGGGTTTTCTAGATATACAATCATGTCATCTGCAAACAGGGACAATTTGACTTCCTCTTTTCCTAATTGAATGCCCTTTATTCCCTTTTCCTGTCTGATTGCCCTGGCCAGAATTTCCAACACTATGTTGAATAGGAGTGGTGAGAGAGGGCATCCTTGTCTTGTGCCAGTTTTCAAAGGGAATGCTTCCAGTTTTTGTCCATTCAGTATGATATTGGCTATGAGTTTGTCATAGATAGCTCTTATTATTTTGAGATACGTCCCATCAATACCTAATTTATTGAGAGTTTTTAGCATGAAGCATTGTTGAAGTTTGTCAATGGCCTTTTCTGCATCTATTGAGATAATCATGTGGTTTTTGTCATTGGTTCTGTTTATATACTGGATTACGTTTATTGATTTTCGTATGTTGAACCAGCCTTGCATCCCAGGGATGAAGCCCACTTGATCATGGAGGATAAGTTTTTGATGTGTTGCTGGATTCGGTTTGCCAGTATTTTGTTGGGGATTTTTGCATCAATGTTCATCAAGGATATTGGTCTAAAATTCTCTTTTTTTTTGTTGTGTCTCTGCCACGCTTTGGTATCAGGATGATGCTGGCCTCATAAAATGAGTTAGGGAGGATTCCCTCTTTTTCTATTGATTGGAATAGTTTCAGAAGGAATGGTACCAGCTCCTCCTTGTACCTCTGGTAGAATTCGGCTGTGAATCCATCTGGTCCTGGACTTTTTTTGGTTGGTAAGCTATTAATTATTGCCTCAATTTCAGAGCCTGTTATTGGTCTATTCAGAGATTCAACTTCTTCCTGGTTTAGTCTTGGGAGAGTGTATGTGTCGAGGAATTTATCCATTTCTTCTAGATTTTCTAGTTTATTTGCTGACAAAAAGAAGAAATGGGGAAAGGATTCCCTATTTAATAAATGGTGCTGGGAAAACTGGCTAGCCATATGTAGAAAGCTGAAACTGGATCCCTTCCTTACACCTTATACAAAAATTAATTCAAGATGGATTAAAGACTTACATGTTAGACCTAAAACCATAAAAACCCTAGAAGAAAACCTAGGCAATACCATTCAGGACATAGGCATGGGCAAGGACTTCATGTCTAAAACACCAAAAGCAATGGCAACAAAAGCCAAAATTGGCAAATGGGATCTAATTAAACTAAAGAGCTTCTGCACAGCAAAAGAAACTACCATCAGAGTGAACAGGCAACCTACAGAATGGGAGAAAATTTTTGCAACCTACTCATCTGACAAAGGGCTAATATCCAGAATCTACAATGAACTCAAACAAATTTACAAGAAAAAAAAACCCATCAAAAAGTGGGTGAAGGATATGAACAGACACTTCTCAAAAGAAGACATTTATGCAACCAAAAAGCACGTGAAAAAATGCTCATCATCACTGGCCATCAGAGAAATGCAAATCAAAACCACAATGAGATACCATCTCACACCAGTTAGAATGGCAATCATTAAAAAGTCAGGAAACAACAGGTGCTGGAGAGGATGTGGAGAAATAGGAACACTTTTACACTGTTGGTGGGACTGTAAACTACTTCAACCATTGTGGAAGTCAGTGTGGCGATTCCTCAGGGATCTAGAACTGGAAATACCATTTAACCCAGCCATCCCATTACTGGGTATATACCCAAAGGATTATAAATCATGCTGCTATAAAGACACATGCACACATATGTTTATTGTGGCACTATTCACAATAGCAAAGATTTGGAACCAACCCAAATGTCCACCAATGATAGACTGGATTAAGAAAATGTGGCACATATACACCATGGAATACTATGCAGCCATACAAAATGATGAATTCATGTCCTTTGTAGGGACATGGATGAAGCTGGAAACCATCATTCTCAGCAAGCTATCGCAAGCACAAAAAAACCAAGCACTGCATGTTCTCACTCATAGGTGGGAATTGAACAATGAGAACACATGGACACAGGAACGGGAACATCACACACTGGGGACTATTGTGGGGTGGGTGGAGGGGGGAGGGATAGCATTAGGAGATATACCTAATGCTAAATGATGAGTTAATGGGTGCAGCACACCAACATGGCACATGTATACATTTGTAACAAACGTGCACGTTGTGTACATGTACCCTAAAACTTAAAGTACAATAAAAAAAAGAAACCCCCCCAATAAAAAACAAGAAAATAATAATAATTTTGTCAATGATAGTTAACTATATGTTAGTCACTAACACTATGGCAGTTACCTTCAAATTCATATTTCTAATATTTCCAATATCTTCATATTTATATATCTAATTCATATTTGAACCCAGCTCTAATTTAGGAAGTTCTCTTTTTTCTTTTAGAAATTAAGGCATAAAGTGTCACGTGACTTGCACAAGATTGCACCACTAGTAAACTTAAAAATATAGTTTACTTGCCTACTGTCTCAATGTTTTAGTGATTTATTGATCATGCACAATTATTTTTGAAAACAGAAATTCATTTAGCATACCACATTTCAAGATCCATTGGTAGAAGCCACTTTATTAGCTTAATCAACAAAAATGTCTAGAAAATTTGAGCTTTTATTAACTGATAACATATTAGAAGTTACATATATATATATATACATATATATATATATATATATACATATATATATATATAATGAAACAACCCCTATAATCTTTATAAAATTATTTGGGAGAGGAGGGAGCAGATGAAACAAAAATAAGCTTCCAGCACATCCAGCCTTAAACGTTAAGTTAACTTGCTGTCTGTCCTGCTTCCTCATAATTGTTCACTAGGTATGGCCCCACAATCATTTATATCCTGTCACAAGATTATAGTTAAACTTAACTACTCATAGATAACAACTTGAGCATTGTAAAATGTTAAGTTTTCTCTTTGAGGTATTCTTTCAGATCCTACATACCAGTGAAACTACTGACATCAGCTGCTCCGAAGGGCTCCAGGAGAAGCCGACTCACTAAAGGGCAAAGTTTCTACATCCTGGTGATTTAATCCCCCTTAACCAAACCAGTCAGTGACCCCAATTTTCCAGCCCCTGGTCCTCTACAATCCCTTCACCCCAGCCAAGTACTCTCTGGAAAGACAGATTCGAGGGTGCTCGCATCTCCTCACTCAGCTGCCCTGCAATCATTAAACTCTTTCTCTACTGCAAACTCTGTTTATCAATTTATCAGACTGTGACTGCACAACAGGCATACAAACATGTGAGTCCTGTATCATTTATAAATATTTAACTTTTATGTATATTTAACTGCTATACCATAATTGACTAGTTTGTATGTTAATATTAGTAGGTAATAATAATATTTATATTTCCTCCATAGGTAGCTTCTGGGGGCATTTCTGCCTGGTAAATTTTATTCTTTAATGACAAATACTAAAGTAAGTAACTTTAAAATATTATTGAGAATTTTTTTTCTATTGATGGGACACTGAATTTGTAGGTGGAAATAAAAACCTAGCTTTTTACTAAACTTAATTTTTTATTTAAACACAACTCAAAATGTAAATATAAAATTAAGAATTTCCAAAATTAAACTTAGTTTTAGGAACTCACATAAGCAAGTGTAATACTGAAGAGCAAAGAAACTGTGCTCTATAAAAAAAAATTACAAGTAATTCTTGAAATCTAAGGGCTAATTTGTGAAGTAAATTTGGAAGCTACTTTATGCTGTAGCTCCATCCTAGAGACCGAGAGAACTGCACTAGGAAAACCTGTTCAACCTTTTTTTAACCAGAAATTCTTTCTTTCTCCAGAAATCCTTTTCAGGTAATGCCTAATGATATCTCATTGAACATGTATTAGAAATTGTAGTTTAATTTTTAATTAAATAATTCAGTGAAAATATATTAATTGTAAAGATAAATTTTAACACATATGGGAATACTAGACTTACGGTGGTCATCAACCCAAAATGCTACAAAATTACATAGAATGGTTAGTTTGGCAAAAAATAAATATCACCACTAGCACCAAAAACCTAGGTTTCAAAAAGAAATAAAAGAAGCATTCCAAAATGTTAAAAATTTTTCATTTATCTACTTTCTAAATGTTCTTTGAAACACTTCTTATGTCATCATAATTTTGAAGTTTAAAAGTAAAGAAATAGTTATTCTAGTTAATATACTACCTTAAAGTTACTCTGGCTCACAAACAGAACAAAGCAAAGCATGACTTGACAGCAGTCGAATTACGGGAAATTGAAGCTAAACGAAATTGGATACCTCACCTCATCTAAACTCCTTACTTTATAAGAAGGAAAAGCATCACAAAATGTTGAGGCCATTTAACTTAAAGTCATCAGGTGAGTTAGAGATAATTTGAGACCACTGCTTTTTTTCTCTTTGTTACTATTCTCTTATGAAGTTTTGCCTGAAAACAGGTCTACTAAAAATATAAGAATTTGTAATGAAGATGAACATATATCATTGCCTTTCTGCTTAGGATTGTTCAATATTTTCCCATTGATAATATATAAAATCCTACCTACTTTGACCTCCTCTCCCACCATTTCTTTGCTCTCTATCTCCTAGAACTTCATTCTTGACTCCAAAGCTGCACCCTCCTGCATCAGTTTCTTTTGTTTGAAATCTTCAGCTCTTCATAAATTTCATCCAGCAAACTCCTATTTATCCTTTAACTCCCTATTATTTTTTCTTACAGTGCCACATTTTCCTTCATTAGCACATATCCAATTTAAAGTTACATAGTTTGAGTTTTTGCTTGACTTTCTGTTTCTGCACTAAAGCATAAGCTCCACAAAAGCAAGTATCATGTCTGATTTAACAGGGTATATTCTATTCTTTTTTTTCCACAAGGCGGTGCCCGGTTCGGTCCCAGACGCGGCCACCAACCGACGTAAAGCCGGTGAGCCGCTCGGGGAGGAGAGAGGATCGGCGGGCGGCGGGCGGGGAAGGGGGCGCAGACAGGCAAGGGCCGGGGACCGCGAGGGCAAGGGCACCTGGGAGCCCGCAGAGGGGCGGCTGAGGGAGAAACCTCAGGCATGGCCGGGCCACCAGGAAAACACGGCCGCGGGATCCCACCGCCACAGACACGAGGGCGGTCCCGCGGCGCCCCGCCTGGGACGCCGGAAGGCCCTCGGCACCCACCAAGACCTGCCTCACGAGCCCCTGGTCCCGCCACCGGGGCCCCGAAGCGACCACAGCCACAAACTCAACGCCAGGGCCACATCGCTCGTGATTCTCGTCCATCCTCCGACCCGGTCCCGCTCCGGGAGACCGGCGCGCCCCCACCGTGGGACGCTTTCCCAGGGCCAGGCGGCCCGACCACGTGCCACGCAAACGCCGTCGTCCGCACCGGTCGCGACTCGGCAAGGGAGCGGGCGGAGAGCTGACTCGCGGCGGAGGGGGGTCACTCGCCGGACGGAACGCTGCGCGCAGCCATCGCTCGCTGTCAGCCGCGTCCCAACCCGCTAGGACGCTGGGCCCTGCCGGCGGGATCCTCCCCTTACTCGGAAAGGGGAGGCGCCGGCCACAGTAGGCGACGAGCCGCGCTCGGCCACCACCGCGGTGGCCGGCGGAACCCTCGCTCTCCCCCCGTCACCCCGTCGAGGGGGAAGCTGAGGAGGGTTCCTCTGCAAGCGAGTCGCTACTGCAGCGCTACCATAACGGAGAGAGAGACAGAGGCGGCAGGCCGGGGGATCCCGTACCCCAAGGCACACCTCTTGGATCGCTAGAGAAGGCTTTCTCACCGAGGATGGGTCACACTCCCCACCCGCCAGCCGCCCCTCGTGGGGCCCGAGGGGCCCGCAGAGGCGCTCAGGGAGGCCTGGGGAAGGGAGGGGGCCTGTGGTACCAGGAAAAACCTGCGTGCGGCAACCTTGAGCGTTCGCGGTCAGGGCGGGGACCGGCAGGTGCGAGCGTGAGCGCAACTCCACAAGCCCCCGCCTCCCACCCCCCCCCCCACCCCGTCCACCCGCCTCTTTTCTTCAGAGGCAAAGCACCTCCGAGTAAACCCACACACGACCGGTCGGAGGCAGAACGGTAGCCCCTCGGCGGCCGGCCGGCGCACGCGTCACCAGCCCAAGCCCACCGCGATCGCTCACAGGGCCCGTGCGCACCCGCCAGAGGGGAGCACCGGACGTGCGCTCGCCGGACCAGGCGGGCGCCCTTCCCCGCGTGGGAGGGGCGCGTCTCGTCTCACTCAACCGCCTCGAACCCCACACCGACGAGCTCCCTCAGGACCCACGCGCGGACACCGAGGCGCCGACCGGAGGAGGGGGCGCTGGGGGTGGGAACGACACACCACCGCTCGGCCTCGGGAACCTGAGGGACAACCCGGAGCGCTCCAGGAGCACCGCAAAGGCCCAGGGGGAGCCAACGCTCGCGCAAACTCCCCGGGAGGGCAGCACGACGGGCCGGCGGGACAGCACCCCCACCGCTGCGGAGGGGGGCCGCCCGCAAGTCGACAACCACAGGAGGCGAGAGCGAGGGGTGCCTGCCGCGTCAGAGGACCCCCCGACCCACCCCGCGAGGCAGAAGGCGGGGGCGGGACAGCGAGGTCAGGCCGGGTTCCGCACCCCATGCCTTCCCAACGCACCACCCGCAGGCGAGGAAGAGGAGAGACAAGGGGCCCCCGCGGGCGGGACGAGAAGAAGGGTCCCATTCGCCACGAATGTCCGCCCCTCGCCCGTCGCGGCTCGGACACGGCCAGGGAGAGCATGACATCACCATATTCTATTCTTACAAGAGTGCTGCCACGTAAGTGTCAATGAATGTTTGTGAAATAAATGAGGGACTAAAGGAGTGATCGAACAAATAAAAATAAGTTATCTGTGTGTATTGTATGTGTGAATAAGATTTTGAGTTTGGCCAAGGCAGTTAATCACATATTAACAACTCTTTAGATACATAAGGTTTATAGCAATGAGGTACAAAATTGGTTCAACACCAAATTCTAAGATGAAACAAGGTTTATGTTCAGAAATATAGTGTTACTTTTTCTAATATCATTTGCCCTCCAACTATCAGCATGACACATGCAAACCATTGATACGTGTTTTTTTTTTTTGTATTGAAGATTCCACATGAAGAAAAATTATTATATTTCCAATAGGAAGTCCTCTTCTAAATGACAACAAATCTGAGGGTGAACACATTTGTTAAAAAGAGAGAGATTAAAAAGTTAAGATGCTGTTTGTACAGTATATAACTGAACAAAGTTGTATCTAGCAATTTGACAAGAAAGGTAAAACAGAATATTAACCTCAGCACACAAGTTTAGCTAATGATCTGGAACGGGGAGTTGTGAGTAGAGAGGAGGACAAAGATGAAAGACAACCATTTATCCCAAGTTTCTTTCCAAAGATGAAAAATAAAAAACCCTCTTAGTAATGTTTTTTAAATTCTAACTACTTTCAAGAACACATCAATAAGATATAGAGAGATAACAATCAAGTTGGACATTAACTTAAAAGTCAGATGACTTTTTAAGCATAAGTAACTTAGAACTGTAAAGTAAAAAACACTAAATGTCAATGACTTTAAAGTGGATACTGAAGTAAAAAAAAAACCTTCTATTAAAAACTAGACTATATGCAGTAACTTATGTAGAAAGCTTAGCATAAATATTTATACAAAATTGCCCTACCATATTTTATTAAAATATTACATTATAAATTAAGAGAAAATAATTTTAAAAATGAGTTATATTTTAGGCAATTTTTCTCAAAATGAGTTTCATAAATTGATATGGTTATTAGCATAGTAATTTCAATAATAGGAACAAAGAAACCAAATGAAAACCTAATGTGTGTATGTGTGTGTGTGTGTGTTTTGTGTGTGTGTGTGTGTGTGTATACAATTACCTGGAATTCCAACTTCAATATGTTTAAAAATACTTCAGTGAAAAACATTAGATTTCTTTTAAGGTAGTTTGTAAGATATTTATTAGGTTTATTTGTAGGCCTTGCACACTAAGTTAAGCAACACTATCATAAAATAAATTATTTAATAATGAAACAGAAACTCAAAGCTTCATATTATAATTAAATAAACTCTAAAGTATCTAATAACTTCAACTGTATGCCCTTAAATAACATCAGGACTACAATGTCTATCAACTTGCCCACAGAAAAAGCAACAATGAAAGAAAGAAAGAGATATCTATTTTGTCATAAAAGATCAACACACTTTGTCCAACTGTTGGTCCAACTGCTATAAAGTGGGCCAATGCTAATGGCAAATAAAGGAGCTGCCATTCAACATGCATTCTAGTAGTGAATATTAACTGACTACTACGTGAAGGCAGTGTTCATTGAACAAATAAAAGAACCCTTGCCTGCATGACGCTTATATTTTGGTCGCTTTACATTTTACTGGAGGAAACGTGAAGAATAGAATACCAGCAATATTAGCAACAACATTATCCCACTAGAAGGGCTCCAGTGATTGATATTTCCAGACTCATCTCAGTGACCCTATATGATCTTTATATTCCAAGGAACATGGCAATGGATTTTAACATTTCCAAATTAAAAGGTAATGGTAAAGTAATGATAATCAACATAAAAAATGACTCCCTGGAAACGAAAGCAACTCATTTCAAATGGCTTTGGAATGCCATTAGGACAGCACCTTTTTATTTGTAATGCATAAGTCTCACAATCCAGAGAGCAGGTCTTGTGAATTTTGATGAGAGGTAAGGCATTACAGAAAGACACAAAAGTCACGCTCCAGATCCCAGCAATATAGCTAGTAGGACGGACACAGAGTACATAGTTGTACTACTGATCACAGTGACTTAGAGATTGGAACCTATAGTTCTGTGAGATTAGGCATCATTTCAAGATAAAATTTACATTTTTAATAAATGCAGACTTTGGCTCAGCTAAACAAGGTACCTTGGGCTATATTCTTTCCTGTAGATAGATAAATTTGACGTAATTCACCCTTGTGCAGTCTAAACATACCATGTGCCAACAGTGATGTAAGTCACTGAATATGTGAGATAAAGTATGATGAATTCTATTGACAAATACAGGCAATGGCTTCCATTTAATTGAGAAGAAACCACATACCTAGCACAAGTCATTTTCTGTGCATTAACTTTTCATAATACAACTATATGAAGTTATAGCCTATTTTATATATAAGCATTTCCAAAGGTTAAGAAAGGGCACAGTGAGAGTGAGAAGCACAGTCTGGGTCGGTAGGACAATCTAGTTGTCTATCTGTGCTTTAAACTCCTATAAACATATCTCCCATACCACAGCATCTAACTCAGAGTCACATTCGAATTGCCAGCAAATGGAAGCCTCATAAACCCAAAAGGTGAACGGCAGTGAAGTGTATAGAGCACACTTTGAGTGCACAGAGTATCTTTGCAGACAGTATCTTTTAAGACTTTCACAATCACATCATGAGATTATTCCCATACCAAAAAGTAGGAAATGAAAGCCTGGAAACAAGTTATATCGACATTAAACTGCTCTCAAACCCAAGTGTACAAATGATTTTTCTTGCAAAGAAATTTATATCCTACACAAAGTTCTATTTCAAAATGAATTCTGGAATTCAATTAAACACTCATCTTGAAAACAAGAGTTTAAGTGGAAATTCCTCACTGGTATTCAAGCAAATAAATTAAATAATGATATTAAACCTACATCTAATCTCTTATCATACATATTGAAAGTTTGCTATATAGCTACCACTAAGTTATACATTTCCAGTGACACAAACCATGAAATGAATTTCTTTCTATTGGTACTAGCAAAAAACAAACAAACTACATAGACGGCAAAAAGGTCAATCTACTAATTTATCTTCTAATAACTTTCCACCCAGGCGCATTCATCCCTCTTATTAGACGGTTGTTCTATGCTTCTTTAATTTTTTGACATTCTAATTGCCTCACCTGAACCAAAAAAAGAATGTGGATCTAGGATCAATACCTTTTGAAAAGTCATTTATTTCATTATATTAATTTTTCATATATCTGCATTATTGCATAGAATACCCGATTGGTCTTATGCTAAGTTTTTCATGTAACATTACCTCTGCAAGATGTTAATAAGTATCCTTCCAAAAATGTTTGAAAAATCTTGGGTAAAACATATTAAGTAAGTTCCTGTTTTATAGTTTTCCAAGAGTTTTACTATCCTTGGCCAATGATGAAATTCAAAGCAGAGATATAGTACACAACTTTTGTAAAATTTACCTATTTTTCTTGTAAGACTGTGGCTTTGTTTCATTTTGTTTTGTTTTGAACTTCTTTTCTGTGATGTGACATAAGACTGTGTTTTGAGTTAGGGGTGGGGACATGCATTAACAGAGGTTTAGGAACTGCTTTGTTAAAGCAAGTTTGAGGGGGAAATGGGGAGACTAATACAAGATTTTCATTGAAGCAGTGGGAGTTGAAGGGGTAGGTGGTTTTTGGAGAAAGAAGAGACCCATTCACCGCACAGGCTTCTTTATATTTCTGCTCTGTGTGATACATAGTGAAGATAGAGACATTCACTTCTTCTATTTCCCACCCCTGGCCGGGGGTAACACAAAGGGACCTGATGAAGACACAGCCTTATACCTGTATCAAGTGTCCTTGAGAGTGGTAGGACTGGAGAGGCCTGAGAAATAAAAACATACATGCATTAAAAGGAACAAATAAAGAGAAGAAGAAAACTCAGACATGGTAAATTAACTTTGTACCTTTCCTTACAACCTAGCATATCAGAGGGTACATGATTTCCTTTTGACCTGCTTCCTTTATGCTGACTGCATGAACAGGGAAGGGGGTTGGGGTACACGTGGGTGATAATTGTATTTATTATATACCTGGTATTAATACATCTATAGAGACAATTGGAATGACCATACTGGGGAAACAGCAAGGGAAGAACTGAAAAAGCTAAAATAAATACTTGGTTCTATAAAAAATACTACAAAAAGATTTCTCATGTCTGACAAATTACATTTTAGTCTAATAGCAATAAGTAGACCGAAGCTAAGGTGATTTGATAAATATCATAAGGTATTTTATTGGGAAATTGATATCTATATGTATTGCTTGTAAAGCTCAGTAATCTGTTCTTGAATTGAGAAATTACGGAGACAACATCAAAAGCTGTCATTTTTGTTTCTATGTTGTTGTTGTTATTGTTTGTGAGGTGAGAGCTTCTAAACTTTATGACTGTTTGAAAGGGACCTATATAGGCCTTGCCTGAATATTAAGTCATGTGAAATGATAAACAGCTTTCTGATTTATTGGGTTAAAGAAAAAATTGAGAAATTGAGCATCATTAAAATTAAAGACTTTTGTTATTCAAACTGTGCTTAGAATGAAAAGAAAAGCCACAGGTTGGGAGAAAATCTTTTCAAAACACATACCAGATAAATTAGTGGTATTTAAAGTATACAAAGAACTCGAAAATAAGAAAGAAAACAACTCATTTAAAAAATAGGCCAAAGGTCTAAATACAGCTGTCAAATACAGATATTGAAAAGTTACTAGTCATATATCATTAGGGAACTGCAAGTCACGACAACAGTGAGATATTATTACATGACTATTAAAATGGCCAATATCCAAAAGTCTGATAATATGAAATGCTGGCAAATGTGAGGAGAAACAGGAACTTTTATTCATTGCTGGTGAGAATGCAGAATGGTACAGCTACTTTGGGAGTCAGTTTGGCAGTTTCTTACAAAACTTAAACATACTATTACCACACAACCCAGCAATTACATTCCCTGGTATTTACTTAAAGGATTTGAAAACTTACATGCACACAAAAACCTTCTTCCCATGAATGTTATAGGAGACTTATTCATGACCACTAAAATCGAAATGTCCTTCAGGAAGTGAATGGAAAAATAAACTGTGGTATATCCAGGCAATGGAATATTATTCTATCAAGCCACAGAAGACACACAGGAACCTTTAAATGCATATTGCCGAGTGAAAGAAGCCAGTCTGAAAGTCTACATACCGTGTGATTCAACTACATGACCTTCTGGAGAAAGCAAAACTATGGAGACAGTAAAGAGATCAGTGGCTATGAGGGATTTGGAGGAGATTTGCGCAGTCTAAACATACCATGTGCCAACAATGATGTAAAGCACTGAATATGTGAGACAAAGTATGATGAATTCTATTGACAAATACAGGCAATGGCTTCCATTTAATTGAGAAGAAACCATATACCTAGCACAAGTCTTTTTCTGTGCATTAACTTTTCATAATACAACTATATGAAGTTATAGCCTATTTTATATATAAATAAAAGCATTTCCAAAGATTAAGAAAGGGCACAGTGAGAGTGAGAAGCACAGTCTGGGTAGGTAGGACAATCTAGTTGTCTATCTGTGCTTTAAACTCCTATAAACATCACCTCAATCTACTAATTTATCTTCTAGATAAAATAGTAGAGGAAGTGATGAATGGATGGAGCAAGGAAGAATTTTAGGAAAGTGAATCCATTATTCTGTGTGACACTGTAGTGAGGATTATTTGTCATTACACATTTGACAAAACCTACAGAATTCATAAGGAGTAAACTCTAATATAAACTACAGACTTTGGTCAGTAATAATGTACCAATATTGACTCATCAACTATAACAAATGTACCACACTATTGCAAGATGTTAAAAGTGAGGGAAATTGGGGTAGAGGCTGAGGAAGACATGTGAATGCTTATTCACTTCTTTTTGCAAACCTAAAATTGCTTTTAAAAAGTCAATTAATAAAAATTAAAACAAGGCAGGGTTTTCATGCAATGGAAAAAAACACACAATTTTAGTAAGTGACTGATAATTATGCTTATGCCACTTTGCTAGATTACATTTCATTAATAAATATAGTTTCATTCTTTATGTTATAAAGCAGAATAAAATCAGATATCTAGAGAAATTGATTAGAGTAAAAGCATTTTCACCTCTCAAGTCAGAATGAGCTCTTTAGAATCAGCCCATTTTATAGCTAAATCAATCATTGTTTGATTTAAAAAAAAATTGAGAAAAACATTAACTTCACTTTTTCCACGAAACTCAATGTCATGACAGCATTGTGAGTCACCTCAATGTAGGATTAAAAGCTATTTCTGGACCCAATAGACTTACTGTGCTACATTCTGAAAATGTAAGACATTAAAGTCCAGTCTTTGTTTGATCTGCTGTCCTTTGCAGTTACCAAAAGGTCAATTTATCCTGCTTCTTTTTTCTCTTTTTCATATATCTTGCACTTCAGCTTAATATTAGTATTAAGCTAAATTTCTTATTTTATTTTGAGTGATGAAGGAAAACAGAGATTGTTTCAATACAGTTAATGAGAATAAGCAGCAAAAGGTACTTATAAAGTACACAAGAGAGCTATCAGATAAAAATTTGTTCAAAAAAAGATTTGGAAATTTTTATCGCATGAATGTTCAAATGGAAAGGAAAACTTTATGGATTTTTTTTCCACCACACATGAGTAGCAGCACTAAAGTAGTGAATAATGCCGCTTCAATTAGTAGTTTTCGTATATTTCTGATATCAGAAATGTATTGTTAGTAACTAGTTTTAAAAGCAGAGCATTTTCGTGCATGGTATTCCACTGAATTCCAAAGCCCAAACTTAACTTAGGCTAATTTCTCTCTGCTGGCAGCACCAATAATTTCTCATAAATAACATTTCATATATATATGTCATTCTGATGATGTAAAGGAGTTCACATATTATGGACCTACGAGCCAAATTCAATCAATGGCTTGTTTCATATGGCTGAGAGCTAAAAATTGTTTTGGCATTTTTGAAGTGTTTAAAGAAGGAGAAGGAAGGGGAGAAGAAGAATGAGTAGATGAAGGAGAGACAGAGATTACATATGGCCAGCAAAGCCTATAATATTTACTGTCTAGTTCTTCACATAAAGAAGTTTTCCAATCTCGAACGAAACACACACATTTTTGTTATGTCAAAAAAGGACTGCAATAAGTCTTAACATCATTGATAGGTTCTTGAAAACTGGTAATAGGTATATATATTTATGGTCACATGTGATGTTTTGATACACGAATACAGGAGGGATAAATTGGGGATGGTTAATTGGTGCAAAAATACAGTAAGCGAAACCCATTTTACCGTAGATTGACATAAAAAAGAGTTAAGCTTCTACGGCTTTTGGTAACAAAAACATCAACAAACTTGTAAATAAAGATCAAAACACTTCTAATATTAAATGCTGAAATAAATTTGAGCTATTCATACATTTAATATTAATAAAAACTAGTAAAATCATTATTTACCTACTTATTTCAGTTTAGGGTTGCAGTTGACCACAGCCTATCCTGTCAGCTCAGGATGCAATGTGGGAACCAGCCCTGGACAGGACGCCATCGCATTGCCGGTGCACTCACACATACCCACAGTTACTCAGACTGGGACCACACAGACATGTCAATCGACCTCACATGCACAGCCTTGGGAAGTGAGAGGAAACTGGAGCATCCAGAGAATATCCATGCAGACATGGGGAGAATACATAAGCTCTACACAGACAGTGAACCCCAACTGGAATCTATTTGTTTTTTCTCATCAACATTATAATGAAATGACATTGAATGAAACGTCGTTATTCGAAGACCTGTTGTACTCAGTTCTAAACATTTCAGAATTAAGAGATCTACACACATCCTCCTCTATATAATGGAGTGGGTCTCTTAAAATTTCCTGGCAACATACTCTTAGCCTGCCTAGAAAACACTTTAGAATAGAACTGCATTATAATACATTTTCATATTCTATTTATATCTTCATATTTCTCCCTCTACTTATTAAGGTATAATCTTGTATATGTAGTCCTTCAGTTCCTTAACAAGGTGAACATATGATCTCATGATGTGTGTTTTAATTTCTTAACTTTGTTGAGATTTGGGAATGTGAGGAGGATGGAAAGGAAAGAAAGGAACTCAGCAGCTACAAAATAAATCTGACCTTTAATTTTTTTTATTGAATTTGTTTCTTGTTTTATTTTTCCTTCCTTTGCACAAATGAGAGCTTCTAGTTTTACAAAGGGTACCACCAATTTTAGGATAAACATTTGTATTTGTGGGATAACACAAGTTCGAGACACAATGATTTAGAGATTGCATATCAATTTTATCAAATAAATGTGATGAAAGTAAGTGATATGCACAGTCACACACACACACACGCACACACGCATATGTAGTGATAAAACCATTGACACAGATTCCCAGATGGCACTTAATGTACTTTCAGTCTTAAATTCTTTCTCAACGACAAGCCATTTGTTTGCAAATGATTTAGCATTCAAAAATGATTCAACATGAGAAAAAAATGCATTGCACATAAAGTTCAGATTACAAAAGAATTAAAGTCATACTAATATAACTATAATTTATAATGAATTCAAATAGCTTTCAGAAGGGTCATCTGTGGAATGTAAAGAGCAATCTGAATTTATTTTTCTGTAACTGGTCACAGCAATGTTTTCTAGACTAGTGAGTGTGTGCTCATACAGCACCATGTGTGTTCAACAACACACAAAGTTGGATGACAAAATCACTTTAGTGAGAAGGCAGCTATTTCCAGGGGCACCAATACTAATGTTAGTTTTGAGTTTTTGGTTTGCTTTTGTTTGTTTACAAGGCAATGTAATGTTTAAGGAAAAAAGAAAATCTTACCAGTCCATGTTGAGTGAACATTTCAATCAATGTAAAGTCAAAAGTCAGCTGCCACCATGCCATGCAAACCTTACAGTACATGACATATTAAATCAGTAACCTCAAAAGGGACTTCTTAGAAGCTATGAGTAAAAGGCATACACAAAATGCCTCTGAGATAAATTCACAAATGAAATGGAACATGATATCTGTGTATATCCAAGAATAATAGTAATTATTCAAAAACAAGAAAACTTCTAAATTGAAAGAATCCCTAAAGTAAAAGTAGACCAAAGAAAAAGAAATAAAGGTGAGAAGTGAGATGAGGCAGAAATAGTGGGCGACACGGAGACGTACTGAGAAAAAAAGTAGCTAAAGATAGTGTGTTATTATTTCAGCAAAATTAAGTATATCAATACTGAGAAATATGACTTGAAATAGATTCAGTACCTCAAGCAGAAACGTAAACAAATAACATCTGGCTTTTTCTTTTGATAACCAGTATTTTAAATACAAACATCTAAAAATATTATCTTTGTGTAAGAGTTACACATTTATCATTCCAATCCTCAGGGTGCATTGTTTCCAACTAAACAGTAATCATTTCAATAACAAAAATGTGCTGTAAATACTGTATGGAAATAAATTTCCTAACAGATGTTAACCAGACATCAGTCTTCACTGGTAAGGATTAGATTTGAAGGTGTTTGCAGATAATTAAAACTTGTTTTTATAACATAACTTAGCAGCTAAGTAGTATAATGAAAATGGGATATTCAAATTATAAGATATAAAATATTAAAGATAGAAGAACATGCTTATTTTTTCAATATAAATATTGTTACAGCTCAGAGAAACAGTATGAAATCTCAGGGCTCATGAAAGGCCACATTCTAGAGATAGTGATTGACAGGTATGGCAATTCCCCTACAGCGTGGTGCCTGTTGTCATGGAGTAGCATGTCTCTTACAGGGTACTACCAGAAGGCTCAAATAGGAAGAGCCAATAGTCCATGTGAGAAACCACGGAAGGCTAAAGATAGAAGGAAATATTTGGGCCACGTTGAAGAACAAGTTCACCAGGTGAATTGGCATGTGGCTAGGGTACAACTTCCCATACATACATAAATAATGAAGCAGTAAAAAAATTAAGTTATCAGAGAAGTATTTTATTATTATTAGAGTCATGATTAGCATTCTCCTCATCAGGAGAGTTTTATGTTTTTTTCTATCCCTACTCTATACTTTTTAAACACAGTCTCCAATTTTGAAAATAAAAGTTTCTTATTTTTAATTCAAATCTCAATTAAAATAAAACAAAAACCAAAAATGTAGAAGTTCTTTATTTTGACCATCTATATATCATACACAACAAAAAGACTGATAAAATTCCACCAAACACAACAGCTAGATCCTTATTCCCGTTAATGCTTAAGCCCATTCCAATAAGGATTTTGTACCAAATCTGCCCTTGCCAAGGCTACCTAGGGCCTTCATTTTATTATTTGCAATGGACCATTTTAACTTCACATCCACGTTGGCTTCCTTACATCCTAGATGCACATACAGCCAGATTTTTTCCCATCAGATGTGATTTGATCTTCCAACTTCGGAATGCCCTGATGACTTCCTCTTTATCTAAAGATCACTTTAAAAAGCCTGAAGTATTTGGCTCTTCCCTAAATCTTTGGCCAGACGTAATGGCATCCTCCCATTGGCTTTCTTTGTCCAAACTACATTAGCCTTATCTCAGATCTTCAAACAAGTTATATTTCCTGCCTAAGATGTTTGTATGGGTGAGTGAAAGGTCTGATGAAGATAGTTCCTTTTTGCCCCCAAAGGTTTTATTGATCATGCTGACAATGAATTTATTGTTATTTTAATCTTTTACTGTTATACTCAGGCTTAAATTCTCTACCCTATACACTTCAGTTGACATAATTTTAATTTCCACTATGATGCTTCTCTCTTTTCTATCAACACTCTCTCCCCGCAGGGTTTCATCTAGATCAGGAGTCAGCAACATTTTTGACAAAGAGCCAGACAGTAAATATTGGAGGCTTTGTGTTGCCAAGAGGCAAATTTATGGAAATTTCCCTGCTGAAAAATTTCCCTATATTTTACATTTTAGACTTATAAATGATACACCTACTTATAACTCATGAGCCATACAAACACAGGCAGCAGACCAGATCTGGCTCATGGACTATAATAGTTTGCCAACCCCTAGCCTAGATTCATGATTTTAGGCATGATCTATAGGCTATGATTATCTAACTCACATCTCTAGCCAAGTCAACTTGTCAGTGCCTACTTGATGTCTCCACTTGGATTCTAACTAGCGTCTTAATTTAAGATTTAAAAAATGTAAAATCAATCACACATATGCACCTACCTACACCTCTGTCACTTGCAAACTGCCTCATGTCATCAAGACGTTGCCATATCACTAAAAGTGACCATAATCCGCCATGTCCCTAAATCCAAATACCTTGTTATAATTCTTGCTCAGTAAATTCAATCATCTTCAAATCAACTTCCAATCTCAACTGATTTTCTCCAACTTTATTGCTACAATCATAATCCCAACCACCAGCATCCTTCAACTGGACAGGTGCTAAATGAACCCCCTTCCTTCACTACTGTACCCTTCCACAATAGTACAGCCTCCTAAGAGCTAACCTCATCATATCACATATCCATCATACATTTTTCAATGTAGTTAATTTATATTTACACTTTGATATAAGATCTAAATTTGGTCCCTGAGGGCACTCATGTAATATCTCTCCATGCTCTTCCTTCATGGACATTCCAGCGAAACCGGCCTTCTTTTCTTTGTAAGAAACTATCAAGCTGTCTTTTTAAATTACAGAATCTTTATATCTGCCCTTCTTTCTGCTCAGAGCACCCCAGATCTTCAAAGTACCTTCCTATTTGTCTTCACTCAACTCTCAAATGAAATATTAGCTCCTGAGAGAGAAAAATTCTCTGAAATACTTATAGCCAGATCAGTGCCTTCCTACTTGCCAGTTTTACTCAACCATGTTATCACATGTAATCTTAAGACTTCATAGTAATGTACCTTATAGCCCTTCACACCATTGCTTTGTTTAGGTATTTGTATGTCTTCGTCCTCTTTCCCTCCTCACTACAGTATAGCCAATTGTGTCTTTGCCATCTTCACTGCTATATCCCCTAGTGCCTGGTAGGCTTTCTATAAATATCCATTTATTGACTTATTGACTACATGTATATGCTAATCCTTTTTACTAATTTTTGTTATACTATGTATTTCTCTTCTCCCTCTCTTTGCTTCCCTCTCTTCTCATGTCCTTGATGCTTCCTACTCAATATTAACATGTACATCACTTTGTGTCTTCAGCATTTCTCTTTTCATTATATTACGATAGGTTAATTTTCCTAAGAAAACACTATTTTGACAAAAGCAAAGCATTAAAGTAAAGCAGCATAGGATCAATTTTTTCCTGGTAGAAGGAAACACCATCTTTCCAAGAAGACAATTCCGCCAGGAAACAAAACAAACGAAAACATTTCTGGTAAGTCCTAGTTCCCAAGACTTGAAGCCAGTATATTTTCCCACTTTCAAGTACCCTTGACTGTAGAGATAAAAGGTATCCACTTAGAGATATTAACCCATTACCACTGCCTAAATTTGGGTTCCAGAAACACAACTTAATATGACATCAATGGATGTGATAATCATTTGAAAGTGGCTTTATCAAAATCATCCAACAGAACAAGTTACTTTCTAATTAGCATCTTCAGTTAAATACCTAAATCTGATGAATAATGTTATGCATTATGCTAAATTGCATTGGCTCACTATTCTAGAATGCTTTCAAATTAATTAATAATGATATATTCAGTAATGAGAAATATAAAAAGATAAAAACCTATTTCAATCAGTTTAAATTAGAATTTAACATTTCTTCAATACACTATTTTGTAGTCAATTGCAAGAGTAATAAAGCAAAATTATTGAGTCTTTAATAGTGACCATTCAAAATTCATAATGAATTATTAGAAAGAAAACTAAGGTCCCTACCAACTTTCCACCTCACTCCAAACCATAGCCAAGGTCATTACAACAGCAAGTAAGACTCCACACAATTCCCACTTCTTCGCCTCTATTCTATTACTTCTGGAATCTTCTACTACTCCAAATTGTGTGTTTTGCTCCAGACTCAGCAGTTCTCACTACCTTGTTCTTCCAATTGCCATCTTCTCGGTGTGGCCTTTCTTGACTATCTAGTTAGAAATTACCCTATCAAAATTATCTGATCCCCATCCAGGATTACTTTTCACCATCTAACTTACGATACTTCACATATTTATGTGGCTCATTGTCTGTTATCTGTCTCCCTAAGTTAGAATGCAAGCTTCGTGATGGCAGAGATTTGGTCAATTTCCTTCACTCAATAATTCCTGACCCAAAGTAAAAACGTCATAAGTATTTTTTGAATATACAAATATGTAGTCCGAATTATCAAGGAGCTTATAAATAAATAAAGACACAAACCAGCATTATAGTGCAGTTTGAGAAATATCAATAGTGTGGTATAGGAGGAGGTATGTAAACTATGAGAAGCAACAGTTACATAAGAAGCAATTCAGAAAGACACACAGTGTGGGTGATATCTGAGTTAAAGGACAGAAAGTAAGAAGATAACCAGATGGAGAAAAGAGAGGAAGATTTTACAAACAAGCATCAGAAATTACCATAAGAAAAGCAAGTACAAAATAATCATAAGAAAAACAATTGCATCCCAATTATTATGACAAACATAATTAACTATGAAAACCCAAAAACAGTTCATGCTTTGATAATGCTAAAGTTGATAAGTAGATTAAGATGTGATAGAACAATCTGTAAATCTTGGTGCTTCCTAACTTTTGAGAAAACATTTTTAGGCAAAATATGATGATTTAAGGAAGAAAAGTTGCTGATGGATGAGGCATGTCCCTTAAAGACAAACACTATGAACACTGTGTACAGCCTTTATAATGGAAAGGTGCCAGGTTTTTTTTTTAAGTCCTTGGAATCTCAGGTGGCAACTTTGAAATTCATGTGTAATTCATGAGTTTTTTAAAAGAAATGTAATAAGTAACACAAGTGATTCTAGAGCTTGTCTTTAGGCTGAGGGAGATATTGGCATTATAAGTTGAAGTGTTAGAAAGGAACAATAAGAATTAAGAATAAGCAGTAATTTCTGCCAAGATCTGTGGCACCCAGTCTCACACATAAGGCTTTTTGGAATCTCTTGGTTTCCAAGGTTCAGGCTCTCATACTTTAGTTTGTACATAAAGGACTTAAGTTATTCTTAAAGCACAGTTTTAGCACTTCACACCAGGAGATGGTTATGAGACCGATCACAAGATAAAGTGAAATAGGATGTGTGCCTGCTTGTAGAAGGAACCTCTTTCCTTCTGCGTTTCTATTCCTACTTTTCTGGCAGGCAAGTCCTAGAAAAAATTTCATATACAGATTAATTTTTAAACAATTTACATTATGTTTTACTATTATTAGCTTCTAGAATACCTTAGCTTAGGCTGGCCCTGGTGGCTCACACTTGAAATCCCAGCACTTTGGGAGACTGCAGTGGGCAGATCACCTGAAGTCAGGAGTTTGAGACTAGCCTAGCCAACATGGTAAAACCTAGTCTCTACTAAAAATCCAAAAATTAGCCGGGTGTGGCGATGCGTACCTGTAATGCCAGCTACTCGGGAGGCTGAGGGAGGAGAACCATTGAGCCCGGGAGGTGGAGGCTGCAGTGAGCCAAGATTGTGTCACTGCACTCCAGCCTGGGCAACAGAGCAAGACTCTGTCTCAAAAAAACAAAAAACAAACAAACAAACAAAAAAAGAATATCTTAGCTTATATATTTCTCACATCTGATCCTACCACTTTACTTCTTTTTTCCTGTTTATACCAATTATTTCTATTCCTCTTTACATATAGGCAGAGAGATAAAACTAAAATGTGTCATAGACAGTGACATCTACTAAATTTACCTATTCTTCATGTTGAATTCCACAACAGATTTCAAATACAACCAAAATCTCCAAATGAAATCTTAATTCTAAATTGAGTGCTTGTAGTCTTCAAATATGTTCAAATGGAACATCAAAGCTCAATAAAAATAGTTATATTACTTGGGATGGTATTTAAAATATTTTTTCCTAAATAAATTCAGCTTCAGAGGAGAGAAAACCTTCATTAGGAGATGTATCTTAAGGAACAAATTAAGTCAAACAAATGTGAAAGAAATCATACTTTATTATGTTGAATAGTAAGATTTTTTTGTTACTATTGTGAATTAATGCCATCCAAATATTGAGTGATGTAATTCAATTTAGTAAAAGAAAAAAGTCTAAATTATCAACTTCTTTCCTTATAAAAATGAAATATGCTATAACTTGCATTTTTTCCATGGCAATGACCCTGATGATCAGAAAGAGAGGTTAAAACATAAAAACATTTAAAATCATCTAATCTAAATTATAAAAAAGAAATCCCTTTCTTCAGAAAAAATAATTTTTTAAGGAAGCAGTCAAAAACAAATCTCTACTAGTAGATATACAGCATACACATCTCTTACTATCTCCCATGCAGACTGCATAAAAAGGCTTGCTGACTACTTTTAAGAAAACAACATTCAGATGTCTGGAAAGTATCTGAAATGCGTGATTAATCTACACAGATAATTTTCTCAAGAAACCAAATTTTGAAGACAAGTAATTCAAAAGTATATTGTCTTTAAAGTTAATCCACTGGTATTCTTAAACTGCTATAATACTTTCTCTGTTTACCTTATAGTGTGAACCTCTCAAGCTATGGGAATGCACGTAATCTTGAAGAATAGTTGACTTCTTTTGTAGGAAAAAGCTGTTAGAAATGACTGTTAGGATTTCAAATGTTTGGGAGCGTGTATTCATGTGGGTTTTATGTGTTGAATATTTGCATTTATAATTTTAAGATGCTTAAATCCAAAACTAAAATGACCCATGTAACATAATTCTGCCATAGGATAAATTAACTTCAATTAAATTTTTCCATACAAATTATTATCTACCACAATGTAAAAATATTTATATATCATAAAGATGTAAGAAACACTGACATCTATAATACAGCAGAGTTCAATTTCACTACTACTTAGCTTGATGATATTTTAAGGTCATGTCTCTTGGAATACACATTCAATATTCATTGCCAAATGTCTGAACTCACCTCTCTTGAAGCCATATTCAATTATCAAATGAAAATAATTTACCAAGCAACCTCACAAAACACAAACTCTAGGTAGCATTAAGGTTTTTCAAAGTGATTATTCCTTATTAGTAGTGATCCTAAGATATTAAAACTCATAGATCGCATGATCTGAGATTTTCTAGTTGAAAAGCTGTAGCTATAAACTTTTAATTCAAAGTCGGATACCACCTTCAGCTGTCAAAAGAATTACACAATCACTTAAATTTCTGGAATGAAAGAGAAAATGAAGGGAATAATAAAAGTAACTTTGAAATGCACCGGGAAACAATTGTAAGGAACCGAATGGAGGCAAAGACAGAGAGAGAGAGGGCTGTTTATCTAACCTTCCCTTCTTGAGTAGGTTTTCTCTGATATCTCTAGAGGAAAACTGGATGTGTAACAATGAAATACAAAATACAAGATATTGTCTTCGTATAATTACTTGTAATGATTCCAAGATGGCAGAATTTGAGAACTTGCTAAATAGCACAACAAAGTGGTCTGCTTTTCCAAAATTTTGCCCCTTAACTTAAATATTATTTCATGGTGAAGATCAATAAAACTGAAAATTGGAATTGCCAGATATTATCAGATTTTATTTTTTGAATGCTTAATAGCTGACCCAAAATCTGGTCATAAAAATGGAAGTTAAATTAAATTGTCCTCAAAATTTAAGTTTGCTACATTTGTAAGTGCCACTTGCTTCTTCAAAATTTCAAACTTTCTCATATCTAGCAGCAAATCAAAATTAGGAATTTAAGCATGTAAATTCATCGTGGAAACCAAATGGATTAAAATTTTCTGTGTATTCATGATAATGTTTAAAATTTTTGCTACATTTAAACCCTAAGTTAGTTACAAAAACTCTAAAATTATGCTTGTTTAAAAACTTGGGCTAACTTGCTTTTGAAAACATACTGACATATTCATTCCATTCTTCTTATAATTATTTTTGTGTCACTCCCAAACAGCACACCATTGTATATGTCCCCAAAATGGCACTTCTTTGTTAAAGCCATTAAGACAGAAATATTTTTGAGCCAGATGCAATGGCTCATGCCTGTAATCTCAGTACTTAGGGAGGCCTAGGTTAGAGGACTGCTCGAGGATAGGAGTTCGTGACCTGCCTGGGCAACATAGCAAGACCCAGTCTTTACAAATGAAATGAAAATAAAATATAAAATAAACTAGCTGGGCATAGTAGTGCACACCTGTGGTCATAGCTATCAGGAGGCTGAGATGAGAGGACCATATGAACTTAGGAGTTTGGGGCTGTGATGAGCTATGATTGCACCACTGCACTTCAGCCAGAACTCCGGGTTGCTGAGGAAATAAGTTCTCAGTTCTGAATATAAAAACTGCTCCTGACACTCCCCAGAATCCTGTAAATGAGCTGGGTTTTCTGGTGCCTCTCTATAGTCCCTCTTTCTCAGGAAACATCCCCATGGTTTTGCCTGCTGTGATATTAATTACACCCATGCTTATTATATGTCAGTTCAGTTTTATCTAGATTCTCCCGAAGTCAGTGCTGAACTTAGCTGTTTGAAAATGTATATATTGTAATAGTTACCAAAAAGACAAAATACAGCTAGATATTTATGCTATTTGTTTTATTTCCATCGTAGGTATATTTCCTTTTAAAATTCATATGTATCTTTTTCTAAGGATTGTCTCCATTTTCAGATGTTAAACACTTTCTCATGCACAAACCACTTAAGCAGCATAGACACAGAGTCCACGTCAGGGAATGTTACATTCAGTATAGGCACCTATTATTTGGTAACTCAGAAGTAGGAAAATGGATGTCCTCAAGCAGATGCTTTTCTTGACAGATACAAAAAATTGACAAGGATCATTGACTTACTTCCAACCCACCATTCATCCCTTTTCTCTTATTTTGACCCTAAGGGTCCCAGAGGGATAATGGCCCTACATTGTTATTTAGAATTCAGATTTCAGACTGCATTTCTTATACCATTTTTATAAGTAGTGGTTGCACACAGTTGAGACAATACTATGATATTAATCTACATTCCTCGTTAAATCGACTTTTGTCTTCCATTTTTTTAGCTTAGCTACAATTTCTCACACGGTTTCTCTAGGAAGGAACATTGGGATTTCCCAATGACTTAAACATTTAGAACTTAGTCTATTCATAAATATGAAGAGCTTGTGTAGAAAGTATAATTTACTTATACTATTATGCTTAAGAAATTATGTGAAATAATGTGAAAATAATCTTATAACATTTGTATGCTTATTTGCTGCAAGAGTCATACTTCATTGATACTTAATCATAATCTTGGACATTGCGGGTTCCAGTAACCAATATTTAATGCAAGACTGTAAACTTAATAGAGAGAAAACCTTATTTATAAATCTTCATGTATTCTTTTCTTGACAATAATAATGAGCTATGAGATTTGTATTTTAAAAGATACTTAGTAATAAAAACTTTAATTTTTAAAACTTTTATTTTTAAATTCTGCTTAATTGCATGAAAGTTAAAAGGTAATATTTAATATTAATGAGGCTTATTGATCTAAATGATGATATGCAGCTTGGGTTATACTTGCAATTATAAGATTTGCTCATTATACCAAAGCAATCTCCTTCACTCAATCTAGCTACCATAAAGGAAGCAAAATTCCCTGAATCATAATATCAAAGCATTCCATTATGTTTTCTATTAAGTTGTTTTGTTCTTTGAATCATTGTCTATTTTAATTTATCCTTTTAGAAAGAAAACAAATTACTTAACTTGCATTTCCCACTCGAAGCTTCACTGTAGCTAGACTTGGAATTGATTTCAGGCCATTTTTTAATAAATGATGATCCCCAGTGAAGGATAGAATATTTGAGCAATCAATACTGAGTAAATAAAAGGGTTTGGGTAAATAAGAGAGAAGATACCTATTTTTCTCAAATATTTTAAATATCTAATAACCTATTCCTCATCTAAAACAAGCCACGATTACTGGAAATGATGGTCAGAGGAAGGTTTTAGCAACCCTGTATAATACTACATGTCATGTTGGATCACTGTTACAGAGAAACAGTTGTCATGCTGCATTTTAGTAATTCTACACATCACCAGAGAAATAAACAACTCTTATAGACACAGAAATCCAACGTAGCTACTGTCTACATATTCTTGTTTGAGACCTTTGGTGAAAAAACTCCTATGTGTATTAAATATATTTTACATTAGTTTTATCACAAAAAAGAAAAATGAGAATTCTATTAAATGCTAATATAAATTCTGAATGGCATGAAAGAAAAATTAAAATCAAAGCTGATCTTAATTAACAAAATGTATTATCTGCTTACATGTATATACAACTATTCATATACAAAGGCACAGATGCATTTGTGGTTTTGAAAAATATCTATTTCATTTCAAAAATTCACTGAACAATATTACATATGGCAAGAAAACTGCTCTTTTTGAAGGATCTTTTAAAAAGTGTTAAACTTTATTAGATACTTCAAACTAGCAAAGCTCAACTTCATCACAATTATATAATAACACTGCACACTTTCAATTTTATCTGGAGAAATATACCTATCCCTTGAAATAAACTCTGTGAACTTCCTGCTCACAGATTTCATTTCAAGCCTTGAAAATGCAGAAAATCAATGCCAAATATACTTGCCCCAAAAGGAAAAGAAAATTTCAGGGGTGTCAGGATGTTTTATCACATAAAATACAGAATTGCAATTTGTATCTGAGCAAGCAACACACCTCCAAAAATAATATAATACTTATCACAAAATACATTCACAGATACTAGATTTGGCACAAACCACTCCATACAGCTATTGATCAAATCAGTATTGAAAGCCTTATTACAAAATCTATGGCCCTTTTCTACTCTCCAACAGACATTTCAGGATGCCACAACCTTGCAGTTCCACTCTATCATTAATTTCCCCTAAATACACTTGGCAGAAGAATGAGAAACGTCACATTTTTCATTTAATTTCTAAAGAACATCACATCCTTTAAGAATAGGTTCTTGAAATTTTAAAATGTAAAATTTAAAAACCCTAATGAAAAGAAACAAACATCCAAAAACTTTTCTTCAAAATCACAACAACTTTATATGCTACGTGTTCTTGTAAAATACCACACACACAAACTCACATGCATACCCACCCACCCAAAACACACACACACACACACACACATATAGCCTCATACCTCACACATACATATATATATATATATATAATCAATTCCAACAGAGAAAAGCCAATTTCAGAAAGATGCCTTCAATTTTGATGCATTTACTCACACCTAATTCTATTTCAATTTAACTGGTGCAGAGGCATTACAATACCCTGTAACAAAAACCTGGCAGAAGATTACAACAAATTGCTTAAACGTCAAACCAAAGACTCACATAATTTCATCATAAAGTGAAATTTCCATCTAACTCTCAAAGAATTAGAACATCCTTGCACTTGTCTTGGCCTTGTCCATTCCCCTGATGACCCCAAAAGACCACAGTCATCATCAACAGTCCCAGAGCCCACGTCCACATCCTTCTAGTGACACTTTCATGTCTTCTGGCCATCGCGTCTTAAACTCTGCATATTCAGTGGGGTGGATGTGAAAGTACAATAAATTACATTCTTAGAGAAATATATTACGACTCAAATCCCATATCTAATATGCATTGTGCATTTCTGAATTATCCTGCTTACAAGGAGGTACATTTGAAAATCATGCTTCCCTTTAGGATTGTCATATTGATGATTAATATGAAAGCTCATTCATCTTTAATCTTTATTCTAAGCATTCATCTGAATTACATTTTTAATATCATTTTCCAAAACAGGCCTTTTAACCTATGAATGTTAAAAAGTACTCCCAATATACATATTGGAGTTCAGTCAAGCAAAAAAGTTGTGTATGGACACTACTTAAGTATAACTTGATATTTAGGCAAATTAATGAATTTAACATACCATGTAATCTCTACATATATACAAAAGGACTTTTCAACACACTTCTGTAAGTTTAGCATAAATACCCTTGAAAATATTCTCAAGTTTTAAGTGGTATTCTAATTATGTCAGTAATTAACTGAATAAAGAGACTCATCATGTACAAAAGCTAATCTTGTTTACTTAAAATTGAGAGTAAAATTAATTATAGAAGTTACAAAACACTTGTAGTTTTGATTTCAGAGATATAACCCACAGGAACTTTCATATATACAAATATTATATATGACAATGTATATTTGAATGTTCATTTTGAAACTGCTCTTCATACTGACACATGAAAATACTTAAATGTCCACCAAAGCAAGGTTATTTATTCATACATTTGAATGATATACACTAGATCAAAAGAATAAACTTGAGTTGCATGTACTAATATGGATAAGTGTCAAAAATGAATAGTGAAGCAAAACTAGCAAACTGAATAATGATAAGTTCAAAACTATACCTTTCATATGTAAACATGTACAATAGTTAAAACTATACATTTTATGTTGCATAAATATATAATACAGCATAATAACGCATAAGAATGATAAACACCTTCAAGACCAAAGTTAGGAAATTACAAGACTACAATTTAAATGATTAACAAGTGGAATTTTAAATCAGAGGTTACTCCTAAATCCCAATTTTTCTACAGTTGACAAAATACGGAGCTCAGAAAAGTAAACTTAATGATTTCCAGAATGAATGCTTTATTCAAAATGCTACATAATTACAATTCTAATAAACTTGCAAGGGAATCCAGTCACCCAGAAGTTTTCTTTCTCCCTTTCTCCTACATCACAAAAGGGGAAGATTTAATTAACAACTTTGCATTACTTAACTTCAGACTCATAGTATCAGAGCTAAAGAGAAATTTAAGAAACACCTAACTCAACCTCTCCATTTTAAATGAACAAATGAGTTGAGGTTACAGTGACATTTCTGAGTTCATATGTAAAAACAGTATTTTGATGACAATGACAGTTTAAGTACTAATAAACACTCCATGAAAAGTTACTGTAATCCAGGTTATTTTACTGTGCTAAATGCCTTACATTCTTTACCCAATTTAGTTTTCACAGAAATCCTATGAACAAAACACTTTCAAAATTTACCACTTCACAGCTAAGAAAAACAAGGCTTAGAGAAATGCTACACGATCCCCTAGTCATGAGGTTAGTAGGTACTATTGTGGAGACTGAGGCAAAACAGGACGATTTCAATGCCTACCCTCTAAACAAGTAAACACTAAGCAGGAATTTAGTTCTAGATCTCCCAATTGTAGTCCAATAATCAGCCAAAAAATGATTCTGAGAAGAGGGGAAAAAAGATGTCGTGTGTATGGAGCCTCAAGTATTTGATCCCAAATACATCTTCAAATTGAAAATCATTAGAGCATAAGGCAATAGAATTATTAGTTTGTTTCTAAAATCATCAACCTTTCCCAAGTTGAACATACAAGTATATTTTATCATACATATACTATATGTATGTATAACGTGTGTTTATATAAGTATTCCTGTGGTTTATATATCTGGATTTGGAATCACAAGTGTTTTGTGATATATTAATTTTTTTTTTAAAGTCTCCCTCTGTTGCTCTGGCTGGAGTGCAGTGGTGTGACCATAGCTCACTGCAGACTCCAACTCCTAGGCTCAAGCGATACTTTTGCCTCGGCCTCTCAAGTAGCTACGACTACAGGCACACACCACCATACCCAGCTAATTTTTTTTATAGAGATGGGGTCCCACTATGTTGCTTGACTGGTCTCAAACTCCTTAGGTCAAGGGATCCTCCCACCTAGACTTCCGAAAGCAATGAGATTACAGGTGTGAGCCACCTTGTGTTTTTTGATTTCTTCGATTAATTTTACTTATAAATTTAATTACACAAGATTAATTTTGTGTACATAATGAATCTCTTTTGAGGTTTAAACTACTGATATAATTAGAGTACCACTTAACATGAGTGTAATCTCAGCATTTTGGGAAGCCGAGGCGGGTGGATCACCTGAGGTCAGGCATAAGCCACCGTGCCCAGCCTATACACATTCTTTTAACTACTACTTGCAGATATTTGTTCCGTTATAATTATAGGGGAACCACTTTCACATAGTATCAAAATATCCAGATCCACTCATCAAGGTGTAAATAATCCTTCCGTAAATTACTTTTGCAAATTTATTTTTATGTAATATTTCCTTAACTTCTCCTTACCTACAGCCAGTAGTCATTTTAAAAGGCAGAATTTTTACTATTTTATATGGAACTGAGGCAGTATTTGAAAAAAATCTCAAAACACTCTTCAGGAAGGACTGGCATCTAAAACACCAGTTCCAATACATATTTTAGTAACATTTTAAAGGACAGATGGTTTTCAAAATGTTATTATAATTAAAAAAATGTAACCTTCCTCTCTGAATTGATGTGCATGGAAAACTAATATTTCATAAATGTCAAGTTACTATGACGTATTATGTAAATGCTGCCCGTGCCATTCTATAAATATAAAAATCATAACCTTCGAACTAACTTTGGTATTAGTCAACAGTTGTGCTGATGAAAAGTAAAATCAATTCATTTAAAAAAAATTTTCTGGGGGAGGAGCCAAGATGGCCGAATAGGAACAGCTCCGGTCTACAGCTCCCAGCATGAGCGATGAAGAAGACGGGTGATTTCTGCATTTCCATCTGAGGTACCGGGTTCATCTCACTAGGGAGTGCCAGACAGTGGGCGCAGGTCAGTGGGTGCGCGCACCGTGTGTGAGCCGAAGCAGGGCGAGGCATTGCCTCACCTGGGAAGTGCAAGGGGTCAGGGAGTTCCCTTTCTGAGTCTAAGAAAGGGGTGACGGACGGTACCTGGAAAATTGGGTCTCTCCCACCCAAATACTGCCCTTTTCCGACGGGCTTAAAAAACAGCGCACCGCGAGATTATATCCCGCACCTGTCTCGGAGGGTCCTACGCCCACGGAGTCTCGCTGATTGCTAGCACAGCAGTCTGAGATCAAACTGCAAGGTGGCAGCAAGGCTGGGGGAGGGGCGCCCGCCATTGCCCAGGCTTGATTAGGTAAACAAAGCAGCCGGGAAACTCCAACTGGGTGGAGCCCACCACAGCTCAAGGAGGCCTGCCTGCCTCTGTAGGCTCCACCTCTGGGGGAGGGACACAGACAAACAAAAAGACAGCAGTAACCTCTGCAGACTTAAATGTCCCTGTCTGACATCTTTGAAGAGAGCAGTGGTTCTCCCAGCACACAGCTGGAGATCTGAGAACGGGCAGACTGCCTCCTCAAGTGAGTCCCTGACCCCTGACCCCCGAGCAGCCTAACTGGGAGGCACCCCCCAGCAGGGGCACACTGACACCTCACACGGCAGGATATTCCAACAGACCTGCAGCTGAGGGTCCTCTCTGTTAGAAGGAAAACTAACAAACAGAAAGGACATCCACACCAAAAACCCATCTGTACATCACCATCATCAAAGACCAAAAGTAGACAAAAACCACAAAGATGGGGAAAAAACAGAACAGAAAAACTGGAAACTCTAAAAAGCAGAGCGCCTCTCCTCCTCCAAAGGAACGCAGTTCCTCACCAGCAACGGAACAAAGTTGGATGGAGAAGGACTTTGACGAGCTGAGAGAAGAAGGCTTCAGACGATCAAATTACTCTGAGCTACGGGAGGACATTCAAACCAAAGACAAAGAAGTTGAAAACTTTGAAAAAAATTTAGAAGAATGTATAACTAGAATTACCAATACAGAGAAGTGCTTAAAGGAGCTGATGGAGCCGAAAACCAAGGCTCGAGAACTACGTGAAGAATGCAGAAGCCTCAGGAGCCGATGCGATCAACTGGAAGAAAGGGTATCAGCGATGGAAGATGAAATGAATGAAATGAAGAGAGAAGGGAAGTCTAGAGAAAAAAGAATAAAAAGAAATGAGCAAAGCCTCCAAGAAATATGGGACTATGTGAAAAGACCAAATCTACGTCTGATTGGTGTACCTGAAAGCAATGGGGAGAATGGAACCAAGTTAGAAAACACTCTGCAGGATATTATCTAGGAGAACTTCCCCAATCTAGCAAGGCAAGCCAATGTTCAGATTCAGGAAATACAGAGAACGCCACAAAGATACTCCTTGAGAAGAGCAACTCCAAGACACATAATTGTCAGATTCACCAAAGTTGAAATTAAGGAAAAAATGTTAAGGGCAGCCAGAGAGAAAGGTCGGGTTACCCTCAAAGGGAAGCCCATCAGACTAACAGTGGATCTCTCGGCAGAAACCCTACAAGCCAGAAGAGAGTGGGGGCCAATATTCAACACTCTTAAAGAAAAGAATTTTCAACCCAGAATTTCATATCCAGCCAAACTAAGCTTCATAAGTGAAGGAGAAATAAAATCCTTTACAAACAAGCAAATGCTGAGAGATTTTGTCACCACCAGGCCTGCCTTACAAGAGCTCCTGAAGGAAGCACCAAACATGGAAAGGAACAATCGGTACCAGCTGCTGCAAAATCATGCCAAAATGTAAAGACCATCGAGACTAGGAAGAAACTGCATCAACTAACAAGCAAAATAACAAGCTAACATCATAATGACAGGATCAAATTCACACATAACAATATTAACTTTAAATGTAAATGGACTAAATGCTCCAATTAAAAGACACAGACTGGCAAATTGGATAAAGAGTCAAGACCCATCAGTGTGCTGTATTCAGGAAACCCATCTCACGTGCAGAGACACATATAGGCTCATAATAAAAGGATGGAGGAAGATCTACCAAGCCAATGGAAAACAAAAAAAGGCAGGGTTGCAATCCTAGTCTCTGATAAAAAAGACTTTAAACCAACAAAGGTCAAAAGAGACAAAGAAGGCCATTACATAATGGTAAAGGGATCAATTCAACAAGAAAAGCTAACTATCCTAAATATATATGCACCCAATACAGGAGCACCAAGATTCATAAAGCAAGTCCTGAGTGACCTACAAAGAGACTTAGACTCCCACACATTAATAATGGGAGACTTTAACACCCCACTGTCAACATTAGACAGATCAATGAGACAGAAAGTCAACAAGGATACCCAGGAAGTGAACTCAGCTCTGCACCAAGCAGACCTAATAGACATCTACAGAACTCTCCACCCAAAATCAACAGAATATATATTTTTTTCAGCACCACACCACACCTATTCCAAAATTGACGACATACTGGGAAGTAAAGCTCTCCTCAGCAAATGTAAAAGAACAGAAATTATAACAAAGTATCTCTCAGACCACAGTGCAATCAAACTAGAGCTCAGGATTAAGAATCTCACTCAAAACCGCTCAACTACATGGAAACTGAACAACCTGCTCCTGAATGACTACTGGGTACATAACGAAATGAAGGCAGAAATAAAAATGTTCTTTGAAACCAACGAGAACAAAGACACAACATACCAGAATCTCTGGGACGCATTCAAAGCAGTGTGTAGAGGGAAATTTATAGCACTAAATGCCCACATGAGAAAGCAGGAAAGATCCAAAATTGACACCCTAACATCACAACTGAAAGAACTAGAAAATCAAGAGCAAACACATTCAAAAGCTAGCAGAAGGCAAGAAATAACTAAAATCAGAGCAGAACTGAAGGAAATAGAGACACAAAAACCCTTCAAAAAATTAACGAATCCAGGAGCTGGTTTTTTGAAAGGATCAACAAAATTGATAGACCGCTAGCAAGACTAATAAAGAAAAAAAGAGAGAAGAATCAAATAGATGCAATAAAAAATGATAAAGGGGATATCACCACCAAACCCACAGAAATACAAACTACCATCAGAGAATACTACAAACACCTCTATGCAAATAAACTAGAAAATCTAGAAGAAATGGATAAATTCCTGGACACATACACTCTCCCAAGACTAAACCAGGAAGAAGTTGAATCTCTGAATAGACCAATAACAGGAGCTGAAATTGTGGCAATAATCAATAGCTTACCAATCAAAAAGAGTCCAGGACCAGATGGATTCACAGCTGAATTCTACCAGAGGTACAAGGAGGAACTGGTACCATTCCTTCTGAAACTATTCCAATCAATAGAAAAAGAGGGAATCCTCCCTAACTCATTTTATGAGGCCAGCATCATTCTGATACCAAAGCCTGGCAGAGACACAACAAAAAAAGATAATTTTAGACCAATATCCTTGATGAACATAGATGCAAAAATCCTCAATAAAATACTGGCAAACCGAATCCAGCAGCACATCAAAAAGCTTATCCACCATGATCAAGTGGGCTTCATCCCTGGGATGCAAGGCTGGTTCAATATACGCAAATCAATAAATGTAATCCAGCACATAAACAGAGCCAAAGACAAAAACCACATGATTATCTCAATAGATGCAGAAAAAGCCTTTGACAAAATTCAACAACCCTTCATGCTAAAAACTCTCAATAAATTTGGTATTGATGGGACGTATTTCAAAATAATAAGAGCTATCTATGACAAACCCACAGCCAATATCATACTGAATGGAGAAAAACTGGAAGCATTCCCTTTGAAAACTGGCACAAGACAGGGATGCCCTCTCTCACCACTCCTATTCAAGATAGTGTTGGAAGTTCTGGCCAGGGCAATTAGGCAGGAGAAGGAAATAAAGGGTATTCAGTTAGGAAAAGAGGAAGTCAAATTGTCCCTGTTTGCAGACGACATGATTGTATATCTAGAAAACCCCATTGTCTCAGCCCAAAATCTCCTTCAGCTGATAAGCAACTTCAGCAAAGTCTCAGGATACAAAATCCATGTACAAAAATCACAAGCGTTCTTATACACCAACAACAGACAAACAGAGAGCCAAATCATGAGTGAACTCCCATTCACAATTGCTTCAAAGAAAATAAAATACCTAGGAATCCAACTTACAAGGGACGTGAAGGACCTCTTCAAGGAGAACTACAAACCACTGCTCAAGGAAATAAAAGAGGATACAAACAAGTGGAAGAACATTCCATGCTCATGGGTAGGAAGAATCAATATCGTGAAAATGGCCATACTGCCCAAGGTAATTTACAGACTCAATGCCATCCCCATCAAGCTACCAATGACTTTCTTCACAGAATTGGAAAAAACTACTTTAAAGTTCATATGGAACCAAAAAAGAGCCCACATCACCAAGTCAATCCTAAGCCAAAAGAACAAAGCTGGAGGCATCACACTACCTGACTTCAAACTATACTACAAGGCTACAGTAACCAAAACAGCATGGTACTGGTACCAAAACAGAGATATAGATCAATGGAACAGACCAGAGCCCTCAGAAATAACGCCACATATCTACAACTATCTGATCTTTGACAAACCTGAGAAAAACAAGCAATGGGGAAAGGATTCCCTATTTAATAAATGGTGCTGGGAAAACTGGCTAGCCATATGTAGAAAGTTGAAACTGGATCCCTTCCTTACACCTTATACAAAAATCAATTCAAGATGGATTAAAGACTTAAACGTTAGACCTAAAACCATAAAAACCCTAGAAGAAAACCTAGGCATTACCATTCAGGACATAGGCATGGGCAAGGACTTCATGTCTAAAACACCAAAAGCAATGGCAACAAAAGACAAAATTGACAAATGGGATCTAATTAAACTAAAGAGCTTCTGCTCAGCAAAAGAAACTACCATCAGAGTGAACAGGCAACCTACAACATGGGAGAAAATTTTTGCAACCTACTCATCTGACAAAGGGCTAACATCCAGAATCTACAATGAACTCAAACAAATTTACAAGAAAAAAACAAACAACCCCATCAAAAAGTGGGCGAAGGACATGAACAGACACTTCTCAAAAGAAGACATTTATGCAGCCAAAAAACACATGAAAAAATGCTCATCATCACTGGCCATCAGAGAAATGCAAATCAAAACCACAATGAGATACCATCTCACACCAGTTAGAATGGCAATCATTAAAAAGTCAGGAAACAACAGGTGCTGGAGAGGATGTGGAGAAATAGGAACACTTTTACACTGTTGGTGGGACTGTAAACTAGTTCAACCACTGTGGAAGTCAGTGTGGCGACTCCTCAGGGATCTAGAACTGGAAATACCATTTGACCCAGCCATCCCATTACTGGGTATATACCCAAAAGACTATAAATCATGCTGCTATAAAGACACATGCACCCGTATGTTTATTGCGGCATTATTCACAATAGCAAAGACTTGGAACCAACCCAAATGTCCAACAATGATAGACTGGATTAAGAAAATGTGGCACATATACACCATGGAATACTATGCAGCCATAAAAAATGATGAGTTCATGTCCTTTGTAGGGACATGGATGAAATTGGAAATCATCATTCTCAGTAAACTATTGCAAGAACAAAAAACCAAACACCGCATATTCTCACTCGTAGGTGGGAACTGAAAAATGAGATCACGTGGACACAAGAAGGGGAATATCACACTCTGGGGACTGTTGTGGGGTTGTGGTAGGGGGGAGGGATAGCATCGGGAGATATACCTAATGCTAGATGACGAATTAGTGGGTGCAGCGCACTAGCATGGCACATGTATACATATGTAACTAACCTGCACAATGTGCACATGTACCCTAAAACTTAAAAGTATAATAATAAAAAAAAACAAAAAACAAAAAAAAGAAAAAAAAATTTTCCATGAAACAAAAAACAAGTAACTTGTAAGAAGCATGCTAGATGAACCAAAAAATAAAGTAAGATTAACCATAAAGACATGCCATGGACTTCTCTAATCTTTTTTTGGAACACCCTTTTCATGCGTATGAGAATAAAAATTAAATATTAAATACCTTCTTTATGTATGTACTTTTACTTGTACCTATTGCTCTTTAAAGATTAAAATAACTCCTAAAGCCTGGATAGTTGAGCCCATTGTGCTCTTCGGCCCATAAAATAGATTGGATATGCAGTGAAAGAGAGATAAAACTTAAGCTTTCAGATTGGTTATGACGATGGAAACACAATTCCATTCAATAGTGTTCATCTTGGTCTTTCAAATGTTTAAGGTCACAAGGCAAAAGAGAACAGACTTTAAGAATGTCCGTGTATTACTTCTCGTCTTACCCAATAGCTACATTAGTTTAATTAGGCAAGTGTTTTGGAGTAAACAGCACTGTGAAATGTGTCGTGGAGTCCAGAGGCTCCACAACCTACCTCCAGATAGTTGTTCTGTCCGATGGAGCCTAGAATAATACCACCCCAGTTTCAGAGATGCATTACATCTACAGGTACCAACTAGGAAGGGTAGTCTTGAATTAAATGGCTTTAGAACACGTTATAAGAGCAAATTGAAGCTTCCAGGTATTAGAACCACTTCAATCACAGAGCATCTCTGGGTTCTATCTGTGGCCAGCATCAGGTATCTGTCTGCCCTCCCCGAATGGTTCCTCTCATCATGTGGATCTTCTAGATGGTTTTATTCTTCCCCAGCCAGCCAACCTGACCAACAAGCCTGGGTATATTATGTATGTATAAAGTTGGTTCTTAAATAAAGTCCATTTCTATATCTAGGTAAGTAATGTCTTCAGACTGGCAATTTCATTGTTATCTAGAAAGAGTGACTCTAGTTAGCTTCTAGTGTCAGTTTTTCTAGCAGCTTCTTTAAAAAAAATCCTCTCTGGAACAAAGCTTCCTTGCAAGCATTGCTGTTGGCAATATTCCTCTTTACTGAAATGCTTATCCGGTGAAACTTGGGCTGTGCCAGTGAGCCTGCAGGTTGACAGTCCTTTTGTTCAACTTCTCCATTATAAGCAACCTCTCTGATCACCCTTTTAAAACTAAAGATCAAAGAATCAAATGAGGTCAGGAAGTGACCAGAGCTCACAGGTCATCAATTCCTCTTCTTAGCATATTATAGCACACAGTCTAAGCCAGAAAAACACAGTAGAGCCCATTACAGCTCTCGAGTTCCAGTTATTAACATTGATTTTTTTCAATGGAAAATTTTCATTAGAAGCCCTCACATGACTCACATTCAGTAATAACTCAGATTAAGATATATACTGGAGCCTTTGTCCTTAGACTAGGTGCCACTGAGTCACCATTAAAAGGAGTCTTTTTGACCTTAGTAAATTCTCACAGGTAGGGCTTATCTCAGTCTAAACTGTACCTGGCCTTTAATAGTGATGTCCAAAGTCCTGTGTAATTCAAATTAACATTGTAATGTATATAAGTTGTATATGTAGATATAATACATGCATGTATTTACAATTATTTATTTTATTTTATTTTTTAATAAGATAAAACTTAGACGTTAAAATATGACTCTAGGCCATTGTGCTTTAGAATGAAGAGCACAGACATGGGTTGGAAATGTAAATTTTGACCCCATGTAATTTCTGTGACAAATTAATTAATGTCTTCAAGGTTCAGGCTCTATGTATGAGACAAATGAAAACAGCTCTAAGATTCCTGAAAACTCTAAAGTATTAAAATTCCACTCTGCCATTAGTTCAGATAAATCATTTGCCAATTTCCCCCACAAGAACCAGGCATCTTTAAATGGTAACATAACATGCACTTCTCTCTCCCAAAGTGTAGTGCATAAACGTTCTGCTTCTGAATAACACAGGATGCCTGGTAAGATGTGCTGTCAGGGGTATTAGTAAGGAAATGTTGTATCAAAACTTCTGCAGATGTGGCCCTGAAATACACATTGTAATAAATCCTCCAGGCCTCTCAAGTTAGGAATAACTTCTTTATAAAATTGTACTTACTTAAAATTATAGATAAACAGATTTCACAGTAACCCAATTTTTCTGATCTGAATGAAATAAGGCTCTATATTCAGACTGACCTTTCAGTGAAAAACAACTTAAAACAGTGACAAACCATCTATGTCTAAGTTTAAATGAATGTAACTAAGAGACCTGAAAACTCAGGTTTAGTAGTCATCTTCCAATAGTTTGAGAGCCCACAGGAGCCATAGAGCCCTCAAGTCTCTCCAGAGAAGCAGGGTGGTTTTTCGTCCTAAACACCATGAAATTCTTGAAGTGAGTAAAAGCATTCCTGCTTACACTGATATTCTCTCAAGTGAACTCAAAGTTAAGCCATCTCCAGCCAGACCAGATACCCTGGCCCATATCTCATTCATTAATATAGGTTGAGAAACCTTTGTTTCTTGGAAACTACATGAAGTGAATAGACTGTGGACTCCACTGGACCTAGTGGTCTATATTTAATCAATTCCCTTAACAAATATGTATCAGATGCTATCTTAGTTACGGAGCTGCAGTGGTGAGTAAGAAAGCCATAGTCCTGTACTCCTAGGGTTTTAATTCTGAAGACGAAGACAGGTACAGAAACCCAACTAAGCAAAGAGAGGAGATTATTACAAAATGTGTTCACATGCAAAGTCAAGCAAGGGACTGAATACACAACAAGGGTGTTGGGGGGAACATGAGACAGATATAATCTTAATTCAGATTATATAAGATTCATACATATAATTTTTATATATAGATATATGAATTTGGGCTGGGCGTGGTGGCTCATGCCTGTAATCCCAGCACTTTGGGAGGCCAAGGCGGATGGATCACTTGAGTCCAGGAGTTTGAGACCAGTATGATCAACATGGCAAAACCACATCTCTACTAAAAATAAAAAAGTTAGCCAGGTGTAGTGGTGCGTGCTTGTAGTCCCAGCTACTCAGGAGGCTGAGGAAGGAGAACTGCTTGAACCCCGGAGGCAGAGGTTGCAGTGAGCCAAGATTGTGCCACTGCACTCCAGCCTGGGTGACAGAGCGAGACCCTGTCTCAAAAGAAAAAGAAAAAAAGAAATACTAATTTGGATTATACAGATTCTAACTATTTCTTTCAAGTGAGAATATTTAAGCTAAGACCTGAGAATAAAAAGAGTTAGCTTTTCATACAATACAGAAAGGTCTGTCTTTTAGGAAAAAACCCACAGTGTTCAAGGACCCTAATGTATGAGCAAGATCTTGGCATGTGGAAGAAATCTGTGAATTGGATGAAATGAAAAAACTGAAAAGTAGGAATCTGGATGAAGTACAAAAAGACTAATGTGAGATGTGGCTGAAAGAGAAGGGTATGTGAAACTGTACAGGTCTTCATTAGTGATGATGAGGAACATAGGTCTTAGTCCAAGTACACCAGAAAAGTGGGAGAGTTGGAAACTGAAAGACATGTTAAGAGATCACTTTGGTGTCTATGTAGCTAACAGAGTGTAGGAAATTAAGAATTAAAGTTGGTTGACTAAGGATGAGCCTAAGAAAATAGAGTAGGTAAGAAAATAAGTGGATCTGGCTAGGCTGGGGACATTGGAAATCAAAATAAGTGGAGGAAATTACAGATATATTTGGAACCAAAATATTTTTTAAATGAATGTTGAATTGGATATTGTCAGAATATTGAGGAAGAGCCAAAAATGACTTATAAGCATCTAGCATGGCTGGCAGTGCCACTTACTGACATGTGGGAAACCAGGACATGTTACCTCTGAATTATTCGAGTGCTATTGTCATGTAAATCATCAACTCCCAGAATAAAAGTCTGGGCCAAACTCTAAAAGTGGAAATTCTTAGCTGTTTAGTAGTGTTTAGAGCTTAGAAAGAGTATGTGTGTAGAGAGAAAAGAAGAGCAATTAGGACAGAACCCTTAGAAACATCAATATTTAAAATTTGGGAAGAGAAATAGAAACAAATAAATCTTCTATTAATGGTGGGAAAATGAAGCTCAGGGTAGCTGCAAGGGAATGCTAAAAATGAACTATGGCATTTGAGGAGGAAAATGTGGAAACTGAAAGCAAGAGAGTACAAATGAACTACGGCATTTGAGGAGCAAAACGTGGAAACTGAAAGCAAGAGAGTACCGATGGATTGTGAGAGAGCAGCAGCAGCTGTGTCCTAAGGAGAGTCTCAATAAAAATGAAGGATTGTAGAAATGAGGATATCCGAGCCAATGAGCTTGCAAGGAGTGATGTCCAGGAGGCAGAATATTTGCATCTAGATCCTGGTGGTACATATCCTTATAGAAAATGTTTCAGATTTGATGACAATAAAGTGGAGGAAAGGAAAAAAGTAATGGAAATAAAGATGTCAAAAAATGGGGAATAGAGGTTTGTAATGGTCCTTTCATGTGAATGTTGAGCCACTAAAATGATGGTTGAACTTGCCTGAAGATGATATTGAGCAAAAGATCTAAAGCCTTAAAGTGGCCACTGGCAAGAAATCAAGAAGCAACCCAGGACTGATAAACTTTGTTAAAGGAAATGGAAACAACCTATCTGTGAGGCTTAATTCTTGATGGCCTGGCCAAGGTATAGCATCTGGATAAGAGTTCACTGACTCAAACTAAATTTTGTGAAGGTGAAGTACTTGTTAAAATGAAAGATCTATTTACAGAGAAATAAGTAGGCATAATGTCTGCACTATGGATAGGTGTATACTTGCTTTTTGCAAAAAGTTTGTATCTGTGAAATGCTGGTTTGCCCTGGACAGAGCTAACTTAAATAGAGGCCGGCCACGGTGGCTTGTGCCTGTAATCCCAGGACTTTGGGAGGTCAAGGCAGGTGGATCACGAGGTCAGGAGATCGAGGCCATGCTGTTTAACACAGTGAAACCCCGTCTCTACTAAAAATGCAAAAAATTAGCCAGGCGTGGTAGCAGGCGCCTGTAGTCCCAGCTACTTGGGAGGCTGAGGCAGGAGAATGACGTGAACCCGGGAGGCGGAGCTTGCAGTGAGCTGAGATTGGGCCACTGCACTCCAGCCTGAGAGACACAGCGAGACCCGTCTCAAAAATAAATAAATAAATAAATAAGTAAATAAATAAATAAATATATATAAAAAACCAAAGGATTATAAATCATGCTTCTATAAAGACATATGCACATGTATGTTTATTGTGGCACTATTCACAATAGCAAAGACTGGGAACCAACCCAAATGTCCATCAATAATAGAATGGATTAAGAAAATGTGGCACATATACACCATGGAATACTATGCAGCCATAAAAAAGGATGAGTTCATATCCTTTGTGGGGACATGTATGAAGCTAGAAACCATCATTCTCAGCAAACTATCACAAGGACAAAAAAACCAAACACCGCATGTTCTCACTCATAGGTGGGAAATGAACAACGAGAACACATGGACACAGGAAGGGCAACATCACACACTGGGGCCTGTTGTGGGATATGGGGAGAGGGGAGGGATAGCATTAGCAGATATACCTAATGTAAATGATGAGTTACTGGGTGCAGCACACCAACATGGCACATGTATACATATGTAACAAACCTGCACGTTGTGCGCATGTACCCTAGAACTTAAAGTATATTTTTAAAAAAGAGAAAACTATTAAAGAAAGACTATAATACACAGGAAACACAGACACACATACACCTGTGTGTCTATATCTTCAGTTATCACACTTTTTCTATACAGACTCCAAACAAGACAAACATGTTACATTTTATTTTAGGAGAAACTATAAGTAGAAAGAGGAGAATTTGTTAAATCAATATAGAATGTTCCTTGTTTAGCATAATTCTAAGTGTTTCTCATTAGAGGTTTGAGTAATCAATCTGTATCATATGTGGCCATGCTGGCATTTGGGAAATTCCACAAGAAACTTTTTAAATATGAATTTGGAAAAGGGAAAAGGATTTTAAAAGTGTCTTTTTTTGTTCTGCATTCTGTGTGGAACATATATTTTGTGCTACCTGCTCGTGTTAGCCTGTGATTGCCTGTGACTATGTGGAAGATATACTTTATGTGACTATGTGAGCAATAGTCTTAAAGTTAAGAAATCTAAAAATCGGTTGGCTTAGTTGCTAATTAGGTAAATTACCTTGTAATAGTTACTTAACCTCTCAAAGATTAATTATCTTAAGTGGTACATTGAAGGTTCCATTCATATTGATTTTAGTAGACTTATCCTGCTAAAAAGTAAATTTAACAACAGAAATTATTCTAGACCTCATTATTTCAGGACACCCCACACCAGCGTTTATTCCTAACTTCAAGAAATGCAGAGACATTTAAAAATTGGATTTTCTTCCAATTCAACAGAATATAACTGAACTAAATAGATTTATGTATAATTCATTATTTCAACCTTTAAGGCTATATCCAAGCAGTTTGTTTTCACCATAAAGTTATAGCTGTCTAGGCCAATAATTAAAGAGGACCTTGATAGAGAATGACAAGAGAGGATGATTGCCCTATTGTCTATCTTCCAGCTGCTTTCAATGCCCTGAAGTTTTATTCACACCCAAATATTAGAATCCTGAGAGCGCGTACTCAAATGATAAATCATGCTAATTTCTCAATAAAAGTGTTACAGAATAGTAATGCCTAGGTTTTCTTCTAGGGTTTTTATGGTTTTAGGTCTAACGTTTACCATTCAGGACATAGGCGTGGGCAAGGACTTCATGTCCAAAACACCAAAACCAATGGCAACAAAAGCCAAAATTGACAAATGGGATCTAATTAAACTAAAGAGCTTCTGCACAGCAAAAGAAACTACCATCAGAGTGAACAGGCAACCTACAACATGGGAGAAAATTTTCGCAACCTACTCATCTGACAAAGGGCTAACATCCAGAATCTACAATGAACTCAAACAAATTTACAAGAAAAAAACAAACAACCCCATCAAAAAGTGGGCGAAGGACATGAACAGACACTTCTCAAAAGAAGACATTTATGCAGCCAAAAAACACATGAAAAAATGCTCATCATCACTGGCCATCAGAGAAATGCAAATCAAAACCACTATGAGATACCATCTCACACCAGTTAGAATGGCAATCATTAAAAAGTCAGGAAACAACAGGTGCTGGAGAGGATGTGGAGAAATAGGAACACTTTTACACTGTTGGTGGGACTGTAAACTAGTTCAACCATTGTGGAAGTCAGTGTGGCGATTCCTCAGGGATCTAGAACTAGAAATACCATTTGACCCAGCCATCCCATTACTGGGTATATACTCAAAGGACTATAAATCATGCTGCTATAAAGACACATGCACCCGTATGTTTATTGCGGCATTATTCACAATAGCAAAGACTTGGAACCAACCCAAATGTCCAACAATGATAGACTGGATTAAGAAAATGTGGCACATATACACCATGGAATACTATGCAGCCATAAAAAATGATGAGTTCATGTCCTTTGTAGGGACATGGATGAAACTGGAAATCATCATTCTCAGTAAACTATTGCAAGAACAAAAAACCAAACACCGCATATTCTCACTCATAGGTGGGAATTGAACAATGAGATCACATGGACACAGGAAGGGGAACATCACACTCTGGGGACTGTTGTGGGGTCGGGGGAGAGGGGAGGGATAGCATCGGGAGATATACCTAATGCTAGATGACGAGTTAGTGGGTGCAGTGCACCAGCATGCACATGTATACATATGTAACTAACCTGCACAATGTGCACATGTACCCTAAAACTTAAAGTACAATAAAAAAAATAGATACGACTTCTAAGACATCTCAATTCTCTGTGAATTTTGATACTATAGGGAACCAGGACATGACACTAATTGAATAGATTCCTCAGAGACCTACAAGCTGTCAACTGCATAAAGATTTCTTTATGTAATGCAATGTTTTGGTTCATTGTACACAACATCAAAACACTAAGATCAGAGAGAATGCAAAAGATGTTTTAACTGATACTTAAGAACAGAATACATTTGACCCCTCAAAGCGTCCCAGGAAGAGTAATTATTCTAAACACTTTTCTATATTCCTCAGAAAACAGTAGAATCCCATAGTTAACTATCATTTAAAATAGTGGCTTAATAATTATCTTTGATGCCTAGGTGAACATTTATTTTTCTTGTCCCTATTATTATACAATAAAAGTCCAAAAATGCATAAAGTCGCCTACCTACAATGACAAAAAAAAATTGGCAGTGTGAGCCTGGGGATGGCCTGGAAGCAAGTCATGAGCACTAACGCATTTGCATGCATTTGACTGTCTAGTAAAGCAGACCAATTATACAGCTCCCAAAAGGCAGCTTAGTGATGGAAAATTCTTTCAGTAGCTTTTTAGTTTATTTGATTGATTGTGTATGACCCAGTGATAGCAGTTTGAATTTGATTGTAGATAGAAAAGAAAAAGAAAGCAAACTGATCTATATTACTTAAAAGAGCAAGTATACAGAAAACTAGGCATGCAATTATTCATTCCATACTGGTGAATATTGGTTTTTGAGAAATTAAAAAATACATTTCTTTGTATTTCCAGGTATTGATTTTAATCTTATTAAATGAAATAACCACGTGTCAACCTGGGGGAAAGACTGAGTGAAGACCATCATGATCATCTCAAAACACAAAGGAACTTGCATCCAGAATGGCTTAACTTTGAAAATAGGTACCTGAGCAAAGAAAAGGGTTGATTCATTTGATTGTTATAGATTTAGAAGAAAGCTATGGATTTAGAAGAAAACTCACTTGACTACCTAAATAGCTTTATGTCATTTCCAGCTCTCATATCTCTCTACTTTGGAAGTAGATTTTGAAACCCAGATTCTATTTTGAGGCTTCTCTTGCCAAAGGAATTGTCATGACTCTTCTCTTTACCTCACAGGACCCAACTTTAACACCATTCTAATCTTTTCTAATTCAACTTCCTATGCTTTGTTTTCATCGAGGCAGTTAATCAAATAATAACCATAATCATAGTAATAGTAATAATTATGACTATAAGTTGTATTTAAATACTAAGTGCTTTGCCTGTATACACTCATTTTATCCTCACAACTATAGGAGGTAGCAACTAGTGTCATACTGAGGCATAGAAAGGTGAAGTAAGTCACCCAATTTTAAGTGGCAGAGGAAATTTTCATGCCCATATGGTGTGGCTTAAAGCCTGCACACTTGAACACTATACCAGATAGCATGGACTACTAGGCAGGATTAAAGAGAAGTGGCATAATTGTATCACAATTGGTATACTAAAGGAAAATTTGGTAAATATTTTTTCTAAGAGGAATACTTTGATTTTGTATAGCAGAACAATGTAAGTGAAGTAAATATTGTTTAGGAAGGATTTTAAGTTCATATTGATTTAATCTGCCTCACTGGGGATGTGTGCCTTAAAAACCCTCTTACTCCTTTTTCATCTTAGAGAGAGGTTTCCTTCCCTTTTTTGTGAGACAGTGTCTCACTTTGTCAGTCAGGCTGAGTGCAGTGGCAGTCATAGATCACTGTAGCCTCTACCTTCTGAGCTCGAGTGAGCCTCCTGTCTCAGCCTCCTGAGTAGCCACCAGCATAGCTGGGGCTACAGGGGTGCACCACCACATCTTATTTTTTGGTAGAGATGGGATTTCAGCATTTTGCCCAGCCTGGTCACTTGGAGAGAGGTTTCTAGTCACATATTCAGTATGTTATTTTCCTTTAGATCTTGCTTATTCAATTTTTAATCAAAGGCATGAATAAAGATATAGACTGCAAACATACGTTGGCTTATTTAATATCAGACTCAAAAATAATATGCCTAAGTACATAAAACCAAATGTAGTAGAAACAAGTATCAAGTTTTATCTTTAGTTTTATGAAATGTATTTTTTAAGATGTTTAAACTTGAAACACATGTCACAGTGTTATGTAAGTTTTGGTTCATTTGTCTCGCTCTGCTTCTGTATAATAGGTATAAGATGATCTTTCAGAATTCTTAGCAACTGTATAGTACTTATCTCCTAGAACTTGTTCAATAATAATTGCTAGATGGATTCATGGACTAAAGAATTAATAGATATAGATTGAAAACTAAAGTATTTTATTTTACAAAGATCAGAATTAATTTACTAAAATCTAAATTTCTGCTAGTAATATTAAATACACGTGGATAAACTACAAGAATGATAAAAATATTGCATCGTAAGAGTCATTAAAAACTTGATATATTGTTAGACAACAACAGTATATTATGATTGTTTTTCAGGCCTCTCATTCCAAGACAGATTTTAATACAATGCAAAGTATCAAAAATAACTTTAAAATATGATGAATGCTGTGAAATTCATGAAACATGAACAAAACCTTAGGATATTCCATGTTTATTTCAGAGAAGATATAAGAAATTGATTTTTACATACTTAAAGGCTTTCCAAAGCAAGATTAGAAATGTTGAGTTTTTCCAGAGACTTACATATTTCAGAAAAGCCAATTTCATCTCAAACTCTGAAAGTCATTTTATAAAGTACATTGGTAATCATTGCATCTGCTACTTCACAAGGTTTTGTGCTCTTTGAAAGGTGTCAAGCAGATCACCTTTCAAAAATGTTCCAGTTTTCTACTGAATGAACTGAAAGCCCTCCCAATTCCATATTCAAAAGCTTGCGCAATTTCATGATTTGAAAAATTATATAAAGTCCTAATGAATTCATTCTGCAGCCAAACCCCCAGGAGTCCTGTCCTCAGGACCTCCCTGAGCCGACTTCCACCGAGGGAGGGGGAGCTTCAGGAGGCGGAGCTTCAGGATGCCTGCTGTGTTCTGGGGACATCCGTGTCATATCCGGTTTTCAGCTTCTTCTTGAAGATTGTTTCGTATCGTGGCTTCATTTCTCAGAGAAGAGCCGCGAGGAGATAGAACCATCTCCTTTCACATTGGTCTCCTCCCCTCCTGGAAAACAATGAGCTCCTTTTACCTTTTTTTTTTTTTTTTTTTGGTTCGAGTGTGGTCATCTTGATTCTACAAAAGAGGTAGCTCAGGATCGTGATGAAATTTCGGTTTCTTTGAGACCGAAGCTTCTCACATTGTCGAGGTCTTCAGAAAGCCAAAGTGGAACCGCCGCGGAAATGATTGACAACCGCCCACATGACCCAGGCAGAGACGCAGACAGAGGCCCACTAAAGACACGCTGACATGCAAGAGACCGCTTTGTAGCGCACTGGGCACATAAACACACACGCTCACGGGCACACACACACAGAGAGACAGAGAAAGTGAGAGAAACAGAGAGTGAGTGACAGAGAGAAGAGAGAATGGGAGACACACGCACCCAGACATACAGCAGTGGCAGAGACACACAACCCCCAGGCAATCACTGAGGCTGCGGGTTTCTGCTGTTTGTGAGAATGACCCTCGGGTGAGAGAGTAGTCCTTGGGCACACGGGCAGACCTGTCCTCGAGATCACGGGGGGCACGACTTTGGGGGGACTCACCCGAACACCGTACGGGCAGGCCTGAGGCTGGGATGCCGCACTGCTTTCCCTGGACTCCGTCTGCTGTTTCTGCATCCTGGTAGGCCCTCCGTGTAGCATAGTGTCCCGAATCTGTTTTGTCGACCCCCTGGATTAGTCAGACTGGAGCCTCGACACCGACGCACCGCCACGGAGGGCTCCTGCTTTGTCAAGGCTCAGGGAATCGTCCTCAGCCAACCGTTGGAGTCACCGTCACGGGAGAATGGGCTCGTGCCTCCCGCATGCGCATTGCCCAGGCGGACTCCTGCTTTGCTCTTCGAACTCCGGCTGTGGCCGCTTTAAACAGGTTCAGCAACACGTGGCGGGGGTTCTGTGGCAGTCGCAGTGGCGGCTGGAGTGGGGATGTAGTAAGGGGCGTTATGGGAGTGGGGGCTTCGGGTCCTCCAGGGCCGGACCCCCGGGAGACCTGTTCTCAGAACCTCCTTGAGCCGACTTCTACCGGTGCAGGGGGACCCCGCTTCAAGGCGCCAGCTCGGGTCTCCGGACTCACAGGCTGGTGTGCATTGTGGTGATCAGAGCTCACTGCAGCCTCAATCTCCCAGGCTGAAGCAATTTTCTTGCCTCAGCCTCCCACGTACCTGGGACTACAGGCATGTGCCCCCACACTCAACTACTTTTCTCCAAAAACATTTTTGTACGAATGGGGACTTACTACGTTGCCTGGCTCATGTCAAACTCCTGGGCTCCAACTGTCCTCCTGCGTTGGCCTCCCCAAGTGCTGAGATTACAGGTGTGAGCTTGCTCCTGCAGCTAAATTCTTATATCTTAAATCCCTACCTCCCACAAGCAGATGTTAGGCCCACTTATTTTATCACTTTTTGCTGTTGATGTCTTTTTGTCCCTGGGCACAGGGATTAGTGACCCACTTTCCACCAAATTTCAAATCATTAGGGACATTATGTTGTGTCCCAGGAGTGGCTGAGGCTTCAAGTACCTGCTGCTCTAACCTAGGCCTGCTGAGGAGTACAATTCATCTTGTGTTTCTGTGTTGTTTAACAACCTTCCTGAGCTCCTCTAAGTCAGTCCATCCTGCCACAACTGGCAAGAATCAAGAAACTCTCCAAGAAAATGTTTCTCAACCTGCCTGTTGTCAAGTAGAAGAGGTCTGCTGACCACGGCAGGCATGGCAGTGCATGACAGTGAGCGCCCCCCACCGTGTTTGCTATTCACTGCATGTTCCGCCTGAACGTTCCCGTCTGCTCAGTGAGTCTTGACAGTGGGGTAAAGGGGTCTCACTCTCAAAGACCAAGGCTGACCCTCTCTGAATACAATGCCTTGACCTAGTTACTGTCACTGTGGTTTTGTCTTCAGGACTAAAAGATACAATAAGAATTTGTTCCTTTAATTGTCCTGTTGATGCACAAAATACTTAAATGCTTCTACATAGGTCTGCTCTTGTGCATCACAGAGCACTAAGGGAAAGTCCCCACGGTAAAAGTGCTTTTCACCTGAGCTGCTACGTGTGACAGTAAAGCAGCTGAAGGTTAAAAAAAATCAAAGCTCCCCAAATATGGGTATAACAGCTGGTCCAACCTCACAGTCTGTACTTTCCCTCTGTAACAGCATGGATAAATAGAGATAACTAGCAACTGATACCCTAGTGTGCCAAGCAATTGATGTATCTGTGTGATTAAAAACCAGCATTTAGCCATACTCTAGATACACTAAATATCAACCCCACACTCCTAGCCTGTAATTCCACTTTGCTTCCAGATAGCAGTTACAATTGGAAAGGAAATACCTAGTTTACAGGAGGCATTAATACTTCATTGTTGCAGAAACTAAACCCTTAAAAGAATGTAACCTGGACTTTCTGACCTGGATACTAACAAATAGTGAAAAATATGTATCTAAGAATACACTTGGAACAGAAATGTGAAAAACCAAAAGTAAGAGATATTATGAAGGATCAAATATAAAATGACCCAGTGCTGAAGAGGCAACAAAGAAAATTGTAGAAGAAAATGACAGGAGGCATTATGCCTTAATGAGTTTGTGCTACTGTATAAGAAAATACAATAGGCTGGGTAATTTCTGAAGAAGAGAAATTATTTCTCACAGTTCCATAGGCTGGAAGTCCAAGATCAAGGTGCCAGCAGGATTGGTGTCTCGTGAGGACCTGGCCTTTGCATCCAAGATGGTAGCTTGTGCACTGTGTCTTCAGGAGGAGATGCACTGTGCCCTCACATGGCAGAAGGCAGAAGGGCAAAACAGGAGAAGCCCACTCCCTCCAGTCCTTGCATAAGGACCCTGAACCCATTCATGAAGATTCTCCCTTCATGACTGAATCACTACCTGAGGGCCCTACTTCCTAATCTTATAACTTTGTGATTAATTTTAGGGGAACACATTCAGAACATAGCACTCTATATTCAATTTTTTAAAAAATTATTTTGTTGTTTTGCTTTTCTGTTTTTCAAATGGCTTAAAGTGCACAAAATTTGATTAATCATATTCCTTGGCTCATAGCATACCTTGGCTCCTATTTCATCTTTGTCTGTGCCTGGGCCTGTATGTAAATGTATTTGAATGTATTTGAATAATATGGTAATCACTTGTGAACCCACAACACAACCCAAGAACTAGGGTTCTGACCCTAACATCTGCTCCTCCTCTGTCCTTTTTCCTGATTTACACCCTTCAGTCCCAGGGTAACTACTACCCTGAATTTATGTTTAGGATTCCCTGCCTTTAAAAAAACATTGTTTTATTGCATATATATGATTGCCCTAAATGACATATTATTTAGTTTTTTAAGGGTATAATTTATTTACCCATTCTTCTATTAATTTACCCATTCTCCTATTAATGAAAATCTGGCTTGTTTCCATATATTCGCTATTATGAATGGCATTACATTAGCATTTATTTTTCTACTACTTCTGGTACATATGGGCAAGAGTTTCTCCAGGGCCTATGGTAGAGAAATTACTTTGCCCTAACATATGAGAATGCTCAACTTTATGAGATAATCCAAATTGTTTTCCAAAGTGGTTGTTCTAATTTAAACTCTCACCTCCTGTATTAGTTCGAAATGATCTTGTTGATCCACAGTCTCTCCATATTTGGTGATATGGTTTGGCTATGTCCCCACTCAAATCTCAGCTTGGATTCTATCTCCCAGAATACCCACATGTTGTGGGAGGGACCCAGAGTGAGGTAACTGAATGATGGAGGCCAGTCTTTCCTGTGCTATTCTCATGATAGTGAATAAGCCTCATGAGATCTGATGGGTTTCTCATGGGTTTCTGCTTTGGCTTCCTCCTCATTTTCTCTTGCTGCTGCCATTTAAGAAGTCCCTTTCACCTCCTACCATGACTCTGAGGCCTCCCCCACCATGTGGGACTGTAAATCCAATTACAGTTCTTTTCCTTTACACCTCTTTTTCTTCTCAGACTTGGGTATGTCTTTATCAGCAGTGTGAAAACGGACTAATATAGTAAATTGATACCAGTGGTGTGGGGTGCTGCAGAAAAGATACCCAAAAATGTGGAAGCGACTTTGAAACTTGGTAACAGGCAGAAGTTGGATCAGTTTGGAGGGCTCAGAAAAAGACTGGAAAAGGTGGGAAATTTTGGAACCTCCTAGAGACTTGTTGAATGGCTTTGACAAAAATGCTGATAGTGTTTTGAACAATAAGGTCCAGGCTGAGGTGGTCTCAGATGGAGATGAGGAACTTGTTGGGAACTGGAGCAAAGGTGACTCTCATTATGTTTTGGCAAAGAGAATGGCAGCATTTTGCCCCTGCCCTAGGGATTTGTGGAACTTTGAACTTGAGAGAGATGATTTAGGTTATCTGCTGGAAGAAATTTCTAAGCAGTAAAGCATTCAAGAGGTGACTTGGGTGATGCTAAAGGCCTTAGGTTTTATAAAGGAAGCAGAGCATACAAGTTTGGAAAATTTGCAGCCTGACAATGTGATAGAAAAGAAAATCCCATTTTCTGAGGATAAATTAGAGCAGTCTACAGAAATTTGCATAAGTAACGAGAAGCTGAATGTTAATCCCCAAAACAATAGGGGAAATTTCTATGGGACATGTCACAGGTCATCACAGCAGCCCCTCCCATCACAAGCCCAGAGGCCTAGGAGGAAAAAAATGGCTTTCTGGGCTGGGCCCAGGTTGACTGTGCTGTGTGCAGCCTAGGGCCTTGGTTCTCTGTGTTTCAGCCCCTCCAGCCATGGATGAAAGGGGCCAACATAGAACTCAGGCCTTGGCCTTGAGAGTGCAAACACCAAGCCTTGGCAGCTTCCACATGGTGTTGAGCCTGCGCATGCATAGAAGTCAAGAATTGAGGTTTGGAAACCCCCACCTAGATTTCAGAGGATGTATGAAAATTCCCGGATGTCCAAGCAGAAGTTTGCTGCAGCGGTGGTGCTCTGATGGAGAACCTCTGCTAGGGCTGCGAAGAAGGGAAATGTGGGGTTGGAGCCCCTACAAATAGTCCCTACTGGGGCACTTCCTAGTGGAGCTGTGAGGAGAGGGTCACTCTCCTCCAGGCCTCAGAATGGTAGATGCACTGTGAGCCTGGAAAAGCTGCAGTCACTCAACATCAACCCATGAAAGCAGCCAGGAGGTGGGCTATACCCTGCAAAGCCACAGGGGCAGAATTACCCAAGGCTGTGGGAGCCCACCTCTTGCATCAGCAAGAGCTTGATATGAAACATGAAGTCAACGGAGATCATTTTGGAGCTTTAAAATTTGACTACCTTGCTGGATTTCAGACTTGCATGGGGCCTGTAACCCCTTTGTTTTGGCCAATTTATGCCATTTGGAACAGCTGCATTTACTCAATTACCTGTACCCCCACTGTATCTAGGAAGTAACTAGCTTGATTTGGATTTTACAGGGTCATAGGCAGAAGAGACTTGCCTTGTCTCAGATGAGATTTCAGACAGGGGACATTTGGGTTAATGCTGAAATGAGTTAAGACTTTGGGGGACGGTTGGGAAGGCATGATCGGATTTGAAATGTGAGGACATGAGATTTGGAGAGGACATGAGATTTGGAGGGGCCAGGAGTGGAAAAATATGGTTTGACTCTGTCCCTACCCACATCTCACTTGAATTGTATTGCTCAGAATTCCCACATGTTCGGGGAGGGAACCAGGGGGAGGTAGTTGAATCTTTGGGGCCAGTCTTTCCCATGCTATTCTTTTGATAGTGGATAAATCTCACATTATCTTTTGGGTTTATCAGTGGTTTCATCTTTTGCTTCTTTTGCCTCCTTCTCATATTCTCTTGCCACTGCCATGTAAGAAGTGCTGTTCATCCACCGTCATAACTCTGAGGCCTCCTCAACCATGAGGAACCCTAAATACAATTAACCCACTTTTTCTTCCCTGTCTCAGGTGTGTCTTTATCAGCAGTGTGAATGTGGACTAATACATTGGGTATTGTCAGACTTCTTAATATTTGTGGGGAGAATAGATGTGTAGTATCTTGGGCATTTTCCTGATTACTAATGAGGTTGAGAAATTTTTTACATTCTGCAGGCTTTCTCTTTTGTGAAATCCCTATTGATGTATTTTCCCAATTTTCTGTTGGGTTGCTATTTTTAAAATTAATTCATAGGAGTTCCTTATATTTAGTTGATATGATTTTAATCTTTCATAGGTTTTAGGTGCTGCAAATATCTTCTAATTTATAGTTTATCTTTTCACTTTTTTACTTTTATTTTTTAATTTTTTTTTTTTTTGAGACAGTGTCTAGCTCTGTTATTCAGGCTGGAGTGCAGTGGCTCACTGCAACCTCCACCTCCAGCGTTCAGATGATTCTCGTGCCTCAGCTTCCTGAGTAGCTGGGATTACAGGTATCTGCCACTAATGCTGAGCTAATTTCTTGTATTTTTAGGAGAGACGAGGTTTCACCATGTTGGCCAGCCTGGTCTCAAACTCCTGACCTCAGGTGATGTATTATTGGGGTTACAGGCTTGAGACACCGTGCCCAGCCTATCTTTCCACTTTTTGATGTAAAAAGTTCTTAATTTTGCGATAGTCAAAATGTCTAATCTTTTTAAATGGTTAAATGGCTTTTTGTGTCTCATTCACTTACATTTTCTACTAACTTCAAATCTGGCTTCTGAGTGACCTTTTCAGAGATTCTCCAATGTACCCAAGTAAACAAAATAACTGACTTCTATGTTTTTTCATTTTATTTTATGATTAAATATCAAAATATTGAAATAAACAAGATATCCTATGTAGGTTTTCTTTCTATCTCAAGTTCTAGATTTTGAGGCCTTTGAAGATAGAAACAACGGAATCAGGTCCTTGAACACAGGAGTTAGTCAGTAAGCATTTGTTGAATAAACAATAACAGGACATCTTTCCACTTTCCTAAAACTCATCAAAGAATTCTTACTCATTCTGATCCGTCTTCCCTTATGATGAGACCAAACCACTCACTGTGGTCAACGGCATTCAAAAATAAAAAGTGGGGGATTTCCAGAGGTTAAAAAATGTGGACAAAACTATTTTAAATATTCATGTATTTATGAACTGATTCATTAAAAAATTCTCACTATTAATATTTGCACATCATTAGGGACCGTGAGTATAGCAGAGAACAAAACAGAAAAATTTTCCGGCCACATGAAATCTATATTCTAGAGGACAGAAGAAATGGTCTGATAAGAATCAGGAAAGAACATGATACGTCCAGATTAAATCGTAACCTTTATGTAGAATAAGAGTGAAATCACTGTAAGCTATGTTGATATTTGACCAGGCTACTTGAACACTTTTAGATAAGTGCTTTAAAGCCATTGGTGGCTTTTGAACAAGGAACTACTGTGGTCACTGAATTTCATGACAGAGTGCAATAGAAGTGGAAAATGTACATATAAATATTCTCAGGCCCCAATGTGCCATATCATGGAAACTTTGCAATTTTCCAGATGACAGAGAATAGAAATTTGAGACATGACAATGGAAATGATAGTGAAAGGATGAATGTTAAATACACTGCAGAGGAGTAAGAACTGGCAAGAATTGACAAATGATGAGTTAAGCAAGGTATGAAAAAATGAGGAGTCAGGTGAGTAAGAAGGGAGGGGGAATAAAATGCATTGCTTAATAACAGAGATACTTTCTGAAAAATACGTTGTTGGACAATTTCATTTTCCTGCAAACATCGTAGAGTGTACTTACACTAACCTAAATTGCAGCCCACTACTACACAACTAGGCAATATGGTATAACCTATTGCTCCTAGGCTACAAAACTTTATAGCATGTTACTTTACTCAATACTGTAGGCAATTGTAACACAATGGTAGATATTTGTGTTTCTAAACAAGCAACAACATAGAAAAGGTACAGTAAAATACAGTAAGATAGTCTTATGGGTCTACCATCATATATACAAGTCTGTCATTGACCAAACATTGTTATGTGGCGCATGGCTGTAATATGGTATCATGTTAAGCAGAAAGTCTCAACCTTCCCAGTTGAGGCACACTGATAAAAACTATAATAAGAAATGTGTTACTGATTACAAAATCTCATAATTATGAGCAATTTGTTCTTTCATAAATTTAAGAGAATTTCTCCAGAATAACAACACTCACTTTCATTCCTGTATGCTTGTCTTTAAAAGTAGAAGGAAAAGTTGATGAAAGTATGGCTAAAGTTGGAACTTCTCTCTCTTCTACCCTGGCTGCAGCATTAGTGAATAAGTATAATTTTTATGACTATAACAATTAAATATTTCTCTTTCTGGACTTTACTTTTCCAGAAAGAGAATCTTTGGAGGAAAAGCTGATCTGTGAGGCAGTAAAGGAAAAATGTTAATGTTTATGCCCTATGAACCTTTAGAAGAAAGTCATTTTTTGATGGAAGCTTGCTTGTGTCAATACATGCATGCATGGAAACAAATATTCTCTTCTTCCCCATGTCTTTTCTATGCTATCCTATTCCACCAGTCCTGAATTAGTGCTTTTGTTCTGCAGCTAACTCTCTCAAGTTTGTCTTTCTGAAGTCCGAATCTCTCTCTTGAATGTTTCTGGCCTCAGTACCTACCCTGTAAACGCGCTAAACCTGATCCATTTACAGACTAGATAGTTTTTGGTCCAAAAGATAATTCATGGAATTTCCCTAATAAATGTATATTAATTTATATTACTTTAACAATTGATTTTCGTTGATCCTGATGAGGATTGCCTATTAGTTGATTACTATGTGTATTCTGTAAAGATATACATGGCTGGCAGAAAAGAAGATATTTTATGCCATAAAATATTATGGACAATTTTTTAAAAATAAGACTATGTTTTTCCTGAAACAAGCTATTTCTACAAACATATGCTTTCATGAAATTTTATTTCTCATGATACCTTTATGATTACCTTATTGTATGCTGACTGTATTAATAAAGTTAGAGATTCTATGAAGTTTTAAGAGATTTTCTCTCTTTTATTATTTTTTTTCTTTAAGTTCTGGGACAGAACATGTACAGAACATGCAGGTTTGTTACATAGGTACACATGTGCCATGATGGTTTGCAGCACCTATCAACCCATCATCTAGGTTTTAAGTCACACATGCATTAGGTATTTATTCTAATGCTCTCCCTCCTCTTGCTCCACACCCTCCAACAGGCCCTGGTGTGTGATGTTCCCCTCCATGTGTCCATGTGTTCTCATTGTTCAACTCCCATTTATGACTGAGAAAATGCAGTGTTTGTTTTTCTGTTCCTGTGTTAGTTTGCTGAGAATGGTGGCTTCCAACTTCATCCATGTCCCTGCAAAAGACATGAACTCATTCTTTTTTATGGCTGCATAGTATTCCATGGTGTATACATGCCACATTTTCTTTATCCAGTCTATCATTGATGGGCATTTGGATTGGTTCCAAGTATTTGCTATTGTAAATAGTGCTGCAATAAACATATGTGTGCATGTGTCTTTATAGTAGAATGATTTATAATCTGTTGGGTATATACTCCATAATGAGATGGCTGGGTCAAATAGTATTTCTGGCTCTAGATCATTGAGGAATTGCCACACTGTCTTCCACAATGGTGGAACTACTTTACACTCCCACCAACAGCGTAAAAGCATTCCTATTTCTCCACAGCCTTGCCAGAATCTGTTGTTTCCTGACATTTTAATAATCATCATTCTAACTGGCATGAGATGGTATCTCACTGTGGTTTCGATTTGTATTTCTCTAATGACCAGTGATGATGAGCGTTTTTTCATATGTTTATTGGCTGCATAAATGCCCTTTTTTTTTTTGAGTCGGATTTTCGCTCTTGTTGCCCAATCTGGAGTAGTTAACAGAACGATCTCGGCTCACTGCAACCTCCGCCTCCTGGGTTCAAGTGATTCTCCTGCCTCAGCCTCCCAAGTAGCTGGGATTACAGGCATGCATCACCATGCCCAGCTAATTTTTTGTATTTTTAGTTGAAACGGGGTTTCACCATGTTAGCCAGGCTGGTCTTGAACTCCTGACCTCAGGTGATCCACCCACCCCAGCCTCTCAAAGTGCTGGGACTACAGGCATGAGTCACCATGCCCGGCCCTCAATGTCTTCTTTTGAGAAGTGTCTGCTTATATCCTTCACCCACATTTTGATGGGATTGTTTTTTTCTTGTAAATTTGTTTAAGTTCCTTGTAGATTCTGGATATTAGACCTTTTTCCAATGGGTAGATCACAGAAATGTTCTCCCATTCTTTAGGTTGCCAGTTCACACTGATGATAGTTTCTTTTGCTGTGCAGAAGCTTTTTAGTTCAATTAGATTCCATTTGTCAATTTTGGCTTTTGTTGCAATTGCTTTTGGTGTTTTAGTCATAGTCTGCTCATCCCTTCATCCTGAACGGTATTGGCTAAGCTTTCTTCTAGGGTTTTTGTGGTTTTAAGTCTTTAATCTGTCTCGAGTTAATTTTTATAAGGTGTAAGGAAGGGGCCCAGTTTCTGTTTTCTGCATATGGCTAGCCAGTTTTCTCAGCACCATTTATGAAATAGGCAATCCTTTCCCTGTTGCTTGTTTTTGTCAGGTTTGTGGAAGACCAGATGGTTGTACATGTGTGGTATTATTTTTGAGGTCTCTGTTCTGTTCCATTGGTCTATATATTTGTTGGGTACCAAAACCATGCTGTTTTGGTTACCATAGCCTTGTAGTACGGTTTGAAGTCAGGTAGCGTGATGCCTCCAACTTTGTTCTTTTTGCTTAGGATTATCTTGGCTATATGGACTCTTTTTTGGTTCCATATGGAATTTAAAGTGTTTTTTTTTTTCTAATTCTGTGAAGAAAGTCAATAGTAGCTTGATAGGAATAGCATTGAATCTATAAATTACATTGAGCAGTATGGCCATTTTCATTATATTGATTCTTCCTATCCATGAGTATGGACTTTTTTTTTCCATTTATTTGTGTCCTGTGTTATTTTCTTGAGCAGTGGTTTGCAGTTCTCCTTGAAGAGGTCCTTCACGTCCCTTGTAAGTTCTATTCCTTGGTAGCTTATTCTTTGTAGCAATTGTGAATGGGAATTGACCCATTATTTGGCTCTCTGCTTGTCTATTATTGGTGTATATGAATACATGTGATTTTTTCACTTTGATTTTGCATCCTGATACTTTGCAACTTAAAGAGTTTTGGGTCTGAGACGATGGGGTTTTCTACATATACAGTCATGTCATCTGCAAACAGAGGCAATTTGACTTCCTCTCTTCCTATTGGATACCTTTTATTTCTTTCTCTTGCCTGATTGCCCTGGACAGAACTTCCAATCCTATGCTGAATAGGAGTGGTGAGAGAGGGCATCCTTGTCTTGTGCCAGTTTTCAAAGGGAATGCTTCCACTTTTGCAATAAGTGTTTATTGTGTTGAAGTTTTGTGAAAATAGTAGATTAGATTTTTCTACCAATTGCGTATCTTAAAAAATCATTTAGTACACAGTTTTTACGTTTTAAGTAAAAGAGATCACAAGTGACTAATTAAAATAACAATGAGAGTACTGTAAGTATTCCAAAATAGTTTTTTCTAGTGGTGATATTTAGGGTGTATATTTGGTTTGGATTTTGTGTATATGTATTTCTAAGTTACCTACAGTGAATACATTTGTGGACATCAAACACTCTATGTTTCTTTTTTTGTGATAGCTTGTGCCTGACCTAATTCTACATTAGCGAGCAGATTGAAGAAGTGAGGAGACATCAGATAGATGTAGACGCTTCACCAAGGAGTCCCCCTGCAGTGCCACAGGGGCAGTAGGCTCACTTATTCCATATCCTTGGCATTTGCAGGGATAGACATACACAGGGAGGCATGGGGAGCTCCTGAGGAGCAAGGACAGATGGTCAATGGTGGGAAAAAGTTACAGTGCCATATACCCTCTTTCTTTTAATGGAAACTCAGGGATGGATGGTCTGGCCATAAACTATTAATAGTACCTCTGGAAAATAATAATACTCAATACAGGGCCCATCAAAACTGTTTCTCAAATTTAAAAGAGCCACAGGGTTGCAGAACGGGGACTTAGAAATATTAGAGGCAATTATATTTAAAATGGATGGTCACAAAACCCTGATTCTGGGTTAGTATGGTTTGCCTCCTCAGTAAATAAGACATGGAATCATAGCAGTAAAAGTATTTTGAGTCTGGCATTTTACACATAGAAATGTGAATCCTTTTTTACATTTAAAAAATGCAAATCAATAGAAAATATGTGGTTTTATACATAGGATTTTTGTTTAAGGACTGTATTTTAGTGCACAGTCTTCTACTTAACAAAATATGTCTGCATTCAAAACAAATTATTTGCTATGAAGCAGAGAGTGAAATTTATCAGGGTCTTAATATTATAAGTTAAATTTTATATTTTGAGGTTATTACCCTGGTTTGGATTTTGTACATTTACACAACACCTTACAGAAGTGGTTTTCAAACCACATTCCACAGAATGTCCCTTTTTAAGGCTAAGTAATGTTCCACTGTATATCTGTACCACATTTTGTTTATCCATTCCTCTGTCAATGAATGCTTCCACCTTTTGGCTATCATGAATAATGTTGCTATACACATGAATTTACAAATATCTGTTGAAGTCCCTGCTTTCAATTTTTGTGGGTTTAAACCCAGAAGTGGACTTGCTAATTGACATAGTAATTCTATGTTTCATTTTTATTTATTTATTTATTTATTTATTTATTTATTTATTTATTTATTTTTGAGATGGAGTCTGACTCTCTTGGCTCACTGCAACCTCCACCTCCCAGATTCAAGTGGTTCTGCTGCCTCAGCCTCCTGAGTAGCTGGGATTACAGGCACACAGCACCACTCCCAGCTAATTTTTGTATTTTTAGTTGAGACAGGGTTTCAACACGTTGGTCAGGCTTGTCTTTAACTCCTGACCTCATGATCTGGCCACCTCGGTGTCCTAAAGTGCTGGGATAACAGGCACGAGCCACTGAGCCCAGCCTATGTTCCATTTATTTTTAATTTAGGAACCACTGTACTCTTTTCCACCCTGACTATACTGCTGTAGAGTCCACCGGCAATGTACAAGAGTTTCGACTTGGTTACATCCTCACCAACACTTGTTATTCCCTGCTTTTTTGATGATTGCCATCCTCATGTGTATGAAGTGATATCTTACTATGGTTTTGATTTGCATTTCCTTAGTAATCAGTCATGTTGAGCATCTTTCATGTGCTTGATGGCCACTTGTATATCTTTTTTGGGAAATTTTCTATGTAAGTCCTTTGCCTACTTTTTAATTGGGTTGTTTATTTATTGTTGAGTTGTAGGAATTCTTTATATATTCTGCATATTGATCCCTTATCAAAGATATTATTTGAAATATTTTCTTCCATTCTGCCAGTTGTCCTCTGATTGCACAAAAGTTTTAAATTTTGGTGAAGTCCAATTTACTTATTTTTTTCTTTTGTTACTTATGCTTTTGGTGTCAGAAAGCTTTTAGTTTATAATTTTAACTATATCATGTCTCCTGCCTCATATGTACCACTGGACAAGGTCCCTTTTATGTGCTCAGCTTCTGTCAGAGGTAAATGTATTTTGAAGTGGAGAATGAAGATAATTGCAAAACTGGTCTGGAGAACAAAGGTAATTATGAAAGTTCCAGATACAAGGAGAGAGGGCTCAATATGCCAGCAGTTCTCTACCAATCCATCCTAGTATTGCCTGAATAATGCAGGGGATGTGTGCAAGACACACAAGTGTTCCAGAAGCATGTAAACAAGGTACAGAGAAGAGGATAAGATAAAATAAGATGAGCTAAGAATATTAGGAAAGCCCTGTTCAGAAGATTGCCTACAGAGGCAAAAGGGACAGTTTCATTTTGCTGAGGGAAACAGGGTGGTAAGAAGCCTCGTGGGGAAGATCCCCGCTTACCCTGATACAGAGAGGTGTAAAATAATGTAATGGGAGAGCATTAGGCTGAGATAGCTCCCATGGCCTGGGTTCGTACATAGACAAAATGAAACAACCTTAGTCCACCAAGTGGCCCACTGAGTATTAGCTGCATAATGAGAGACCTACCACCAGGATAGTTCAAATAATGCAACTGCCCAAATTTTTGCCAAACAAATAATTGCTCTACTCTACTTCTATATTCACCCTATAAAAGCCTTCCCTACAAACGCCTCCAGTAGATCCTCCAACCACTTTCAGTTTGGAGCTGGCTGATCCGTGAATCTCTGTTTGCTTAAGAAACTCTTTAAAATGTTAATATGCTTAAGTTTATCTATTTTTTTCTCATTTTTAAAAATTGAGATGGGATTTTCCTATGTTGTCCAGGCTGGTCTTAAACTCCTGAACTCAAGGGATCCTCCTGCCTCAGCCTCCTGAGTAGCTGGAATTATAGACGTATGCCTCCACAGCCAGCTTACATTTATCTTTAAACAAGGGTTTGACCCCTTTCTGAAATGTATTTGTGTTAAAACCTGTACCCTAAGTGATATGGCAGGCTCATTTTAGACCATTGGACACTTTTGTGTCTGGACCACAATTTGCCCTCTGTGACCTGCTCTCCTAAGAAATTCAAGTGTAATTCAAGTTAGTTTACCCTCTGCTGATCAGGGGAGATTGCTCTGGGTGCAAATTCAAGACAGGCACTCACACCTTCATTCGTACCCCAAATCTCAGCATCACACAGTACACTCATGTAATAAACCTGCAGAGGTACCCACTGGAATCTAAAATGAAAGTTGAAATTCCCTAAAATTTTAATCTCATCTTACTAAAAAACAAAGATAAATTTACTTCTTTCCAATTTTGACATATATTATACTGACATACACTCTATATTCTATGGTGAATTATATTGATTGAATTTCACATTTTAAACTAACACTGAGTTACTGTGAACAACTCTATTGTGTCATAATGTATTTCGTTTTTAATATATTTTAATACAATTTGCAAATATTCTGTTTTCAAATTACATCTTTGTTCCATAAATAAATAAATATGTAAAAAATAATAAATATTTATATTATTCAAGTGACGATTATAGCGATCTTTTTGAATATCTACTTAACCTCAGCTAGCTTTAAATTCAGAAGTAGCAACTCCATAGAAATTCAACTTATTTCTACCTTATTACTCATACTTGTCTCCTTGAAGACGCTTCATTGCTATCAACCAGTTTAGACTGGGATGTCACAGATCTCTAGACTGAGTAGTATAATACTCACTATTCAAATAAAATCAAATTATTATAATGTCATGACACCTCCAAATACAAAAACGAAGCCCATGGATGTTAGGTTAAGGTATAGAGACAAGTATTCCTACTTACTATCTTTTAGGGAAGACATATAACCCAGCTAAGGTGATTGCAAAATAAAATGGAAACCATATTGTGGAAGGGGACTCGAGACTCAGATTGGATTTTCTTTTTTTGTTCTTTTTTTTATTATTATACTTTAAGTTTTAGGGTACATGTTCACAATGTGCAGGTTAGATACATATGTATACAGGTGCCATGCTGGTGTGCTGCACCCACTAACTCGTCATCTAGCATTAGGTATATCTCCCAATGCTATCCAGCCCCCCTCCCCCCACCCCACAACAGTCCCTAGAGTGTGATGTTCCCCTGCCTGTGTCCATGTGTTCTCATTGTTCAATTGTCACCTATGAGTGAGAATATACGGTGTTTGGTTTTTTGTTCTTGCGATAGTTTACTGCATTCTCAGATTGGATTTTCATTCCAACTCTTACATACACAAGCTGCATGACTCTGGGTAAATTGCATATTCTCTTAGAGTTTCAATTTCTTCATCTGTACAATGGAGGTTAATGCCTACGGGCTATGGCTGATGTAGGGATAAAAGAACCAACAAGGATGCATGGGCAGGGCCTGGTCCATAGAGCAGCTGGCATCAACAAATGGAAGCCCCCTTCCCATCTTGTCTTTGCGTGCAAAACAAAATCCTGAATATGTGGGTATAAAAAGTACTCTTATAAGAGAAAAATTGGAAACTTTTGCAAAAAGAGATTGGAAAGGTGTCACATCTTGTGGCATGAGGATTTGTGGACATACACTTGAACTTTGTGCTGTGAGATATCCACAGAACTTCAGTAGCTTAAGAGAACAGTTTAGATGTCATCTTATTCATCTACCATAGAACTTCTTCTTCTTTTCTGAGATTTCTAGACAGTAACTTTTACAGCTCTAATAATGCAGTTATCTCCCAATTGTTTGGACTTTTCTAATAGATACAAAGCAGTATTTCACCAGCAGATGCTACTGCAGTTCATATGGTGATTTCAAACTAAGAATCCCTTTAAAGTTATGCAATACTTTTTTTTTTTGGAAATAGGGTGAAAGTACTTTAAGATTAAAATCCTATGAAATAGGTTTACAGTAAATAATTATTTGTTGCAATGTCTATCCTAATATCTTATATTCACACATGTATCGGTGTCCTAATAAATATATGTGGTGAATGAAAGTTACTTGAGGGCAGAGACTGTGCCATATGTTCCCTGCACCACTGATGCCTATCTCAGCACGTGATGTACAGTAGATGCTCAGTAAATAACTTAAAAAACGCACTAAGAATAAATCTTAGAAGACATCAAAATACATATGAGTACAATCTAGGGACATGGTCAGGAGCTCAAAATTCAAACTTATGTATTTATTTTTTATTTAGAGACAGAGTCTCACTCTGTCACCCAGGCTGGAGTGTGGTGGCACGATCTCGGCTTACTGCAACCTTCCTCTCCCGGGTTCAAGCGATTCTCCTGCCTCAGCCTCCAGAGTAGCTGGGTTTACAGGTGCACACTAACACGCCCGACTAATTTTTTTTTTTTATTTTTAATGGACACAGGGTTTCACCAAGTTGGCCAGGCTGGTCTCAAACTCCTGAGCTCAGGCGATCTGCCCACTTTGGTCTCCCAAAATGCTGGGATTATAGGCATCAGCCACCGCACACTACCACAGAATATTTTAATGTAGCTTCAAAACCCCTTTGCAAATAGGTGTATTCATAACAAGATGCAAACAAGAAAACATTGAGCTTCATATAATAGAAGGGTTCTGCCTGGATTTGCATGTGGCCCCATCATTTGTTTGCTGTTGGGCCATGGTCAGGTTACTTAGCTGCTCTCTGCCTCCACTTAGGCTTTATGCCTGTGCATCCCTCATCTACAAAATGGGAATAATAAGAATATCTAACAGTTAGAAGTGGAGAAAACATATATAAAGGCCTTTCAAAAGATCTTGTCAAAGCTCAATAATTGTCCTCAATAATTGCTCTCAATAATTGTCAGCTATTATTCAGTAATAATCATAATCATGAAAATATATGACTCAAAGAAAGATTCCTACTTCATATCCAGCTTCCCAAAAGAATATCAGACATTGGACCTGTGAAAGGAATGACATTGAGATTTATTTTCACATCGCTAAGTTGGTTTTTTCTTTGCCATTCAATTTCTGCTGTCCCCACTCTAAGCCCATGGTCCACCATTTTATTTTTCCTTCTAAGATGTCTTCCCTTCTTGTAAGATTTTCTTTGCCTTAAGAAGGGCCCTTTTCATCCACCCACTCTTTTACCCTTCCCAGAAGTTGGTTAATGGGCACAAAAATACAATTAGATGGAAGGAACAGAAGAAGTTCTAGTGTTCAATAGCACAGTAGGGTGATGGTCGTTAACAATAACTTATTATACATTTCAAAATGGCTGGAGGAAAGATGTGGAATTTTCTTAACACAAATAAATGATAAATATTTGAGGTGATGGATATGCAAATTGTCTTGATTTGATCAGTGCACACTGTATGCATGTATCAAAATATCACATGAACCCTAGAAATAATTATAATTGTCATGTATCAATAAAAACAAAAAGGGCTTATTTCTCTTTCCTTCCTCCCAGCATTCCCTCCTATCCCAGATATGTGTTGCTCCTGGGGCTCTCCTGCCCCACATTCAGTCAGCACTGAGCCAGCAGGAGGGATTTCACAGGTCATATCCTGAGATCAACCCTCCACCCCTTCAGGTAATGATCCTCCTGCTCTTAGTCATTTATATCCTTTGGTTCATAGATATTTTGAGTCAAGTGCCTTCTAACCGCTGAGCTACATAATATCCCTTGGTTTTTAAAGATAATACAAAGTGGATTTTAGCAACAATCTTGAGTCATCACAGAAGCTAATGAATTTGGGGATTCCATGAAGCCATCCAAGCACATAAAGCCCATTTCCTGGGTCCCTTTCCCTTAGCTCAAGGCCACAAAAATCAGAACATGAATTCCAGCCCATATTTGCATTATGTCTAAATAATTATGAATTATAAATGAAGCTAAAAATAGCTAAATATGTTCTATTCTTCTACTTCAATAACTATACCGCCATAATAACCCACAAGGTCAAAGTCGAGTGTAGAATTCTCTGAGTTCTTGGTGCTCTGCACGGGAATGTGTTAGTAAAGGGAGAGCTGATCCTCAGCCCCAGGCTATTTTTTTTTCTTTCATCATAGCTAGCCCTGTCCTTACTTGAGAAACCTTGCCTACCCCTGTGTGGGGGACTCCCTAGGCCCCATGCAAGCTCCATCCACAATTCTCACCCCTTCAGACAGCAGAGCCTTGGGCACCATTTGGACAAGCACAGTTTTCACTTTGAAATGGACCCAGGGAAGAGGCCATGCGGGCTCAGGTACATTTGGCCAGGGGCCTGAGTGCCCAGCATGTGCCCTAGAAGAGAGGGTGAGAGCTCTGTGTGGGCCGGGGTACAGTCAGTGGAGGGCCAGAGAGGCACCTTCTCAAGCTCAGGATTCAGGGCGGGGGTCCTCTTGCCAAGATCGATGGCTACGATTCCTTCGTGCAATGACGACTGCGTCAAGTCTTCTCAGAGCACCTTTCTTTCAGTCTCAGCCACCGTGGGGAGTTCCATGGAAGCACAGGCTTCCCTTGTGCTGCCAGCAAACTCAAGCTACGCTTTCTGCCCTGGGACATCTCCACTATTGTAGGATTTTGCCTAAGCACAAATACAGCCCAGAAACACTTGCAGGTCAACAGCCTCAGGGGAAGACCTCAACCAGTGTGGGACAGGTGGGCAAATGCTCGAGGCTCAAGTTTCAGGTGGACAGTCCTGGATAACTTTCCAGAGCCTCTCGGAAGTTCCCGCATAAAAAAAGGCCATGGGAGCAGCCTCAATGGCATTCTATTATTTTGGCTTTTTTTTCTTGCCTGGCTCACTCTTCCCACATCTCACCCTTGCTTCTTGGAATCACTTCCCAAATAAATCATCCACACCCAAGTATTTACTCCAGCTCTGCTTTCAGGGGTACAGGCACACCTTGGAGATATTGCAGGTTTGGTTCTAGGTCACCACAATAAGGTGAATATCACAATAGAGCAAGTCACATGAAATTTTTTGCAAGTCATAAGAAATTTTTTGCTTTCTGATGCATATAAAAGTTATGTTGCCAGGCATGGTGGCTCACGCCTGTAATCCCAGCACATTGGGAGGCTGAGGCAGGTGGATCACCAGAGGTCAGAAGTTCAAGACCAGCCTGGCCAACATGGGGAAACCCTGTGAAAATACAAAAATGGTGGTGAGCGCCTGTATTCCTAGCTACTCAAGAGGCTGAGGCAGGAGAATTGTTTCAACCTGGGAAGCAGAGTTTGCAGTGAGACAAGATCACACCACTGCACTCCAACCTGGGCAACAGAGTGAGACTCCATCTCAAAAAAAAAAAGTTGTGTTTAAACTACTGTAGTTAATTAAGTGTGCAATAGCATTATGTCTAAAATATAATGTATATACCTTATTTTGAAAATACTTGATTGCCAAAAAATGCTAACCATCATCTGGGCCTTCAGCAAGTCATCATCATTTTGCTGGTGGATGGTTTTGTCTCAGTGTTGATAGCTGCTGACTGATCAGAGTGATGGTTGCTGAGGGCTGGAGAGGGTGTGGCAATTTCTTAAAATAACATGACAGTGAAGTTTGCCGCGTTGACTGACTCTTGCTTTCACAAAAGATTTCACTGTAGTATTCTACACCGTTTGGTAGCATTTTACCCACAGTAGAATTTATATCAAAACTGGAACCAATCCTCTCAAACCCTGCCACTCCTCTGTCAACTAAGTTTATGGGATATTCTAAGTCCTTTGTTGTTCTTTCCACAATGTTCATGGCATCTTCACCAGGAGTAGATTCCATCCCAAGAAACCACTTTCTTTGCTCATTCATAATGAGCAACTCTTCATCCATTATGATTGCAGCAATCTAGCCAGGTGCGGTGGCTCATGCCTGTAATCCCAGCACTTTTGTAGGCTGAAGCAGGTGGATCATCTGACGTTGGGAGTTCGAGACCAGCCTGACCAATATGGTGAAACTCCGTCTCTACTAAAAATACAAAATTAGCCAGGTGTTGTGGCACATGCCTACAATACCAGATACTCGGGGGGCTGAGGCAGGAGAATCGCTTGAACCCAGGAGTTGGAGGTTGCAGTGAGCTGAGATTGCACCATTGCACTCCAGCCTGGGCAACAAGAGCAAAACTCCATCTCAAAAAAAAAGATTGCAACAATTCACTCACATCTTCACGCTCCACTTTTAATACTAGTTCTCTTGCTATCTTCACCACATCTGTGGTTACTTCCTCTGCTAAAGTCTTGAACCCCTCAAAGTCATTTATGGGGGTTAGAATCAACTTCTTCCAAACTCCCATTAATGCTGCTATTTTTACTTCCTCTGGGAATCATGAATGTTCTTATTGGCATCTAAAATAGTGAATCCATTTATAGAGCACGGGTAGAGTAGATTTAGTGTAATTCTTAAGAGGTGCCCTAGGATTTATGGAATGGCAAATAAGCATTGGCTTGTAATAAGAGAGTCAGTCTGTCCTTTAAATCTTTTTTTTTTCTTGAGATAAGGTCTCACTCTGTTGTCCAGGCTGGATTGCAGTGGCAAGATCTTGGCCCACTTCAGACTTGACCTCCTTGACTCAAGCAATCCTCCCACCTCAGTCTCCTGAGTAGCTGGACTAGTAGCATGCACCACCATACATGGCTTATTTTTTTTATTCATTTATTTTTGGTTAGAGACAGGGTTTCACCATGTTGCCCAGGCTGGTCTCAAACTCCTAAGCTCAAGCCATTCTCCCACTTCAGCCTCTGAGAGACGTGAGCCACCCTTCCTGGCCTCTAAATTCATGTTATGTAGACTGATTTTCATGGTTAAAATGTCCTGAATTGACTGTGATCTGTTGGGAGGTGGGATGGAGGAAACTGCTTATGGAAATTGAAGAAGAAAGGGAAGCACACCAGAAGCAAGAAAGTGTCATCGATTTTTACATCAAAGACTCCATGGTAAAGAGAAAGAACAGGTAGCCTGTTTTTGTGGCTGATCATTGGACTGCAGACTGCACCTGCATCTACCAGGTTCTTCTGGATAGTCCTAGTTTTAAATTGTTGACCTGGCATTCATGAACACAGTGCTACTGGTCAGACCTTTGTCCAGGTTTAAGCTTCAGAAAATAAGGTCTTCATGCAGTGGGAGGCCTGGTTAGGGTATGATTCAGCCCTGGGGCATCTGTCCCTTCTGACCTGGAGGTAAACTTGGCATCTACAATTTACCTCCACATTTGAACAGCCAAGAATGGGCTGAGCACAAAGGCTCACATCTGTAACTCCAACATTTTGGGAGGCCAAGGCAGAAGGATTGCTTGAGGCCAGGAGTTGTAGACCAGCCTGGGCAATATAGTGAGACCTTGTCTCTGTAAAAACAAACAAACAAACAAAACCAAGGATGGGTGGGTGGCAGGGAGCAGTTCAACATGGGAAACCATTAATCTGAGAGCTGGAAGGACCCTTAGACCAGCCCCCTATTAACAGATGAGACTCTGCCCTGGGATTATAGCCTAAGGTAATGTATTGAAGTTTTCTAGAGATTTGAAAATAAACAATCCTAAAACCCCCAAGCATACTGCTACTGTTTGCTATTGAATAGTGTTTTCTAGTCCAGGTGTGGTGGGTCATGCCTGTAATCCCAACACTTTGGAAGGTTGACGCAAGTGGATCACCTGAGGTCAGGAGTTCGAGACCAGCCTGGCCAACATGGTGAAACCCTGTCTCTACTAAAAGTACAAAAAATTAGCAGGCCATGGTGGTGCATGCCTGTAATTCCAGCTGCTTGGGAGACTGAGGCAGGAGAATACTTTGATCCTGGGAGGCAGAGGTTGCAGTGAGCTGAGATTGGACCATTGCACTCCAGCCTGGGCTACAAGACTCAAATTACATCTCGAAAATACTAATGACAATAATAATGTTTTCTACAAGTAAGGGGTTACTTTGTACTGGGAACTGGTGCAAAGGGATCCACCATGTGTCAGCTTTTGGATTGATGACAGTTATTTCCAGATCATGGAGGTGGGAATGCTTGTTGATCATCTTCTGTGTTCTTTGTTATATTGATTGATTTTTTAAAAAATCTAGCATTTTTATAACAATGAAGTCATAAAAATAAGTAACTAAAATAAAGTAAAATAATCTAAAAAGGCCAAGTGTGGTGGCTCACACCTGTAATTCCAGCACTTTGGGAGGCCAAGGTGGGTGGATCACGTGAGGTCAGGAGTTCAAGACCAGCCTGGCCAACATGGTGAAACCCCATCTCTACTGAAAATACAAAAATTAGCCAGGCATGGTGGCAGGCACCTGTAATCCCAGCTACTCAGGAGGTTGAGGCAAGAGAATTGCTTGAACCTGGGAGAAGGTGCTTGCAGTGATCTGAGATTGAGCCATTGCATTCCAGCCTGGGTGACAAGAGCTAAACTCCGTCTCAAAACAAAACAAAATAAAAATCTAAATGTAATTGAGTTGAATATTTAAACTTTTAATTCACATTTCCAATTAGATTCTAATTCCATTTAAAAGAGCATCTCATAGAAGCAAATGTACTCATTTATGTTAACTCTGTGGTTTCATTTAAGCAATTTGTTTTGTGAAGGGACACAAATCCAAGCAGATTTTAACAGTGCATAAATACGTATTTATTAATTTAATTACAATGACAATACTCTCAACTCCCCATTTGAATATAGGAGAGCATCGGATCTGTGTTCTGGGACAGCGTGCACTGTAGGTGTGTGGAAATACCGATGTCCTCAGCTGTGTGGCAGGCTCAGTGGAACCTGGAGTGCAGGAGCCCCTGGGCCATTCACCTCTGGCCACAAAAGTCATTGTTCATTTACCCCCAACTGCTATAGAAATATTATTTTCAGTGGTTGTTATGATGCAAAAGAAAAGATGCAGGGAGATTTATTAAAACTTTACATATAAGTTATGTTAGTAAATAAAGTCTACTTTCTTCTGGCTTAACTAAAAATCTTTACTAGTATTTATGCATTTTGGAAAATAAAGATGCCAATTTAAATATTATGAAGCAAAGCAATTGATTATTAGGTAAGACAGCCAGGTACAACTGCAGAATTGTAGAGGTTATGTGTTACATGTATAAGAATATTTCATAGCAATAATCTTTTAAGACTATGTGAAGACACTCCACAGTGAAGCAGAAATTAGAACAGAATTAATAATACTGTGTATGCTCTCAGTTCACCAATTTATCAAAACTAGCTTTATAATTCAGGAGACTGTCTGCTCTTTTGCAATTGGAAGAAAAGGAATAACATTTTATTTTTCAACTCTTTAGATTTTCTTCATTAAGAGTATTTCCAAAGCTAAGTAAGGGAGTTGCCAGTAGCACCAAGAGAAAAAAGCAGTCTTGAGCAGCTTTTAAAAAATGGTCTTAAAATATGGAAAATGGAGCCAGGTGTGGTGGCTCACTCTTGTGATCCCGGCACTTTGGGAGCTTGAGGTGGGAGGATTGCTTGAGGTCAAAAGTTTGAGACCAGCCTGGGCAGCATAGCAAGATCCCCTTCGTTACAAAAAATAATATATTTTTTAAAAATTAGCTGGATGAGGTGGTGCATGCATTAGAGTCCCAATTACTTGGGAGGCTGAGGTAGGAGGGGTTCTTGAGCCCAGCAGTTCAAGTCTGCAGTGAGCTACGATTGCACCAGTCCTCAAGCCTGGGCAACAAAGTGAGACCCTGTCTCTCTCTCTCTCTATAAATATATACATATATATATATAATATATATATCCATATATATATAGATATATATTATATATATATATTAGTGCTGGCAAATATCAGAACTTTTATAAAGCTACAGCAATTAAGACAGTGTGGTCTTCACTGACAAAGTGACTAATGAAACAGAATAGAGAGTTCCCAAACAAATCTCCACAAATTTAATCTTTGATATGTGATGTAGGTGACATGGCAGTTCAGCAAAGAAAGAAAGGACTTTTCAATAAATAGAATAGAAAAATAATGGTTATTGATATAGGGAACAAAATGAAATTATATTCCTGCCTCACTCTATATACAAACATTAAATTCCAGAGGACCACAGACTTACATGTCAGAAAGAAAACTTTAAAACTTTTAGTAGAAAATGTAAGTGAATGAGACACAAAAAGCCATTTAACCATTAAAAAAGATTAGACATTTTGACTAACACAAAATTAAGAACTTTTTACATCAAAAAGTGGAAAGATAGGCTGTGCACGGTGTCTCAATCCTGTAATCCCGACAGTACATCACCTGAGGTCAGGAGTTTGAGACCAGGCTGGCCAACATGGTGAAACCCCATCTCTCCTAAAAATACAAGAAATTAGCTTGGCCTTAGTGGCAGACACCTGTAATCCCAGCTACTTGGGAAGCTGAGGCACGAGAATCATCTGAACCCAGGAGGTGGAGGTTGCAGTGAGCCACTGCACTCCAGCCTGAATAACAGAGCTAGACTCTGTTTCAAAAAAAAAAAAAAAAGAAAAAGAAAAAGAAATTTAAAAATAAAAGTAAAAAAGTGAAAAGATAAACTATAAATTAGAAGATATTTGCAGTATCTAAAACCTATGAAAGATTCAAATCAGATCAACTAAGTATAAGGAGCTCCTATGAATTAATTTTAAAAATAGCAACCCAACAGAAAATTGGGAAAAGACATCAATTAGGGATTTCACAAAAGAGAAAGCCCGCAAAATGTACAAAAAATTCTCAACTCATTAGTAATCAGGAAAATGCCAAGATACTACACATCTATTCTCCCCACAATTATTAAGAAGTTTGACAATACCAAATGTGTTAGTCCACATTCACACTGGTAATAAAGACATACCTGAGACAGGGAAGAAAATGAGGCTTAATTGGATTTAGGGTTTCACATGGTTGAGGAGGCCTCAGAGTTATGGCAGCGGTTGAACAGCACTTCTTACATGGCAGCGGCAAGAGAATATGAAAAGGAGGCAAAAGAAGCAAAAGACGAAACCCCTAATAATCCCATCAGACCTTGTGAGATTTATCTACTATCACAAGAATAGCATGGGAAAGACCGGCCTCAAAGATTCAACTACCTCCCCCTGGTTCCCTCCCCGAACACGTGGGAATTCTGAGCAATACAATTCAAGTTGAGATGCGGGTAGGGACATAGTCAAACCATATTTTTCCACTCCTGGCCCCTCCAAATCTCATGTCCTCTCCAAATCTCATTTCCTCACATTTCAAAACTTATTAAGCCTTCCCAACAGTCCCCCAAAGTCTTAACTCATTTCAGCATTAAGCCAAATGTGCACTGTCCACCGGGCACAAGCATGAACACCACCGTTTGTTTCACTGTCACCCCATATGCCTCCGGTGACACACAATCACACCATCTGCTCTGGGATACACCAGTACCATGCCTGGCCACATGGTCTCCACCTCGGATTCACCCCTGTTCCTGTTTGCACGTGTCCTGTAAAGCACTCTCAGCTTTCCAGAGGCCCAGAGCTTTTAGAAGCGGGGCACACTGCTCTTTCAAAGGAGGAGGGAGGCAGAGGGCTGATGGATCAGTGAATTTTCAGCTGACAACACGCCTTAAGACCCATGGTATCGATCTGTGCTGCAGCGAGGCCCTGCCTGCCACATCAGGTGTGGTGAGCCCATCCTATCTCACTTGGAAGGGGCCAAAATCGGATCTGAAGGGGAGTCCCGAGAACCCAGCAGGCGTCCTGAAGCTCTCCCTCCCTTGGTGGGAGTCGGCTCAAGGAGGTCCTGAGGACAGGACTCCTGTGGGTTTCGCGCTGGGACAGGACCCCCGCGGTCCCCTCTCAAACGCCACCCCCAACTGGACCCCGGATCCAGCCTTCGCTGCAGCTGCAGCAGGAGACTCGCTGCCGCCGTGCAGCGGTGGACTTAATTAAAGGGGAGGCAGCCTGACTGCCAGGAGCCGAGAGCGAGTCGGCCCAGCCAATATGCATGCTCCAGACGCGAGCAGCTTCTCCTGTCAAAGTGCTTCCCACGGTTGTCTTAGAAACCGGTCCCCGAGGATTGGCAGAGCAGGAGCCCTCTGTGGCTGCTCTCTCACCCGAGGGTCATTCTCCCCAAGAGCAGAACCCCGCAGCCTCAGGGTTTGCCTGGGGGTGTGTTTTTCAATGCCTCTGCTGTATGAATCTGTGTGTGTCTTTGTGTGTGTGTGTGTGTGTGTGTGAGAATGTGTGTGTGTGTAACTCCCATTCTCTCTTCTCTCTTTGTCTCTTGGTCTCTGTGTGTTTCTTTCCCTCTCTCTGTCGGTTTGTGCGTGTGTGCCCGTCTGCGTGTGTGTCTTTGGCCGAATGCGCCCTGTGCACCACAGAGCAATTTCTCACATGTCGGCCTGCCTTTGGTGAGCCTTTTTCTGCGTCTCTGCCTGGGTCGTGAGGCCGGTTGTCAATCATCTTTGCCGCCGCGGATCCGCTTTGGGAGTGTGAAGGCCTGGCCCACGTGAGGAGACGCGTCGGTCCCAGAGCAATTGAAATCTCATCCCCATCGTGAGCGGCCTCTTTTCTAGGATCAAGATGAACACACTGCAGCCAAGGACAAGAGCCCCATAGGAGCTCTTTGTCCTGCAGGACAGGAGCAGACCCACGTCAGAGAAGATGGTTGTATCTTTTCACGGCTTTTCTCTGAGAAATGAAGCCACACTACGATACAGTCTGGAAGAGGAAGCCGGGAATGGGAGATGGCAGCAATCCCTGTCACTGGAACGCTGGCCTCTCTGGACAAGCCACCCTTTTGGAACCCGACCCCTTAGGCCCGTGGTGGTGGTATGGTGCTGTATCCTGCCTGGGCTCTGGGCTCTGGCCTCTGCTCCATCCTCCCTCTTGCTGTGCCTCCCCTGTTTCTCAGGGACCTGGATGCCTCTCGCTCTGGCCAAATGTCTTCAAAGAAGATGACCTCCCAGTCCATCAGGGAGACACTTCCTGGATATCCATGCCATGATTATTTCTCTCTCCAAACGTGTTTCTGCTTGATTTGGGAAGTTTTGAAACTCTCCTTTTGTAGAATCTGCAACTGGATATTTGGAGCGATTTGAGGCCTATGGTGGAAAAAGAAATATCTTCATATAAAAAATAGACAGAAGCATTCTCTGAAACTTCTTTGTGATGTGTGCATTCAACTCACAGAGTTGAACCTTCCTTTTGACAAGGTAGTTTTGAAACAGTCTTTTTGTAGTATCTGCAAGTGGATATTTGGAGTGCTTTGATGCCTATGGTGGAAAAGGAAATATCTTCACATAAAAACTAGACAGAAGCATTCTCAGAAACTTCTTTGTGATGTGTGCATTCAACTCACAGATTGGAAAGTTTGTTTTGATAGAGTAGTTATGAAACACTTCTTTTGTAGAATCTGTTATTGGATATTTGGAGATTTTTGAGGCTTTCGTTGGAAACGGGAATATCTTCACATAAAAACTAGACAGAAGCATTCTCAGAAAGTTCTATATGATGTGTGCATTGCACTCACAGAGTTGAAACTTCAGTTTGATAGTGCAGTTTTGAAACAGTCTTTTTGTAGAATTTGAAAGTGTTCATTTGGAGCGCTTTGTGGCCTATGGTGGAAAAGGAAATATCTTCATATAAAAACTAGACAGAAGCATTGTCAGAAACTTCTTTGCGATATGTGCATTCAACTTACAGAGTTGAACGTTTCTTTTGATAGAGCAGTTTTGAAACCCTCCTTTTGTAGTATCTGATTGTGGATATTTAGAACTCTTTGAGGCCTTCGTTGGAAACGGTATATCTTCACTTAAAAACTAGACCAAAGCATTCTCAGAAACATCTTTGTGATGTGTGCATTCAACTCACAGGGTTGAAACTTTCTTTTGATACAGCAGTTTGAAACACTCATTTTGTAGAATCCACTTGTGGATATTTGGAGCTCTTTGAGGCCTTCGTTGGAATTGGGATAACTTTACATAAAAACTAGACAGAAGCATTCTCAGAAACTGCTTTTTGATGTGTACATTCAACACACAGAGTTGAACCTTTCTTTTGATAGAGCAGTTTTGAAAGAGTCTTTTTGTAGAATCAGCAAGTGGATATTTGGAGTGATTTGAGGCCTGTGGTGGAAAAGGAAATACCTTCCTAAAAAAACTAGACAGAAGCATTCTCAGAAAGTTCTTTGTGATGTATGCGTTCAACTCCAGAGTTGAACCATTCTTTTGATAGAGCTGTTTTGAAACACTCTTTTTGTAGAATCTGAAAGTGTTCATTTGGAGCGCTTTGAGGCCTATGGTGGAAAAGGGAATATCTACATATGAAAAGTAGACACAAGCATTCTCAGAAACTTCTTTTTGATGTGTGCTTTCAACCCACAGAGTTGAACTTTGCTTTTGAGAGAGAAGTTTGAAACAGTCTTTCTGTAGAATCTGCAAGTGGATATTTGGAGCGATTTGAGGCCTTCATTTGAAACGGGATATCTTCACTTAAAAACTAGAATGAAGCATTCTCAGAAACTTCTTTGTGACGTGTGCATTCAATTCACAGAGTTGAACCTTTCTTTTGATAGAGCAGTTTTGAAACACTCCTTTTATAGAATCTGCTTGTGGATATTTGGAGTTCTTTGAGAATTTCGTTGGAAACGGGATATCTTCACATAAAAACTAGAGAGAAGCATTCTCAGAAACTGCTGTGTGTTGTGTGCATTCAACTCACACAGTTGAACCTTTCTTTTGATAGAGCAGTTTGAAACAGTCTTTTTGTAGAATCTGCAAGTGCTCATTTGGAGCGCTTTGAGGCCTATGGTGGAAAAGGAATTATCTTCACATAAAAACTAGAAAGAAGCATTCACAGAAACTTCTTTGAGATGTGTGCATTCAGCTCACAGAGCTGAACCTTCCTTTTGATGAAGCAGTTTCCAAACAGTCTTTTTGTAGAATCTGCAAGTGGATATTTGGAGTGATATGCGGCCTATGGTGGAAAAGGAAATATCTTCACATAAAAACTAGTCAGAAGCATTCTGAGGAACTTCTTTGTGATGTGTGCATTCAACTAGTAAAGCTGAACCTTTATATTGATAGAGCAGTTTTGAAACACTCCTTTTGTAATATCTGGTAGTGGATATTTGGAGATTTTTGAGGCCAACGGTGGAAAAGGAAATATCTTCACATAAAAAGTAGACAGGAGCATTCTGAGAAAGTTCTTTGTGATGCCTGCATTCAATTCACAGAGTTGAAACTTTCTTTTGATAGAGCAGTTTTGAAACACTCTTTTTGTAGAATCTGCAAGAGTTCATTTGGAGCGCTTTGAGGGCTATGGTGGAAAAGGAAATATCTTCACATACAAACTAGACAGAAGCATTCTCAGAAACTTCTTTGTGATGTGTGCACTCAACTCACAGAGTTGAGCCTTCTTTTTGATAGAGCAGTTTTGAAACAGTCTTTTTCTAGATTCTGCAGGTGGATATTTGGAGCGATTTGAGGTCTGTGGTGGAAAAGGTAATAACTTCACATTAAAATTAGAGAGAAGTATTCTCATAAACTGCTTTATGATGTGTGCATTCAACTCACAGCGTTGAACCTTTCTTTTGTTAGCGCAGTTTTGAAACCTCTTTTTGTAGAATCTGCAGGTCTTCATATGGAGTGCTTTGAGGTCTATGGTGGAAAATGAAATAACTTCACATAAAAACTAGACAGAAGCATTCTCAGAAACTTCTTAGTGATGTGCACATTCAACTCACAGAGTTGAACCCTCCCTTTGATAGAGCAGTTTTGAAACACTCCTTTTGTAGAAACAGCTTGTGGATATTTGGAGCTCCTTGAGGCCTTCGTTTGAAAAGGGATATCTTAAAATAAAAACGAGACAGAACCATTCTCAGAAACTTCTTTGTGTTGTGTGCCTTCAAGTAACACAGTTGAACCTTTCTTTTGATAGAGCAGTTTTGAAACACTCCTTTTGTAGAGTCTGCTAGTGGATATTTGGCGATTTTGAGGCCTTCGTTGGAAACGGGAGTATCTTCACATAAAAACTAGACAGAAGCATTCTCAGAAAACGCTTCGTGATGTGTGCATTCAACTCACAGAGTTGAACCTTTCTTTTGATAGAGCAGCTTTGAAACACGCATTTTGTAGAATCTGCAAGTGTTCATTTGGAGGGCTTTGAGGCCTATCCTGAAAAAGGATGTGTCTTCACATAAAAACTAGACAGAAGCATTCTCAGAAACTTCTTTCTGATGTGTGCATTCAACACACAGAGTTGAACCTTCCTTTTGAGGGAACAATTTTGAAACACTGTTTGTAGAATATGGAAGTGGATGTTTGGAGCAATTTGAGGCCTATGGTGAAAAAGGAAGAATCTTCACATAAAATCTACCCAGAAGCATTCTCAGAAACTTCCTTGGGATGTGTGCATTCACCTAACACAGTAGAACCTTTCTTTAGATAGAGCAGTTTTGGAACACTCTTTTTGTAGAATCTGCAAGTTGATATTTGGAGCACTTTGAGGCCTATGGTGAAAAAGGAAGTTATCTTCACATAAAAACTACACAGAAGCATTCCAAGAAACTTCTTTGTGATGTTTGCATTCAAGTCAGAGAGTTGAACCATTCTTTTGATAGAGCAGTTTTCAAACACTATTTTTGTAGAATCTGCAAGTGGACATATGGAGCACTTTGAGGCCTGTGGTGATAAAGGAAATATCTTCACATAGAAACTACAAAGAAGCATTCTCACAAACTTCTTTGTGATGTGTGCATTCAACTCATAGAGTTGAACATTTCTTTTCAAAGAGCAGTTATGAAACACACTTTTTGGAGAATCTGCAAGTGGAAATTTGGAGGGCTTTGAGGCCTGGGGTGAAAAAGGAAATATCTTCCCATAAAAACTACACAGAAGCATTCTCAGAAACTTCTTTGTGATGATTGCTTTCAACTCACACAGTTAAACATTACTTTTCATAGAGCAGTTTTGAAACACAATTTTTGCAGAATTTTCAAGTGGATATTTGGACCGCTTTGGGGCCTTCGTTGGAAGTGGGATATCTTCACATAAAAAGTAGACAGAAGCATTCTCAGAAACTTCTTTGTGATGTGGGCATTCAACTCACATAGTTGAACCTTTCTTTTGATAGAGCAGTTTAGAAACACTCCTTTAGTAGAATCTGTAAGTGGACATTCGGAGCGCTATGAGGCATATGGTGAAAATGGAAATATCTTCACATAAAAACTAGACAGAAGCATTCTCAGAAACTTCTTTGTGATGTGCGCATTCAACTCACAGAGTTGAACCTTTCTTTTGATAGAGCAGTTTTGAAACACTCATTTTGTAGAATCTGCAAGGGGACATTTGAAGCGCTTTGAAGACTAAGGTGAAAAAAGAAATATCTTCACATAAAAACTACACAGAAGCATTCTCAGAAACTTCTTTGTGATGTTTGCTTTCACCTCACAGAGTTTAACATTCCTTTTCATAGAGCAGTTTTGAAACACTCTTTTTCTAGAATTTGCAAGTAGATATTTGGACCGAAATGAGACCTTCATTGGAAAAGGGATATCTTCACAAAAATTAGACAAAAGCATTCCCAGAAATTTCTTTGTGATGTGTGCATTCAACTCACAGAATTGTACCTTTCTTTTTATAGAGCAGTTTTGAAACACCCTTTTGTAGAATCTGCAAGTGGACATTTGTAGTGCTTTTAGGCCTGTGGTGAAGAAGGAAATTTCTTCACAAAAAACTAGACAGAAGAATTCTCAGAAACTTCATTGTGATGTGTGCATTCAACTCACAGAATTGAACCTTTCTTTTCATAGAGCAGTAATGAAACACTACTGTAGAATCTGCAAGTGGACATTTGGAGTGCTTTGAGGCCTGTGGTGAAAAAGGAAATATGTTCATATAATACTACCCAGAATCATTCTCAGAAACTTCTTTGTGATGTTTGCTTTCAACTCACAGAGTTGAACATTCGTTTTCATAGAGCAGTTTTGAAACACTCTTTTTGTAGAATTTGCAAGTGGATATTTGGAACGCTTTGAGGCCTTCTTTGGAAACCTGATATCTTCACAAAAACTACACAGAAGCATTCTCAGAAACTTCTTTGTGATATGTGCACTCGACTTACAGAGTTGAACCGTTCTTTTGATAGAGGAGTTTAGAAACACACTTTTTATAGAATCTGCACGTGGACATTTGGAGCGCTTTGAGGCCTGTGGAGAAAAAGGAAATATCTTCACATAAAAACTACACAGAGGCATTCTCAGAAACTTCTTTGTGATGTTTGCTTTCCACTCACAGAGTTGAACATTCCTTTTCCTAGAGCAGTTTTGAAACATCCTTTTAGTAGAATTTGCAAGTGGATATTTGGAACGCTTTGAGGCCTTCTTTGGAAATGGAATATCATCACAAAAACAAGACAGAAGAATTCCCAGAAACTTCTTTGTGATGTGTGCATTCAACTCTTTTTTTCTATAGAACAGTTTAGAAACACTCTTTTTGTGGCATCTGTAACTGGACTTTTGGAGTGCTTTGAGGCCTCAAGTGAAAAAGGAAATATCTTCACATAAAAGCTAGACAGAAGCATTCTCAGAAACTTCTTTGTGATGTTTGCATTCAACTCTCAGAGTTGAATATTCCTTTTCATAGAGCAGTTTTGAAACACACTTTTTGTAGAATCTGCAAGTGGACATTTGGAGCGCTTGGAAGACTATGGTGAAAAAGGAAATATCTTCACATAAAAACTACACAGAAGCATTCTCAGAAACTTCTTCTGATGTGTGCACTCAAGTCGCAGAGGTGAACCTTTCTTTTGATAGAACAGTTTTGAAACTCTCTTTTTATGGAATCTGCAAGTGGACATTTGGAGTGCTTTTTGGCCTTCGTTGGAAACTGGAATATCTTCACATAAACACTAGACAGAAGCATTCTCAGAAACATCTTTGTGATGTGTGCATTAAACTTACAGATTTGAACATTCCTTTTCATAGAGCAGTTTTGAAACACTCTTTTTCTAGTATGTGCCAGTGGACATTTGGAGCGCTTTGAGGCCTATGTTGAAAAAGGAAATATCTTCACATAAAAACTAGACAGAAGCGTTCTCAGAAACTACCTTGTGATGTGTGTACTCATCTCACAGAGCTGAACATTTCTTTTGATAGAGCAATTTTGAAACACTCTTTTTGTAGAATCTACAACTGGACATTTGGAGCGCTTTGAGGCCTATGGTGAAAAAGGAAATATCTTCACATAAAAACTACACAGAAGCATTCTCAGAAACTTCTTTGTGTTGTTTGCTTTCAACTCACAGAGTTGAACATTCGTTTTCATAGAGCAGTTTTGAAACACTCTTTTTGTAGTATTTGCAAGAGGATATTTGGACCGCTTTTGGGCCTTCGTTGGAAATGGGATATCTTCACAAAAACTAGACAGAAGCATTCTCAGAAACTTCTTTGTGATGTGTGCATCCAACTTTTTCTTTTGATAGAGCACTTTTGAAACTCTCTTTTTGTAGAATCTGCAAGTGGACATTTGGAGCTCTATGAGGTCTACAGTGAAAAGGAAATATCTTCACATAAAAACTTCACAGAAGCATTTTCAGAAACTTCTTTGTGTTGTGTGCACTCAACTCACAGAATTGAACCTTTCTTTTGTTAGAGCAGTTTTGAAACACTCTTTTAGGAGAATCTGCAAGTGGACATTTGGAGCGCTTTGAGGTCTGTGGTGAAAAAGGAAATATCTTCACATAAAACTAGACAGAAGCATGCTCACAAACTTCTTTGTGATGTGTGCATTCCACTCACAGAGTTGAACCTTTCTTTTGATAGAGCAGTTTTGAAACACTCTTTTTGTAGCATCTGCAAGTGTTCATTTGGAGCGCTTTGAGGCCTAGTGTGGAAAAAGAAATATCTTCACATAAAAACTTGACAGAAGTATTCTCAGGAACTTCTTTGTGACGTGTGCATTCAACTAACAGAGTTGAACCTTTCTTTTGATAGAGCAGTTTTGAAGCACTCCTTTTGCAGGGTCTGCTAGTGGATATTTGGAGATTTTTCAGGCCTTTGTTGGAAACAGGAATATCTTCACATAAAAACTAGACAGAAGCATTCTCTGAAAGTACTTTGTGATGTATGCATTCAACTCACAGTATCGAACCTTTCTTTTTATAGAGCAGTTTTGAAACACTCCTTTTGTAGGATCTGCTAGTGTATATTTGGATCCCTTTTAGGCCTTTGTTGGAAACGGGAATTTCTTCACATAAAAACTAGACACAAGCATTCTCAGCAACTGCTTTGTGATGTGTGCATTCAACTCACATAGTTGTAACTTTCTTTGGATAGAGCAGTTTTGAAAGACTCTTTTTGTAGGATCTGCAAGAGGACATTTGAATCTCTTTGAGGCCTATGGTGAAAAAGGAAATGTCTTCACAGGAAAACTTCACAGAAGCATTCTCAGAAACATCTTTGTGATGTGTGCATTCAACTCACAGAGTTGAACTTTTCTTTTAATAGAGCAGTTTTGGAAAACACTTTTTGTAGAAACTGCATGTGGACATTTGTAGCGCTTTGAGGCCTATGATGAAAAAGGAAATATCTTCACATATAAACGAGAGAGAAGCATTCTCAGAAACGTCTTTATGATGTCTGTGTTCAACTCACAGAGTTAAACCTTTGTGGTCATAGAGGAGCTTTGAAACACTCTTTTTGTAGAATCTTCAAGTGGACATTTGGAGCGCTTCGAGCCTGTGGTGAAAAAGGAAATATCTTCACATAAACACTACACAGAAGCATTTTCAGAAACTTCTTTGTGAAGTTTGCTTTCACCTCACAGAGTTGAACATTCCTTTTCATGGCGCAGGTTTGAAACACTCTTTTTGTAGAATTTGCAAGTGGATATTTGGATGGCTCTGAGGCCATTGTTGGGAAAAGAAATATCTTCAAATAAAAACTAGACAGAAGCATTCTCAGAAACTTCTTTGTGATGTGTGCATTCAACTCACAGAGTTGAACGGTTCTTTTGATGGAGCAGTTTTGAAACATTCTATTTGCAGAATCTGCAAGTGGACATTTAGAGTGCTTTGAGGCCTATGGTGAAAAAGGAAGTATCTTAACATAGAAACTACACGGAAGCATTCTGAGAATCTTCTTTGTGATGTGTGCATTCAATTCACAGAATTGAACCGTTCTTTTGATAGAGCTGTGTTGAAACACTCTTTTCGTAGAATCTGCAAGTGGACATTTGGAGCGTTTTGAGACTTATGGTGAAAAAGGAGCCATCTTCACATAAAAACTACACAGAAGCATTATCAGAAACTTCTTTGTGATGTATGCATTCAACTCACAGAGTTGAACCTTTCTTTTGATAGAGCAGTTTTGAAACACTCCTTTGTAGAATCTGCATGTGGACAGTTGGAGCGCTCTGAGGCCTGTGGTGAAAAAGGAAGTATCTTCACATAGAAACTACACAGAAGCTTTCTCTGAAACTCCTTTGTGATGTGTGCACTCAATTCACAGAGTTGAACCTTTCTTTTGGTAGAGCAGTTTTGAAACACTCTTTTTGTAGAGTCTGCAAGTGGACATTTGGAGTGCTTTGAGGCCTATGGAGAAAAAGGAAATATCTTCAAATAAAAACTACACAGAAGCATTCTCAGGAACTTGTTTGTGTTGTTTGATTTCAACGCACAGAGTTGAACATTCCTTTTCATAGAGCAGTTTTGAAACCCTCTTTTTGTAGAATTAGCAAGTGGATATTTCTACCGCTTTGAGGAATTCATTGGAAAAGGAATATCTTCACAAAAACTAGACAAAAGCATTCCCAGAAACTACTTTGTGATGTGTGCATTCCACTCACAGAGTTGAAACTTTCTTTTGATAGAGCAGTTTTGAAACACTCTTTTTGCAGAATCTGGAAGTGGACATTTGTAGCGCTTTGAGGCCTATGGTGAAAAAGGAAATATCCTCACATAAAAACTATACAGAAGCATTCTCAGAAACTTCTTTGTGATGTGTGCATTCAACTCACAGAGTTGAACATTTCTTTGATAGAGCAGTTTTGAAACAATCTTTTTATAGGGTATGCAACTGGATATTTGGAGGGCTGTGAGGCCTATGGTGAAAATGGAAATATCTTCACATAAAAACTACACAGTAGCATTCCAATAAACTTCTTTTGTTGTTTGCTTTCAACTCACAGAGTTGAATATTCCTTTTCATAGAGCAGTTTTGAAACACTGTTTTTCAGAATTTGCAAGTGGATATTTGGACTGCTGTGAGGCCTTCGTTGGAAACGGGATATCTTCACATAAAAAGTAGACAGAAGCAATCTCAGAAACTTCTTTGTGACTTTCATGTCACAGAGTTGAACATTCCTTTTCATAGAACAATTTTGAAACACTCTTTTTGTAGAATTTGCAAGTGGATATTTGGACCGCTTTGAGGCCTTCGTTGGAAACGGTATATCTTCATATAAACTACACAGAAGTACTCCCAGAAACTTCTTTGTGAGGTGTGCTTTCAACTCACATAGTTGAACCTTTCTTTTGATAGAGCAGTTTTGAAACACTCTTTTTGTAGAATCTGCAAGTGGACCTTTGGACCACTTTGCGGCCTTATTTGGATAAAGGGTATCTTCACGTATAAACCAGACAGAAGCATTCTCAAAAACATCTTTATGATGTCTGGGTTAAACTCACAGAGTTAAACCTCTGTTTTCATAGAGCAGCTTTGAAACACACTATTTGTGGAATCTGCAAATGGACATTTGGAGCGCTTCTAGGCCTGTGGTGAAAAAGGAAATATCTTCACATAAAAAATACACAGAAGCATTTTCAGAAACTTCTTTGTGATGTGTGCATTCAACTCACAAAGTTGAACATTCCTTTTCATAGAGCAGTTTTGAAACACACTTTTTGCAGAATCTGCAAGTGAATATTTCGAGCCCTTTGTGGCTTATACTGAAAAACGAAGTATCTTAACATAAAAACTACACAGCAGCATTCTCAGAAACTTCCTTGTGATGTGTGCATTCAACTCACAGAGTTGAACCTTTCTTTTGATAGAGCACTTTTGAAACACTCTTTTTGTAGAATCTGCAAGTGGACATTTGGAGCGCTTTGAAACCTATGGTGAAAAAAGAAACAACTTCACATAAAAACTACACCGAAGCATTCTCAGAAACTTCTTTGTGATGTGTGCATTCAACTCACAGAGTTGAACCTTTCTTTTGGTAGAGCAGTTTTGAAACACTGTTTTGGTAGAATCTGCATGTGTGGACAGTTGGAGCTCCTTTATGCCTGTGGTGAAAAAGGAAATATCTTCACATAAAAACGGACAGATGCATTCTCAGAAACTTAATTGTGATGTGTGCATTCAACTCACAGGGTTGAACCTTTCTTTTGATAAAACAGTTTTGAAACACAGTTTTTATAGAATCTGAAAGTGAACATTGGAGCCCTTTGTGGCCTATGGTGAAAAAGGACATATCTTTACCTGAGAACCACACAGAAGCATTCTCAGAAACTTCTTTGTGGTGTTTGCATTCACCTCGTTCTTTTGATGGAGCAGTTTTGAAACACTCATTTTGTAGTATCTGCAAGTGAACATTTAGAGCGCTTTGTAGCCTATGGTGAAAAAGGAAATATCTTCACATAAAAACTACACAGAAGCATTCTCAGAAACTTCTTTGTGATGTGTGCATTCAACTCACAGAGTAGAACCTTTCTTTTGATAGAGCAGATTTGAAACACTCTTTTTATAGAATATGTAAGAGAACATCTGGAGCGCTTTGAGTCCTCTGGTGAAAAAGGAAGTAACTTTACATAAAAACTAGACAGAAGCATTCCCAGAAACTTATTTGTGATGTGTGCATTCAACTCACAGAGTTGAAACTTTCTTTTATTAGAGCAGTTTTGAAACACGCTTTTTGTAGAATCTTCAAGTGGATATTCGGAGCGCTTTGAAGCCTGTGGTGAAAAAGGAAATATCTTCACATAAAAACTAGACAGAAGCATTCTCAAAAACTTCTTTGTGATGTGTGCATTCAACTCACAGAATTGAACTTTTCTTTAGGTAGAGCAGTTATGAAACAGTCTTTTTCTAGGATCTGCAACTGGACATTTAGAGGGTTTTGAGGCCTATGGTGAAAAAGGAAATATTTTCACATAAAAAATACACAGAAGCATTCTCAGCAGCTTCTTTGTGTTGTTTGCCTTCAACTCACAGAGTTGAAGATTACTTTTCATGGAGGAGTTTTGAAACAATCTTTTTGTAGTATTTGCAAGTGGATACTTGGAATGCTTTGAGGCCTTCGTTGGAAAGGGGATATCTTCACAAAAACTAGACAGAAGCATTCCCAGAATCTTCTTTGTGATGTGTGCATTCAATGCACAGTGTTGAACCTTTCTTTTGATAAAGCAGTTTTGAAACTCTCTTTTTGTAGAATCTCCAAGTGGACATTTTGAGCGCTTTGTGGCCTCTGTTGAAAAAGGAAATATCTTCACATTAAAACTTGACAGAAGCATTCTCAGAAACCTCTTTGTGTTGTGTGCATTCAACTCACAGATTTGAACCTTTCTTTTGATAGAGCAGTTTGAAACAGTCTTTTTGTAGGATCTGAAAGTGGACATTTGGAGCGTTTTGAAGCCTGTGGTTTAAAAGGAAATATCTTGATGTCTAAAACGCCAAAAGTAATGGCAACAAAAGCCAAAATTGACAAATGGCATCTAATAAAACTAAAGAGCTTCTGCTCAGCAAAAGAAACTACCATCAGAGTGAACAGGCAACCTACAAATTGGGAGAAAATTTTCACAACCTACTCATCTGACAATGGGCTAATATCCAGAATCTACAATGAACTCAAACAAATTTACAAGAAAAAAAGAAACAACCCCATCAGAAAGTGGGCAAAGACCTGAACAGACACTTCTCAAAAGAAGATATTTATGCAGCCAAAAATCAAATGAAAAAGTGCTCACCATCACTGGCGATCAGAGAAATGCAAATCAAAATCACAATGAGATACCATTTCACACCATTTAGAATGGCAATCATTAAAAAGTCAGGAAACAACAGGTGCTGGAGAGGATGTGGAGAAATAGGAACACTTTTACACTATTGGTGGGACTGTAAACTAATTCAACCATTGTGGCAGTCTGTGTGGCGATTCGTCAGGGATCTAGAACTAGAAATACCAATTGACCCAGCCATCCCAATACTGGGTATATAACCAAAGGACTATAAATCATGCTGCTATAAAGACACATGTACACGTATGTTTATTGTGGCATTATTCACGGTAGCAAGGACTTGGTACCTACCCAAAGGTCCAACAACGACAGACTGGATTAAGAAAATGTGGTAGATATACACCATGGAATACTATGCAGCCATAAAAAATGATGAGTTCATGTCCTTTGTAGGAACATGGATGAAAATGGAAATCATCATTCTCAGTAAATTGTCACAAGAACAAAAAACTAAAAACCGTACATTCTCACTCATAGGTGGGAATAGAACAATGAGAAAACATGGACACAGGAAGGGGAACATCACACTCTGGGGACTGTGGTGGGGTGGGGGGAGGGGAGAGGGACTGCATTGAGAGATATACCTAATGCTTGATGAAGAGTTAGTGGGTGCTGCACACCAGCATGCCACATGTATACACATGTAACTAAGCTGCACATTGTGCACTTGTACCCTAAAACCTAAAGTATAATAATAATAAATAAATAAATAAGTAGAATAAAAAGAAAAAAAAGAAAAAGGAAATTTCTTCACATAAAAACTAGACAGAAGCATTCTCAGAAACTTCTTAGTGATGTTTGCTTTCCACTCACAGAGTTGAACATTCCTTTTCATAGATCAGTTTTGAAACACTCTTTTTGAAGAATTTCCAAGTGGATATTTGGACAGCCTTGAGGCCTTGTTTGGAAACGGGATATCTTCACAAAAACAACACAGAAGCATTCTCAGAAACTTCTTTGTGATGCGTGCATTCAACTCACAGAGTTGAACCTTTCTTTTGATAGAGCAGTTTAGAAACACTCCTTTAGTAGAATCTGCAAGTGGACATTTGGAGTGCTTTGAGGCCTATGGTGAAAATGGAAATATCTTCACATAAAAACTAGACAGAAGCATTCTCAGAAACTTCTTTGTGATGTGCGCATTCAACTCACAGAGTTGAACCTTTCTCTTGATAGAGCAGTTTTGAAACACTCTTTTTGTAGAATCTGTAAGGGGACATTTGAGCGCTTTGAAGACTATGGTGAAAAAAGAAATATCTTCACATAAAAACTACACAGAAGCATTCTCAGAAAATTCTTTGTGATATTTGCTTTCACCTCACAGAGTTTAACTTTCCTTTTCATAGAGCAGTTTTGAAAAACTCTTTTTGTAGAATTTGCAAGTGGATATTTGGACCGATATGAGGCCTTCGTTGGAAACGGGATATCTTCACAAAAACTAGACAAAAGCATTTCCAGAAATTTCTTTGTGATGTGTGCATTCAACTCACAGAATTGTACCTTTCTTTTTATAGAGCAGATTTGAAACACTCTTTTTGTAGAATCTGCAAGTGGACATTTGTAGCGCTTTTAGGCCTATGGTGAAAAAGGAAATGTCTTCACAAAAAACTAGACAGAAGAATTCTCAGAAACTTCATTGTGATGTGTGCATTCAACTCACAGAGTTGAACCTCTCTTTTCATAGAGCAGTAATGGAACACTCTTGTAGAATCTGCAAGTGGACCTTTGGAGCGCTTTGAGGCCTGTGGTGAAAAAGAAAATATGTTCATATAATACTACACAGAATCATTCTCAGAAACTTCTTTGAGATGTTTGCTTTCAACTCACAGAGTAGAACATTCCTTTTCATAGAGCAGTTTTGAAACACTCTTTTTGTAGAATTTGCAAGTGGATATTTGGAACGCTTTGAGGCCTTCTTTGGAAATCTGATATCTTCACAAAAACTGGACAGAAGCATTCTCAGAAAATTCTTTGCGATATGTGAACTCAACTTACAGAGTTGAACCGTTCTTTTGATAGAGGAGCTTAGAAACACTCTTTTTATGGAATATGCAAGTGGACATTTGGAGCGCTTTGAGGCCCATGGAGAAAAAGGAAATATCTTCACATAAAAACTACAAAGAAGCATTCTCAGAAACTTCTTTGAGATGTTTGCTTTCCACTCACAGAGTTGAACATTCCTTTTCATAGAGCAGTTTTGAAACAACCTTTTAGTAGAATTTGCAAGTGGATATTTGGAACACTTTGAGGCCTTCTTTGGAAACGGGATATCTTCACAAAAACTAGACAAAAGAATTCCCAGAAACTTCTTTGTGATTTGTGCATTCAACTCTTTTTTTTTATAGAGCAGTTTAGAAACACTCTTTTTGTGGCATCTGCAACTGGATTTTGGAGTGCTTTGAGGCCTAAAGTGAAAAAGGAAATATCTTTACCTAAAAGCTAGACAGAAGCATTCTCAGAAACTTCTTTGTGATGTGTGCATTCAACTCTCAGAGTTGAATATTACTTTTCATAGAGCAGTTTTGAAACACTCTTTTTGTAGAATCTGCAAGAGGACATTTGGAGCACTTGGAGGCCTATGGTGAAAAAGGAAATATCTTCACATAAAAACTAGACAGAAGCATTCTCAGAAACTTCTTTATGATGTGTGCACTCAACTCGCAGAGGTGAACCTTTCTTTTGATAGAACAGTTTTGAAACTCTTTTTTTATGGAATCTGCAAGTGGACATTTGAAGAGCTTTGTGGCCTTCGTTGGAAACTGGAATATCTTCACATAAAAACTAGACAGAAGCATTCTCAGAAACATCTTTGTGATGTATGCATTCAACTCACAGAGTTGAACATTCCTTTTCATAGAGCAGTTTTGAAACACTTTTTTTTTTTAGTATGTGCCAGTGGACATTTGGAGCGCTCTGAGGCCTTTGTTGAAAAAAGAAATATCTTCACATAAAAACTAGACAGAAGCATTCTCAGAAACTTCTTTTTGATGTGTGTACCCACCTCACAGAGTTGAACATTTCTTTTGATTGAGAAGTTTTGAAACACTCTTTTTGTAGAATCTACAACTGGACATTTGGAGTGCTTTGAGGCCTATGGTGAAAAAGGAAATATCTTCACATAAAAACTACCCAGAAGCATTCTCAGAAACTTCTTTGTGTTGTTTGCTTTCAACTCACAGAGTTGAACATTCCTTTTCATAGAGCAGTTTTGAAACACTCTTTTTGTAGAATTTGCAAGAGGATATTTGGATCGCTTTTAGGCCTTCATTGGAAACTAGACAAAAGCATTCTCTTCACAAAAACTAGACAGAAGCATTCTCAGAAACTTCTTTGTGATGTGTGCATTCAACTTTTTCTTTTGATAGAGCACTTTTAAAACTCTCTTTTTGTAGAATTTGCAAGTGGACATTTAGATCTCTCTGAGGTCTACGGTGAAAAAGGAAATATCTTCACATAAAAACTTCACAGAAGCATTTTCAGAAACTTCTTTGGATGTGTGCATTCAACTCACAGAGTTGAACCTTTCTTTTGTTAGAGCAGTTTTGAAACACTCTTTTTGGACAATCCGCAAGTGGACATTTGGAGCGCTTTGAAGCCTGTGGTGAAAAAGCAAATATCTTTACATAAAACTAGACAGAAGCTTGCTCACAAACTTCTTTGTGATGCGTGCATTCCACTCACAGAGTTGAAACTTTCTTTTGATAGAGCAGTTTTGAAAAACTCTTTTTGTAGCATCTGTAATTGTTCATTTGGAGCGCTTTGAGGCCTACTGTGGAAGAAGAAATATCTTCACATAAAAACTTGACAGAATCATTCTCAGAAACTTCTTTGTGATGTGTGCATTCAACTCACGGAGTTAAACTTTCCTTTTGAGAGAGCAGATTTGAAACACTCTTTTTGTAGTATCTGCATGTGTATATTTGAGCGATTTGAGGCTTATGGTGATAAAGGGAATATCCTCACATAAAAACTAAACAGAAACATTCACAGGAACTTTTTGTGATGTGTGCATTCAACTAACAGAGTTGAAGCTTTCTTTTGATAGAGCAGTTTTGAAGCACTCCTTTTGCAGAATCTGCTAGTAGATATTTGGAGATTTTTCAGGCCTTCGTTGGAAACGGGAATATCTTCACATAAAAACTATACAGAAGCATTCTCAGAAAGTACTTTATGATGTGTGAATTCAACTCACAGAATCGAACCTTTCTTTCGATAGAGCAGTTTTGAAACACTCCTTTTGTAGGATCTGCTAGTGGTTATTTGGATTTCTTTTAGGACTTTGTTAGAAACGGGAATTTCTTCACATAAAAACTAGACAGAAACATTCTCAGTAACTGCTTTGTGATGCATGCATTCAACTCACATAGTTGAACCTTTCTTTTGATAGAGCAGCTTTGAAACACTGTTTTTGTAGAATCTGCAAGTGGACATTTGTAGCGCTTTGAGGCCTATGGTGAAAAAGCAAATATCTTCACATGAAAACTGGACAGAAGCATTCTCAGAAACTTCTTTGTGATGTGTGCATTGAACTCACGGAGTTGAACATTTCTTTTGATAGAGCAGTTTTGAAACAATCTTTTTGAAGTATCTGCAACTGGACATTTGGAGGGCTTTGAGGCCTATGGTGAAAAACGAAATATCTTCACATAAAAACTACACAGAAGCATTCTCAGAAACATCTTTGTGTTGATTGCTTTCAACTAATAGAGTTGAACATTCCTATTCTTAGAGCACTTTTGAAACACTCTTTTTGTAGGGTTTGCAAGTGGATATTTGGACCACTTTGAGGCCTTTGATGGAAACGGGATATTTCACAAAAACTAGACAGAAGCATTCTCAGAAACTTCTTTGTGATGTGTGCATTCAACTCACACGGCTGAACATTTCTTTTGATATAGCAGTTTTGAAACACTCTTTTTGTAGCATCTGCAAGTGGACATTTGTAGCGCTTTGAGGCGTATGGGGAAAAAAGAAATATCTTCACATAAAAACAATACAGGAGCATTCTCAGAAAATTCTTTGTGATGTGGGCATTCAACTCACAGAGTTGAACCTTTCTTTTGAAAGAGCAGTTTTCATACACTCTTTATGTAGAATCTGCGTGTGGACATTTTGAGCGCTTTGAGGCCTGTGGTGAAGAAGGATGTATCTTCACATAAAAACTACAAAGAAGCCTTCTCAGAAAATACTTTGTGATGTTTGCTTTCAACTCACAGAGTTGAACATTCCTTTTAATAGAGCAGTTGTGAAACACTCTTTTTGTGATATTTCCAAGTGGATATTTGGAACACTTTGAGGCCTTCGTTGCAAAAGCGATATCTTCACAAAAACTATACAGAAGCATTCTCAGAAACTTCTTTGTGATGTATGCACTCAACTAACCCAGTTGAACCTTTCTTTTGATAGAGCAGTTTTGAAACACTCTTTTTGTAGAATCTGCTTATGGATATTTGGAGATTTTTGTAGCCTAAACGGGAATATCTTCACATAAAAACTAGACAGAAGCATTCTCAGAAAGTTCTTTGTGATGAGTGCTTTCAACTCAGAGAGTTGAACCATTCTTTAGATAGAGCAGTTTTGAAACACTCCACTTGTAGAATCTGCAAGTGGATATTTGGATCTCTCTGAGGCCTTCGTTGGAAACAGGAATATCTTCACTTAGAAACTAGACAGAAGCATTCTCAGAAACTGCCTAGTGATGTGTGCATGCAACACACAGAGTTGGACTTTAGTTAGAGTAGTTTTGAAACACTCTTTTTGTAGAATCTGCAAGTGGACATTTGTTGCGCTTTGAGGTCTATGGTGAGAAAGCAAATATCTTCACATAAAAACTAGACCGAAGCATTCTGAGAAACTTCTTTGTGATGTGTGCATTCAACTCACAGAGTTGATCATTTCTTTTAATAGAGCAGTTTTGAAACAATATTTTTGAAGTATCTGCAAATGGACATTTGAAGAGCTTTGAGGCCTATGGTGAAAAACTATATATCTTCACATAAAAACTGCACAGAAGCATTCTAAGAAACTTATTTCTGTTGTTTGCTTTAAACTCACAGAGTTGAACATTCCTTTTCTTAGAGCACTTTTGAAACACTCTTTTTGTAGAATTTGCAAGTGGATATTTTGGAACATTTTGAGGCCTTCGTTGCAAACGGGATATCTTCCCAAAAACTAGACAGAAGCATTCTCAGAAACTACTTTGTCATGTGTGCACTCAACTCACCCAGTTGAACCTTTCTTCTGATAGAGCAGTTTTGAAATACACTTTTTGTAGAATCTGCAAATGGACATTTGGAGCGCTTTGAAGCCAATGGTGAAAAAGGAATTCTCTTCACATAAGAACTACACAGAAGCATTCTCAGAAACTTGTTTGTGACGTTTGCTATCAACTCACACAGTTGAACATTCCTTTTCATACAGCAGTTTTGAAACACTCTTTTTGTAGAATTTGCAAGTGGATATTTGGAACACTTTGAGGCCTTCATTGCAAACGGGATATCTTCACAAAAACTAGAAAGAAGCATTCTCAGAAACTTCTTTGTGATGTGTGCATTCAACTCACAGTGTTGAGCCGTTCTTTTGTTAGAGCAGTTTTGAAACACGCTTTTTGTAGAATCTTCAAGTTGCCATTTGGAACGCGTAGAGGCTTGTGTTGGAAAAGGAAATATCTTCAGATGAAACTACACAGAAGCATTCTCAGAAACATCTTTGGATATTTGCTTTCAACACATAGAATTGAACATTCGTTTTCTTAGAGCAGTTTTGAAACACTCTTATGTAAAATTTCCAAGTGAATATTTGGACCGCTTTGAGGTCTTCATTGGAAATGGTATATCTTCACAAAAAATAGACAGCAGCATTCACAGAAACTTCTTGGTGATGAGCATTCAACTCACAGAGTTGAAACGTTCTTTTGATAGAACAGTTTTGAAACAGTCTTTTTGTAGAATCAGCAAGTGGAAATTTGGAGGGCTTTGAGGTCTAATGTGGAAGAGGAAATATCTTCACATAAAAACTCCATAGAAGAATTCTCAGAAACCCCTCTGTGATGTCTGCATTCATCTCAAAGTGTTGAACCTTTCTTTTGATAGAGCAGTTTTGAAAGACACTTTTTGTAGAATCTGCACGTGGACATTTGAAGCTTTGAGGCCTAAGGGGAAAAAGGAAATATCTTCACATAAAAACTACACCGAAGTATTCTCAGAAACTTCTTTGTGGTGTTTGCTTTCAACTCACTGATTTGAACATTCCTTTTCATACAGCAGTTTTGAAACACTCTTTTTGAAAGATCTGCAAGTGGACATTTGGAGCGCTTTGAGGCCTATGGTGAAAAAGGAAATATCTTCACATACAAACTACACAGAAGCATTGTCAGAAATTTATTTCTGATATGTGCATTCAACATACAGAGTTGAACCCTTCTTTTGATAGAGCAGTTTTGAAACACTCTTTTTGTAGTATCTGCAAGTAGACATTTGGAGAGCCTTGTGTCCTATAGTGAAAAAGTCAATGTCTTCACGTAAAAACTAGACAAAAGCATGCTCGGAAACTTCTTTTTGATGTCTGCATTCAACTCACAGAGTTGTACTGTTCTCTCGATAGAGCAGTTTTGAAACACTCTTTTTGTAGAATATGCAAGTGGAAATTTAGAGCTCTTTGAGGCCTACGGTGAAGAAGGAAATATTTTCACATAAAAACTTCACAGAAGGATTCTCAGAAACTTCTTTGTGATGTGTGCATTCAACTCACAGAGTTGAACGTTTCTCTTTATAGAGCAGTTTTGCAACACTCTTTTTGTAGAATCTGCAAGTGGACATTTGGATCGCTTTGAGGCCTTTGGTGAAAAATGAAATATCTTCACATAAAAACTACAAAGAAGCATTCTCAGAAACATCTTTGTGTTGTTTGCTTTCAACTCACAGATTTGACATTCCTTTTCATAGAGCAGTTTTGAGACATTCTTTTTGTAGAATTTGCAAGTGTATATTTGGACTGCTTTGAGGTATTTGTTGGAAAAGGGATATCTTCAAAAAACTAGACAGAAGCATTATCAGAATCTTCTTTGTGATGCATGCATTCAACTCACAGAGATGAACGTTCTTTTGATAGAGAAGTTTTGAAAAACTCTTTTTGTAGAATCTGCAAGTGGACATTTGGAGTGCTATGAGGCCTAAATTGAAAAAAGAAATATCACATAAAAACTACACAGCAGCATTCTCAGAAACTTCTTTGTGTTGTTTGCTTTCAACTGACAGATTTGAACATTCCTTTTCATAGAGTAGTTTTGAAATACTCTTTCTGTAGAATTTGCAAGTGGATATTAGGACAGCTTTAAGGCCTTCGTTGGAAACGGAATATCTTCAAAAAACTAGACGGAAGCATTCTCAGAAACTTCTTTGTGATGTGTGCATTCAACTCACAGAGTTGAACCATTCTTTTGACAGAACAGTTTTGAAACACTCTTTTTGTGGAATCTGCAAGTGGACATTTGGAGCGCTATGAGGACTAAATTGAAAAAGGAAATATCTTCACATAGAAACTACACAGAAGCATTCTCAGAAACCTGTTTGTGTTGTGTGCATTCAACCCACGGAGTTGAACATTCCTTTTCATAGATCAGTTTTGCAACACTCTCTTTGTAGAATTCGCAAGTGGATATTTGGACCACTTTGAGGCCTTCGATGGAAACGGGATGTTTTCACATAAAAAGTAGACAGAAGCATTCTCAGAAACTTCTTTGTGATGTGTGCATTCATCTTATGGAGTTGAACCGTTCTTTTGATGGAGCAGATTTGAAACACTCTTTTTGTAGAATTTGCAAGTGTATATTTCGACCGCTTTGCGGCCTTCATTGGAAACGGAATGTCTTCACAAAAACTAGATGGAAGCATTCTCAGAAACTTCTTTGTGATGTGTGCATTCAACTCACAGAGTTGAACCGTTCTTTTGATAGAACAGTTTTGAAACACTCTTTTTGTGGAATCTGCAAGTGGCCATTGGGAACGCTTTGAGGTCTGTGGTGGAAAAGGAAATATCTTCACGTGAAACTACACAGAAGAATTCTCAGAAACTTCTTTGGATGTTTGTTTTCAACTAACAGAATTCAACATTCTTTTTCATTGAGCAGTTTTGAAACACTCTTATGTAGAATTTGCAAGTAGATATTTGGACTGCTTTGAGGCCTTCGTTGGAAACGGGATATCTTCACAAAAACTAGACAAAAGGAGTCTCAGAAACAACATTGTCATGTGAGCATTCAACTCACAGAATTGAACTACTCTTTTGATAGAGCAGTTTTTAACACTCTTTTTGTAGAACCAGCAACTGGACATTTGGAGCACTAAGAGGCCTAAGGTTAAAATGGAAATATCTTCACATAAAAACTACACTGAAGCATTCTCAGAAACTTCTTTGTGATGCGTGCATTCAACTCACAGAGTTGAACCTTTCTTTTGATAGATCAGTTTTGAAACAGTCTTTTTGTAGAATCTGCATGTGGACATTTTGAGTGCTTTGAGGCCTATGGTGAATAAGGAAATATTTTCACATAAAAACTACACAGAAGCATTGTCAGAAACTACTTTGTGATGTTTGCTTTCAACTCACAGAGTTGAACATTCGTTTTCATAGAGCTGTTTTGAAACTCTCTTTTTGCAGAATTTCCAAGGGGATATTTGGAGCGCTTTGAGGCCTGTGGTGAAAAAGGAAATATCTTCACGCAAAAATAGACCGAAGCATTCCCAGAAACTTCTTTGTGATGTGTGCATTCAACTCACGGAGTTTAACCTTTCTTTGGATAGATCAGTTTTGAAACAATCTTTTTGTAGAATCTGCAAGTGGACAATTGGGGTGCTTTGAGGCCTATGGTGAAGAAGGATGTATCTTCACAGAAAAACTTCACGGAAGAATTCTCAGAAACTTCTTTGTGATGGCTGCATTCAACTCACAGAGTTGAACCATTCTTTTGATAGAGAAGTTTTGAAACACACTTTTTCTAGAATCTGCATGTGGACATTTGGAGCGCTTTGAGGCCTGTGATGAAAAAGGAAATATTTTCACATAAAAATTACACAGAAGCATTCTCAGAAACTTCTTTGTGCTGTTTGCTTTCAACTCACAGAGTTGAATATTCCTTTTCATAGAGCAGTTTTGAAACACTCTTTTTGTAGTATTTGCAAGTGGATATTTATACTGCTTTGAGGCCTTCGTTGGAAACGGGATATCTTCAAAAAACTAGACAGAAGCATTCTCAGAAACTTCTTTGTGATGTGTGCATTCAACGCACAGAAGTGAACCGTACTTTTGATGGAGCAGTTTTGAAAAACTCTTTTTGAAAAATATGCAAGTGGCCATTTGGAACGCTTTCAGGACTTTGCTGGAAAAGGGAATATCTTCAGATAAAAGTACACAGAAGAATTCTCAGAAACTTCTTTGGATGTTTGTTTTCAACTCACAGAATTGAACATTCCTTTTCATAGAGCAGTTTTGAAACACCCTTATGTAGAATTTGCAAGTGGACATTTGGAGCGCTTTGAGGCCCTCGTTGGAAACGGGAGATCTTCACCAAAACTAGACACAAGCAGTCTCAGAAACTACTTTGTGATGTGTGCATTCAACTCACAGATTTGAACCGTTATTTTGATAGAGCAATTTTGAAACACTCTTTTTGTAGAATCTGCAAGTGGCCATTGGGAACGCTTTGAGGCCTGTGATGGAAAAGGAAATATCTTCAGATGAAACTACACAGAATAATTCTCAGAATCTTCTTTGGATTTTTTTTCAAATCACAGCATTGAACATTCTTTTTCATAGAGCAGTTTTGAAACACTCTTATGTAGAACTTGCAAGTGGATATTTGGAACGCTTTGAGGCCTTCGTTGGAAACGGGATATCTTCACAAAAACTAGACAGAAGCAATCTCTGAAACTACTTTGTGATGTGTGCATTCAGAGTTGAAACTTTCTTTTGATAGAGCCGTTTAGAAACACTTTTTTTTTTTATTATACTTTAAGTTTTAGGGTACATGTGCACATTGTGCAGGTTAGTTACTTATGTATACATGTGCCATGCTGGTGCGCTGCACCCACTAACTCGTCATCTAGCATTAGGTATATCTCCCAATGCTATCCCTCCCCCCTCACCCAACCCCACAACAGTCCCCAGAGTGTGATATTCCCCTTCCTGTGTCCATGTGATCTCATTGTTCAATTCCCACCTATGAGTGAGAATATGCGGTGTTTGGTTTTTTGTTCTTGCGATAGTTTACTGAGAATGATGGTTTCCAATTTCATCCATGTCCCTACAAAGGACATGAACTCATCATTTTTTATGGCTGCATAGTATTCTATGGTGTATATGTGCCACATTTTCTTAATCCAGTCTATCATTGTTGGACATTTGGGTTGGTTCCAAGTCTTTGCTATTGTGAATAATGCCACAATAAACATACATGTGCATGTGTCTTTATAGTAGCATGATTTATAGTCATTTGGGTATATACCCAGTAAAGGGAAGGCTGGGTCAAATGGTATTTCTAGTTCTAGATACCTGAGGAATCGCCACACTGACTTCCACAATGGTTGAACTAGTTTACAGTCCCACCAACAGTGTAAAAGTGTTCCTATTTCTCCACATCCTCTCCAGCACCTGTTGTTTCCTGACTTTTTAATGATTGCCATTCTAGCTGGTGTGAGATGATATCTCATTGTGGTTTTGATTTGCATTTCTCTGATGGCCAGTGATGATGAGCATTTTTTCATGTGTTTTTTGGGTGCATAAATGTCTTCTTTTGAGAAGTGTCTGTTCATGTCCTTCGCCCACTTTTTGATGGGGTTGTTTGTTTTTTTCTTGTAAATTTGTTTGAGTTCATTGTAGATTCTGGATATTAACCCTTTGTCAGATGAGTAGGTTGCGAAAATTTTCTCCCACGTTGTAGGTTGCCTGTTCACTCTGATGGTAGTTTCTCTTGCTGTGCAGAAGCTCTTTAGTTAAATTAGATCCCATTTGTCAATTTTGTCTTTTGTTGCCATTGCTTTTGGTGTTTGAGAGGTGAAGTCCTTGCCCATGCCTATGTCCTGAATGGTAATGCCTAGGTTTTCTTCTAGGGTTTTTATGGTTTTAGGTCTAACGTTTAAATCTTTAACCCATCTTGAATTGATTTTTGTATAAGGTGTAAGGAAGGGATCCAGTTTCAGCTTTCTACATATGGCTAGCCAGTTTTCCCAGCACCATTTATTAAATAGGGAATCCTTTCCCCGTTGCTTGTTTTCTCAGGTTTGTCAAAGATCAGATAGTTGTAGGTATGCGGCGTTATTTCTGAGGGCTCTGTTCTGTTCCATTGATCTATATCTCTGTTTTGGTACCAGTACCATGCTGTTTTGGTTACTGTAGCCTTGTAGTATAGTTTGAAGTCAGGTAGCATGATGCCTCCAGCTTTGTTCTTTTAGCTTAGGATTGACTTGGTGATGCGGGCTCTTTTTTGGTTCCAAATGAACTTTAAAGTAGTTTTTTCCAATTCTGTGAAGAAAGTCATTGGTAGCTTGATGGATATGGCATTGAATCTGTAAATTACCTTGGGCAGTATGGCCATTTTCACGATATTGATTCTTCCTACCCATGAGCATGGAATGTTCTTCCATTTGTTTGTATCCTCTTTTATTTCCTTGAGCAGTTGTTTGTAGTTCTCCTTGAAGAGGTCCTTCACATCCCTTGTAAGTTGGATTCCTGGATATTTTATTCTCTTTGAAGCAATTGTGAATGGGAGTTCACTCATGATTTGGCTCTCTGTTTGTCTGTTGTTGGTGTATAAGAATGCTTGTGATTTTTCTACATTGATTTTGTATCCTGAGACTTTGCTGAAGTTGCTTATCAGCTGAAGGAGATTTTGGGCTGAGACGATGGGGTTTTTTAGATAAACAGTCATGTCGTCTGCAAACAGGGACAATTTGACTTCCTCTTTTCCCAATTGAATACCCTTTATTTCCTTCTCCTGCCTGATTGCCCTGGCCAGAACTTCCAACACTGTGTTGAATAGGAGTGGTGAGAGAGGGCTTCCTTGTCTTGTGCCAGTTTTCAAAGGGAATGCTTCCAGTTTTTGCCCATTCAGTATGATATTGGCTGTGGGTAACTATCCTAAATATATATGTACCCAATACAGGAGCACCCAGATTCATAAAGCAAGTCCTGAGTGACCTACAAAGAGACTTAGACTCCCACACATTAATAATGGGAGACTTTAACACCCCACTGTCAACATTAGACAGATCAATGAGACAGAAAGTCAACAAGGATACCCAGGAAGTGAACTCAGCTCTGCACGAAGCAGACCTAATAGACATCTACAGAACTCTCCAACCCAAATCAACAGAATATACATTTTTTTCAGCACCACACCACACCTATTCCAAAATTGACCACATACTGGGAAGTAAAGCTCTCCTCAGCAAATGTAAAAGAACAGAAATTATAACAAACTATCTCTCAGACCACAGTGCAATCAAACTAGAACTCAGGATTAAGAATCCCACTCAAAGCCGCTCAACTACATGGAAACTGAACAACCTGCTCCTGAATGACTACTGGGTACATAACGAAATGAAGGCAGAAATAAAGATGTTCTTTGAAACCAACGAGAACAAAGACACAACATACCAGAATCTCTGGGACGCATTCAAAACAGTGTGTAGACGGAAATTTATAGCACTAAATGCCCACAAGAGAAAGCAGGAAAGATCCAAAATTGACACCCTAACATCACAATTAAAAGAACTAGAAAAGCAAGAGCAAACACATTCAAAAGCTAGCAGAAGGCAAGAAATAACTAAAATCAGAGCAGAACTGAAGGAAATAGAGACACAAAAAACCCTTCAAAAAATCAATGAATCCAGGAACTGGTTTTTTGAAAGGATCAACAAAATTGATAGACCGCTAGCAAGACTAATAAAGAAAAAAAGAGAGAAGAATCAAATAGACACAATAAAAAATGATAAAGGGGATATCACCACCAATCCCACAGAAATACAAACTACCATCAGAGAATACTACAAACACCTCTACGCAAATGAACTAGAAAATCTAGAAGAAATGGATAAATTCCTCGACACATACACTCTCCCAAGACTAAACCAGGCAGAAGTTGAATCTCTGAATAGACCAATAACAGGAGCTGAAATTGTGGCAATAATCAATAATTTACCAACCAAAAAGAGTCCAGAACCAGATGGATTCACAGCTGAATTCTACCAGAGGTACAAGGAGGAACTGGTACCATTCCTTCTGAAACTATTCCAATCAATAGAAAAAGAGGGAATCCTCCCTAACTCATTTTATGAGGCCAGCATCATTCTGATACCAAAGCCGGGCAGAGACACAACCAAAAAAGAGAATTTTAGACCAATATCCTTGATGAACATTGATGCAAAAATCCTCAATAAAATACTGGCAAAACGAATCCAGCAGCACATCAAAAAGCTTATCCACCATGATCAAGTGGGCTTCATTCCTGGGATGCAAGGCTGGTTCAATATACACAAATCAATAAATGTAATCCAGCATATAAACAGAACCAAAGACAAAAGCCACATGATTATCTCAATTGATGCAGAAAAGGCCTTTGACAAAATTCAACAACCCTTAATGCTAAAAACTCTCAATAAATTAGGTATTGATGGGACGTATTTCAAAATAATAAGAGCTATCTAGAAACACTCTTTATGTAGAATCTGCAAGTGGACATTTGGAGTGTTTTGAGACCCATGTTGAAAAAGGAAATATCTTCCCATAAAAACTACACAGAAGCTTTCTCAGAAACTTCTCTGTGATGTTTGCTTTCAACTCACACAGTTGAACATTTGTTTTGATAGAGCAGTTTTGAAACACTCTTTTTGTAGAATCTGCACGTGGACATTTGGAGCACTTTGAGGCCAGTGGAGAAAAAGGAAATATCCTCACACGAAAACTACACAGAAGCATTCTCAGAATCTTCTTTGTGTTGTTTGCTTTCAACTCACAGAGTTGAACGTTCCTTTTCATGGAGCAGTTTTGAAACAATCTTTTTGTAGAATTTGCAAGTGGATATTTGGACTGCTTTGAGACCTTCGTTGAAACGGGATATCTTCAAAAAGTAGACAAAACCATTCTCAGAAACTTCTTTGTGATATTTGCATTCAATGCACAGTGGTGAACCATTCTTTTGATACAGCATTTTTGAAACACTCTTTTTGTAGAATCTGGAAGTGGCCATTTGGAACGCTTTGAGGCTTGTCTTTTGAAAAGGAAATATCTTCAGATAAAACTACACAGAAGAATTCTCAGAAACTTCTTTGGATGTTTGTTTTCAACTGACAGAATTGAACATTCCTTTTCATAGAGCAGTTTTCAAACACTCTTATGTGGAATTTGCAACTTGATATTTGGACAGCTTTGAGGCTCTCCTTGGAAATGGGATATCTTCACAAAAACTAGATACAAGCAGTCTCAGACACTACTTTACGATGTGTGCATTCAACTCACAGATTTGAACGGTTCTTTTGATAGAGAAATTTTGAAACACACTTTTTGTAGAATCAGCAAGTGGACATTTGGAGCGCTTTGAGGCATCTGGTGAAACAGGAAATATCTTCACAAAAATAGACAGTAGCATTCTCAGAAACTTCTTTGTGATGTGTGCATTCAACTCCCAGAATTTAACCCTTCTTTGGATAGAGCAGTTTTGAAACAATCGTTTTCTAGAATCTGCAAGTGGACAACTGGAGCGCTTTGAGGCCTATGGTGAAAAAGGATATATGTTCACATAAAAACTTCATGGAACCATTCTCAAAAACTTCTTTGTGATGTGTGCATTCAACTCACAGAGTTGAACCGTTCTTTTGATAGAGCAGTTTTGAAACACTCTTTTTGTAGAATCTGCATGTGGATATTTGGAGCGCTTTGAGGACTGTGGTGGAAAAGGAAATATTTTCACATAAAAATTACACTGAAGCATTCTCAGAAACTTCTTTGGGTTGTTTGCTTTCAACTCTCAGAGTTGAATATTCCTTTTCAGAGAGAAGTTTTGAAACACTGTTTTTGTAGAATTTGCAAGTGGATATTTGTACCGCTTTGAGGCCTTCGTTGGAAACGGGATATCTTCACAAAAACTAGACAGAAGCATTCTCAGAATCTTCTTTTTGATGTGTACATTCAACTCACAGGGTTGAACCTTTCTTTTGATAGAGCAGTTTTGAAACACACTTTTTGTAGTATCTGCAAGTGGACAATTGGAGCTCTTCTGGGCCTTTGGTGAAAAAGAACGTATCTTCACAGAAAAACTACACAGAGGCATTCTCAGAAACTACTTTGTGATGTGTGCATTCAACTCACAGAGTTGAACCTTTCTTTTGATGGATTAGTTTTGAAACACTCCTTTTGTAGAATCTGAAAGTGGGCATTTGGAGCGATTTGAGGCCTATGGTAAAAAGGAAATATCTTCACATACAAACTAGACAGAAGCATTCTCAGAAACTTCTTTGTGATGTGTGCATTCAACTCACAGAGTTGAACGTTTCTTTTGATAGAGCAGTTGTGAAACATTCTTTTTTTAGGATCTGCTTGTGGACATTTGGAGCGCTTTGAGGCCTATGTTGAATAAGGAAATATCTTCGCATAAAAACTACACAGAAGCATTCTCAGAAACTACTTTGTGATGTTTGCTTTCAACTCACAGAGTTGAACATTCCTTTTCATAGAGCCGTTTTGAAACTCTCTTTTTGCAGAATTTGCAAGTGGATACTTGTAACGCTTTGAGTACTGTGGTGAAAAAGGAAATATCTTCACATGAAAAGTAGACAGAAGCATTCTCAGAAACTTCTTTGTGATGTGTTCATTCAAATCGCAGAGTTGAACCTTTCTTTTGATAGAGCAGTTTTGAAACAGTCTTTTTGTAGAATCTGCATGTGGACATTTGGAGCGCTTTGGGGCCTATGGTGAATAAGGAAATATCTTCACATAAAAACTATGCAGAAGCATTCTCAGAAAATACTTTGTGATATTTGCTTTCAACTCATGGAGTTGAACATTTCTTTTCATAGAGCCGTTTTGAAACTGTCTTTTTGTGGAATTTGCAAGTGGATATTTGGAGCGCTTTGAGGCCTGTGGTGAAAAAGTAAATATGTTCACATAAAAATAGACAGAAGCATTCTCAGAAACTTCTTTGTGATGTGCGCATTCAACTCACAGTGTTTAACCTTTCTTTGTACAGAGCAGTTTTGAAACAATGTTTTTGTAGAATCTGCAAGTGGACATTTGGGGCGCTTTGGGGCCTATGGTGAAAAAGGATATATATTCACATAAAAACTTCATGGAAGCATTCTCAGAAACTTCTTTGTGATGTGTGCATTCAACTCACAGAGTTGAACCATTCTTTTGATAGAGCAGTTTTGAAACACTCTTTTTGTAGAATCTGCATGTGGACATTTGGAGCGCTTTGAGGCCTGTTGTTAAAAAGGGAATATTTTCACATAAAAATTACACAGAAGCATTCTCAGAAACTTCTTTGTGTTGTTTGTTTTCAACTCTCAGAGTTGAGTATTCCCTTTCATAGAGAAGTTTTGAAACACTCTTTTTGTAGAATTTGCAAGTGGATATTTGTACTGCTTTGAGGCCTTCATTGGAAGTGGGATATCTTCACAAAAACCAGACAGAAGCATTCTCAGAAACTTCTTTGTGATGTGTACATTCAACTCACAGGGTTGAACATTTCTTTTGATAGAGCAGTTTTGAAACACTCTTTTTGTAGAATATGTAAATGGAAATTGGAGCTCGTTTGGACCTATGGTGAAAAAGGAAGAATCTTCACATAAAAACTACACAGAAGCATTCTCAGAAACTTCTTTGTGATGTGTGCATTGAACTCACAGAGTTGAACCTTACTTTTGATAGAGCAGTTTTCAAACACTCTTTCTCTAGAATCTGCATGTGGACATTTGGAGCGCTTTGAGGCATGTGGTGAAAAAGGACATATTTTCACATAAAAATTACACAGAAGCATTCTCAGAAACTTCTTTGTGTTGTTTGCTTTCAACTCTCAGAGTTGAATATTCCTTTTCATAGAGAAATTTTGAAACACTCTTTTTGTAGAATTTGAAAGTGGATATTTCTACCGCTTCGAGGCCTTTGTTGGAAACGGAATATCTTCACAAAAACTAGACAGAAGCATTCTCAGAAACTTCTTTGTGATGTGTAAATTCAACTCACAGGGTGGAACATTTCTCTTGATAGAGCAGTTTTGAATCGCACTTTTTGTAGGATCTGCAAGTGGACAATTGGAACTCTATTGGGCCTATGGTGAAAAGGAAGTATCTTCACATAAAAACTACACAGAAGCATTCTCAGAAACTTCTTTGTGATGTGTGCATTCAACTCACAGAGTTGAACATTTCTTTTGATAGAGCAGTTTTGAAACACTCCTTTTGTAGAATCTGCAAGTGGACATTTGGAGCGCTTTGAGACCTGTGGAGAAAAAGGAAATATCTTCCCATAAAAACTAAACAGAAGCTCTCTCAGAAACTACTCTGTGATGTTTGCTTTGAACTCACAGAGGTGAACCTGTCTTTTGATACAGGAGTTTTGAAACACTTTTTTTTTAGAATCAGCAAATGAACTTTTGGAACGCTTTGAGGCCTATGGTGAAAAGGAAATATCTTCACATAAAAACGACACAGAAGAATTCTCAGAAACTTCTTTATGATGTTTTCTTTCAACACACAGAGTTAAATATTCCTTTTAATAGAGCAATTTGGAAACACTCTTTTTGTAGAATTTGCAAGTGGATATTTGGACCTCTTTGAGGCCTTCTTTGGCAACGTTATATCTTCACAAAAACTAGACGGAAGCATTCTCAGAAACTTCTTTGTGATATTTGCATTCAAATCACAGAGTTGAACCTTTCTTTTGAAAGAGCAGTTTAGAAACACTTTTTATGTAGTATCTGCAAGTGTACATTTGGAGCGCTTTGAAGCCTATGGTGAAAAAGGAAATATCTTCCTGTAAAAACTACACAGAAGATTTCTCAGAAATCTCTTTGTGATGTTTGCTTTCAACCCACAGAGTTGAATCTTTCTCTTGATACAGCAGTTTTGAAACACTCCTTTTGTAGAAATTGCATGTGGACATTTGGAGCACCTTGAGGCCTGTGGAGAAAATGGAAATATCTACACACGAAATCTGCACAGAAGCATTTTCAGAAACAACTTTGTGTTGTTTGCTTTCAACTCAGAGTTGAACATTCCTTTTCATAGAGCAGTTTTGTAACACTCTTATGTAGAATTTGCAAGTGGACATTTGGACCTCTTTGAGGCCCTCGTTGGGAACGAGATATCTTCACAAAAACTAGACACAAGCAGTCTCAGAAACTTCTTAGTGATGTGTGCATTCAACTCACAATGTTGAACAATTCTTTTGATAGAGCAGTTTTGAAACACTCTTTTTGTAGAATCTGCATGTGGACATTTGGAGCACTTTGAGGCCTGTGATGAAAAAGGAAATATTTTCACATAAAAACTACACAGAAGCATTCTTAGAAACTTCTTTGTGTTGTTTGCTTTCAACTCCCAGAGTTGAATATTTCTTTTCATGGAGAAGGTTTGAAACATTCTTTTTGTAGAATTTGCAAGTGGATATTTTGATCGCTTAGAGCCCTTCTTTGGAAATGGGATATCTTCACAAAAACTAGACAGAAGAATTCTCAGAAACTTCTTTGTGATGTGTACATTCAACTCATAGAGTTGAACCTTTCTTTTGAGAATGCTGTTTTGAAACACTCTTTTTGTACTATCTATTGGAAACAGGATATCTTAACCGAAACTAGACAGAAGCATTCTCAGAAACTTCTTTGTGAAGTGTGTATTCAACTCACAGAGTTGAACCGATCTTTTGACCAAGCAGTTTAGAAACACTCTTTTTGTAGTATCTGCAAGTGGACATTTGGTGCTCTTTGAGGCCTATGGTGAAAAAGGATATATCTTCACTTGAAAACTAGACAGAAGCATTCTCAGAAACTTCCTTGTGATGTGGGCATTCAACTCACAGAGTTGAACCACTCTTTGGATAGAGCAGTTTTGAAACACTCTGTTTGTGGAATCTGCAAGGGGACATTTGGAGTGTTTTGAGGCCTATGGTGAAAAAGGAAATATCTTCACATAAAAACTACACAGAAGCAATCTCTAAAACTTGTTTGTGATGTGTGCATTCAACTCACAGAGTTGAACATTCCTTTTCATAGAGCCGTTTTGAAACACACTTTTTGTGGAATCTGCAAGTCGACATTTGGAGCACTTTGAGGCCTGAAATGAAAAAGGAAATATCTTCACATAAAAACTACACGGAAGCATTCTAAGAAACTTCTTTGTGATGTTTCCTTTCAACCCACAGAGTTGAACATTCTTTTTCATAGAGCAGTTTGGAAACCCTCTTTTTGTATAATTTGCAAGTGGATATTTCGACAGCTTTGAGGCCTTCATTGGAAATCGGGATATCTTCACAAAACTAGACAGAAGCATTATCAGAAACTACCTTGTGATGTGTTCACTCAACTCACAGAGTTGAACGGTTGTTTTGATGAAGCAGTTTTGAAACACTCTTTTTGTAGGATCTGCAAGTGGACATTTGGAGCACTTTGAGGCCTGTGGTGAAGAAGGAAATATCTTCACATAAAAACTACACAGAAGCATTCTCAGAAACTGCTTTGTGATGTTTGCTTTCAACTCACAGAGTTGAACATTCCTTTTCTTAGAGCAGTTTTGAAACACTCTTTTTATAGAATTTGCAAGTGGATATTTGGACCGCTTTGAGGCATTCGTTGGATACGGGATATCTTCACATAAAAACTAGAGAGAAGCATTCCCAGAAACTTCTTTGTGATGTGTGCGTTCACTTCTCAGAGTTGAACTTTTCTTTTGATAGAACAGTTTTGAAACACTCTTTTTGAAGAATCTGCAAATGGACATTTGGAGCGCTTAGAGGCCTAAAGTGAAAAAGGAAATATCTTCTCATAAAAAGTAGACAGAAGCATTCTCAGAATATACTTTCTGATTTGTGCATTCAACTCACAGAGTTGAACCTTAATTTTGATAGATTAATTTTGAAACACTCTTTTTGTAGAATCTGCAATTGGACATTTGGAGCACTTTAAGGCCTATGGTGAAAAAGGAAATATCTTCACGTAAAAACTACACAGAGGAATTCTCAGAAACTTCTTTGTAATGTGTGAATTCAACTCACAGAGTTGAACCCTTCTTTGATAGAACATTTTTGAAACACTGTTTTTGTAGAATCTGCTAGTGGACATTTGGAGGGGTTTGAGGCCTATGGTGAAACAGGAAGTATCTTCACATAAAAAGTAGACAGAAGCATTCTCAGAAACTTCTTTGGGATGTGTGTATTCAAATCACAGAGCTGTACCATTCTTTTGATAGAGCAGTTTTGAAACACTCCTTTTGTAGAATCTGTAACTGGACATTTGGAGCACTTTGAGACCGGTGGTGAAAAAGGAAATATCTTCACATAAAAACTACACAGAAGCATTCTCAGAAACCTCATTGTGTTGTTTGCTTTCAACCCACAGAGTTGAACATTCTTTTCCATAGAGCAGTTTTGAAACCCTCTTTTTGTATAATTTGCAAGTGGATATTTGGACCGATTTGAGGCCTTTGTTGGAAACGTTCTATCTTCACAAAAACTAGACAGAAGCATTCTCAGAAACGTCTTTGTGATGTGTGTATTCAACACACAGAGTTGAACCTTTCTTTTGACAGAGCAGTTTTGAAACACTCCTTTTGTAGAATCTGCAAGTGGACATTTGGAGCACTTTGAGGCCTGTGGTGAAAAAGGAAATATCTTCACATAAAAACTACACAGAAGTATTCTCAGAAACTTCTTTCTGATGTGTGCATTCAACTCACAGAATTGAACCTTTCTTTTGATAGAGCAGTTTTGAAACACTCTTTTTTCAGAATATGCAAGTGGACATTAGGATCGCTTTGAAGCCTCAATGAAAAAGGAAATATCTTCACAGAAAAACCACATGGAAGGATTCTAAGAAACTTCTTGGTGATGTTTCCTTTCAACCCCACAGAGTTGAGCATTCTTTTTCATAGAGCGGTTTGGGAAGCCTCTTTTTGTATAATTTGCAAATGGATATTTGGACCACTTTGAGGCCTTCGTTGGAAATCGGGATATCGTCACAAAAACTAGACAGAAGTATTATCAGAAACTACTTTGTGATGTGTGCAATCAACTCACAGAGTTGAACGGTTGTTTTGACAGAGCAGTTTTGAAACACTCTTTTTGTAGGATCTGCAAGTGGACATTTGGAGCGCTTTGAGGCCTGTGGTGAAAAAGGAAATATCGTCACATAAAAACTACACAGAAGCATTCTCAGAAACTACTTTGTGATGTTTGCTTTCAACTCACAAAATTGAACATTCCTTTTCTTAGAGCAGTTTTGAAACACTCTTTTTGTAGAATTTGCAAGTGGATATTTTGACCACTTTGAGGCCTTCGTTGGATATGGGATATCTTCACTTAAAAACTAGAAAGAAGCATTCCCAGAAACTTCTTTTTGATGTGTGCATTCACCTCACAGAGTTGAACTTTTCTTTTGAGAGAGCAGTTTTGAAACACGCTTTTTAAAGGATCTGCAAGTGGACATTTGGAGCTCATTGAGGCCTAAAGTGAAACAGGAAATATCTTCTCATAAAAACTAGAGAGAAGCATCCTCAGAATATTCTTTATGATGTGGAAATTCAACTCACAGAGTTGAACCTTAATTTTGTTAGAGCAATTTTGAAACATTCTTTTTGTAGAATCTGCAAGTGGACATTTGGAGCGCTTTGAGGCGTATGGTGAAAAAGGAAACATCTTCATATTAAAGGTAGACAGAAGCATTCTCAGAAATTTCTTTGTGATGTGTGTATTCAAGTTACAGAGTTGAACCTTTCTTTTGAGAGAGCCGTTTTGAAACACTCTTTTTGTACTATCTGCAAATGGACATCTGGAGCGCTTTGAGACCTTTGTTGAAAAAGGATATATCTTCACAAAAAACTAGACCGAAGCATTCTGAGAAACTTATTTCTTATGTTAGCTTTCAACTCGCAGAGTTGAGCACTCCTTTTCATAGAGCCATTTTGAAACACTCTTTTTGTAGAATTCGCAAGTGGAGATTTGGACCGTTTGAGGCCTTCGTTGGAAACAGGATATCTTAACAGAAACTAGACAGAAGCATTCTCAGAAACTTCTTTGTGAAGTGTGCATTCAACTCACAGAGTTGAACCGATCTTTTGACCAAGCAGTTTAGAAACACTCTTTTTGTAGTATCTGCAAGTGGACATTTGGTGCTCTTTGAGGCCTATGGTGAAAAAGGATATATCTTCACTTGAAAACTAGACAGAAGCATTCTCAGAAACTTCCTTGTGATGTGGGCATTCAACTCACAGAGTTGAACCACTCTTTGGATAGAGCAGTTTTGAAACACTCTGTTTGTGGAATCTGCAAGGGGACATTTGGAGTGTTTTGAGGCCTATGGTGAAAAAGGAAATATCTTCACATAAAAACTACACAGAAGCAATCTCTAAAACTTGTTTGTGATGTGCGCATTCAACTCACAGAGTTGAACATTCCTTTTCATAGAGCCGTTTTGAAACACACTTTTTGTGGAATCTGCAAGTCGACATTTGGAGCACTTTGAGGCCTGAAATGAAAAAGGAAATATCTTCACATAAAAACTACACGGAAGCATTCTAAGAAACTTCTTTGTGATGTTTCCTTTCAACCCACAGAGTTGAACATTCTTTTTCATAGAGCAGTTTGGAAACCCTCTTTTTGTATAATTTGCAAGTGGATATTTCGACAGCTTTGAGGCCTTCATTGGAAATCGGGATATCTTCACAAAACTAGACAGAAGCATTATCAGAAACTACCTTGTGATGTGTTCACTCAACTCACAGAGTTGAACGGTTGTTTTGATGAAGCAGTTTTGAAACACTCTTTTTGTAGGATCTGCAAGTGGACATTTGGAGCACTTTGAGGCCTGTGGTGAAGAAGGAAATATCTTCACATAAAAACTACACAGAAGCATTCTCAGAAACTGCTTTGTGATGTTTGCTTTCAACTCACAGAGTTGAACATTCCTTTTCTTAGAGCAGTTTTGAAACACTCTTTTTATAGAATTTGCAAGTGGATATTTGGACCGCTTTGAGGCATTCGTTGGATACGGGATATCTTCACATAAAAACTAGAGAGAAGCATTCCCAGAAACTTCTTTGTGATGTGTGCGTTCACTTCTCAGAGTTGAACTTTTCTTTTGATAGAACAGTTTTGAAACACTCTTTTTGAAGAATCTGCAAATGGACATTTGGAGCGCTTAGAGGCCTAAAGTGAAAAAGGAAATATCTTCTCATAAAAAGTAGACAGAAGCATTCTCAGAATATACTTTCTGATTTGTGCATTCAACTCACAGTGTTGAACCTTTCTTTTGGCAGAGCAGTTTTGAAACTTGGAGCGCTTTGAGGCCTGTGGTGAAAAAGGAAATATCTTCACATAAAAACTACACAGAAGCATTCTCAGAAACCTCATTGTGTTGTTTGCTTTCAACCCACAGAGTTGAACATTCTTTTTCATAGAGCAGTTTTGAAACCCTCTTTTTGTATAATTTGCAAGTGGATATTTGGACCGATTTGAGGCCTTTGTTGGAAACATGCTATCTTCACAAAAACTAGAAAAACCATTCTCAGAAACTTCTTTTTGAAGTTTGCATTCAAATCAGAGAGTTGAACATGCCTTTTAATAGAGCAGTTTTGAAACACTCTTTTTGTAGAATCTGCAACTGGACATTTGGAGCGCTTTGAGACCTATGGTGAAAAAGGAAATGTCTTCACATAAAAACTACACAGAAGCATTCTCAGAAACCTCTTTGTGTTGTTTGCTTTCAACCCACAGAGTTGATCATTCTTTTTCATAGAGCAGTGTGGAAAAACTCTTTTTGTAGAGTTTGCAAGTGGATATTTGGACCGATTTGAGGCCTTTGTTGGAAATGGTCTATCTTCACATAAACTACACAGAAGCATCCCCAGAAACTTCTTTGTGATGTGTGCCTTCAATTCACGGAGTTGAACATTTCTTTTCATAGAGCAGTTATGAAACACCGTTTTTGTAGAATCTGCCAGTGATCATTTGTGGAGCTTTGAGGTCTGCGGTGAAAAAGGAAATATCTTCACATAAAAACTAGACAGAGGCATTCTCAGAAACTTCTTTGTGATGTGTGCATTCAACTCTTAGAGTTGAACGTTGCTTTTGATAGAGCAGTTTTGGAACGCTCTTTTTGTATAATCTGTAAGTGGACATTTAGTACGCTTTGAGGTCTATGCTGAAAAAGGAAATATCTTCACATAAAAACTAGACAGAAGCATTATCAGAAACTTCTTTGTGATGTGTGCTTTCAACTCACAGAGTTGAACATTCCTTTTGATAGAAGAGTTTTGAAAGGCTCTTTTTGTAGAATCTGTAACCTAATATTTGAATCGCTTTGAGGAATTCGTTTGAAACGGTAATATCTTCACATAAAAATTAGACTGAAGCATTCTCAGAAACTTCTTGTGATAAGTGCATTCAGCTAACAGAGTTGAACCTTTCTGTTGATAGAAGAGATTTGAAACACTCTTTTTGTAGAATCTGCAGGTGGATATTTGGACCGCTTTGAGGACTTCAATGGAAATGAGAATATCTTCATATAAAAGCTAGACAGAAGCATTATCAGAAACTACTTTCTGATGTATGCATTCAACACATAGAGTTCAACCTTTGTTTTGATAGAGCCGTTTTGAAACACTGTTTTTGTAGAATCTGCAAGGGGACATTTGGAGCGCTTGAGGCCTATGGTGAAAAAGGAAATTTCTTCATATAAAAACTGGCAGAAGCATTCTCAGAAACTTCCTTGTGATGTGTGTATTCAACTCACAGAGTTGAACATTGCTTTTGATTCAGCAGTTTTGAAACTTGTAGAATCTGCAAGTGGATATATGGACCACTAAGAGGAATTTGCTGGAAACTGTGTATTTTCACATAAAAACCAGACAGAAACATACTCAGAAACCTCTTTGTGATGTGTGCATTTAAATCACGGAGTTGACCATTCCTTTTGATAGAGCAGTTTTGAAACACTCTTTTTGTAGAATCTGCATGTGGACATTTGGAGCACTTTGAGGCCTATGGTAAAAAAGAAAATATCTTCTCATAACAAATAGAAAGAAGCATTCTCAGAAACTTCTTTATGATGTGTGCATTCAACTCACAGAGTTGAACATTCCTTTTGATAGAGCTGTTTTGAAACACTCTTTTTGTAGAATCTGCAAGTGGACATTTGGATCACTTTGAGGCCTTCGATCGAAATGGGAATGTCTTCACATAAAAACTAGACGGAAAAATTCTGAGAAACTTCCTTGTGATATGTGCCTTTAACCCACAGATTTGAACAGTTCTTTTGATAGAGCAGTTTTGAAACACTCTCTTTATAGAATCTGCAAGTGGACATTTGGTGTGCTTTGAGGCCTGTGGTGAAAAAGGAAATATCTTCACATAAAAACTAGAAAGAAGCATGCTCAGAAACTTCTTTATGATGTGTGAACTCAACTCACATAGTTGAATCTTTCTTTTGGTAGAGCAGTTTAGAAACACTCTCTTTGTAGTATCTGCAGGTGGATATTTGGACAGCTTTGAGGCTTTCATTGGAAACGGGAATATCTTCAAATAAAAACTAGACAGAAGCATTCTCAGAAACTTTTTTGTGATGTGTGTATCCAACTCACAGAGTTGAGCATTCTTTTTCATAGAGCAGTTTTGAAACACTCTTTTTGTACAATCTGCAAGTCGACATTTGGAGCGCTTTGAGGCCTTTGTTCGAAACGGGAATATCTTCACATAAAAACTAGAAAGACCCATTCTCAGAAACTTCTTTGTGATGTGTGCATTCAACTCACTGAGTTGAACCCTTCTTTTGAGAGAGCAGTTCTGAAACACTCTCTTTGTAGTATCTGCAAGTGGACTTTTGGTGTGCTTCGAGGCCTATGGTGAAAAAGAAAATATCTTAACATAAAAACTAGACAGAAGCATTCTCAGAAACTACTTAGTGATGTGTGCATTTAACACACAGAGTTCAACTTTCCTTTTCATAGAGCAGTTTTGAAACACTCTTTCTGTAGAGTTTGCAAGTGGACATTTGGAGCGCTTGGAGGCCTATGGTGAAAAAGGAAATATCTTAACATAAAAACAAGACAGAAGCAATCTCAGAAACTTCTTTGTGATGTGTGCACTCAACTGACCCAGGTGAAACTTTCTTTTGATAGAGCAGTTTTGAAACACTCTTTTTGTAGAATCTGCAAGTGGACATTTGGAGTGATTTGTGGCCTTCATTGGAAATGGGAATATCTTTACATAAAAACTAGACAGAAGCATTTTCAGAAATTTATTTGTGATGTTGGCATTTAACTCAAAGAGTTCAACATTCTTTTTCATAGAGCAGTTTTCAAACCCTCTTTGTGTAGAATATGCAAGTGGACATTTGGAGCGCTTGGAGGCCTATGGTGAAAAGGAAATATCTTCACATAAAAACTAGACAGAAGCATTCTCAGAAACTACTTTTTGATGTGTGTACTCACCTCACAGAGTTGAACACTTCTTTTGCTAGAGCAGTTTTGTAACCCTCTTTTTGAAGCATTTATAAGTGGATATTTGGACAGCTTTGAGGCTTTCGTTGGAACCGGGAATATCTTAACATAAAAACTAGACAGAAGCCTTCTCAGAAACTTCTTTGTGATGTGTGCATTCAACTCACAGTGTTGAAACTTTCTTTAAATAGTGCAGATTTGAAACACTCTTTTTGTAGAATTTCCAAGTGGATATTTAGAGAGCTTTGAGGCCTTCGTAGGAAAAGGGAGTATCATAACATAAAAACTAGGCAGAAGCATTCTCAGAAACTTCTTTGTGATGTTTGCATTCAACTCACACAGTTGACCGTTACTTTTCATGGAGCAGTTTTAAACAATCTTTTTGTAGAATCTGGAGGTAGACATTTGGAGCGCTTTGAGGCCTACTGTGAAAAGGAAATATCTTCACATAAAAACTAGACAGAAGCATTTTCAGAAACTTCATTGTGATGTGTGTACTCAACTCACAGAGATGAACCTTACTTTTGATAGAGCAGTTTTGAAACTCACTTTTTGTAGAATCTGCAAATGGTTATTTGGACAGCTTTGAGGCTTTCGTTGGAAACGGGAATATATTCACGTAAAAACTAGACTGAATCATTCTCAGAAACTTCTTTGTGATGTGTGTATTCAACTCACAGAGTTGAACATTCCTTTTCATAGAGCAGTTTTGAAACACTCTTTTTGTACAATCTGCAAGTCGACATTTGGAGCGCTTTGAGGTCTTCGTTCGAAACGGGAATATCTTCACATGAAAACTAGAAAGAACCATTCTCAGAAACTTCTTTGTGATGTGTGCATTCAACCCACTGAGTTGAACCCTTCTTTTGAGAGAGTAGTTCTGAAACACTCTCTTTGTAGAATCTGCAAGTGGACGTTTTGTGTGCTTTGAGGCCTATGGTGAAAAAGGAAATATCTTAACATAAAAACTAGACAGAAGCATTCTCAGAAACTTCTTTGTGATGTGTGCATTTAACTCACAGAGTTCAACTTTCCTTTTCACAGAGCAGTTTTGAAACACTCTTTGTGTAGAGTCTGCAAGTGGACATTTGGAGTGCTTGGAGGCCTATGGTGAAAAAGGAAATATCTTCACATAAAAACTAGACAGAAGCATTCTCAGAAACTTCTTTTTGATGTGTGTACTCACCTCACAGAGATGAACCCTTCTTTTGGTAGAGCAGTTTTGTAACCCTCTTTTTGAAGCATTTGCAAGTGGATATTTGGACAGCTTTGAGGCTTTCGTTGGAACCGGGAATATCTTAACATAAAAACTAGACAGAAGCCTTCTCAGAAACTTCTTTGTGATGAGAGCATTCAACTCACAGTGTTGAAACTTTCTTTAAATGGTGCAGATTTGAAACACTCTTTTTGTAGAATTTCCAAGTGGATATTTAGACAGCTTTGAGGACTTCGCTGGAAACGGGAGTATCTTAACATAAAAACTAGGCAGAAGCATTTTCAGAAACTTCCTTGTGATGTTTGCATTCAACACACATATTTGACCATGACTTTTCATTGAGCAGTTTTGAAACACTCTTTCTGTAGAATCTGCAGGTAGACATTTGGAGTGCTTTGAGGCCTACTGTCAAAAGGAAATGTCTTCACATAAAAACTAGACAGAAGCATTCTCAGAAACTTCATTGTGATGTGTGTACTCAACTCACAGAGTTGAACCTTTCTTTTGATAGAGCAGTTTTGAAACTCTCTTTTTGTAGAATCTGCAAATGGTTATTTGGACATCTTTGAGGCTTTCATTGAAAACGGGAATATCTTCGAATAAAAACTAGACAGAAGCATTCTCAGAAACTTCTTTGTGATGTGTGTATTCAACTCACAGAGCTTAACATTCCTTTTCATAGAGCAGTTTTGAAACACTCTTTTTGTAGAATCTGCAAGTCGACATTTGGAGCGCTTTGAGACCTTCGTTCGAAACGGGAATATCTTCACATAAAAACTGGAAAGAACCATTCTCAGAAACTTCTTTGTGATGTGTGCATTCAACTCACAGAGTTCAACCCTTCTTTTGAGAGAGCAGTTCTGAAACACTCTCTCTGTAGAATTTGCTGGTGGACTTTTGGTGTGCTTTGAGGCCTATGGTGAAAAAGGAAATATCTTAACATAAAAATAAGACAGAAGCATTCTCAGAAACATCTTTGTGACGTGTGCACTCAACTCACAGGGTTGAAACTTTCTTTTGATAGAGCAGTTTTGAAACACTCTTTTTGTAGAATCTGCAAGTGGATATTTGGAGCACTTTGTGGCCTTCATTGGAAATGGGAATACCTTTACATAAAAACTAGACAGAAGCATTCTCAGAAACTTCTTTATGATGTTTGCATTTAACCCACAGAGTTCAACATTCTTTTTCATAGAGCAGTTCTGAAACACTCTTTGTGTAGAATTTGCAAGTGGACATTTGGAGAGCTTGGAGGCCTATGGTGAAAAAGGAAATATCTTCACATAAAAACTAGACAGAAGCATTCTCAGAAACTTCTTTTTGATGTGTGTACTCACCTCACAGAGATGAACCCTTCTTTTGGTAGAGCAGTTTTGTAACCCTCTTTTTGAAGCATTTACAAGTGGATATTTGAACAGCTTTGAGGCTTTCGTTGGAACCAGGAATATCCTAACATAAAAACTAGACAGAAGCCTTCTCAGAAACTTCTTTGTGATGTGTGCATTCAACTCACAGTGTTGAAACTTTCTTTAAATAGTGCAAATTTGAAACACCCTTTTTGTAGAATTTCCAAGTGGATATTTAGACAGCTTTGAGGCCTTCGCAGGAAAAGGGAGTATCATAACATAAAAACTAGGCAGAAGCATTCTCAGAAACTTTTTTGTGATGTTTGCATTCAAGTCACACAGTTGACCATTACTTTTCATTGAGCAGTTTTGAAACACTGTTTTTGTAGGATCTGCAGGTAGACATTTGGAGCGTTTTGAGGCCTACTGTGAAAAGGAAATATCTTCACATAAGAACTAGACAGAAGCATTCTCAGAAACTTCATTGTGATGTGTTTACTCAACTCACAGAGTGGAACCTTTCTTTTGATACAGCAGTTTTGAAACACTCTATTTGTAGAATCTGCAAGCGGATATTTGAATAGTTTTGAGGCTTTCGTTGGAAACGGGAATATCTTCACGTAAAAACTAGACAGAAGCATTCTCAGAAACTTCTTTGTGATGTGTGTATTCAACTCACAGAGTTGAACATTCCCTTTCATAGAGCAGTTTTGAAACACTCTTTTTGTAGAATCTACAAGTCGACATTTGGAGCGCTTTGAGGCCTTCGTTCGAAATGGGAATATCTTCACATAAAAACTATAAAGAACCATTCTCAGAACCTTTTTGTGATGCGTGCGTTCAACTCACAGAGTTGAACCCTTCTTTTGAAAGTGCAGTTCTGAAACACTCTCTTTGTACTATCTGCAAGTGGAATTTTGGTATGCTTTGAGGCCTATGGTGAAAAAGGAAATATTTTAACATGAAAACAGGACAGAAGCATTCTCAGAAACACCTTTGTGATGTGTGCATTTAACTCACAGAGTTCAACTTTCCTTTTCATATAGCAGTTTTGAAACACACCTTGTGTAGAGTCTGCAAGTGCACATTTGGAGCGCTTGGAGGCCTAATGGGAAAAAGGAAATATCTTCACATAAAAACTAGACAGAAGCATTCTCAGAAACTTCTTTTTGATGTGTGTACTCAATTCACAGAGATGAACCTTTCTTTTGCTAGAGCAGTTTTGAAACCCTCTTTTTACATTATTTGCAAGAGGATATTTGGACAGCTTTGAGGCCTTCACTCGAAACGGGAATATCTTCACATAAAGACTAGACAGAAGCATTCTCAGAAACTTCTTTGTGATGTTTGCATTCAACTCACAGAGTTGAACATTCCTTTTCATATAGCAGTTTTGAAGCACTCTTTTTGTAGAATATTCAAGTGGACATTTGGAGCGCTTTGAGGCCTATGGTGAAAAAGGGAACATCTTCACATAAAAACTAGACAGAAGCATTCTCAGAAACTTCTTTTTGATGTGTGTACTCAACTCACAGATTTGAACATTTCTTTTGATAGAGCAGTTTTGAAACACTCTCTTTGTAGTATCTGCAAGTGGATATTTGGACTCTTTGAGGCTTTCTTTGGAAACGGGAATATCTTCACATAAAAGCTAGACAGAAGCATTCTCAGAAACTACTTCGTGACGTTTGCATTCAACTCAGAGAGTAGAACATTGCTTTTCATGGAGCAGTTTTGAAACACTCTTTTTGTTGGATCTGCAAGTGGACATTTGGAGCGCTTGGAGGCCTATGGTGAAAAAGAAATATCTTCACATAAAAACTAGACAGAAGCCGTCTCATAAACTTCTCTTTGATGTGTGTACTCAACTCACAGAGATGAACTTTTCTTTTGCTAGAGCAGTTTTGTAATCCTCTTTTTGAAGCATTTACAAGTGGATATTCGGACAGCGATGAGGCTTTCATTGGAAACGGGAATATCTTAACATAAAAACTAGACTGAAGCCTTCTCAGAAACTTCTTTGTGATGTGTGCATTCAACTCCCAGTGTTGAAACTTTCTTTTGATAGAGCAGATTGGAAACACTCTCTTTGTAGAATCTACAAGTGTATATTTGTACAGCTTTAAGGCTTTCGTTGGAAACGGGAATATCTTCACTTAAAAACTAGACAGAAGCATTCTCAGAAACTTCTCTTTGATGTTTCGCATTCAGCTCACAGAGTTGAACATTCCTTTCCATAGAGCACTTTTGAAACACTCTTTTTGTAGTATCTGCAAGTGGGCATTTGGAGAGCTTTGAGGCCTGTGGTGAAAAAGGAAATATCTTCACATAAAAACTAGATAGAAGCATTCTCAGAAACTTCTTTGTGATGTGTGCATTCAACTCACAGAGTTGAACATTCCTTTTCATAGAGCAGTTTTGAAACTCTCTTTTTGTAGAATCTGCAAGTGGACATTTTGACCACTTTGAGGCCTTCATTCGAAACGGGAATATCTTCAAATAAAAGTACACAGAAGCATTCTCAGAAACTTCTTTGTGATGTGTGCATTCAACTCACAGAGTTGAACCCTTCTTTTGATACAGCAGTTTTGAAACACTCTCTTCGTAGAATCTGCAATTGGACATTTGGTGTGCTTTGAGGCCTATGGTGAAAAAAGAAATAACTTTACATAAAAACTAGACAGAAGCATTCTCAGAAACTTCTTTCTGATGTTTGCGTTTAACTCACAGAGTTGAACAGTCCTTTTCATAGAGCAGTTTGAAACACTCTTTTTGTAGAATCTGCAGGTGGACATTTGGAGCGCTTGGAGGCCTATGATGAAAAAGGAAATATCTTCACATAAAAACTAGACAGAAACATTCTCAGAAACTGCTTTTTTGATGTGTGTACTCACCTCACAGAGATGAACATTTCTTTTTCTAGAGCAGTTTTTAAACACCCTTTTGGAAGCATTTACAAGTGGATAATTGGAGAGCTTTGAGGCTTTCGTTGGAAACCGGAATATCTTCACATAAACACTGGAACGAAGCATTCTCAGAAACTTCCTTGTGATGTGTGCATTCAACTTACAGTGTTGTAACTTTCTTTTGATAGCGTAGATTGGAAACACTCTTTTTGTAGAATTTGCAATTGGATATTTGGACACCTTTGAGGCCTTCGCTGAAAACGGGTTTATCTTCACATAAAAACTAGACAGAAGCATTCTCAGAAACTTCTTTGTGATGTTTGCATTCAACTCACAGAGTTGAACATTCCTTTTCATAGAGCAGTTTTGAAACACACTTTTTGCAGAATCTGCAAGTGGACACATGGAGCGCTTTGAGGCCTATGGTGAAAACGGAAATATCTTCACATAAAAACTAGACACAAGCATTCTCAGAAACTTCTTTTTGATATGTATACTCAACTCACAGAGTTAAACTTTCTTTTGATAGATCAGTTTTGAAACATTCTTCTTGTAGAATTTACAATTGGATATTAGGACAGCCTTGAGGTTTTCTTTGGAAACAGGAATATCTTCACATATAAACTAGGCAAAAGCATTCTCAGAAACTTCATTGGGAAGTTTCCATTCAAATCACAGAGTTGAATATTTCTTTTCATAGAGCAGTTTTGAAACACTCTTTTTGTAGAATCTGCAAGTGGACATTTGGAGCGCTTTGAGGCCTACTGTGAAAAAGGATATATCTTCACATAAAAACTAGACAGAAGCATTCTCAGAAACTTCTTTGTGATGTGTGTACTCAACACAAAGAGTTAAACCTTTCTTTTGATAGAGCAGTTTTGAAACACTCTTCTTGTAGAATTTACAAGTCTATAATTGGACAGCTTTGAGACTTTTGTTGGAAACGGAAATAACTTCACCTAAAAAGTAGACGGAATCAGTCTCAGAAACTTCTTTGTTTTGTGTGCATTCTACTCACAGTGTTGAAAATTTCCTTTTATAGAGCAGAAAGGAAACAATGTTTTTGTAGAATGTGCTTGTGGATATTTGGACGGCTTTGAGGCCTTCACAGGAAACGGGACTATCATCATATAAAAACTAGACAGAAGCATTCTCAGAAACTTCTTTTTGATGTGTATACTCAACTTACAGAGTTGAACATTTCTTTTGTTAGAGCAGTTTTGAAACACTATTTTTGTAGGGTCTGCAAGGGGATATTTGGATAGCTTTGTGGCTTTCTTTGGAAACGGGGATTACTTCACATAAAAACTACACAGAAGCATTCTCAGAAACTTCTTTGTAATGTTTGAATTCAACTCACAGAGTTGAACATTCCCTTTCATAGAGCAGTTTTGAAACACTCTTTTTCTAGAATCTGCATGTGAACATTTGAAGCGCTATGAGGCCTATGGTGAAAAAGAAAATATCTTCACATAAAAACTAGACAGAAGCATTCTCAAAAACTTCTTTGTGATGTGTGTACTCAACTCACAGAGTTAAAACTTTCTTTTGATAGAGCAGATTTGAAACACTCTTTTTCTAGGATTTACAAGTTGATATTAGGACAGCTTTGAGGCTTTCGTTGGAAACGGGAATACCTTCACATAAAAAATAGAAGCATTCTAGAAACTTCTTTGTGAACGTTGCATTCAACTCACAGAGTTGAACATGCCTTTTAATAGAGCAGTTATGAAACACTCTTTTTGTAGAATCTGCAAGTGGACGCTTTGAGGCCTATGGTGGAAAAGGAAATATCTTCACATAAAAACTAGACAGAAGCATTCTCAGAAACTTCTTTGTGATGTGTGTACTCAACTCACAGAGTTGAACCTTTCTATTGATAGAGCAGTTTTGAAACACTCTTTTTGTAAAACCTGCAAATGGACATTTGGAGCGATTTTAGGCCTATGGTGAAAAAAGTTATATCTTCACATAAAAACAAGACAGAAGCATTCTCAGAAACTTCTTTGTGATGTGTGCACTCAACACACAGAGTTAAAACTTTCTTTTGACAGAGCAGTTTTGAAACACTCTTCTTGTAGAATTTACAAGTCGATAATTCTACAGCTTTGAGGCTTTTGTTGGAAACGGAAATAACTTCACCTAAAAACTAGACAGAAGCATTCTCAGAAACTTCTTTGTTTTGTGTGCATTCCACTCACAGTGTTGAAAATTTCTTTTGATAGAGCCGATTGGAAACACTCTTTTTGTAGAATTTACTAGTGGATATTTGGACAGCTTTGAGGCCTTCACAGGAAATGGGAATATCTTCACATAAAAACTAGACAGAACTATTCTCAGAAACTTCTTTGTGATGTGTATACTCAACTCACAGAGTTGAACACTTCTTCTGATAGAGCAGTTTTGAAACACTCTCTTTGTAGAATCTGCAAGTGGATATTTGGACAGCTTTCTGGCTTTCGATGGAAACGGGGATATCTTCACATAAAAACTACAGAGAAGCATTCTCAGAAACTTCTTTGTGATGTTTGCATACAACTCACAGAGTTGAACATTCCTTTTCATAGAGTAGTTTTGAAACACTCTTTTTGTAGAATCTGCAAGTGAATATTTGGAGCGCTTCGAGGCCTACGGTGAAAAAGGAAATATCTTCACATAAAAACCGGCAGAAGCATTCTCAGAAACTTCTTTGTGATGTGTGTACTCAACTCACAGAATTAAACCTTTATTTTGATAGAGCAGTTTTGAAACACTCTTCTACAAGAATTTACAATTGGATAATAGGACAGCTTTGAGGCTTTCGTTGGAAACGGGAATATCTTCACATAAAAACTAGATAGAAGAATTCTCAGAAACTTCTTTGTGAAGTTTGCATTCAAATCACACAGTTGAACATCCCTTTTATTAGAGCAGTTTTGAACACTCTTTTTCTAGATCCTGTAAGTGGACATTTGCAGCGCTTTGAGGCCTACGGTGAAAAAGGAAATATCATCACAAAATACTAGACAGAAGGATTCTCAGAAACTTCTTTGTGATTTGTGTACTCAACTCACAGAGTTAAACCTTTCTTTTGATAGAGCAGTTTTGAAACACTCTTCTTGTACAATTTACAAGTGGATATTAGGACAGCTTTGAGGCTTTCGTTGGAAACGGGAATATCTTCACATAGAAATTAGACAGAAGCATTCTCAGAAACTTCTTTGTCACGTGTGCATTCAACTCACAGAGTTGAAACTTTCCTTTGATAGAGCAGATTGGAAACACACTTTTTGAAATATTTGCAAGTGGATATTTGGACAGCTTTGAGGCTTTCGCTGGAAATGGGTGTATCTTCACAAAAAAACTAGACAGAAGCATTCTCAGAAACTTCTTTGTGATGTGTGTACTCGACTCACAGAGTTGAACCTTTCTTTTGATAGAGCAGTTTTCAAACACACTTCTTGCAGAATTTACAAGTGGATATTAGGACAGATTTGAGGCTTTCGTTGGAAATGGGAATATCTTCACACAAAAAGTAGACAGAAGCATTCTCAGAAACTTCTTTGTGAAGTTTGCATTCAAATCACATTTTTGAACATACCTTTTAATAGAGCAGTTTTGAAACACACTGTAGAAACTGCAAGTGGACATTTGCAGCGCTTTGAGGCCTATGGTGAAAAAAAAAATCTTCGTATAAAAACTAGACAGAAGCACTCTCAGAAACTTCTTTGTGATGTGTGTACTCAACTCACAGAGTTAAACCATTCTTTTGATAGAGGGGTTTTCAAAAACACTTCTTGTAGAATTTACAATTGGATATTAGGACAGCTTTGAGGCTTTTGTTGGAAACCAGAATATCTTCACACAAAAACTAGACAGAAGCATTGTCAGAAACATCTTTGTGAAGTTTGCATTCAAATCACATAGTTGAACTTACCTTTTAATGGAGCAATTTTGAAATACTGTTTTTGAAGGGTCTGCAAGTGGACATTTGCAGCGCTTTCAGGCCTTTAGTGAAAAAGGAAATATCTTCCCATAAAAACTAGACAGAAACATTCTCAGAAACTTCTCTGTGATGTGTGTAATCAACTCACAGAGTTGAAACTTTCCTTTGATAGAGCAGTTTCGAAACAATCTTGTAGAATCTGCAAGTGGATATTTGGACAGCTTTGAATCTTTCGGTGGAAAAGGGAATATCTTCACATGAAAACTAGACAGAAGAATTCTCAAAAACTTCTTTGTGATGTTTGCCTTCAACTCACAGAGTTGAACATTCCTTTTCTTAGAGCAGTTTTCAAACACTCTTTTTGTAGAATCTGCAAGTGGACATTTGGAGCGCTTTCAGTCCTATTGTGAAAAAGGAATTATCTTCATATAAAAACTAGACAGAAGAATTCTCAGAAACTTCTTTGTGATGTGTGTACTCAACTCACAGAGTTAAACCTTTCTTTTGATAGAGCAGTTTTGAAACACTCTGCTTGTAGAATATGTAAGTGGATATTTCGACAGCTTTGAGGCTTTCGTTGGAAACGGGAAAATCTTCACATAGAAACTACACAGAAGCATTCTCAGAAACTTCTTTGTGATATGCGTCTTCAACTCACAGAGCTGAAACTTTCCTTTGACGGAGCAGATTTGAAACACACTTTTTGTAGAATTTGCAAGTGGATAGGTTTGAGGTTTGGACAGGTTTGAGGCCTTCGCTGGAAACGGGAGTATCTTCACAAAGAAACTAGATAGAAGCATTCTCAGAAACTACTTTGTGATGTGTGTACTAAACTCAGAGAGTAGAACCTTTCTTTTGATACAACAGTTTTGAAACACTCTGTTTGTAGAATTTGCAAGTCGATAATTGGACAGCTTTGAGGCTTTCGTTGGAAACGGGAATATCTTCACATAGAAACTAGACAGAAACATTCTCAAAAACTGCTTTGTGATGTGTGCATTCAACTCACAGAGTTGAAACTTTCTTTTGATAGAGCAGATTTGAAACACACTTTTTGTAGAATTTGCAAATGGATATTTGGACAGCTTTGAGGACTTCACAGGAAACTGGAGTATCTTCACAAAAAAACTAGACAGAAGGATTCTCAGAAACTTCTTGTGATGTGTGTGATCAACTCGCAGAGTTGAAACATTCTTTTGATAGAGCAGTTTTGAAACACTGTTTTTGTAGAATCTGCAGGTGGATATTTGGATAGCTTTGAGGCTTTCATGGGAAACGGGAATATTTTCACATAAAAACTAGATAGAAGCATTCTCAGAAACTTCTTTGTGTTGTGTGCATTCTACTCACAGTGTTGAAAATTTCTTTTGATAGAGCAGATTGGAAACACTCTTTTTGTAGAATTTGCTAGTGGATATTTGTACAGTTTTGAGGTCTACGCAGGAAATGGGAATATCTTAATATAAAAACTAGACAGAAGTATTCTCAGAAACTTCTTTGTGATGTGTATACTCACCTCACAGAGTTGAACATTTCTTCTGATAGAGCAGTTTTGAAACACTCTCTTTGTAGAATCTGCAAGTGGATATTTGGACAGCTTTCTGGCTTCAATGGAAATGGGGATATCTTCACATAAAAACTAGACAGAAGCATTCTCAAAAACTTCTTTGTGATGTCTGCATTCAACTCACAGAGTTGAACATTCCTTTTCATAGAGAAGATTTGGAGCACTCTTTTTGTAGAAACTGCAAGAGAACATTTGGAGCACTTCGAGGCCTAAGGTTAAAAAGGAAATATCTTCACTTAAAAACTAGACAGAAGAATTCTCAGAAACTTCTTCGTTATGTGTGTACTCAACTCACAGAGTTGATCCTTTCTTTTGATAGAGCAGTTTTGAAAAACACTCTTTGTTGAATCTGCAAGTGGATATTTGGACAGCTTTGAAACTTTCTTTGGAAATGTCAATATCTTCACATAAAAACTAGACAGAAGCATTCTCAGAAACTTTTTTGTGAAGTTTGCATTCAAATCACAGAGTTGAACATACCTTAAATAGAGCAGTTTTGAAACAATCTTTTTGTAGAATCTGCAAGTAGACATTTGCAGCGCTTTGAGGCCTAAGGTGTAAAAGGAAATATCTTCACATAAAAACTAGACAGAAGCATTCTCAGATACTTCTTTGTGATATGTGTACTCAACTCACCGAGTTGAACCTTTCTTGTGATAGAGCAGTTTTGAAACACTCTCTTTGTAGAATCTGCAATTGGATATTTGGACAGCATTGAATCTTTCGTTGGAAACGGGAATATTTTCACATAAAAACTAAACAGAAGCATTCTCAGAAACTTCTTTGTGGTGTGTGCACTCAAGTCACAGAATTGAACCTTTCTTACAATAGAGCAGTTTTGAAACCCTCTCTTTGTAGAATATGCAAGTGGATATTTGGACAGCTTTGAATCTTTCGTTGGAAACTGGAATATCTTCACATAAAAACTAGACAGAAGCATACTCAATAACTACTTTGTGATGTTTCCCTTCAACTCACAGATTTGAACATTCTTTTTCATAGAGCAGTTTTGAGACACTCTTTTTGTCGAATCTGCAAGGGGACATTTGGAGCGCTTTGAGGCCTATGGTGAAAAAGGAAATATCTTCATATAAAAACTAGACAGAAGCATTCTCAGAAACTTCTTTGTGATGTGTGTAGTCAACTCACAGGGTTAAACCTTTCTTTTGATAGAGCAGATTTCAAACACTCTTCTTGTAGAATTTACAAGTGGATATTAGGACAGCTTTGAGGGTTTCGTTGGAAAAGGAATATCTTCACATAAAAACTAGACAGAAGCATTCTCAGAAACGTCTTTGTGAAGTTTGCATTCAAATCACACAGATGAACATAACTTTTAATGGAACAGTTTTGAAACACTCTTTTTGTAGGATCTGCAAGTGGACATTTGCAGCGCTTTGAGGCCTAAAGTGAAAAAGGAAATATCTTCACATAAAAACTAGATAGAAGCATTCTCGGAAACTTCTTTATGAAGTTTGCATTCAAATCAGAGTTCAACATACATTTTAATAGAGTAGTTTTGAAACACTCTTTTTCTAGTATATGTCAGTGGACATTTGCAGCGCTTTGAGGCCTATGGTGAAAAAGGAAATATCTTCACATTAAAACTAGACAGAAGCATTCTCAGAAACTTCTTTGGGATGTGTGTACTCAACTCACCGAATTAAACCTTTCTTTTGATAGAGCAGTTTTGAAACACTCTTCTTGTAGAATTTACAAGTCGATAATTGGACAGCTTTGAGGCTTTCGTTGGAAGCGGGTATATATTCACATAGAAACTAGACAGAAGCATTCTCAGAAACTACTTTGTGATGTGTGCATTCAACTCACAGAGTTGAAATTTTCTTTTGATAGACCAGATTTGAAACACACTTTTTGTAGAATTTGCTAGTGGATATTTGGACAGCTTTGAGGCCTTCGCAGGAAGCGGGAATATCTTCATATAAAAACTAGACAGAATTATTCTCAGAAACTTCTTTGTGATGCGTATACTCAACTTACAGAGCTGAAACTTTCTTTTGATAGAGCAGTTCTGAAACATTCTTCTTGTAGAATCTGCAAGTGGATATTTGGACAGCTTTGAATCTTTCCTTGGAAACGGGAATATCTTCACATAAAAACTAGACAGAAGCATTCTCAAAATCTTCTTTGTGATGTTTGCCTTCAACTCACAGATTTGAACACACCTTTTCATGGAGCAGTTTTGAAACACTCCTTTTGTACAATCTGCAAGTGGACACTTGGAGCGCTTTGAGGCCTATGGTGAAAGAGAAAATATCCTCATATAGAAACGAGACAGAAGCATTCTCAGAAACTTCTTTGTGATGTGTGTACTCAACTTACAGAGTTAAACTTTTCTTTTGATAGAGCAGTTTTGAAACACTCTCTTTGTAGTATGTGCAATTGGATATTTGGACAGCTTTGAATCTTTCTTTGGAAACGGGAATATCTTCACATAAAAACTAGACAGAATCATTCTCAGAAACTTCTTTGTGAAGTTTGCATTCAAATAGCAGAGTTCAACATTCCTTTTAATAGAGCAGTTTTGAAACACAGTTTTTGTAGAATCTGCAAGTGGACATTTGCAGTACTTTGAGGCCAATGGTGAAAAAAGAAATATCTTCACATAAAAACTAGACAGAAGCATTCTCAGAAGCTTCTTTGTGATGTGTGCACTCAACTCACAGAATTGAACCTTTCTTTTGATAGATCAGTTTGGAACTCTCTCTTTGTAGAAACTGTAAGTGGATATTTTGGCAGTTTTGGATCTTTCGTTGGAAACGGGAATAACTTCACATAAAAACTAGACAGAAGCATTCTCAAAAACTACTTTGTGATGTTTGCCTTCAACTCACAGAGTTGAACATTCCTTTTCATAGAGCAGTTTTGTAACACTTTTTTTGTAGAATCTGAAAGTGGATATTTGGAGCGCTTTGAGGCCTATCGTGAAAAAGGAAATATCTTCACATAAAAACTAGACAGAAGCATTCTCAGAAACTTCTTTGTTATGTGTGTACTAAACTAACAGATTTGAACCTTTTTTTTGATAGAGCATTTTTGAAACACTCTCTTTGTAGAATCTGCAAGTGGATGTTTGGAAAGCTTTCAATCCTTCGTTGGAAACGGGATTATCTTCACATAAAAACTAGACAGAAGCATTCTCAGAAACTAGTTTGTTAATGTGTTCTCAACTCACAGAATTAAACCTTTCCTTTGATACAGCACTTTTGGAACACTCTTGTTGTAAAATTTACAAGTAGATATTAGGACATCATTGAGGATTTCGTTGGAAACGGGAATATCTTCACATAAAACTAGACAGACGCATTCTTAGAGACTTCTTTGTGATGTCTGCATTCAACTCACAGAGTTGAAACTTTCTTTTGATAGAGCAGATAGGAAACCCTCTTTTTGCCTAATTTGCAAGTGGGTATTTAGACAGCTTTGAGGCCTTTGCTGGAAACGGGTATATCTTCACATAGAAAATAGACAGAAGCATTCTCAGAAACTTCTTTGTGATGCTTGCATTCAACTCACAGAGCTGAACACTCCTTTTCATAGAGCAGTTTTGAAACACTCTTTTTGAAGAATCTGGAAGTGGAAATTTGGAGGGTTTTGAGGCCTATGGTGAAAAAGGAAATATCTTCCCATAAAAACTAGACAGAAGAATTCTCAGAAACTACTTTGTGATGTGTGTACTCAACTCACAGCGTTGAATCTTTCTTTTGATACAGCAGTGTTGAAACACTCTTTTTGTAGAATCTGCAAATCGATATTTTGATAGCTTTGAGGTTTTTGCTGGAAACGTGAATATCTTCACAAAAAACTGGACACAAGCATTCTCAGAAACTTGTTTGTGAGTCTTGCATTCAACTCACAGAGTTAAACATTCCTTTTCATAGTCTAGTTTTGAAACACTCTTTTTGTAGAATCTGCAAGTGGACATTTGGAGCGATTTGAGACCTATAGTGAAAAAGGAAATATCTTCACATAAAAACTAGACAGAAGCATTCTCAGAAACTGCTTTGTGATGTGTGTACTCAACTCACAGAGTTGAACCTTACTTTTGATACAGCAGTTTTGAAAAACTTTTTTTGTAGAGTCTGCAAGTGGATATTTGGATAGCTTTGAGGCTTTCATTGGAAACGGGAATATCATCACAAAACAACTAGACAAAATCATTCTCAGAAACTTCTTTGTGATGTTTGCATTCAATTCACAGAGTTGAACATTCCTTTTCATAGAGCTCTATTGAAACACTCTTTTTGTAAAATCTGCTAGTGGACATTAGGAGCTATTTGAGACCAATGGTAAAAAAGGAAATATCTTCACATAAAAAGTAGACAGAAGCATTCTCAGAAACTACTTTGCGATGTGTGTACTAAACTCAAAGAGTTAAACCTTTCCTTTGATACAGCAGTTTTGAAACACTCTTTTTGTTGAATTTACAAGTGGATATTGGAGAGCATTGAGGATTTCGTTAGAAACGGGAATATCTTCACATAAAACTAGACAGAAGCATTCTCAGACACTTATTTGGATGTCTGCAATGATCTCACAGACATTCTCAGACACTTCCTTGTGATGTGTGCATTGAACTCACAGAGTTGAAACTTTCTTTTGATAGAGCATATTTGAAACACTCTTTTTGTAGAATTTGCAAGAGGATATTTGGACAGATTTGGGGCCTTCGCTGTAAAAGGGTATACCTTCACATAAAAACTAGACAGAAGCATTCTCAGAAACTTCTTTGTGATGTGTGTACTCAACTCACAGAGATGAACCTTTCTTTTGATAGAGCAGTTTTGAAAAACTCTTTTTGAAGGATCTGCAAGTGGCTATTTGGATAGCTTTGAGGATTTCGTTGGAAACGGGAATATCTTCACATAAAAACTAGACAGAAGCATTCTCAGAAGCTTCTTTGTGAAGTTTGCATTCACCTCACAGAGTTGAACACTCCCTTTCATTGAGCAGTTTTGTAACCCTCTTTTTGTAGTATCTGGAAGTGAACATTTGGAGGGCTTTGAGGTCTACGGTGAAAAAGGGAACATCTTCACATAAAAACTAGACAGAAGCATTCTCAGAAACTACTTTGTGATGTGTGTACTCAATTCCCACAGTTGAATCTTTGTTTTGATAGAGCAGTTTTGAAACACTCTTTTTGTAGAATCTGCAAGTGGATATTTGGATACCTTTGAGTCTTTCGTTGGAAACGTGAATATCTTCACATATAAACAGTACACAACCATTCTCAGAAACTTCTTTGTGATGTTTGCATACAACTCACAGAGTTGAACATTCCTTTTCATAGAGCAGATTTGAAACACTCTTTTTGTAGAATCTGCACGAGGACATTTGGAGCGATTGGAGACCTATAGTGAAAAAGGAAATATCTTCACATAAAAACTAAACAGAAGCATTCTCAGAAACTTCTTTGAGATGTGTGTACTCAACTCACAGAGTTGAAACTTTCTTTTGATACAGCAGTTTTGAAACAGTCTTTTTGTGGAATCTGCATGTGGATATTTGGATAGATATGAGGCTTTCTTTGGAAAAGGGACTATCATCACAAAAAAACTAGACAGAAGCATTCTCAGAAAGTTCTTTGGGATATTTGCATTCAACTCACAGAGTTGAACATTCCTTTCCTGAGAGTAGTATTGAAACACTCTTTTTGTAGAATCTGCAAGTGGACATTTGGAGCGATTTGAGACCTATGGTGAAAAAGGAAATATCTTCACATAAAAAGTAGACAGAAGCATTCTCAGAAACTGCTTTTTGATGTGTGCACTAAACTCAATGAGTTAAACTTTCCTTTGATACAGCAGTTTTGAAACACTCTTCTTGTAGAATTTATAAGTGGATATTAGGAGAGCATTGAGGATTTCATTGGAAATGGGATTATCTTCACATAAAACTAGACAGAAGCATTCCATGAAATTTCTTTGTGATGTGTGTACTCAACTTACAGAGTTGAAACTTTCTCTTGATACAGTAGTTTAGAAACACTCTTTTTGTAGAATCTGCAAGTGGATATTTGGATAGCTTTGAGGCTTTCGTTGGAAACGGGAATATCTTCACATAAAAACTAGACAGAAGGATTCTCAGAAACTTCTTTCTGATGCCTCCATTCAACTCACAGTGTTGAACTTTCCTTTTCATGGAGCAGTTTTGAAACAACCTTTTTGTAGAATCTGTAAGTGGAAACTTGGAGCGCTTTGAGGCCTGTGGTGAAAAAGGAAATATCTTCCTATAAAAACTAGACAGAAGAATTCTCAGAAACTTCTTTGTGATGTGTGTACTCAACTCACAGAGTTGTACTTTTCTTTTGATAGAGCAGTTTTGAAACACTCTTTTTGCAGTGTCTGCAAGTGGATATTTTGTTAGCTTTGAAGATTACATTGGAAACGGGAATATCTTTACATATAAACTAGACAGAAGCATTCTCAGAAACTTCTTTGTGATGTTTGCATTCACCTCACGGAGTTGAACATTCCCTTTCATAGAGCAGTTTTGAAAAACTCTTTTTGCAGTATCTGGAAGTGGACATTTTGAACGCTTTGAGACCTATGGTGAAAAAGGAAATATCTTCACATAAAAACTAGACGGAAGCATTCTGAGAAACTACTTTGTGATGTGTGTACTCAATTCATGTAGTTGAACCTTTGTTTTGATAAAGCAGTTTTGAAGCACTCTTTTTGTAGAATCTGCATGTGGATATTTGGATAGATTTGAGGTTTTCGTTGGAAACGGGAATATCTTCACATAAAAACTAGACAGAAGGATTCTCAGAAACTTTTTTGTGATGTTTGCATTCAACTCACAGAGTTGAACATTCCTTTTCATAGCAGTTTTGAAACACTCTTTTTGTAGATCTGTAAGTGGAAAATTGGAGCTCTTTGAGGCCTGTGGTGAAAAAGGAAATATGTTCACATAAAAACTAGACAGAAACATTCTCAGAAGTTTCTTTGTGATGTGTGTACTCAACTAACAGATTTGAAACTTTCTTTTGATACAGCAGTTTTGAAACACTCTTTTTGTTGAATCTGTAAGTGGATATTTGGATAGCTTTGAGGCTTTCGTTGGAAACGGGAATACCTTCACTTAAAAACTAGAGAGAAGCATTCTCAGAAAGTACCTTGTGATGTTTGCATTCAACTCAAAGAGTTCAACATTCCTCTTGATAGAGCAGTTTGGAAACCCTCTTTTTGTATTATCTGCAGGTGGATATTTGGACCTCTTAGAGGCATTCTTTGAAACGGGTTTTCTTCATATAAACAAGACAGAAGAATTCTCAGAATCTACTTTGTGATGTGTGCTTTCAACTCACGGAGTTTAATCTTCCTTTCGATAGAGCAGTTTAGAAACACTCTTTTTGTGGAATTTGCAAGTGTACATTTATAGTGCTTTGAGGCCTATGTTAGAAAAGGAAATATATTCACATAAAAACTGGACAGAAGCATTCTCAGACACTAATTCGTGATGTTTGCATTCAACTCACTGATTTGTCCATTCCTCTTAATAAAGTAGTTTTGAAATACTCTTTTTGTACAATCTGCAAGTGGATATTTGGACTTCTTTGAGGCTATCGTTGGAAATGGGATTTCTTCATATAAAACTAGACAGAAGAATTCGCAGAAACTTCTTTGTGAAGTGAGCATTCATCTCGCAGATATGAACCTTCCTTTCGATAGAGCAGTTTTGAAACACTCTTTTTGTTGAATTTCCAAATGGATATTTAGAGCATTTTGAGGCCTGTGGTAGTAAAGGAAATATCTTCATAGAAAAACTAGACAGAATTTTTCTGAGAAACTGCTTTTTGATGTGTGGGTTCAACTCATAGAGTTTAACCTTTCTTCTGATAGAGTAGTTTTGAAACAATCTTTTTGTAGAATTTCCAAGTGGATATTTAGAGCGTTTGGAGGCCTATGGTAGAAAAGGAAATATCTTCATAGAAAAACTAAACAGAATCATTCTCAGAAACTACTTTGTGATTTGTGTGTTGAACTCACAGAGTTTAACATTTCTTTTGATAGAGCAGTTCTGAAACACAGTTTTTGTAGTATTTGCAAGTGCATATTTAGAGTGCTTTGAGGCCAATGGTAGAACAGGAAATACATTCACATGAAAACTAGACAGAAGCATTCTCAGAAACTACTTTGTGATGTTTGTATTCAACTTACAAAGTTGAACGTTCCTCTTGACAGAGCAGTTTTGAAACACTCGTTTTGTAGATTCTGCAAGTGGATATTTGGACCCCTTTAAGGCCTTCATTGGAAACGGGATTTCTTCATATAAAACTAGACAGAAGAATTCTCAGAAACTCTTTTGGAATGTGTGCGTTCAACTCACAGAGTTTAAACTTTCTATTGATAGAGGAGTTCTGAAACACTCTTTTTGTAGAATTTGCAAGTGTATATTTACAGCGCTTTGAGGCCTATTGTAAAAAAGGAAATATCGTCACATAAAAACTAGACAGAAGCATTCTCAGAAACTACTTTGTGATGTTTGCATTCAACTCCCAGAGCTGAACATTCCTCTTGATAGAGCAGTTTTGAAACACTCTTTTTGTAGAACATGGAAGTGGAAATTTGGACATCTTTGAGGCCTTCGTTGGAAATGGGATTTCTTCATATAAAATTAGACAGAAGAATTCTCAGAAACTTCTCTGTGATGTGTGCTTTCAACTCACAGAGTTGAACCTTCCTTTCGATAGAGCAGTTTTGAAACACTCGTTTTGTAGAATTTCCAAGTGGATATTTAGATCGGCTTGAGGCCTATGTTAGAAAAGTAAATATCTTCATATAAAAACTAGACAGAATGATTCTCAGAGACTACTTTATGATGTGTGCGTTCAACTCACAGAGTTTAACCTTTCTTTTGATAGAGCAGTTTTAAAACTCTCTTTTGTAGAATTTGCAAGTGTATATTTAGAGTGCTTTGAGGCCTATGTAAGAAAAGGATTTATCTTCACATAAAAAACAGACAGAAGCATTGTCAGAAAGTATTTTGTGATGTTTGCATTCAACTCACAGAGTTGAACATTCCTCTTGATAGAGCACTTTTGAAACACTCTTTTTGTGGAATCTGCAAGTGAATATTTGGACTTTTTTGAGGCCTTCATTGGAAACGGGCTTTCTTCACATAAAACTTGACAGAAGAATTCTCAGAAACTTCTTTGTGATGTGTGCATTCAACTCACAGAGTTTAACATTTATTTTGATGGAGTAGATTTGGAACACTCTTTTTGTAGAATTTGCAAGGGTATATTTAGAGTGCTTTGAGGCCTATGGAAGAAAAGGATATATCTTCACATAAAAACCAGACAGAAGCATTCTCAGAAACTATTTTGTGATGTTTGCATTCAACTCACAGAGTTTAATATTTCTTTTGGTAGAGCAGTTTTGAATCACAGTTTTTGTAGTATTTGCAAGTGCATATTTAGAGTGCTTTGAGGCCTATGGTAGAAGAGGAAATATCTTCACATAAAAACTAGACAGAAGAATTGTCAGAAACTACTTTGTGATGTTTGCATTCCACTAACAGATTTAAACATTCCTCTTGATAGAGCAGTTTTGAAACACTTTATTTGTAGAATCTGCATGTGAATATTTGAAACTTTTTGAGGCATTCGTTGGAAACGGGATTTCTTCATAGAAAAGAAGACAGAAGAATTCTAAGAAACATTTTGTGATGTGTGCATTCAACTCACAGTGTTGAAACTTCCTTTCAATGGAGCATTTTTGAAACACTCTTTTTGTAGAATTTCCAAATGAATATTTAGAGTGCTTGGAGGCCTATGGTAGAAAAGTAAATATCTTCATAGAAAAACTGGAGAGAATCATTCTCATTATCTACTTTGTGGTGTGTGCTTTCAACTCTCAGAGTTTAACATTTCTTTTGATAGAGCAGTTTTGAGACGCTCTTTTTGTAGAATTTGCAAGTGTGTATTTAGAGGGCTTTTAGGCCTAGGGTAGAAAAGGAAATATCTTCATATAAACACAAGACAGAAGCATTCTCAGAAACTATTTTGTGATGTGTGCCCTCTACTAACAGAGTTGAACATTCCTCTTGATAGAGCAGTTTTGAAACACTCTTTTTGTAGAATCTGCAAGTTGATATTTTGGCCTCTTTGAGGCGTTCATTGGAAACGGGATTTCTTCATATAAAACTAGACAGAAGAATTCTCAGAAACTATTTTGTGATCTGTGCGTTTAACTCACGGAGTTTAACCTTTCTTTGATAGAGCAGTTTTGAAACACTCTTTTTGTAGTGATTGCAAGTGTATATATAGAGAGCTTTGAAGCCTATGTTAGAAAAGGAAATATCTTCACATAAAAACCAGACAGAACCATTCTCAGAAACTACTTTGTGATGTTTGCATTCAACTCACAGAGTTGAACATTCCCCTTGATAGAGCAGTTTTGAAACTCTATTTTGAATTATCTGCAAGTGGATATTTGGACCTCTTTGAGGCCTTCGTTGGAAACGAGATTTCTTCATATAAAACTAAACAGAAGAATTCTCAGAAACGTCTTCATGATATGTGCGTTCAACTCACAAAGTTTAACCTTTCTTTTGATAGAGCAGTTTTGAAACACTCTTTTTGTAGGATTTGCAAGTGTATATTTAGAGTGCTTTGAGGCCAATGGTAGAAAAGGAAATATCATCACATAAAAACTAGACAGAAGCATTCTCCGAAGCTAATTCGTGATATTTGCATTCAACTCATAGAGTTGAACATTCTTCTTGATAGAGCAGTTTTGAAACACTCTTTTTGTAGAATTTGCAAGTGTATGTTTAGAATGCTTTTAGGTCTATGGTAGAAAAGGGTATATCTTCATAAAAATACTAGACAGAATAATTCTCAGAAACTATTTTGTGATGTGTGCGTTCAGCTTACAGAGGAGTTTAAAGTTTCTTTTGATAGAGCAGTTTTGAAACACTCTTTGTGGAATTTGCAAGTGTGTATTTAGAGCGCTTTGAGGAATATGGTAGAAAAGGAAATATCTTCACATAAAAACTAGACAGAAGGATTGTCAGAAACTACTTTCTGATATTTGCATTCAACTCATAGAGTTGAACATTCTTCTTGGTAGAGCAGTTTTGAAACACTGTTTTTGTAGAATCTGCAAGTGGATGGTTGGACCTTTTTGAGGCCTTCATTGGAAACGGGATTTCTTCATATAAAACTAGACAGAAGAATTCTCAGAAACTTCTTTGTGATGTGTGCATTCAACTCACAGAGTTGAACATTCCTTTCAATAGAGCAGTTTTGAAACACTCTTTTTGTGGAATTTCCAAGTGGATATTTAGAGCGGTTTGAGGCCTATGGTTGAAAAGTAAATATCTTCATATAAAAACTAGACAGAATGATTCTCAGAAACTACTTTGTGATGTGGGCGTTCAACTCACAGAGTTTAACCTTTCTTTTGATAGAGCAGTTTTGAAACACTCTTTTTGTAGAATTTGCAAGTTTTTATTTAGAGTGCTTTGGGACCTATGGTTGGAAAGGAAATTTCTTCACATAAAAACTAGACAGAAGCATTCTCAGAAACTATTTTGTGATGTTTGCATTCAACTCACAAAGTTGAACATTCCTCTTGATAGAGCAGTTTTGAAACACTCTTTTTGTAGAATCTGCAAGTGGATATTTGGACCTCTTTGAGGCCTTCTTTGGAAACGGGATTTCTTCATATAAAACTAGACAGAAGAATTCTCAGAAACTTCTTTGTGATGTGTGCATTGAACTCACAGAGATGAAACTTCCTTTCGATAGAGCAGTTTTGAAACACTGTTTTTGAAGAAGTTCCAAGTGTATATTTAGAGCTCTTTGAGGCCTATGGTAGAAAAGGAAATATCTTCATAGAAAAACTAGACAGAATCATTCTCAGAAACTACTTTGTGACGTGTGCGTTCAAATCGCGGAGCTTAACATTTCCTTTGATACAGCAGTTTGAAACACTCTTTTTGTAGAATTTGCAAGTGTTTACTTAGAGTGCTTTGGGGCCTATGGTTTTTTTTTTTCATTCATTCCAAATTGCTTTATTTTGTGATTAAAGTAGATAATATAGCTGTAAGTCTGTTCAGGATCACAGTCATAACTATCTTTTTTTTGCCTATATATGGGCACACATTTGTACAGCTGTGTATGTGATTCACTTATATATATTGCCTTCCTTGGTGACATTGCAAGGATCTTTTTTTTTATTATTATACTTTAAGTTTTAGGGTACATGTGCACATTATGCAGGTTAGTTACATATGTATACATGTGCCATGCTGGTGCGCTGCACCCACTAAGTCATCATCTAGCATTAGGTATATCTCCCGATGCTATCCCTCCCCCCTACACCCACCCCACAACAGTCCCCAGAGTTTGATATTCCCCTTCCTGTGTCCATGTGATCTCATTTTTCAATTCCCACCTATGAGTGAGAATATGCAGTGTTTGGTTTTTTGTTCTTGCGATAGTTTACTGAGAATGATGATTTCCAATTTCATCCACGTCCCTACAAAGGACATGAACTCATCATTTTTTATGGCTGCGTAGTATTCTATGGTGTATATGTGCCACATTTTCTTAATCCAGTCTATCATTGTTGGACATTTGGGTTGGTTCCAAGTCTTTGCTATTGTGAATAATACCGCAATAAACATTCGTGTGTATGTGTCTTTATAGCAGCATGATTTATAGTCCTTTGGGTATATACCCAGTAATGGGATTGCTGGGTCAAATGGTATTTCCAGTTCTAGATCCCTGAGGAATCGCCACACTGACTTCCACAATGGTTGAACTAGTTTACAGTCCCACCAACAGTGTAAAAGTGTTCCTATTTCTCCACATCCTCTCCAGCACCTGTTGTTTCCTGACTTTTTAATGATTGCCATTCTAACTGGTGTGAGATGGTATCTCATTGTGGTTTTGATTTGCATTACTCTGATGGCCAGTGATGATGAGCATTTTTTCATGTGTTTTTTGGCTGCATAAATGTCTTCTTTTGAGAAGTGTCTGTTCATGTCCTTCGCCCACTTTTTGATGGGGTTGTTTGTTTTTTTCTTGTAAATTTGTTTGAGTTCATTGTAGATTCTGGATATTAGCCCTTTGTCAGATGAGTAGGTTGCAAAAATTTTCTCCCATTTTGTAGGTGGCCTGTTCACTCTGATGGTAGTTTCTTTTGCTGTGCAGAAGCTCTTTAGTTTAATTAGATCCCATTTGTCAATTTTGGTTTTTGTTGCCATTGCTATTGGTGTTTTAGACATGAAGTCCTTGCCCATGCCTATGTCCTGAATGGTAATGCCTAGGTTTTCTTCTAGGGTTTTTATGGTTTTAGGTCTAACGTTTAAGTCTTTAATCCATCTTGAATTGATTTTTGTATAAGGTGTAAGGAAGGGATCCAGTTTCAGCTTTCTACATAAGGCTAGCCAGTTTTCCCAGCACCATTTATTAAATAGGGAATCCTTTCCCCATTGCTTGTTTTTCTCAGGTTTGTCAAAGATCAGATAGTTGTAGATATGTGGCATTATTTCTGAGGGCTCTGTTCTGTTCCATTGATCTATATCTCTGTTTTGGTACCAGTACCATGCTGTTTTGGTTACTGTAGCCTTGTAGTATAGTTTGAAGTCAGGTAGTGTGATGCCTCCAGCTTTGTTCTTTTGGCTTAGGATTGACTTGGTGATGCGGGCTCTTTTTTGGTTCCATATGAACTTTAAAGTAGTTTTTTTGAGGCCAGCATCATTCTGATACTAAAGCCAGGCAGAGACACAACAGAAAAAGAGAATTTTAGACCAATATCCTTGATGAACATCGATGGGAAAATTCCTCAATAAAATACTGGCAAAACGAATCCAGCAGCACATCAAAAAGCTTATCCACCATGATCAAATGGGCTTCACCCCTGAGATGCAAGGCTGGTTCAATATACGCAAATCAATAAATGTAATCCAGCATATAAACAGAGCCAAAGACAAAAACCACATGATTATCTCAATAGATGCAGAAAAAGCCTTTGACAAAATTCAACAACCCTTCATGCTAAAAACTCTCAATAGATTAGTTATTGATGGGAAGTATTTCAAAATAATAAGAGCTATCTATGACAAACCCACAGCCAATATCATACTGAATGGAGAAAAACTGGAAGCATTCCTTTTGAAAACTGGCACAAGACAGGGATGCCCTCTCTCACCACTCCTATTCAACATAGTGTTGGAAGTTCTGGCCAGGGCAATTAGGCAGGGGAAGGAAATAAAGGGTATTCAATTAGGAAAAGAGGAAGTCAAATTGTCCCTGTTTGCAGACGACATGATTGTATATCTGGGGCCTATGGTTGAAAGGGAAATTTCTTCACATAAAAAATAGACAGAAGCATTCTCAGAAACTATTTTGTGATATTTGCATTCAACTCACACAGTTGAAAATTCTTATTGATAGAGCAGATTTGACACAATATTTTTGTAGAATCTGCAAGTGGACAATTGGAGCGATTTGGGACCTATGGTGAAAAAGGAAATATCTTCACACAAAAAGTAGACAGAATCATTCTCAGAAACTACTTTGTGATGTGTGCACTCAACACACAGAGTTAAAACTTTCCTTTGATATAGCAGATTTGAAACACTCTTCTTGTAGAATTTACAAGTGGATATAAGGACAGCATTGAGGATTTCGTTGGAAATGGGAATATCTTCACATAAAACTAGACAGAAGAATTCTCAGAAACTTCTTTACGATGTGTGCATTCAACTCAGAGAGTTGAAACTTTCTTTTGATAGAGCAGATTGGAAAAACTGTTTTGTACAATTTTCAAGTGGATACTTGGACAGCTTTGAGGCCTTCGCTGGAAACGGGTATATCTTCACATAAAAACTAGACCAAAGCATTCTCAGAAACTTCTTTGTGATGCTTTCATTCAACTCATAGAGGGGAACATTCCTGTTCATAAAGCAGTTTTGAAACCACCTTTTTGTAGAATCTGTAAGAGGAAAATTAGAGCGCCTTGAGGCCTATGGTGAAAAAGGAAATACCTTCCCATAAAAAATAGACAGAAGAATTCTCAGAAACTACTATGTGATGTGTGTACTCAACTCACAGATTTGAACTCTTCTTTTGATAGAGCAGTTTTAAAACACTCTTTTGTAGAATTTGCAAGGGGATAATTGGATAGCTTTGAGGATTTCGTTGTAAACGGGAATATCTTCAGATAAAAACTAGACAGAAGCATTCGCAGAAAATACTTTGTGATGTTTGCATTCAACTCACAGAGCAGAATATTCCCTTTCATGGAGCAGTTTTGAAACACTCTTTTTGAAGTAACTGGAAGTGGACATTTGGAGCGCTTTCACACCTATGGTGAAAAAGGAAATATTTTCATATAAAACTAGAGAAAAGTATTATCAGAAACTTCTTTGTGATGTGTGTACTCAACTCACAGAGTTGAACATTTCTTTTGATGCAGCAGTTTTGAAACACTCTTTTTGTAGAATCTGCAAGTGGATATATGGAGAGCTTAGAGGCTTTCATTGGAAACGGAAATATCTTCATATACAATTTAGACAGAAGCATTCTCAGAAACTTCTTTGTGATGTTTGCATTCAAGTCACAGAGTTGAACATTCCCTTTCATAGAGCAGGTTGGAAACATTCTTTTTGTAGATCTGTAAGTTGAAACTTGGAGCACTTTGTGGCCTATGGTGAAAAAGGAAATATCTTCACATAAAAAGCAGACAGAAACATTCTTAGAAACTTCTTTGTGATGTTTGGATTCAACTCACAGAGTTGAACATTCCTTTTCATAGAGCAGTTTTGAAAAACTCTTTTTGCAGAATCTGCAAGTGGACGTTTGGAGTGATTTGAGACCTATGGTGAAAAAGGAAATATCTTCACACAAAAAGTACACAGAAGCATTTTCAGAAACTACTTTGTGATGTGTTTACTCAACTCACAGAGTTAAAACTTTCCTTTGATACAGCAGTTTTGAAAAACCCTTCTCGTAGAATTTACATGTGGATATTAAGACAGCACTGAGGATTTCGCTGGAAACGGCAATATCTTCACATAAAACTAGACAGAAGCTTTCTTAGAAAGTTCTTAGTGATGTGTGCATTCAACTTACAGAGTTGAAACTTTCTTTTGATAGAGCAGATTGGAAACACCATTTTTTAGAATTTGCAAGTGGATATTTGGAAAGCTTTGAGGCCTTGGCTGGAAACGGGTATATCTTCACATAAAAACTAGACAGAAGCATTCTCAGAAACTTCTTTGTGATGTTTGCATTGAACTCACAGAATTGAACACTCCCTTTCATAGAGCAGTTTTGAAATACTCTATTTGTAGTATTTGCAAGAGGATATTTGGATAGATTTGAGGCTTTCACTGGAAACGGAATATCTTCACATAAAAATTAGACAGAGGCATTCTCAGAAACTTCTTTGTGATGTGTATACTCAACTCACAGAGTTGAAACTTTCTTTTGATAGAGAAGACTGGAAACACTCTTTTTGTGGAATTTGCAAGTGGATATTTGGACGGCTTTGTGTACTTCGCTGGAAACGGGTATATTTTCACATAAAAACTAGACAGAAGCATTCTCAGAAACTACCTTGTGATGCTTGCATTCAACACAGAGTTGAACATTCCTTTTCATAGAGCAGTTTTGAAACATTCTTTTTGTAGAATCTCTAATTGGAAACTTGGAGCGCTTTGAGGCCTATGGTGAAAAAGGAAATATCTTCCCGTAAAAAAGAGACAGAAGAATTCTCAAAAACTTCTCAGTGATGTGTGTACTCATCTCACTGAGTTGAATTTTTCTTTTGATAGAGCAGTTTTGAAACACTCTTTTTGTAGAATCTGCAAGTGGATATTTGGAAAACTTTGAGGCCTTCGCTGGAAACGGGAATATCTTCACATAAAAAGTATACGGAAGCATTACCAGAAATTTCTTAGAGATGTTTGCATTCAACTCACAGAGATGAATATTCCCTTTCACAGAGCAGTATTGAAACATTCTTTTTGTAGAATCCGTAAGTAGATATTAGGATAGATTTGAGGCTTTCATTGAAAACGGGAATATCTTCACTTAAAAACGAGACTGATGCATACTCAGAAACTTCTTTGTGAGGTTTGCATTCAACTCACAGATTTCAACATTCTGTTTCATAGATAAGTTTAGAAACGCTCTTTTTGTAGTATCTGGAAGTGGACATTTGGAGTGCTTTGAGGCCTATGGTGAAAAAGGAAATAGCTTCACATAAAAACTAGAAAGAAGCATTCTCAGAAACTTCTATGTTATGCTTCCATTCAATTCAAAGAGTTGAACATTCCTTTTCATAGAGCACTTTTGAAACACTCTTTTTGAAAAATCTGTAAGTGGAATCTTGGAGCGATTTGAGGCCTATGCTGAAAAAGGAAGTATCTTAACATAAAAACTAGACAGAAGAATTCTCAGAAACTTCTTTGTGATGTGTGTACTCAACTCACAGAGTTAAACCTTTCCTTTGATATAGCAGGTTTGAAACATTCTTTTTGTAGAATTTACAAGTGGATATTAGGACTGCATTGAAGATTCCGTTGTAAACGGGAATATCTTCACATAAAACTAGACTGAAGCATTCTTAGAAACTTCTTTGTGATGTATGCATTCAACTCACAGAGTTGAAACTTTCTTTTGATAGAGCAGATTGGAAACACTCTGTTTGTAGAATTTGCAAGAGGATATTTGGACAGCTTTGAGACCTTCCCTGGAAACGGGTATATCTTCACATAAAAACAAGACAGAAACGTTCTCAGAAACTTTTTGTGATGCTTGTATTCAACTCACAGAGTTTAATATTCCTTTTCAAAGAGCAGTTTTGAAACACTCTTTTTGTAGAATCTGTAAGAGGAAACTTGGAGGGCTTTGAGGCCAAAGGTGAAAAAGGAAATATCTTCCCATAAAAACTAGACAGAGGAATTCTCAGAAACTCGTTTGTGTTGTGTGTACTCAACTCACAGATTTGAAGTTTTCTTTTGATAGAGCAGTTATGAAACACTGTTTTTATAGAAACTGCAAGTGGATATTTGTATAGCTTTGAGGATTTCGTTGGAAACGGGAATATCTTCACAAGAAAACTGCACAGAAGTATTCTCAGAAACTTCCTTGTGATGTTTGCATTCAATTCACCGTGTTGAACATTCTCTTTCATAGAGCGGTTTTGAAACACTCTTTTTGTAGTATCTGGAAGTGCACATTTGGAGCGATTTGAGGACTATGTAGAAAAAACAAATATCTTCACATAAAAACTAGACAGAAGCATTCGCAGAACCTTCTTTGTGATGTGTGTACTCAACTCGCAGAGTTGAACATTTCCTTTGATACAGCAGTTTTGAAATACTCTTTTGCAGTATCTGGAAGTAGACATTTGGAGTGCTTTGGGACCTATGGTGAAAAAGGAATTATCTTCACATAAAAACTAGACAGAAGAATTCTCAGAAACTTTTGTGATGTGTGTACTCAGCTCACAGGGTTGAACCTTTCTTTTGATACAGTAGTTTTGAAACATTCTTTTTGTAGGATCTGCAAGTGGATGTTTAGATAGCTTTGAGACCTTCGTTGTAAACGGGAATATCTTCAGAAAATTCTCAGAAAATTTTTGTGATGTTTGCATTCAAGTCACAGAGTTGAACATTCCTTTTCATAGAGCAGTTTTGAAACACTCTTTTTGTAGAATCTGAAATGGGACATTTAGCGCGATTTGAAACCTATGGTGAAAAAGGGAATATCTTCACATAAAAAATAGACAGAAGAATTCTCAGAAACTAATTTCTGATGTGTGTACTCAGCTCAAAGAGTTAAACCTGTCCTTTGATACAGCAGCTTTGAAGCACTCTTCTTGTAGAATTTACAAGTGCATATTAGAACAGCATTGAGGATTTCGTTGGAAACGGGAATATCTTCACATAAAACTAGACAGAAGCATTCTCAAAAACTTCTTTGGGATTTGTGTCTTCACTTAACAGAGTTGAAACTTTCTTTTGATAGAGCAGATTGGAAACACTCTTTTGTAGAATTTGCAAGTGGATATTTGGACAGCTTTGAGACCTTCGCTGGAAACGGGTATATCTCCACATAAAAACTAGACAGAAGCATTCTCAGAAACTTCTTTGTGATGCTTGCATTCAACTCACAAGTTTAAACGTTCCTTTTTTTAGAGCAGTTTTGAAACACTCATTTTGAAGAATCTGTAAGAGGAAAATTGGAGCGCTTTGAGGCCTAAGGTGAAAAAGGAAATATCTTCCCATAAAAGCTAGACAGAGGAATTCTCACAAAATCATTTGTGATGTGTGTATTCAACTCACAGAGTTGAACTTTCCTTTTGATAGAGGAGTTTTGAAACACTGTTTTTGTAGAAACTGCAAGTGGATATTTGTATATCTTTGAGGATTTCGTTGTAAACGGATATATCTTCACATAAAAACTAGAGAGAAGCATTCTCAGAAACTTCTTTGTGATGCTTTCATTCAACTCACAGAGATGAACATTCCCTTTCATAGAGCAGTTTTGAAACACTCTTTTTGTAGTATCTGGAAGTGATCATTTGGAGCACTTTGAGGCCTATAGTGAAAAACGAAATATCTTCACA